>NC_000004.12:141421381-142046381 GCF_000001405.40 Homo sapiens
ACTGTTTGCATAAACAGATAAACAAGCAAAAAGATAACAAATAGAAAATTCTACGCTTTAACTTCACTGTCCTACTTTTTAACTTTTTGTTGTTTCTATTTATATTTTATTGTACTATGTCTTGAAAAGTTATTGTAGTTATTATTTTTTATTGGCTCATCATGTAGTCTTTCTATTTAGGATAAGAGTAGTTTACATACCACAATTACAGTGTTAATATAGTCTGTGTTTTTCTGTGTGCTAACTATTATCAATGAGTTTTGTACCTTCGAGTGATTATTTGTTGCTCATTAATGTCCTTTTCTTCCATTTGAAGTACATCCTTTAGCATTTCTTGTAGGACAGGTCTAGTGTTGAAATCCCTCAGCCTTTTTTTTTTTTTTTCAGACGGAGTTTCACTCTTGTTGCAATCCCTTGGCTTTTTATGTCTGGGAAAGTCTTTATTTCTCCTTCATGTCTGAAGGGTATTTTCACTGGATATACTATTCTATGGTAAAAGGTATTTTCCTTCAGCACTTTAAATATGTCATGCCACTTTCTCCTGGCCTCTAAGGTTTCTAAGGAAACCTTAGAAAAGGCTGCTGCCAGACATGTTGGAGCTCTATTGTATGTTATTTTTTCTTTTGTCTTGCTGCTTTTAGGAATTTTTTCTTTATCCATGACCTTTAGGAGTTGATTATTCAATGCCTAGAGGTAGTCTTCCATGAGTTAAATCTGCTTGATGTTCTATAACCTTCTTGTGCTTGGATATTGATCCTTCTCTAGATTTGGGAAGTTCTCTGTTATTATTGCTTTGTATAAACTTTCTGCTTTATCTCTTTCTCTACCTCCTCTTTAAGGCCAATAGCTCTTAGATTTGCCCTTTTGAGACTGTTTTCTAGATCCTGTAGGTGTGCTTTATTTTTTTAATTCTTCTTTCCTTTGTCTTCTCTGACTGTGTTTTCAAATAGCCTGTTTCAAGTGCACTAATTCTTTCTTCTGCTCCATCAATTCTGCTAATAAAGGACTCTGATGCATTCTTTGATATGCCAATTGTATTTTTAGCTCTAGAATTTCTACTTAATTATTTTTAATTATTTTCTTTAAATTTCCTCAACACAGCTATTTTTAATTCTCTGTCAGAAAGGTCGCATATCTCTGTTTCACCAGGATTGGTCCCTGGTGCCCCATTTAGTTCACTTTTGTGAGGTCATGTGCTCCACCTCCTCCCCCAGATCTTCTTGTCAAAAATTTTTCAATCATGTTCCTTCTAAGTCCTTGACCTTTCAGCCAAACTGTTATCCATACAGCCCATGGTTTGTCCCTTTCCAGGCAAAAACAATGACCATGCCAACTGGCCAGTACTCCCTTCACCACAGTCCTATAGAGCTGTCCCAAAAAGGGGCTGTAGAGCTACAGCTGTTCTCTTTCAGTTAAAGTATAGTATGCAGGATGATCTATCTAAAACCAAGCTTGAGTTTTTTCTTCAGTCAACTGGTCATAGGGAGTGCCATGTGAGCCATAGCTATGGGATGAGAGAAAGAAGGCAAATAGTAGTAATCAGGGCTCAGATAACTTACTTGTGCCTTTTGGGCCTGCTCTAGCCTAATTTCATGTACATCATCTCCACTTTATGACGAGGTGCAGGCTCAGCCTTATGTCATGATGGGGAGATAACAGCTCGCTCATGATTGGCAGGTCAGGTCACATGGTAACTTGATGGCCAAAGTTCATAGGATCAGTCTCTATTAAAGCCCAGTCACAAGATAAAATATGTTTTTAAAAAGGAGGATTGTTATCTGCACAAAAAAATGGCATGGCTTTGCTTTAATTCCTAAAGGTCTGTGTTGTAATTTACTTAACAGAGTCTGCTAAAAGCTGCATAAGCACTAGCACTTTTCTTTACCTGCCAGTAGCACTTTAACTCTTTTCCCATTTGCCCCAAGAATACTTACTAGTGGTGCTTGTGGCTGCAGCATTTACCTTGAGATAACTTTGCCATGAAATATGTGGCTTTTATTATTATTTTTGCATCACTCTACCAACTTGGTAAACAAAAGATATTCTATTTATAACATCGTGGTTTTAGTAATGGTATTTGGTAGTGGTATTTCCATTTACAAAAGGTAGTAATTCTTTTTTTTAACAATGCAAAATTTATTGATAGCTGAACCATATTTTATACTGTAATGACTTTTTTTTATTATTATACTTTAAGTTCTGGGATACAGGTGCAGAATGTGCAGGTTTGTTACATAGGTATACATGTGCCATGGTGAGTTGCTGCACCCATCAACCTGTCATCTACATTAGGTATTTCTCCTAATCCCTCCCCTAGCCCCCCACCTCCCGACAGGAGCCAGTGTGTGATGTTCCCCTCGCTGTATCCATGTGTTCTCATTGTTCAACTCCCACTTATGGGTAGAACATGTGGTGTTTGGTTTTCCGTTCTGTGTTAGTTTGCTGAGTATGATGATTTCCAGCTTCATCCACGTCCCTGCAAAGGACATGAACTCATCCTTTTTTATGACTGCATAATATTCCATGGTGTATATGTGCCACATTTTCTTTATCCAGTCTGCCATTGATGGGCATTTGGGTTGGTTCCAAGTCTTTGCTATTGTGAATAGTGCAGCAATAAACATACTTTTGCATGTGTCTTTATAGCAGAATGATTTGTAATCCTTTGGGTATATACCAAGTAATGGGATTGCTGGGTCAAATGGTATTTCTGGTTCTTCTTGATCACTGAAAATATCAAATCATAGAAAACACAGCATTCCTGTGTGTGATGTTAATGTCATTGAACAGTTGTTGGCCAAAGATTCATTTGGTGAATCTGATTTTTATGAAATAGACAATTCTGATGATTCAGATGATTCTCCTGTCGGTTCTGTTTAGAAATAACTCCAAAAACAGTTTTTATATTTCATTTTCACATTGAAAATCAGTCAGATTTGCTTCAGCCTCGAAGAGTGTGTTTATGTAAAATTAAATGAGCGCTGGCAGCAAACTGCACTTTTTTTTTTTCTAAACAGGACTAAATATCATTGAATTTGTTGGATCATACAACCAAATGATAGAACAGCTTTTATGGCAGCCTGGACCTGTTGCAGACCTTTCTGTTTTTCTGGGTCCTATTCACAGCTGGGATCTTTCAGATCCTTCAGTAAATAGGTCAGAGTAGCATGCCCAAATGAGGTATATGTAACCTCTAAAATCCGAATAGGCCCACTGAATATTGTGCCACTTTCTTAGTGTTAGAGTGGGGCAGATGCAGCAACTTGTTTTTCACCCTAGAAGGATTTCACTGAGGTGGCAGAATCCTGAGATTTTGGGGATTTGTTTCCCACCTTCTGGCATGCAAGTGTCTTACTAATGTGTGTAGAGTGGTCACTCTCTCCCACTTACCGGATCTGATTAGCATAATTTCATCAATGTAATGGGCCAGCATGATTCCATTGGAATGGAGAGGCAATTAAAGTCCCTATAAGCTAGATTATGACATAATGCTGAGAGTTGAGATAGCCCTGAGATAGGACAGTAAAAGTGTATTGCTGGCCATGCCAGCTGAAAACAAATTACTTCTGATGATCTTTATTAACAAGTAGAGAAAAAATACCATTTGCCAGATCAATAGCTGCATAGCAGATACCCAAGAATGTACTGATTTGCTCCAGTAATGAAACCACATTTGGAACAGCAGCTGCAATTGCTTGATAATGTTTATGATAATCTACTGTCATTCTCTAAGACCCATCTGTTTTCTGCACAGGCCATGTAAGTGAATATGGAATCTTTGTGTAGTGAACTTACATTAATCAGTTCAGCCTCATCTATCTTTATATTTCTTCCACCGTGATTCTACACTCTTAAGATATATTACCATACATATTCCTCAGGCTTTTATCAGTACAAATTGGCAAAATGATGCAAGTCATTTGGTGTGTATTGCACTTCTATATGAGTCATGCTTTGGATCTCATTCTTTGGAACCTGCTGAGATGTGATTCTATTTTTAGGTCCAGAAGCCAAGAGAGGTGATGGGAATAGGTTACAAGGAGGATCAGTAGTCTTGAGAAAGACAGCTACCTCAGGGGAGGCTATTACTTCTTCAGCAAGCCTCTTTTTTTTTTTATTGTAAAAGTGGCCCTTACATCCTTGCCTAAGATAGGAGAGACTATTTTATATCTCTTATCTAAGACAGGAGAGACTATCTTAGGCAGGAATGTAAGGGCTACTTTTATTGCAAAAAAGGCTGAGCACGAGTTAAAATTTCAAGGTTCAAACCATGCAATTCCATTGTAATTCACCCATTTGTTCCCATCCCAATTGTTAGTGTCCCATTCCTTCTCCATTAATGCCCTAACTTTAACAAATAGAATATATAACATCAAAAGTTTGATTTTTGTTGGAATTTAGTCATGCAAAAACTACACTTTGGGTTCAGTTTTTGGAAAACTTGGCCCTAGGCTAAGATTTCTGTAGGGGTTAGCTGGTACAGTATAGGTTATGGGATATAGGATTTTAGGGCAGGCATAGATGCTTTCAGGTCTTTTACATGAACTAGGAGCTTAAAGCCCTCAGATCATTTTCTTTCCTCAAGTTATTTAGCTCATTTGCAATCAACCAATGAACTCCATGTTTCTTCTTTTTTTCAACGTGTTCTATGGCAGCAAATAATTGGTCATCTAGAATCTGCCCTTCTATAAGCATTTGACTACAGGTATATGCAGGCAAGAATTTTAGCAAATATTTTGCTCCTGCATGCCATGGACTACTGGTGTCCTCTTCCACAGTGGAAAAAGTGTCATTAGCACTTTAAATATAACCATATTGGAGAACCAATTCCAAAAAGCCCAGAAAAAAAATGAACCAATTCAGATAACTCATCTTTAAGAGTCTGATTTTCTGGAACCACTACTCCCGGCACCAAATTTTGTGTTGGTCAGGGTTACATCAAAGAAATAGTTTCATCTATCTATCTATCTATCTATCTATCTGTCTATCTATCTATCTATCTATCTATCTGTCTGTCTGTCTGTCTGTCTATCATCTATCATCTATCTATCTATCTAATACAGATGTAGATATATCTTCCCATATATATTTGCCTTTACACAATTGTAGAGCTAGGAGCTAGTTAAGCACTCTCCATAAAACTTTGCTTTTTGTCTGATGCTGGAATTTGAAATTTGCAGAGCAGACAACAAGAAAATGTCAGAGCAGAGAAGAGCAAAAATAAGCTGGAACACAGAAGAAGAAGCTGGAGTTCAAGAGAATCATCTGGAAGCCTTATCATTTCTTGCTGTCTTCAGCTAATGATGTGGGTATCCTGCAGAAGAAGCTGGCATCTTTCAACATGGAGCTTAATACACACCTGGGCCATCAGTCAGAGAAGCTGGAGTACAATTCAGGCAAAAATACATGCAGTTGTAGGGTTGGCTGCTGTCCCACGCCAATGAAGGAAGCCCATAGATAAGCAGAGTGTATGATGAAAAAAACACCCACTATAACTTTCTGTGATGGTTAAATTTATGTGCCAACTTGAATGGGTTAAGGGATACTCAGGGATAAGGGATGCTCAGCCCAACTTGAGTGGGCTAAGGGATGCTCCGATAGCTGGAAAAAACATTCTTTCTGGGTGTGTCTGTAAAGAGGTTTGCATTTGAATTAATAGACTGAACAAAGAAGATTCACCCTCACCAGTGCAGATGGGCATCATCCAATCCATTGAGGACCTGCCTGAATAAAATGAAAAGGCAAAGGAAGGGCGAATTCACTCTCTCCTCTTGAACCAGTACATTCATCTTCTCCTATGCTTGGGCACTGATGGTCGTGGTTCTTGGGCCCTCAGACTTAGACCAGCAACACCCCCAACCAACCCTCTTCAGGACCCCTAACCCCTCCTTCCCAGGTTCTTAGGCCTTTGGACTTGAATTAATTACACGACTGGGTTTTCTGATTCTCCAGCTCTCAGAAGGCAGATTGTGGGACTTTTGGGGCCTCATAATTGCATGAGCCAATTCCTATAATAAATTGCCTCTTATATGTCTTTGTATAGACATGTATACAGTCATGAACCACTTAAAAATGTTTTGGACAATGATGAACCTCATATATGATGGTGGTCCCCTAAGATTATAATACCACATTTTCATGTACTTTGTTATGTTTAGATACACACAAAGTTACTATTTTGTTACAATTGCCTATAATATTCAGTACAGTAACATGTGGTGCACGTTTGTAGCCTAGGAGCAATAGGCTATACCATATAACCTAGGTAGGGTGATAGGCTATACCATCTAGGTTTTTGTAAGTACACCCTATGATGCTGGCACAATGATGAAAATTGCCTAACAATGCATATCTCAGGATGTATCCTCGTTGTTAAGTGTGATTGTATAGATAGCTTCTCAGAACTATAACTTCCAAGTAAAGAAATAATATGGCTGCTGCCTTACTTCTGTCTCCCAGATGTCAGGCAAATATGTGTTCTGTATTCCACTCTAACTGGAAACACAGAGAATATATTCTGAGTAAGAGTTTGGCCTGGCCAAGGTGACACATTATAAAGTCACCACACAGTCATAAGAAAAAAAAAACCCATGTGATCATCTCAGTACATGTCAAAGATGTATTTGACAAAATTGAACATTCATGCGCGATAAAAACCTTCAGTAATCTAGGAACAGGGGAAATGACCTCTACCTGATAAAGGGCATTGTAAAGAACAAGATAAGGATATGTACTGTCAGCACTCCTATAAAACATCGTACTGGAGATACTAGGCAATACAATCAGGGAAAAAATATGAATAGCATGCATACAGATTAGGAAAGAAGAAAGAACACTGCTTGTATTCACAGGAGACATGACTTTATGTGTCTGCATAGAATATTATAAGTTGATATGGCATAATTATTGACCTACATTCATAGACAGTCATTAGCACTATATTAGGGTCTGTGAAGCTCCCTTCTAGGTGGAGGATTATCTTTTATCTGCTGGATTATCAAGAAGTGAAGACAAGTCTCTGGGAGTAGAACCGAGCAGTCCAGGTGGCAGGGAGTTAGCCAGAGTTTTGGAGGTAGTGGTTATTTAACAACAGGAATAACAAAACTGGTATGCACCAGCTGCCCATCAGCCTTGAGTTGATGATTGCTGCGCTTTTGGCGATTCACTTAGGCTTTCTTCCTTCTGTGTTCACAGAACCAAACTAGTACACAGATACTTAAATAGGTAACCAAAGTTTATCAAATAAATAGAAGATAAATGAAAATTTCCACTGAAAAATTTCTGGTCTTAGCTGTGAGATCAGACCTGTGTATAAGAATCCAGGGGAGTATCCATGTCAAAATTGTCAGGGATTATGAGCTTTACTATTCATTTATTTACATACTGTCATAGAGATGGGGTCTTCCTGTGCTGCCCAGGCTAATCTTGAACTCCTAGTCTCAAGCAATCCTCCTGCCTTGGCCTCCCAAGGGACTGGGATTATAGGTGTGAGCCATTGCGCCTGACCTGATATGAGCTTTATATGAAAGTGTGAAGAGAACCTAAACAATGAGGTACTTGGATGTAGTGAGTTTGGTTGTGGACAGCCTGAGAAAGTGTTTTCTAGCTGGGCCTTGAAATAAGAATGCTTTAATGAGGAAAGAGATGTGTTCAAAATCGTGCATCTCAAGGAACCACTGACAACGGTATTAGATGAAATAGAGCAGAATGAGGCCAGTGTTAAAGCAGTGACTTCCAACAAATTAGGATGGAAATGGCTCTAACAAAAGAAAACAGTGCCAGGATCTGGAATTTACCTATTCCTGATTCTGGGAAGGGTACACTAGAGCACTTTCTCTATATTCAACCTCTACAGCCACCTACAGTTTAAACATCTCTTTCACCTGGTAAGCCCGGGTGTATCTTTGGAGCATCTCTAGAGGTAGAAAAGTGCTAGAGATGTCAGCATAATCCTTGACAAAACCATGAAAGAGGCATGACAACTCAGCAACTTCATGTTTCCACATAAGAATTCCGGCCCTTACTTTAGGGCTATTGTTCTGTCCTCTTACAATTGCCTATAGTATTCAGTGCAGTAACATGCTGTGAAGAATATGTGATCAAGAATATCACATATTCTTGATCTAGTATGTGATATGAGATCAAAGAAATATTCTTTGATATCTAAGCTATCAATTGATATACAGCAAGTCCTCAAATGATGTTGTTTCATAAAGCATCATTTCATTATAACATTGATAAGAAAAAAAAAATTAATTCCTGGGTGAGCCCACCATAGGGGTGGAGTGTGCACATTCTCCCCGTGTCTGTGTAGGTTTTCTCTGGGTACGCCAATTTCCTCCCATATCCCAATGTGCACATTATGTGAATTGGCGTGTCTAAATTGTCTCATTTGAGTGAGTGTGTGTGTGTGTGCGTGTGTGTGTGTGCATGTGTGTGTGTAAGTGTGCCCTTGGATGGAATGGTGTCCTTTTCAGGGTTCCTTCCTTGTGCCCAGAGCTGCAGGGATGGACTCCAGCCACCTGTGACACTGAACTAAAATAATCAGCGAAATAATTATCTTATTTGTTTCCGTTAATCTTTCTTAAATGTACGTAAAGCTCAAATTTAATTCAATGTTTAATATTAGAAGTATTTCGGTCCTTATTTAGAAGCGTGTTGATGTTTTTGTGACTGGAAATATGCCATAGCAACTTAACTCTTGCTTACGCCTATGGTAAAATTGGTTTCATTATATGTGGTTTCACTTAAAGTCACAGTTTCTAAGAACCTATTAACCATGTAATGTGAGGACTTACTGCACGTTAATGCCTCTCAGAGGATGAGAAAAACAGGATTTCAAAGGTGTTTCCCTTAAATGTATAGATATGGGAAGATTTAGTTTTGTCTTAGGATTTCTAACAGTGACTTTCAAAGTCTTTAATATTCATAAAAATGATGTGGGGTGCAAATTCAAAATGCAGTTGCTTACAGCCAATCTCTCGCTTACTGAATTTTAGACCAGCTATCTGGGTGATCCTTGTACACATTAAAGATCAAAAACTACTGTTTAGCTCCAACCATTAGTTCCACCTGAAATGCCCATTTCATCTGCATCTGCATCAAATTCTTGCCTGTTGAAAAATGCCTATGACTTTTATGACAGAATGAGCACATTTATAATCTCAGATATATACATATATAAATGTCAACAGTGTTAATTTTATACTTCATGTATATTCTAATATTAATTCTATACATGTATATATGTGCATATAATTTTATGATAGCTGATATTTGACGTTTTTGTTGTTCCAGGCACTGTACCGGACACTTTGCATACAAAAACTAATCTAATCCTCAAAACAATCATTTAGGGCACTGTCAACCCTCTTGACTAGCATGTGAAAGTTCTGTGTTTGGAAAATAGAATTTACGTGGCAGGGTCAGCCCCTCACAACTGAAGTTAAAAATATCTGACACTAGCTCTCCCAGCCTCCCTTGCTATTGTGGTAGAGCATACACATTCCACTAGTCAGATACACATGCCCCAGAGTGGGAATCAGAAGCTTGTGATATGAAAGAGGAGAGGCCTTTCAAATCCATCGCAGTGATGGTGGTGGGGATATATATCCAGAATACTGGATAAAAGCAACTCAGCTGGTTTTGTAGATTGTCTTAATTCTTAAGCAAATTAATAGCGGTAATTACATCAGAAGGGGCAGGGTTCAACTATGTTGAAGAGAAAGCTATTTTCAAAAGTTTAGTAGAATATATTTGCATCAAATAACTTGTCTAATGATAAAAATAGCTTAGTTTAATAAACTTTCCAGCAATAGGGAAATACTGGGTATCAGTTCTAAATGTTTCCATACTTTCAAAATCAACACAATTTTATTTCTTAATAAAATTCTCAAAATCTGATTTCCCACTATTTCTGGTTGTTCTTTCCCTCTTAAGAATCTGGATCATTGAGGATGTGTTGGATTACAAAGGACTTTTCCTGAAACATAGGGTCCTATCAGTGGCGCCATTCTATAGCATCTTAGGTAGATTAGTATTTTTTTAATAGCCTAGTGTTCAGGCCTGTAGGCACAGAAGCAGGAGGTACAGCCAAAAACATAACAATCAAGCATTCAAGAGAGAGTAAAAATGCATTCAAGCTCAGTAGACTTTTCCTCTTCTGATTATTTGGGAAAAAAATGAACACTAGTGAGAGTAAAAAGAAAGGAATGATACACAAGACTCTTCGGATTAATACAATTTGTGTCTTATAATTTTCTGTTAAAGGTGCAACTGTGCATTGAATATAA
The DNA here is from genome assembly GCF_000001405.40 of Homo sapiens. Classification (NCBI taxonomy): domain Eukaryota; kingdom Metazoa; phylum Chordata; class Mammalia; order Primates; family Hominidae; genus Homo; species Homo sapiens. The sequence goes on from NC_000004.12 coordinate 141,431,674, forward strand.
ACCCAAATCCTCTGATTTCTAAATTCTTATAGCAAAAAGGCCTCACCCACACACAATTGGCAGCAGACACAAGAAATACAGATTTCTTTTTGTCAATAAACTTGTCATGGGTGTGGCTGAAGCTTAGAAGATGGGCTAAGCAATCTAGGTGACTGCAGTAAGGTGGCACATTATGGCAGTCCTAAGTCATGTGAGCCTACTAAGAGGTCCTTGAGGAGGGCTACTGCCAGCTATGAGATAGGAAACAAATAGTAGAATAGACCCACGGAGGCTGCTATGTCTCCATAAAAGAGAGACCAAATACAGGGGTGAAAAGTGATTCAGGAAGTGAGGGATTTTAAAAGAAATAATATAATTTATATACCTCAATGGTTAGGCCCTTTTTAGAATGTGGTGTCACCATCTGTCCCTTTTGATTGAAGACACATGAAGATATGGTAAACGAGGATAGAGGCCTTGGAACCAATTAATCCTGTGGCTTATATCTGAGCCTGGGGTCATTAACCTCTGAGCTGGTGTCCTTAGATGACCCTAGGACTTCCAATCCATTGATTTTCTGCTATTCTGTCATGAGGGGTGGCCTTGGGAATCTAGTCTCCTGTCGTTCTGGTCTAATGTTTCTGCAAAGGTACCAAAACAAATTGTCATTTTTTTTGTGAACTCCTCTCAATGGCCATGGATGGCTATCATCATCAAGACTCACAGACCACATGAAGCCTCTGAATAAATTCTCTACACATTTTCATATGGAAATGGAGAAGGGAGCTTGCTTACTGTGCTGTACCAGTGCTGAGTTAATGTTAAATCATATGTTGGGGTTAATTATGAAATTCTCTAATATAGCTCTGTGGTTAGAAAGCTTGTCAGGCATTTCAGGCATGCAGAGAAAGGGAGTTGGTAATATTTTGGTGTTAATGTTTCAAGAAACATACAACTTGGGGAAATTTGTGGAAAATGAATGTACTGATGGAAATATTTCACTAACACTTTAATCAGTTGTCCCCTTGTTTTTTTGTTGCACATACCAAGAAAACCTTTGTACCCAAAGCATTTGTACCTTACCTTATCTGCAATTTCTTCTAGGCTGCTGAGCATCACTGGAGTAAAAACAAACAAACAAACAAAAACAAATGGGTTAATGCAACTACAAATTCTCTAATCGCAGGTTAGTCTTTAAGGTTGCTGGGTAATTATTCTGTGCATTTCTATTCCTATTTCCCTTATGATCTTTGTCAGCTCTTTCTCCCTCACACTAAGGCCCTCAACTCCTTTTTCATTGTCAACTGTTGGCTTTGTCTCCCAATTCACACACACAAACAAAATAGAGACGGTTAAGGAAACTCATCTCTCCCATTTTTAAAATTTCTTTCCTCTGCCGGGCGCGGTGGCTCACGCTTGTAATCCCAGCACTTTGGGAGGCCGAGGCGGATGCATCACGAGGTCAGGAGATCGAGACCATCCTGGCTAACATGGTGAAAACCTGTCTCTACTAAAAATACAAAAAATTACCGGGCGTGGTGGCGGATGCCTGTAGTCCCAGCCACTCGGGAGGCTGAGGCAGGAGAATGGCGTGAACCCGGGAGGCGGAGCTTGCAGTGAGCAGAGATCGCGCCACTGCACTCCAGCCTGGGCGACAGAGCAAGACTCTGCCTCAAAAAAAAAAAAAAAAAAAAAATTTGTTTCCTCTCCCACCTTCAACCTACCTTTTGAATGAGAAAATATTCCTACACCTCTATTTTGGTATTTACCTATACCTCCTGCCTCCAACCTTCTCAGAGATCTGCTTCATCAGTTACCGCCTCTCTTTAGATTCTCTCTTTATGTCACTGATGTTCTTTAGCCTATAAACATATTTAGTCTCTCCTACCTTGAAAACAAATGCCTGACCTTTCAACACCTTCTGACTATATATCTATTGCTTTATCTTCACAGTTTTAAAAAGGGTAGTCTTACATCTGCATCTCCATTTTTTATATTACTTTCACATCTTTATTTATTGGCTTTTTTTTAAATTATACTTTAAGTTCTAGGGTACATGTGCGCAACGTGCAGGTTTGTTACATATGTATACATGTGCCATTTTGGTGTGCTGTACTCATTAACTCGTCATTTACATTAGGTATATCTCCTAATGCTATCCCTTCCCCCTCCCCCAACCCCATGACAGGTCCTGGTGTGTGATATTCCCCACCCTGTGTCCAATATTGGCTTCTTGTCTCAATATTCCATTAAACCTGCTCTTGGAAATGACTTCATAGTTGTTAAATTTAAGTGGAAATATTCTCAATCTTTATCCTTTTGATTTTGCAATGTTTGACACAACTGATGTCTTTTCCCTCCTAAAATTTTTTCTTTAGCTTCCAGAATTCCATGTCTCCTAGGTATTACTAAGTCAGCCTCATGAGCTCTCCTTTCCTACCCATTCTTTATATGTTGCTCTGCCTTCCATGGTTTTGTCTATTTAGTCACCTTCTTCTCTCATTCTGCAATTTCTCCTTGGAGGCTTCCTATCAACTTAGATTGCTACCACTAATATAAGTTATTATAGTAATACTATAATATTATTATATTAATAGTATATTTTATTAATACTGTATTAATTATAGCTTACATAATATTTCAGAATATTATATTGACATTAACATATTAAAATGTAATTTATCTTTCCTTTCTAGTTTTATCTCTTATGCTTTCTTATGTCCAAATATATGCTTCTGTATATCCAGATACCTCTTGGATGCTCCTGTTTGATTGCTGCACCAGAATACAAACTCAATACATACAAAATTGAACTCATTATGTTTTCCACCAAACCCATATATTTACTCTGTAGAAAGAACCACCATCAGCCCGGTACTCAATTCAGAAATCTAAAAATCATCCCTGAATCATTCCTCAAGCTTTCTTTATACCTCATCTTCAGTCATATACAACCAAGTGCTGAGTCCTGTTAGTTATACACCTTAAATAAGTTCAATATCTAGCTCTTCATCTCCATTCTCACTGCCATTGTCTTCCTTTAGACTTTAATAATATCTCACTTGAAACACTGCAAATATAGTGTCTAGGCTGCCAGGCTTACCCTTTTTGTTCACTACCACCTGAGACATCTTCCTGTAATATAAATCTGATTAGATCACCCTTCTGTCCATGTTTTTTCAGTGCCTCCTATGACCTTCAGGATAAAATTCAAGTATTTTTCCTGCCTTGATCTTGTGTTTGCCTATCTGTCCTGCTACATTTCTTGCTGTTCCCCAATTCATATGATGCTGTAGCTTTGCCAAACCATGTATAAATAGTTTTCCTGAAGTCCTGGCTTCGTAAACTTCAGTGTCCTTTTCATGCATTTCTCTATCAGTGCTGAATGGCCTGCTCAAGCTTTTTTACCTGGAGAAATCTTTTTCATCTTATCAAAACTCAAATTCAATAGCTCTTCTGAGAAGCCTTCCTTGACCCACCTCCTCTGGGATACAAGTTATTTTCACATGCTTCCCAGTACCCACATGCCTAGACACAACACAGCATTCACCATACTTTATTAAGTATTGACTTATCTTTTTCATTATACTGACATCTTCTTTATTACTGATAATAGAAACAGTGACTTATATTGCAGTTACTGAAGATGGATTTGCGCATGAATGAATGTATAAATGAAATAACAACATTGTAAAAAGAAATTTTAAAGCTGGGTTGAAATTTAATAATGGATATACAATTTTCAATCATGTCTTAAAAACAACCTGGTTATGAGATGCTTTTGCTGTATAGTGAAGTAGAATTCTCAACTGTGCAGATTAAAACTCAGGAATATAATTATTTATGAAGGCTGGGATATTTTTCTTTAACATGGTTTCTCTTAATAAAGGCAGATTTTTAAAATCCGATAAATTCTTATCCCTCAAGATGGCTTATTTATGTGTCATGAGGCCAAGGCAAATCATCTTGAGGGGTTAAGTTTCAGAAAGTCCTTCAAACACAAATACCACAAGAGCAAAATATCATAATGAAACCTCTATTTCTCTTAACTTTCTGGCCCTGGATAAAGGAAAGTTTTATTGCTTAATTTTTTTAAAGTTTGGATCGTGGAACATAGTCAAGTATAGGACAGTTTAAATATTTTATTAATTACAACATTCTGCTCTCAATAGTTGAAGACTTAGCAAGACACTCATACTTTTAGACACCGAGGCACCCAGTTTTGTGAACATTTGATTACCCTGAAAACTTCCTACCCTGGTAGAATGGATTTTACTTTTCAAAGTAATCTTTACTATCTTTTACAATGAACTCATGCTATTTTCTGTTTATGTGTCAATAATGAATACAGAATGGTTCCAGTAAGTTCCAGATATGAGGGAAAAACATGAGTAACACAAGAAGAATCTTATTGCAACAAAGAGGGTAAACACTCTCCTTACTTCTGCTTATTTTGTTTTTATTTTCTGATTTTTCCATTTTGGGTGTAAACTTAAGATTGTTTGACACCTGTTATCTTTTCTAATGTAAGCATTCAATGCTATAAATTTTTCTCAAAGCACTGTTTCAGCTATATTCCACAAATTTTGATATATTTTGTTTTCATTTTAGTTCACTTAAAAATATTTTCTAACTCTTTTGAGACTTCTGCTTTTATCCATGGATCATTCAGGTGTGTTTTTAAAATTTCCACATATATGGGGGATTTTCTAAATATCTTTGCATATTTGATATTTAGTTTAATTCTTTTTGCTCAGAAAACATTTTACATCACCTCAATTCTTTTAAATGTGTTAAGATTTTTGTTTGTTTGTTTTGCTTTGTTATAGTACCAGAATGTGGTCCATGTTTTTAAATATTCAATTGCAATTAAAAATGTGTATTCTGCTGTTATTGGACAGAATGTTCTATAAATGTCAAATAGGTCAAGTTGATTGATAATGTTCTGGGTTTCATATCCTTGCTGAATTTTTGTCTACTTGTTCTAATAATTATAGAGAAATAATGTTTATGTTTCCAATTGTAATTATGGATATTTTTCTTTTTTAATTTCCATTCTTATTTACTTCATGTATTTTAAAGCTCCATTGTTACATGACTACACATTTAGGATTGTACATCTTTATTATGAATGGATCCTTTTATCATTATGTAATATCTCTCTTTATTCCTTCAATCCTGGTAACTTTCTTTGCTCTGAAGTGAACTTTGATATTAGCACATGAGTTAGTGTTTGTGTGGTGCACATTTTCCTTGTATTTTAAAGCTATCTATATCATAGCTGTTATGTAAATTTTTATAGACAACATATAGTTGGGTCTTATATTTTATTAATATTGAATCTGACAATCTCTGTCTTTTAATTGGTATGTTTATACCTTTTACATATTAGGTAATTATTGATAAAATCTGATTTAGGTTTAAATGTTTTCAAAATGTTGTTTTCTGTTTTCCTTGTGTTTTTGCTTATCTGTTCTCCCTTTCTTGTATTCTTTTTGATTGTTTGAATATTTATATTATTCTATTTTAATCTCTTGAGATCTTTAGTTAAGTCTCCTGTATTTTTTTAGTATTTGTTATAGAATTTACATTAATCGTACCTAGCTTTTCACAGACTAAGTTAATATTTTACCACCTCTAATAAAATATAAATACCTTTTAATAATTTAGTTCCCTTTTCTCTTCCTACTTATGTAGTTATAATCGTATTTTATATTAGAACATTGAAAACCCAACCAGACAGTGTTATAAATCTTGCTTTCAACACTCATACATATTTAAAGACTTTAGGAGGAGAAAATCAATCTATTCAGTTATTTTCCATTTCTGTTGCTGTTCTCTCATTCTTAAAGTTCTAGCTGTTCTCTCATTCTTAAAGTTCTATGTTTTTCTCTAGTATCATTTTCCTTCAGCCTGCCTGAAGAACTCTCTTCAGCTTTCTTTTCAGAGCAGGACTGGTGGCTATGGATTCTCTTTGTTTCCTTTATTTTCAATCTTGTTTTCTTTCTGTCCTTCAGATTGGACAAATTTCTAATGATTTCTGTTGATGCTCACTTACTTTTTCCTCTGTCATCTTCATTTGGCCCTTGAGCCAATCCAGTATAATTTTTATTTCAGATATTGTGGTTTTTTCGTTCTCAAATTTTCATTTGGTACTTTTTATAATTTATACTTCTCTAAGAAAAGCTTCTGTCTTTTATTCACTCCAATAGTATTTAACATTCCATCAATGTGCATAGTTGTAATAGTTGTTTTGAAATGTTTGTCTGATAATTCCAACACTTTGTATCATCCTGATGTTGATATCTGTTAATTTTCTTTTCCTCTAAAACTGATCACATTTTCATTCTTTTTTGTATGTCAGATAAATTTGAATTATACCATGGACATTTTGACCATTCTGTTGTGAAATTTTGGTACAGTTAACACGTTCAGGTTACTGTTGTTGTTTTACACGAGTAGGTGACATAGTTGGGATCTATTTCTCTGCCCAATTCTCATGTCTAACTGTAACCTCAAGGCTGGAGGTAGGGTCTGGTGGAAGCTGATTGTATCATGAGGGTGGTTTGTCATGACCAGCTTAGCACCATCTGGTACTGTCCTTGTGATGGTGAGTGAGTTCTTATGAGATCTGGTTGTTTAAAGTGTGTGGCACCTCCCCTCTTGCTCTCTCTTGCTCCTGCTCCTGCCTTGTGCGATGCCTTCTTCCCTCTGTGTCTTCTACCTTGATTGGAAGCTTCCTGAGGCCTTCTCAGAAGCAGAAGCCACTATGCTTCCTGTACAGCCTGCAGAACTGTGAGCCAATTAAACTTCTTTTCTTTATAAATTATACAGTCACAGGTATTTCTTTATAGCCATGTGAGAATGGACTAATACAGCAGGCAATCATCCCATTTAGGTGTTGGTCTCAAGTCTGATCTTTTTTTGCAGATGATGGTCCTAGTGTGTGTTCAGTTTACTCTTTGGGTCTGTCCGATGCCTGAGCTACTCAAGGGCTAATTTGGGACTTGGGAAGTGGTTCATGAGTAGTTAAGCCTTCAAAGTTTTTGTTTTGCTGTTCTGGGTCAATTCTGCACATGCATCTTTCAGAGGTTAGTGTTGGACTTGGAAGGTGGCTTATCTTGTAGTTCAGTTCTCAGCACCTTTGCTACGCTCTTTTGTATCTGTTCTGTACATGTGCAGATTGGTGGTGAGCCCTGGACTTATGTCACCTCATGCACAGAATTATCTCCACTCTAATATTTTCCCTCACATTCTCTAGCTTCCAGAGGCTCATTTTCTTCATCTTCTGGCCAAATACACAGGTTTTCTCTTAGAGTTTTTGGTGCCTGTCTGATGTTGCTGCTACAGTTGCAGCAGTACAGCTTCATGACTGGAGTTGACCTCAGGGCAGTACCAGGAGTAATAAAAGATTTAAAAGACAGAGAGGAACAAATGAGTGTCACATCATTTAAGTTATTGCAATCTCTATACAGTTATAATTTTAGAGAACAGAAATTTCTGCAGGTTATGTTTTTATTATCTGCACCAACACAAATGCCTAGCAATGATGTGAAACCTTTCTGGTAGCTGACTCTGCAAATCTTTTATCCTGAATTTGTATCAACTTCAGATGGGCTACTTGTGTAATCTCTGGTTTCTGTATTAAAGAAGAAGGGCGTAGCTATTTTCTTTATTTAAAATCTTCCTTATCATTGTTTTGTGGCCTAGTATTTTACTTATGCAAAATGCTTTGGAATCATTTTTTTGTGCAAATTAGGTTAGGTAATAATTTGCTGAGTAAGTAAAAGCTTCTAGGTTTATAGTATTGAAGAATGGCATATAAATGTTGAGATAAACTTGCAGAAATATCATGTGTTCTATCTGCTTTTGTGGTACATCAGTGATAGTAAAGGAGTCACTGTATTCTGGTCTCTTGATGGTTGCAGGTGTAACTTAGAAGGTCTGAGTACAAAACATCACATTTTTATTTTATAAGTTGACTGATCCTAAAAATTTGGACAACAATTTAGTTATGTGTATTAGACCATGACTTGTTAAGCTCTTTGTAATTTATGCAGAAATATTCAACTGACTATAAAATGTTTGGGGAGAAATTTGATAATCTAAATCCTACAAAAAAAATGCACTTTTTTGAGTTACTTTCTATTTTAGCACTTCCAAAATTTAAATATTGTGGAATACAGAACCAATTTTATAATGCAAAAAAAAGTTAGACAAAGTTAAAAACCTGAAATGTTATTTTATAATCAAATTTCAAAGAATGCTTTTGTTCTATATTTTAAAATAAGTCTCAACTCCAATTCTAATTTCAATTTGATTCAGGCAAGCAAATTTAAAGGCAGAAGAATTAGGAACTAATTTATTTCTTCCTGTGTGGGGGAAACAGTTACGGCAAAGGCAGATGATCTGAAGTTTAATGGGTAAGAGGTAAGAAGGAAGATACATTTTTTGCCAATTCTTATTTCGCCATCTACTCCTTTCATCTTTCTCATCTCCAACAGCACTTTTAAAAAACTCCAAACTCAGATGCTTCTTGCTTCCATCTGAGATCACAACAAGAAACTCATAGTTTTTCCTATCCCGAATTCTTTCTGCAAACCCTGTCATTAGGTGTCATTCCAACATGAAAAACTCCTAGTCACTCCTTTTTGCCCATAACATAAATTCAAATCTGATCTGACCATTTTTATTTAATTTTACTTCTCACAATCTCAATCATTAAATTATTTCTTCAACCAGGCCTATACCTCTCTCTGCTTTGAATACACTATGATACTCATTTCACAACGCCCAGCCTTTGTTCACCTGAATTATTTGTCTCCTTTTTTCCCATGTAGCCAAATCAGTCCCATCTTGATCTTCCTTTTCTCTGAGCAACTTTAACATGTAACTATAGATTACCTTACACTGGAATTAATTTGTTGTTTTTGTCATTATTTTTTGTGTTTTAATTCTTTCACTTGGGGGAAGGTTACTTTTTTTTTTTTTTTTTTTGACAGAGTCTAGATTCTCCCCCTGTCACCCTGGCTGGAGTGCAGTAGTGCAGATCTCGGCTCACTGCAGCCTCTGCCTTCTGGGTTTCAGCAATTATTGTGCCTCAGCCTCCAAAGTAGCTGGGACTACAGGTGTTCACCACCGTGCCTGGCTAATTTTTGTATTTTTAGTAGAGACAGATTTTACCATGTTGGCCAGGCTGGTCTTGAACTCCTGGCCTCAAGTGATCCACTCACCTCAGCCTCCCAAAGTGCTGGGATTGTAGGTGTGAGCCACTACGCCCAACTGTGTTTTACATTTCTTAGAGTTTCCTTACAGTTCTATGAAGCCTGGGAAAAGTGACAGACAGAGATTTTAAGACACACTGGTTTCAGTCTTCGCTGGTTCTAGGTCACAGCTGCCTTAAATTCTTTTTAGAAGTCAGTAAAAACAAAGAATAATACAATAAGGAAATAAAGGAAGGAGAGCACAAGAAGACAAGAAGAAAGGAAGAAAGAAAAGACAATCCTACTTTGTATTTTGGAGATTGGCTAAGGATGACTCAAGAGTTCTGTGGGAGTTTTGTCTTTTTACTAGGATTCCTATGGAAAGGCCAGTTTTCCGTGTGAATTCAACCTTGTATCTAGCAAGGGGCTCTAGTCAAGTAGGTGTCGTCTCTGCTTACATTGAAAATTCTATTAAACAGATCATCTGGAAAGTCATGTAAGCCCTCATGAGGGCTTACATGACAAGATGAATTAATTATGGTATTAATTTATATCTTGCCCTAAAGTAATTAAGGTATCTTTAAAAGATGTATTAAATATAACAAAGCAACAAATTGTAATCAATTGAGAAAATATCGCAAGAAGCAAAACGGAGGTAGGGACCTCTCTGTGCAGGTAAGCTACTGCATAATCCTCTGTCTCTCATGCTTACCCTTTAGTCGTTCCTGTATAGCTGTTTTTTCTCATTATCCCTCTGCAGGGCATCAGTACGACATAGTGGCCATCAACAATAACTGCACAGTCCTCGTAAGCATTGCTCCTCATTACCTTTCAAGTGAATAAAAAACAATACCTGCATGGTCAGTTTCCTTTGATGTTTTATCTGAGTAACAACCGGTTGTGCTGCCACCTTGTATCAGGAGATGCCCATGGATTAAATACTTCTCAGGATGGGGTCTTCCTTGCCATACCAGTCCTCAAAACCCATTTTACCATCTGCTTTCTCAGTCAACTCCCAATGCCAACTAGACCAGTATCATCATCTGAGAAGCAAGCACCCAAGACAGGACTTGACACCCAAGAAGTTTCCTGGAGAGGTGACTGAGGAGGATGAAGGGGAGGAAGCAGGCCTAGGCGGGAGAGCCTCCAGCCTTTAATGCAGGCCTGGCACCTGTGGAAAGAGAGCAGGAAAAAGGGAGGATTGGGCAGGAAGAGTCCAGGACTGTGGCACTGTTTTAAGAAAGTTAGGCCAAGCTGAAGGAGAGGCTGACCTCTTCGGTCAAAGCTGCCCATTAGAGGAGTCCCTCATCTCACAGAAATGAACTTGGACCTGAATTAATACCTGTCTCCCCAACAATGTAACCTGGGAGAGGCATGGCCTCAGCACCAGTGCTGCAGCGGGATTCAAAAGAGTTGCAGGTGAAATGTCAGTCCATTGTGCTCCCCATAGCAGCGCATTTTAAAGACCCCCGCAGGTGGTAAGGCCCGTCTCATGGGTACATCATCGCTGGCCTAAAGATTCTTTATGTATTTGAGTCTGGTGACAGTTGAACAGTCAGGATAATGAAAGTTTGTGTGTTGTTTTAGTTTTCTACAAATAGGTCAATATTACCTTTTGTGGCCTGGTTAATATATGTCACTGAATGCTAATGTCAAGTATGTCAATTTGTGTGTGTGTGTGTCTGGCAGATTCTCTCTCTGTTGCCCAGGCTAGAGTGCAGTGGCTCAATCTCAGCTCCCTGAAATCTCCACATCCTCGGTTCAAGTGATTCTCCTGCCTCAACCTCCAGAGTAGCTAGGACTACAGGTGTGCGCCACAACACCTGTCTAATTTTTGTATTTTTAGTAGAGATGGGGTTTTGCCATGTTGCTCGGGTTTGTCTCAAGCTCCTACCCTCAAGAGATCCTTCTGCCTTGGCCTCCCAAAGTCCTCGGGTTACAGGCATGAGACATTGCGCCTGGACCTAAGTATGTTTATTTATTACCAACAGATTATCTCAGACAAGATGTGAGCCATTTTAAGGTTCAACATCCATCTGTTTATCCATCTATCAATCTATTTATCTAAAATTTGTAGTTACTCATAATATATACATACATATTTTAATGAAAGAAAAAATAATGCAACATAAATTTTTATTAGATACTATAAAATTTATAAAATAATTTCTTTTTGTTTGATAACATCAGACATCATAATCAGGTTTCTGTGACATTAATCAGTAGCCTGATATTTCTGCCTTTGAAGTTCCATAGATTTGTTATAATTGCATTGACTACTTTTCTAAATAAATTAACTGATTAATTAAAAATGTATGAGAAAAATATTCATGACATAACTTTCCCAAATATTTACATGCTACTTCTGTGTTCTGCTTTTAGAATCAGTATTTTTTTAGAAGTGGAAAACTGCTGTGACTTAAGATTTCTGTACCACAAAATGGCAACTCCCACTGGATATTTAAGATCAGCAAAGAGGATCTCATGTTTCAATGTTCACTTTATTCTTGTGTCCATATGAAATTGCAAGGACATTTAGGGGATTTCAAATACAGAATTAATCAAAGTAAAATAATAGTAACTTCTCTAAAGCTGTGACAGAAAGAGAGTGCATTATGTAATAGAAATATAACAGGCCATTTTAATTTTAAAGCACAAGCTTGGAGAAGTTAAAGAGTGGGAAATGAAAAAATAGCTTCCCCCTTCCGTTATTTGCCATGTGGTAAGAAATAAATGCCAGAGAATTAGAAAGAAAAGCAGGATTATTGTAAACTATAGAAACAAGGAGGATGAAATTAACCTGCAGACATAGGTTGCAACTGAATAATATGAATAGGAAGGCAGAGCTTTGCCTAAAAGTCAATGCTGTTTCTCACTCAAAACTGCTGAGAATAAAGAGCTAGAAACAGAATTAGAAGATAGCATAAACAAAATTCAAGATGTTTCCTGGGGAAGCTGGTCCAATATGAGAACCAAACAATTTAAAGGTGATTATTCAAACTGTGGTCAAGGTCATCTGAAGCAATAATTAGATGTCAGAAGCATGAGCTCTTTTTGCAAAGAAACCAAATAAGTGAATTAGTGGGATATGAACACTGGTTAGCCAGAACAGTGAGAATGTGCAACAGAGCTCTTTATTCTTGGGAATAGGACCAACTCAGAGATGGAGTCTACCTTCTCTGATGATATACCTACCAGATGTTATAAATCCATTAGGGGAAGGACCATGTATATTCATGTTTCTCTCCCCCTTCCTATCCTGACTTCTAGTTCAGTACTGGATACAGAGTAAATAATACTGAAATATCTGTTTAAACAAATGTGAAAAATGTTGGGAGAATTAACGAGAAGGATCTAATCTATCTTTTTATTTGGCAGATGAAGAACGTGAATGGTTTGTCTTTGAGTAACTTTCTTGTGGTCACATGATAAGTCTTAGAAGTATTAGAGAACAATATTTTTCATTTCTAAAAGGAAATGAGGTGGTAATTTTGGTTGAAATAAAAGGGACGTCTTTTCATGGTTGTGTGGCGTACTTACTAAACATTCCCATACCTATAGGACTTTTTATAAGCAAATAAACTAGGTATTAGCATGAAGTTGTTTACATCTGAAACAAATAAGAGCGTCCATTACATTTTAGTATTTATTAGCAACGTTTCTTGAATGATTTCTTACAAAAGGGAAATATCAGTGAATAAATAATGTGAAATGCAAAGAAAATATATTTTATTAAAATTTTTTGTTGAAAATCAATTCAGGATATGAAAACTTTATTATAGAGTATATTGTCTCCTTCAACTTGCCTAGAATTAGATTTGATATCCATGTGTATTAGTTTATATTTGTTAATTATTAGAACTTAATGACATTCTTCTGTAATAATATTAGAAGCTCTCATTTTGATGTCAGCACTTTCAGGCTTACTTTATTTTTAGCTCTCTTTATTAAGCAAGAATTGAACTAATCCTTCAAATTATTTCCTTCTTTCTATGGCTGTATACTCATTGCTAATAAGAGGTTTTTCCCCTGTAGACATGTCCGAATTTAGATAATATGTTGTTACAATTATACAGGCATATTACATATTGGACAAATATGACTGAACATGGAAAAGGAGTTATCATTTATGTATACTAAGCAGTATATGCTTATATTTATGCATACTGTGTGGCATGCTTTGTCCTGGGTTCTTTACATACATAATTGCATTTACTCTCGACAACAGCTTTTAGAAGTCAGTGTGATTATCTTCATTTTATAGATGAAGAAACTGGGGCTGAGATAAAGTAAAAAGTTGCTTAGGATCACATGTCTTGGGAGTGACAGAGCCCGTGTCAAAAGGTCTTTCTGATTCCCTAGACTATATTTCTTTCACTAGGCAAAAAAAAATATATATATATATATAGATGAGAATTGAAAAGAAATGCACGAAGGAGTAAAATTATAAGCACTCTAAAAGGCGGGTCTTGATAAGCAGAAATGAATTCTCTTAAAACTTCTGACTTTTAACTTCTTACATTCCACATTAGCTTTTTCTTTTCTTCCTATTTACTTTTCTCTCTAGTAATCTTAATTATCTTTTTTCCTGTCACTATGGGCTTATTAGAGCAGCTGACATAGACAAGAGAATAACAAGATCTAAGGGTAATTAGTTCCTCATCTATGAAAGACAAGTTCAGAATAAAATAGACCTGAAGAAAATGAATATCACACTTTATAGGGAAAGCTTAGCAGCTATCAAAATGGTAAAATGATGGCTGTGGTGGGGTGGGGAGTTGGAAAATTGTATGTATGTGTACATTCACACACAGTAAGTGATTTAGACTTTTGTTTTTATCGGATAGGCCATTGGAAAAAATGAGATTGGTTGTGTTCTATGAATTTCATTGCTAGATCAGATTAGATGCAGGAAGATAAAAACCCTTCAAAGTCTACAACCTCTTGTCAGTAGCATGCTGATTTTTAATATGCTCTCTTACATGTAAATTACCATAATTCAAAAATGAGAGACATCCTGTTAAAGGTGGAAGGACCCCTATCAGTGAGTCTGAAAGGTGAGTGTTAGGTTGTTGTCAAAAGAATAGCAGATGCCAGTTGAAGTGTAGCAGACCATTGAGGATAATTTGCTATAACTTGCAAGAATGTTGATTAATAAGCTTTAAATATAGATGAAGGGGAGTGTGGCATAATGAATGAGGGGTCTCTGGAGTCACACTGCCAATTACCAGTTGTGCAACCTTGAGAATATTTCTTAACTTTTTTGATTGCAATTTCCTCATCTAAAATATGGTTAATAATTATCATGAGGATCAAATGAGCTAGTTTATGTTAAATCTTAGGACACTGCCGGGCATACAATAAATACTTGATAAGTATTAGCCATTTTTATTACGATCTGGAGGAAGTAGACTAAGAGAAAACAGACCCTGAGAAGTTAACAGGCAGGAAGAAGCCTTTCACTAGAGCTGTTGAATTTGCATGTTATTTTTTCTCTCCAGAGTAGCTGTGTAGACTGAAGAAAAAGAGATTTAAATAGTTGATGGCTTAGTATATTAAGCCTATCAATTCTTCAGAATATGTCCCCTAGTTTAATTGAAAAAAAAGAGAAAGTACTGTAATTAACTGAAGTTAAATTGCTTTTCAAAGTAATGTCTTCTTACTGTGATAGTATAAACAAAATATCACTTTGGGAGTATTTTTAGTATTTAGGGGTGGCTATTTAAATATGCACATGCAAACACACAACACACACTGAAACCACAATCACTACCATACTTATTTCTTTTACAGTGCTCTGTAGAGAAGTAATTGAATTCAATTGTAAATGTAAAGTCTTCTCAGGGGAGATGTTGATAGTTCATCAAACTTTCTAATAAAATTAAAAATTTATCTGTGTTCCCATGGTCATTATTTATGGAACTTTTGGCACTCAAGAATTCATAAATCCTTGTCCAAAGACCCACTTTGTCATTAGCAGGTTCTATTCATAAACATTGCTCTTGGCTGTATGCTGTGAAGTGGGGACATCTTCTAGTAAGTCTGACAAGGAAATAAGAGGAACATCACTTGGTCTTTTACGACTGCAAGAAATTGAGATGATTGGTCTTGAAGGTCTGCTGTTGCCCGATTTTGCATTTGTCTACTCCAAGAAAATGACAGAAGGATACTCTATGGAAAGCTTAGTTTCACTTGTTTATTTTTCACTGGTTATTGCAGATGGCACAGATTTAGAGTGCATCTTTTATGTATATGAAAATGTTCTGTGCATTTATAGCAAAACATTTATGCATATGAAGAATCATATTTGGTTCTTTCTGAGGGCTTGGGTAAACCAGACCCTGACAGGAAGAAAGATAATTTTATTGGAATTAAGAAACTGACAAGCTGGTCATGGTGGTTCACACCTGTAATCCCAGCATTTTGGGAGGCCAAGGGGGGTGGATCACTTGAGGCCAGGAGTTCCAGACCAGCCTGGCCAACATGGCAAAACTGCATCTCTGCTAAAAATACAAGAAAAGAAAGAGAAAGAAAAAAAGAAAAAAGAAAGAAAGAGAGAGGAAAGAAAGAAGAAAGAAAGAAAGAGAAAAAGAAAGAAAGAGAAAGAAAGAAAGAAAAGAGAAAAACAAAAAGCAAACTAGCTGGGCATGTGCCTGTGGTCTCAGCTACAGGAGGCTGGAGTGGGAGGATCACCTGAGCCCGAGCCCGGGAGGTAGAGGTTGCTGTGAGCCTGATAGAACCGCTGCATTCTAGCCTGGGTAATAGAATGTGACCCTGTCTCCAAAATAGATAGATAGATAGACAGATAGATAGATAGATAGATAGATAGATAGATAGATAGACAGACAGACAGACAGACAGACAGATAGATAGATAATGAATAAAGAAAAGAAAGTGACCATTTCCACCATGTTTGCTGCTACCTGGCAATCCCAGCTGTCACCAATTCTGGCCAGGATTATTGGAATAGTTGAGACACTGAGCCTCTTTTTCTACCCCTCTCCTTTAGACTCTATTCTCAACACAGCTGTCTTTAAATGAGATCACGTCTTCCTCTGCTCCAGACCTCCCATATAACTCACAGTAAAACTCAAAGACAATACTGATGACACTCTTGCCACTCCTGACCACATCTAATTCTACCCCTCTCCTATTCCCTCCCACCAGCCAGAATGGCTTTGTTGCTGTTCATCCTCTCTGCAGCACCCTTCCCATGGATAACTATATGTCTTTCTCTCTCACATCCTTCAGGTCTTTATCCAAGTGCCATCTTATCAAAAAAGCCTTATCTGACAACTAATATTTAATACCAACATCCACAGCCTAGCAGCCTCTAGCCCCTTTGTCAGGGGTTATATTTCTCCATAGTACCTGTCAGCACATTTCATGGTCTATATTAATTATCTATTTGTTTTGACTGTTTCTTCCAATTAGAATATAAATTCCCTGCAGGCAAGAAATATGTTTTGTTAACTACCATGTCCTTGATAATTATAATTGTACTTCGTAAAAAATAGACACTAAATAAATATTTTCTCAATGAATATTTGAAGCTACTTCGTCTTAATCCTAGATGGTGGAATGGAGCCAGTTATTTGTTTAAGATTTAATTTCTCCTAATGATAATCAGCTAATTGTTATATACTCTGTCATTTAAAAGGATAATAATGCCTGTAAGTGTGCAACAGTAATTTTTTTCCCGATAGGGATTTCTAACAGTGAAGAGAAATTTTGCAGTGTTTATTAAAATTTTAAATATTGTTTATACTCTATGACTCAATATCTCCAATTCTTGCCAACTTCTGTACAAAAAAACTGGCTGAAAAGCAAAGGGAGGTATACACGAAGATTTTCACTGCAATATTGTTTGTAGTGCAATGACTAAAGAAATGATAGAATTACCACACTATGGAGTACTATGAAGCAGTTTAAAACAAATGAGGAAGACATATATAAATATATATATACACACACACAAATACATATATAAATTAATACAAATAGGTATATATACAAATACAGATGCACAAATATGGATAAATAGCTCTCTTTATTTATATGTGTAGAAATTTATGTTCCTCTAGCAACAATTATTTTCTTACCCAACCAAATATATCTCTCTTCTCCTTTCTTGTTTTCTTCCTTTTATTTCTTTTCATAATTTTTCCTTTTTCTTTTCTTCTATGTCCAAATTCAGACCCCTAAACTAGTCATTCAGTGCACTGAAGCAAATATATTATTTATTGTATTTATTAAAGAGTGTTGAAAGTTTCTGTTCTTAAGTTCCAAAGCCAGAAGGTAATATTTTATATTTCTCTCTCTCCGGAACAAAGAAAAGAAAATAATAACAACAATAAAATTATTTATGTTTTGTTTGTGTTCAATGCCAGCTTTCTTTCTTCTTTGGGCCTTGATTGAAAGAAAAATCCCCTATAATTGATTTATGGCTATTTTTCTTTTTTCTTTTTATGATACTTTAATATATAAATGACAGGCAAAC
The DNA here is from genome assembly GCF_000001405.40 of Homo sapiens. Classification (NCBI taxonomy): domain Eukaryota; kingdom Metazoa; phylum Chordata; class Mammalia; order Primates; family Hominidae; genus Homo; species Homo sapiens. Next base: position 141,449,356 of record NC_000004.12, read on the forward strand.
AAAAAATCAGGAATATAAATTAAGCAGAGTAGGCATGTAAAGAGAGTTTTTATGTAAAGATCTAGAATGATTTTTTTGGATATAATAACCTAAACTACGTGTTTTTATCAGAGATTTCAAGAGCATCTATAAATTTCTCATTTTCCAAGCTCTCCAGACTCTGTTCATATGAATATTCATTTATTCAACAATTATTTATTGAGCATCTTCTATTTATCTTGTCATTTTCTTGGTGCTGGGGAAACAGAAAAATCTCTACCCTTTCCTACTGAAGGTAGAAAATAGTGAATATAATGAGTAACTAATATATATTTCATTAGTAAAAGGCAACATATGCTATGGGAAAAAATGTACAGTGCAGTGATGGGGATAGTGGTTGGGGAGGAGTGGGGTTGCCCCAGGTTCCGCCATTATATTACTTTCAAAAGGGGAAGATGTTGGAAAGAGTGAAGGAGAGGAGAGCTTGCTCTGTTCTTTTGAAACATGGAATCCAGAATTGCAGTCATGTGCACTAACATTCTACTGGCAGAAACCTAGTGACATGTCCACATCTGGTAGTGAGGAAGGCTGGAAACAGTCTTTAGCTGTGATGATGTACCTAGCTGGAACTTTGACTACTACAAAAGAAAGGGATGATAGATATCAAGGAGATAACTAGCAGTCTTTACTGTTGTCACTTGCAGAAAAAGGAAAGGAATATGGAAGGAAAAGGAAGGGAAAGGAAACAGGTTTATTGGAAACATATTAATTAAAATATTAATTTATTTTAAAAATTATTTAATTGATTAATTTAAGATTAATTTTTAATATTAATTTGAAACAGGGTATTCTAAAGAGAGGGGTAAAAATTCGTATCACTTCCTTGTCGACTCCACATCAGAGATCGGGAAACATTGTTTATAAATAATATGATATCCTTCCTGTCTCTCCATTATGTCTTAAGGTAAATTGCTTCAATCAGAAATTTTCCCTTTCCTCTACTGAGCATACCAGAGCCTTTGTATTCAAAGGAATCTTAATGGAAGGTGCAGGACTAAGTTTGTGGGGCTTTGTATTAGATATTATTATGTTTTATAATATACTTTTTTATATATTATTATAATATGGTTATATATTCTCTCTTTCTTCTGTAGTAACAGAAATTCCAACTAGGTACAAAGTCACAGCTAAAGACTGGAAATACGGTCTTTAGCTGTGACTTTGTGATTTCCTCACAATCAGATGTGGCCATGTGACAAGATTTTGGCCAATAGAATGTGAGAGGAAATGACTGCAATTTTGGGTTCCATCTTTCAAAAGAAAAATATTTAAATATTCAATTACTTAAATGTCCCAATCCTCTTTAATTCTTTAAGTCTAATTACACTTGCCATACCTCCTCTCCAGAAATATATATTGGTTTAAAAGAGTAAAACAGCAGACCCTAAACATCTGGTGTTTTTTTTTTTGTTTTTTGTTTTTTTTCCTTCCTCCTCTTCTTTGTCCTGTCTTTCTTTTGATTTTTTTAACTTTTGACTTTCATCTTTGTTTTGGTCTTTTTCTTTCTCTCTCTTTTTTTTCATTTTAATGTTTTCATTCCCTCAATTTTTTCTTGAAAATGTCAGTTTTCATTTTTATAATATTAAATGTTTTGTGCTCGATGAAAAGCAATAAGGATTGAAAGCACATCTATATATGTACATACACACATATACATATATACCCTTTTAATATATAGAAACCACACAATATAATTATATTTAGAAATTTTGAAGAGTAAATAAGGTTACGTTATTAGGATTCAATTATGTAAATTATACGATATGATAAATTAATATGCTGTTGTATTTTGGTACATACTTAATTTTTAGCATATTTAGTCACAGCTGGATTTCAGTTTTCTTGGCTAGCAATTTAGTTACATAATAAATGGCAGTGGCCATAATCATAATTAAACACATCCGTAATTAGGTTTCTGTAACTAGGGAACAAAATGTCATAGAAACAGATATTTAATAACCAAATAATATTTCCAAGGTATAAATATATATTTTTTTCTTTTTTTTTTTTTTTTTGGACAGGATTTTGATCTGCCACCCAGATTGGAGTGTAGTGGTAAGATCATATTATAGCTCACTGAAACCTAGAACTTCTGGGCTCAAGCGATCCTCCTGCCTCAGCCTCCCAAAGTGCTGGGATTGTAGGTGTAAACCATGCTGCCCAACTGTTTTTAAAGATTAATAGCACAATTTGCCATTGCCTACTTGTATAATAGATACATAAATATTAATGGTTGAAGTGTATCTTAGTTTGTTCATGCTACTATAACTAGAATACAATAAGCTGGTGACTTATAAACAGTAGAAATTTATTTCTTATAGTTTTTTGGAGGGTGGACCAAGGCCACTAGTAGATTCAATGTGTGGTGAGGACCCACTTCCTGGTTTATAGATAGACATCTCTTGCTATGTCCTTACATGGAAGAAGGGGCAGGGATCTCTCTGGTGCCTTTTTGTATAAGGGCACTAATCTCATGAGTAAGGGACCTACCCTCATGACCTAATCAACTTCCAAATATATCTCCTCCAATATCATTGTATTGGGGATTTAATTTCAACATATGAATTTTAGGGGAACACATTCAGTCTGTGGTAAAGGGGGTGTTGGGAAAGGTTTTTCTTTGTAAATATTATAGTTTATTTTTTATTTTCTCAAACATCCAGAAATGTTCTTTTCATGCTGTTAACTTGCTGAATCAACTGCATCTATTCTATAACTACCAAAGTGGAGTTGTAAATGTTAGCTCTTACTCCTCTTGCTATGATTGCCATTAAATTTATTATTATTGCATTATTAACATAATTATAATCTTTCTAACACTCTAATTCCTCCTTATTGGTTACTTTTTTTTCTTCCTAAAATTAGAGCTTTGTATTTGACATAAAGGCTGGTATTCCTAGCACCTTGGTGATTTTGCACGTAAGTGAATAAATTAGGCTTAAAAATTGTATTGAAAAAATTAACCACATTTGTAACTCTACTATCTAGTCTCCTTAATGTTAGTCATTTTATCTTTCATGGAAAGATTAGAAATCATTATTCCAAACATATGACGCCTTTACTGGAAACAATACTCATATCTCCATGTCTCTTCTATTTTTTTTTTTTTTACTTTGGTAAGAACACTTAACATACAAACTACTCTCTTCACATATTTTTAAGTGTAAAATATAGTATTGTTACCTATACGTGCAGTATTTTACATTAGACCTCTGGAACTTATCTTGCACATTGAAATTTTATATACATTCATTAGTAATTTCCCATTTCCCCTTCACCAGCACCTGGCAACTGCCAATCTACTGTTTGCTTCTATGGTTTGATTATTTTAGATACTTCATGTAAGTGAGATCCTGCAGTATTTATTCTGTGACCAGCTTATTTTACTCAGCATGGTATGCTCAAGGCCTATCAATGTCACATATTGCAGAATTTACTTCTTTTTAACTGAATTATAGTGCGTTGTATGTACATACCATGTTATATTTATCTATTCATCTGTTGATGAACATTATGTTGTTTCCGCATCTTGGCTATTGTGAATAATGCTGCAATAAACATGGAAGTTGTAATATGTCTTTGAGATCCTGAATTCAGTTTATTAAGTGAAATGGCTGGATTATATGTTAGTTTTACTTTCAATTTTTTGAGAAACCTCCATACTGTTTTCCATAACATCACCATTTTACATTATCATTTTACATTACCACCAATAGCATACAATAGTTCAAATTTTTCCATATTCTCACCAATACTTGTCTTTTGTGTTTTTCATAATAACCATCTTGACAGGTGTAAGGTAATATGTCATTGTGGTTTTGATCTGCATTTCCTTGATGATTAGTGATGTTGAGAATTATCATATTCTTTTTGTCCATTTGTATGTCTTCTTTGGAAAAAACATCTATTCAGATCCTTAGCCCACTTTTTAATTGCCCTGTTAGCTTTTTTGTTATTGAGTGGTGGGAGTTTCTTATATATCTTGGAGATTAACCCATGGTCAGATATATGGTTTGCAAATATTTCTCCCATTCTATAGGTTGCCTTTTCACTCTATTGATTGTTTCCTTTGCTGTAGAGCAGCTCTTTATTTTATATAGTCCTATTGTTTAATGTTGCTTTTGTTGCCTGTGCTTTTGGTGTCATATCCATGAAATGATTGCAAGAACAATGTTGCAAAGTATTTCTTCTATGTTTTCTTCTAGGAGTTTCACAGTTTCAAGTTATTTGTTTAATCTTTGATTCATTTTAAATTTCTTTTTGTGGATGGTTTGAGAAAAGGGTCCAATTTTACTCTTTTGCCTGATATCCAGTTTTCCCAACACCACTGTTGAAGAGACTATTGTTTTCCCATTGTGTATTCTTGGCACCCTTGTTGAAGATCAACTGACCATATATACATAGATTTCTTTCCAGGTTCTTTATTTTGTTCCATTAGTCAAAATATCTGTCTTTCTGTTAGTACTGAATTAGTCCAATAAGATCATGTTGTTTTGGCCCTGTTTTGCCTTGTGTTATTCAGATCTCCCTCCCTCCCTCCCTTTTGCCATCTTTCCCTACTGCCCTCCCTCTTTTCCTCTCTTTCTTCCTCCCTTCCTTCCTTCATTTCTCTTTTCATTCATCTGTATTGTTCTAATTGTACCTAATTTTGTTCTAAAGATTAGAACTACTATACTCTCACTGAACAAACACAAAGCAAAACAACTCTAGGAATAGGCAGATTAAAATATGTTTGATGATGTTGTGCTACCTTGTAAAACTCCTTGAAGATACTATGACTTTATTTTACTAATTTAATTGTGTATACATACATTTGAATAGTAGCATATGCATGAGACAGATTATTTGTTCCAGAGACAGTGTTTCATTTGCAGATTCCTTGTAATAACTCTATTCTCAAAACTCCTCTGTCCTACACACCCACATTGAGTTTATTAGCCAGTTGCTAACCAGTGATCCAGGCCAGCAGTTAGCAAACTAAGTCCAGGGAGCACAAAACAGCGTGTTTTTGTACAGCCTATGAGATAAGAATATTTTTACATGTTTAAATGGTTGAAAAAAAAGAATATTTTGTGATATGTAAACATTATGTAAAATTCTAGCGTCAGTGTCCAGACATAAAATTGTATTGGAATATAGCTATGTTCAGTTGTTTATGTAGTGTTTATGACTGCTTTCCCCTACAACAGCAAGGACAAATAGTTGCAACACAAACCATAAGATCTGCAAAGCCTAAATACTTACTGTCTGACCCATTACAGAGAAAGTTTGCCACCCCTTGATCTAGGCTTTGTTGTAGGCATAAGAAACTCACAACATCTGAATAATTGAGAGTGGGTGTTTTCTACTGGCTATAGAAAATTCACTTATTGGACGTTGGAGTTAATTGCAGAACATTATGTGTATTTTTTGTTTTTGTTGCTGTTTTAAGATATAAAATATTCATGTTAAAATAAGTGAAGAAACAAAAGCACTTCTGTCCTTGTGTAGTGTAGGTCATGAACTTCAGCAGCATTCATGGTGAGAGAAGAAAGGGGTTCAGCCAGGCACCCGCAGCTAGAAGCTATTTCTGGGTTCCTGGTTGTAGGGTCATTGGCATATGCCTGAGGGACTGATATTCTAGAAAGCTACATCTAGAGGTCTCTTCTTTGACACTGAAGACTTTGGAACTCAGATTATTGTTGCAACATACATTTTCTCATTTTCTTTTCCTAATTTATCCATTTTCTGTTACTAAATTGTTGTTAATTTTATCTTACTTGAAACAGAAGATTCTTTACATTACTCATCATGAACATTTGTAATTTTTTAATTTTGGTTCTCACCAACTTTTAATTTTTTAATGTAAAGACACTATTTGGGTTAGAAAAATGATTCAAAATTCAGTGAAAGTGTTTAAACTTGTGTCTGAATGGGAAAATGTAAAGGTAGAAACCTAATGATTATAAATCAAAGTATATTTTCCTCTTTTTGGTGATATAAGGTGTTATTCTGAGATACGTGCACAGTGCAGAATATTCATAATCATGTCAATCATCTTGGAAAGTAAGCTTGCCTATATAGTGGTGGGAAGAAAAGGGATATTTTTCATGGATACAACAATCAACTAAAATATAACTACTGAATATCCACAGAGAATTAACTAATGAACTATCTAGTTGGCCAAAATTGCTTCCAGCAAGGAGGCACAGTGATTGATTTTATAAGATTGTAAATTTGGGGAAATTATTTGCAAAGACAACAGTTCAGCCAGAAAGATTCAGATTAGCTAGATTTAGTTTAGAAGAAGTTTAATGGAATGTAATCAGATAGGAGAAGCTGAGATTAATATAGTAAAATAGCTCCATTTCCCCTACAATCATCACAAGACTGCTTTTCACACAAGGAAAATGATAACTATTTGTGGCATGACACATTAGGGTAGAACGGAGGGCAGTTAGAAGCTTAGAGCAGGCTGCTCCCAGTCAGATGATGTTCTTACCACCTCATGCCCTGCCCAGCTGCCCTGAGGGAAGAGGGATCTACTTGGCACACTGGTTGGGGAGCTCTTGGCTAGAAAAGGTTCATTGATTGGAATATATCTCACTCTGTATATGAAACCTTTTCTCACCAATTCTATTTATATTGAACTCCCCCTTTTCTAAATCTATAATAGACATTGTTTCAGACAATCAAGAAGTAAAAATTAGTCTTAAAATATTCTCAAGTTTTTAAAATGTGCATTATTCATCCCCTAGTTGATACTGATATCTCCTTGTGAGCAGTGATGATTGTATTTCATGTTGTCCAAAATACATAGCACATGCTGGACAAAGATAAGGGATTTATTTTTGTTTTTACTTTTATTTAGTTCAAACACATTTGGAGTTTATTTTTCACTTCTGTAACATCCAAAATTGCTGTTCCTAATTGATTGGTGATTCTCCCTCCCAGTGTTGATTCTGAAACTCGGGATTTTTAAAATTTTCCTTATGTATTATTTATACTCTATTACTTCCCCCAAAAGATTTGAATTGGCTTATAATAATAGACATAATAAGACCATTAAGTAGTGATTTTTTTAAAAAGCAAAAATAAGAGCCATGATACATATTGAAATGATTGCATTATAAGTACCAGGCATTTCACTACAGAATTTAGTTCTGAGTTTCCCAGCAAAAAAGGTCTGGAGAGTTCGCAGTATCACTAGATTCTGGCTGTAACTCATGGGCAGAAAGGTCAGCCCATCCCCTGTTTTCGTAGCGTTCTGTGCAACGGTGCACAAGGTCTGGGTCCATTTGGACACATCACAGGATTTTGCTCCTGACAAGGGGCCCTGCTTCATTATTGCTCTCCTTCTCTATGAGACGAAAATAAAGACAGCTTTTTTGGTGAAGAATAATCAGTTTGCAAATAGCTAGCATTTGGCCACCTTGTGGGGATTGGGTGTGAGTTTCTAAGAGGAGTTGGGCAGGGAACTTTGGGTCCAACTAGCTCTCTGTTTCTAGGTCGTACATCCTTCTGTTGCACTATATGTCTGAATCAAATAGGGAAGTGTGAATAATTTTATAATTTTCATTACACTAAAAGTGAAAGTATGAGAGTTTACCAGGAAAGATACATTTTCTCCATAACTGGATGCAAGACTACTTTATCACAAGTAGAAATACAACCTATACTTCTCTAAGGTGCTAATATGGTCAAATTATCACCACATAGGTAGAGTCAAGTAAGATGCCCTGATCATAGATTCTCAAAGATTATTTCATAACATAATGAACAAATACTTTAACAGTAGTTATATTTAAGTTACTGTGAAGGTTATGTGTCAACTTGATTGGGTTAAGAGATAGCCAGATAGCTGATAAAACATTTCTGGGTGTTTCTGTGATGGTACTTCCAGAAGAGATTAGCATTTGAATCAGTAGATTGAGTAAAAGTCACTGTCACCAATGTGAGAAGCCATCATCCAATCCACTGAGGGCCTGAGTGGATGAAAAATCATAGGAAGTGTGAATTTGCTCTCTCTTTTTTAGCTGGGACATCCATTTTCTCTTGTTTTTTGTCATTGGAGCTCCTGGTTCTTGGGCCTTTGGACTCTGACTTAATTACATTCTCAGCATTCTTGGTTTTCTAGCTTGTAGAGGGCTTGCTAGCTTTCAGAGGGCATATAGTTGGACTTCTTGGCCCTCAAAATCATATGAGCCAATTCTTAGAATAAATTTCTTCATGTAATCTATATATATTGTATTGGTTCTATATCTCTGTAGAACCTTGACTAATACAGATACAAAACTCTGACCAATGTGACCAAGACCCACATTTCAAGTTACTGTTCTGTAAGAAATTGCCATGGAGAAATAAAGCAGAGGAATAATGGGATGTAACTTTCTGGCCTCTGGCTTCTTTCATACTTGAACCTGGATAATATAATGAATAGTACATCCTCGAGACTACTCATTTCAAGTAGTAATTATTTCTAAGATAATGTAGTCTCTAGATTAATTCAATAAGCTTTTATTCTGCTTTTAGCCTGCTATTCTTGCTAAGGTTAAGTAGGGACAATTTAGAATTTTAGGTGCTAGATGAGTCCCTAAAGTGCAGGTACTTAGTATTGTTGATTTAGATCTGAGGTCAACCAATTTTTTTCTGTAAAAGCCAGAGAGTAGATATTTTTAGGCTTTGTAAGTCATATGTCTCTGTCAAAAAAAAATCTGCCTATGCAGAGGGAGGTATTGTGGGGCATCAGATGTGTCTTCTCTGCTTGCATTATTTGTTTTGACTCTGCTGGCAATCTTAGGAGATATATACCGTATTATAATATACCATTTTACACATGAGGAAACAGAGCAACAGAGAACTCCATAGCAATCAAAACATTTCAACACCCCTATGGAACTCACTGTAATTGGATCTGTCTTATCACTATTTTCTTTAAGATTAAGAATTGTACCCGTTATACTAATGGGGGTCCAGTCAACAGTAGTAGTCTTCACCCCAGGAAACACTTTTATCTCAAGAAAAGCTAATTGCTTGTTTTATTTTTATGATGAATTATTTATTCATGATTTGCCCAACATATTTGAGATTATTAAGGGCTTTCTTATTATTAGCTCATTTTATTTCATATATGAGGTTAAGGGACTTTTATCAGCCTAATTCCATAAGTGTTCCTACCTGTATAGGGCAAGAAGCTTGGTGTGTTTCACCTTCCCATCCGTGTTCTTGTCCTGCCTGGAATGTTCACCTAATCTTTCATCCAACAGACATGCTTTACAGAGTCATGGTGAATCATCTGTGAACTCTTTATCCACAGATCAGTCCCTTTGCCCCAGCTTGCCCTGGCTGTAGCAGTCTCTAGAATAGACTGGCAGCTCTCTCCAAGACTGCTTTCAGGACTAAGCCCTCCCGACTACTTCCTTGTCTCCTGTTCCACAGTTTCCTTTGCTTCCTCCATACGGCCACAAACAAGCATTTGAATCAGTCTGAAACCTTGCCACTGGGCAAGGGTTTATGCATCTGTGTCACAGCACATTGTAACTTCCTCATTAACTCATTAACATTCCATCTAATTAACGTATATAACTTCAGAAATGTTTTTAAAAGTCTCCTAAAAATTAGCTAGAAAACTGGACAAGTAGATGAGCCAATAATTTGTGACAGAACATATCTAGTTTTGTAATGTCTATGATCTACTTCAGCAGATTTGACCATATCTACTATCTTTAATTGAAGTGTCTGGCGCATGGCAGGCAACTATCTACATAACCAATGACTTTGAAATCAATGATTGATTATAGTACCTTTTAAAAGTAATTTTAAATAATCTCCCAAGGATCCAAATTCAAGTTCAAATTTAATTACATGACTTCTGTTTCTGTCTATGATGCAATAGATTACATCAACCTAATTCTCTTACTGAGAACAATGGTAGAATCTGGTTTCCTCAAGTATAGATATTTCTGAGTTCCATTTCTCAAGAGGATAATTCTGAAAATTATTCAGGCTCATGCTTAATATGGGAATTGGTGGAAACCTGGGCTATGTCAGGCAGGAGGAGGAGTCTGGGTAGGGATGGGAATAGTGACTTTTTTTATAGACATTCAGTTATTTATCTTTCTTTTAGCTCTATTTCTCCTCCCATTCAGAAGTATGGGTCTTTCTATTCCTAAACATTCTGGATTCTGTTTTTGACTTGGCTGGTTTCCTTTGATTCCTCCCTCTGGAAGTTTAAATTTCAGCTTTATTATTCAGCCAAGACAGCTTCTACTTGTCATCTTCCATTTTCCAAAATTTTGACATCATTGTCTATTCTACTATTCTAGAATTCTTTGTCTTGTGGATTCATATTTTTAAATTATTTTACTCTTATTTTAGTAGGATCTCAGGAGGGAGCAAGCATATGTGATTTGATCTGCTATTTTTTAACTGGAAGACTCCACTTCTTTTCTTATTTTTAAAAATTATTCTTTTGTATGGACTCTATTTTGTTTGTCTTTGGTTTTGTTTGTTTTTTAGAAAGATAAGGTATTGCTCTATCTCCTAGGGTAGAGTTCAGTGGTGTGATAGTAGCTCACTGAAGCCTTGACCTCCGGGGCTCAAACAATCCTCTTGCCTTAGCTGCCAGAGTAGTTGGGACTACAGAACCATGTCACCAGCCTCAGCTAATTTTTCTATTTTTTATTTTGTAAAGAAGGGGTCTCGCTATGTTGCCCAGGCTGGTCTTGAACACCTGGGCTTAAGCAATCCTCATGCCTGGGCCTCACTGAGACTGGGATTACAGGCATGAGCCAACATGCCTGGACTATTTTGTTGTCTTTATATTTGTAATGATAAGAATGGTAAATGTCCTTTTAATATTATATTACAAAAAGTACTAACATCAAAATTATTATAGTATTTCTCAATATTTCCTATGTAAAATTAGAAGATGAGTACATTTTTTCTCTTTTGAACAACTTTCCATATTTTAATTATAATATTTAATTTTAAATTAGACACTGATGATAATGATGCTTTCTGTGGTCATGATTGCTTCATCTGTTTCATTCACATATTAAATTCCTACTTTTTCCCTAGGTTCCCTAAGTCATCTTATAAAAGAAAATGCTCCTTTTTTTTTTTTTTTTTTGAGGTGGAGTTGCACTCAGGCTGGAGTGCAATGGCACGATCTCAGCTCACTGAAACCTCTGCCTCCCAGGTTCAAGCGATTCTCCTGCTTCAGCTTCCTGAGGATTATAGATGTGCACCACCACACCCAGCTAATTTTGTATTTTTAGTAGAGACAGGGTTTCACCATGTTGGCCAGGTTAGTCTTGAACTCCTGACCTCAGGCGATCCACCCACCTCGGCTTCCCAAAGTGCTGGGATTACAGGTGTGAGTCACCATGCCTGGCCACAGAATGCTCTTAAGTATCTTTTAATCTGTAGTTTCCCTCTTCATTCATTAATTTGTTGTACAATATTTCCCACAATCTGAATTTCTCTGTTTTCCATATTCCCAGTATACTGGTGGTTAGACGGTCTTGAGCTGACTGAGTTAAACTTTTGGTGAAGGTAATTCATACACAGAATTGTGTTATTCTATCAGGAGGTACGACATGGCTGGTGGTTCCTTTTCAATGACGCTAACTGCAGTTGATGATTGTCTTGACTCAATAGGGTTTGCAAATGGTCATCTTCCAAGTCTCTAATTCCTTTTTAATTTATTAGTTGGAATAGTTCTATTACAGATAAACTTTTCCTCAGTAAATGTTTCATTATTCAGTCGTATAATTTGAATAGAAAGAAGGGTAAGATAAGCACCTTCAATGGACTGAAGTTTGTGTCCCCCTGCAGCCAAATTCATATGTTGAAATTCTAATCCCCAATGTGATGATATTAAGAGGTGGGGCTTTGGGGAAGTAATTAGGTCATGAAGGTGTAAGTCTCGTGAATGGATTAGGGCCCTGATGAAAGGCATCACTGAGAGCTGTCTTCTCCTCCTCCTGCCATGTCGGGATACAATTAAAGGTCAGCTGTCTGCAAACTGGAAGAGGGCACTCACCAGAACTGGACCTTGCTGGCATGCTGATCTTGGATGCCCAGCCATCAGAGCTATAAGAAGTAAATTTCTGTTGTTTATAAGCCACCCAGTCTGTAGTACTTTGTTACAGTACCATGTGGCTCAAATTGATTAAGCCAACACCTGATTTTTTCCCTTTGTCAGTTTTAAAACTGATGAACTGATTACCAGAAGTGTCTACCACTGAACAATTAGCACGGTTTGCTGTTGTTCTTTGTTTTAGTATTATCATATTTAAGGCAGTTGCTATCCTTATAAAATTATACCTTCTTTAGCCAGTGCCAGCCCTATTGGGTTTGATCCTAGTAGTGTTTGATAATGCCTTGTTACATGTTATGACAAAATGTCCCAGACTCATCTTGTGTATTTCCTACTATACATTTAAAATCAGCCATAATTTCAAGGATACCTAGTAACTTTTAGTTGAAAATTGTATTTTCAAGACAACTTGTGAACTCTCCTACTGGGTTTGTCATAAATTATAGGTCTTTCCAATGGACAGAGCTAGGGAATGTGTTTTATAAAAATATTTTAAGAAAAAATGTATTATGTCATGAAGTCATACTATTTCCAATTAAAATTTTAGATACATAGAGTTTTTTTCAACCTCTACTACCTTACTGTATGCACTTTCCCCCACATCAAGATTCCTATTTCTAATGACACTGGGAATTATAAGAATTAGAATATCACAAAACTACTAACTGGCTGAATCCTACTACACATAGAACTGCACACATACATAGAGACACAGAAACACAAAGGATTCAGAAAATATCAAAACTATTGTGAATAATATGTTTTAGGTTGGGCTTCTTAGAAACAAAACCTGACATGGGGAATTGTTTTGCATGTGATCTACTGAGGATTGATTTGGGGGAAAGTTGCAAGGAAATTAGGAAAACAAAACAGTGCATGGGGAAGAAACCAGGCAAAGATACAGTTTCTTGGGAAGTTAATGCCTAATTCTGATACTGTGGAGTACTCTGGAGCATGAATTACACTACAGAGGTTGTCTCACCAGAGGCAGGCAATGAGGGGCTAAGATATTATACCCACTTGCAGTCGTTGGTTATAGCTCAATCCTAATGGGAGTAAGTGCTTCAGTTCCAAGGCATTTCTACATCAGGTGACTCACATCAGCCAAGGGCAATTCTCTGCAGAAAGCCAGAGGTATGAAACACTGAAAGCCAAAATTTGCCACACTGTCTTCCACAATGGTTCAGCTAATTTACACTCCCACCAACAGTGTAAAAGCCTTCCTTTTTCTCCACAATCGCACCAGCATCTGTTGTTTTTTGGCTTTTTAATAATAGCCATTCTGACTGGGGTGAGATGGTATCTCAATATGGATTTGATTTGCATTTCTCTAATGATCAGTAATGTTGAGCTTTTTTTTTATATGTTTGTTGGTTGCATGTATGTTGTATTCTGAGAAGTGTCTGTTGATGTCTTTTGCCCACTTTTCAATGGGTTGTTAGATTTTTTCTTTTAAATTTGTTAAAGTTCCTTATAGATTCTGGATATTAGACCTTTGTCAGATAAATACACTGCAAAATTTTTCTCCCATTCTGTAGTTTGTTGGTTTCCTCTGTTAATTTTTTTCTTTTCTTTTTTTTTTTTTCTGTGCAGAAGCTCTTTAGTTTAATTAGATCCCATTTGTCAATTTTTGCTTTTGTTGCAATTGCTTTTGGCATTTTCATCATGAAATCTTTGCCCATGCCTATGTCCTAAATGGTATATTGCCTAGGTTTTCTAGAGTTTTTATGGTTTGATTTTAACATTTAAGTCTTTATTCCATCTTGAGTTGATTTTTGCTTATGGTGTAAGGAAGGGGTCTAGTTACAGTTTTCTGTATATGGCTAGCCAGTTTTCCCAGCACAATTTATTACATAGGGAATCCTTTCCTCATAGCTTGTCTTTGTCAGGTTTGTCAAAGATCAGATGATTGTAGTTGTGTGGTCTTATTTCTGGATTCCCTATTCTGTTCCATTTGTCTATGTGTCTGTTCTTGTTCCAGTACCATGCTGTTTTGGTTACTGTAGCCCTGCAGTATAATTTGAAGTGGGGTAGCATTATGTCTCGGCTTTGTTCTTTTTGCTTAAGATTGCCTTGTCTATTCAGGGTCTTTGTTGCTTCCACATGAATTTTAAATTCTGTGAGGAATTTCAATGGTAGTTTAATGGGAATGGCATTGAATCTATAAATTTATAAATTACTTTGGGCAGTATGGCCATTTTCATGATATTGATTCTTCCTATCTAAGAGCATGAAATGTTTTCCCACTTGTTTGTGTCATCTCTATATTATCTGAGCAGTGGTTTGTAGTTTTCCTTGAAGATATCCTTCACTTCCCTTGTTAGCTGTATTCCTAGGTATTTTATTCTCTTTGTGGCAATTGTGTATGGGAGTTCGTTTGTGATTTGGCTCTCAGCCTAGAGGCAGAAATACCATTTGACTCAGCAATCCCATTACTGGGTATGTAATCAAAGGAATATAAATGATTTTATTATAAAGATATATGCACATGTGTGTTCATTACAGCACTATTCGTGCAAAGACATGGAATCAACCTAAATCCCCATCAGTGATAGACTGGATAAGGAAAATGTGGTACATATACACCATGAAATTTTGTGCTGCCATAAAAAGGAATGAGATCATGTCCTTGGCAGGGACATGGATGGAGCTGGAGGCCACTATCCTTAGCAAATTAACGCAGTAACAGAAAACCAAATACTATGCATTCTCACTTATAAGTGGAAGCTTAATGATGAGAACACATGGACACATGTGGGGGAACAACACACACTGGTGCCTGTCTGAAGGTGAGGGATGGGATCAAAGAGAGCATCAGGGAGAAGAAATAATGGATTCTGGGCTTAATACCTGGGTGATGGGATGATCTCTGCAGCAACCACCATGACACACATTTATCTCTGTAACAAACCTGCAGACCCCACACATGTACTGCTGAGCTTAAAATAAAAGTTGGAAATGAAGTGAAATAAAATAAAATAAAGGCCACAATTAACCACAGCTGAAAGACGGTTGCACTGGCCTAGTAAATGGGATCTGGGCAGCATGCCAACAATATCTGTAGCATCTACCCCTTGGCACCACTCATATCTATTTGCTTCTCTCAGTAAGTTTTCTCTGTCCATGGATGGTTTCTCTGTGATTTTGGTTGGCTCCAATTTCTGGGGAATTTCATGAAATGAAAGCTAGTATGACAAAATGCAGTGCTCAGGGCTGCAGTTGCTTCTCAGGAAATTATAATTTTTTTTTCCATCACCTCAAGCATTTATCATTTTTTTGTCATGAGAAAATTTTAAATCCTCTCTTTTAGCTATTTTGAAATATACAGTATATTATTATTAACTGTAATCACTGTGCTGTGTAATACACAATGAAATACTATTCAGCCTTAACAAAACCTGAAATTCTGTCATTTGTGACAACATGGATGAAGCTAGAGGACATTATGTTAAGTAAGCCAGGTATAGAAAGAAAAATACTGTATGATCTTACTTATATGTGGAATCCAAGGAAATTATTGACATTTCTCATCTCTTTCTCTCCCACTTATTCTAGTTTCCCATCATTCTCATCAAGCACTTTTTATGGTGTAGCTGGCTTGCCTGTTAGTATAAACTAACCCCTTGTTATTCCTGAGCCTCTAATTATCATGCCCTTAATCAGGCTGCAGTTGCTATACTTTTCTTTAAAATTGAAGCGAGCATGCAAATATGAAGTGGTGCCCAGTAAATCACTTGATTACCAAACATATTCCTCTCTGCTCAGGCATCCGTCCTTATCCAGCAGTAATCCAATATCCTTATGATGATCCTTGTTACCGTCCACTGTCAGGACGGTAACAATTTATGACAGTTGGTCTCCTGGGAGGAGGAGCCCAGTGTGGCCAGGCAATAAATATAGCTTTAAGTTTAATAGGAATAATAGGGTTTCTCCTGATAGAAGCATTCCATCTCTTAGAACCAGGAATTTCAAACTCTCAGAGACAAATTTGTGGGAATGTAAAAGCACAAAATCCTCAAGCGAGTCACCATGAACTACAGTGAGCCATTCCTGTTTCTACCGTCTTGATTCCTGGACTTCTGTATTCCAACTTTTGCAGACATAGTGTCATATAGTGGCCATTAATTTAAGGTGGACTTCATCCTGAAGGATTGTACTCCATTCACCCAGGGTGTTATCTCTAAACTAGTGTCTCAGCCATGCCTTCAATAAGTCAATCCACTGGTCTATCATGCAAGTCATTTCTGGATAATATAGTATGTGGTAGGCCATAATGGATTCCATAGTTGTTGACCACAGCTATCCATCTTTGGATAGAAAGCAGGTCTTTGGTCCAAGGAATTATTTAGTAGGATCCTATGTAAGCAGCTCAAACATTGTGAGTCTTCAAAGAGTTGACAACTATGGGAAGGAAAGGTGAAACTATATCCAAATCACCTGTTAATCTTCATCAGGATGAATTTTGTATTTCTAGGATGGAAGAGATTGAATCTAATCAACTTGTCACCAACTGGCTGAGATTAATTGCTTGATTTATTCAAGGAGTGACCACATTCGAGGTTTCAACAATAATCTTTGTTTGACAAGTTGAACATTCTACACCAGTAGTCACGAGATCAGACATGATGAAAAAGTAAGATTGAAGAACTGAATTTTTAAAAATTTAATAATTTTAAATTTAAACCCAAATAGTCTATGTGTCTGATGGCTGCCATTTTGTACAGAAAAACTCTATACAATACTCTGGAGTGGGCTCCACAACTCCATGTCAAGATAGATAAAGATGTGTCTTTATGTATGCTAGCATTAGGTAAGATAGTGGATATAACATTAAAATAAAAGTTTTCCTGTAAGAGGAGGAAGAAAACTTGGGTTGGAAGAAATAGAGATAGAAGTAATATTCTTTTTGAGTACACCTTGTTTTCTAGATTTGACTTTGTATATATGTAATTATAATCACATAATTCTAATTAAAATTAAATATAAAATATTGAAATGCAAATGAGATAAATGAGCAAATGTATATTGAGGTGATATTTGAACCAAATATTCAAAGAAAAACTATTCCTATGACTATAAAACACAATAATTGGACTGTAAAGCTATGTTTTCAGTAATCATATTTTTGGTGGTAGCATTGCCATTGCTATTTTCAAAGAATTTGTGTATGATATCAGATAAAGCAAACTTGTTAAGACAGGCTCATGGTGCATGGCATGGAAGAAAAGTCAGATGTGTAAGATTAATGACAATAAGGAAAACCCGTGTATTCTGGAATTTGAATGACAAGTATTGGTATGATATTATAATAATTTTTGGCTTTAGAATGTATATATATATTTATAATATATAAGGTAATATATGACAATATAAATTTATAATGCATAAGCTTTATGTATTTTCAATATACAAGATTGTATATTTGTAATATATTTATAATTTACATATAATTATATATAATTACATATATCTTTCCTAGTTCTGTTCACCAATAAGGTTTAGAAACAAGGACAAGCCCAGTAGCAATAAGCATGACTAGCATCCAGGTTGTGATCTCTATATGCCATTTTGTACTAAAAAATAGTATTTCCTAGAAAAATGACTGCATCTACGTATGGAGCTAGGAATATACAAGGTGAGTCTGGAATGTCTTGTTATGCCAGAAACAAAGATATGCTGTCAAGGACTGCTATAATTCTGTCAACAGGTTGCAAAAGCCAACTTGAATAGGCTCCCACTAACCAAAATTGGGACCACATGGATAATAACTAGAATAGCTTAAAATGCATTAAATATACAAACATGCATTGCTTAGCAACGAGGGCAGGTTCTGAGAAATGCACTGTTAGATGATTTTGTTGTTATGTGAACATCATAGGGTGTACTTACATGAACCAGGATGGTATAATCTGCTCCACGCCTAGGCTATGTGGTATAGCCAATTGCTCTTAGGCTACAAACCTGTATAGCATGTTACTGTACTGAATACCTCAGGCAACTGTAACAAAAGGTAAATATTTGTGTATTTAAGCATATCTAAACAGAGAAAAGGTACAGTGAAATATGATATAAAAAATAAAACAGTGGTACATCTGTAGAGGGCCTTGTGCTATGATGTTATGATAGCTATGACATCACTGGATGACAGGAATTTTTCTGCTCCACTATAATCTTATGGGACCACCATTGTATATGCCATCAGTCCTTAACTGAAAAGTTGTCATATGGTGTGTGATTGTATTTAAATCTGTGAGCTCCTAATGGTGTGAAAAATCTTTGATCATTATTGGAGGTACTCATAAAATTCTTTATGTAGGAAATAGGTTAATAAATGGAAAGAATCCAGTATTTATCTAACCTTTACTAATAGAACTATTACTTTGGTGTAGTTGATGAGGAGAAGTTTCTACTTTAAAAATATTCCAACTAATAAGTGGAGTATGATATAATTTTAAAAATTACCATTTTGCAACCCCCAAGGAATGTATTGATCCAGGCAATGATTCTCAATGGCCGCTAACATGGCAGAAAGAGAACCAGACAGTAGGTCAGTAAGTGCTGTAGTCCCCTCTTATTCAAGGTTTCCCTTTCCCTGATTTTAGTTACTCTCAGTATAGGGCAGTTTGAAAATAGATGAATGTAGTAAAAGATATTTTTGAGAGAGAGAGAAAGAGAGAGAGAGAGACTGCATTCACATAACTTTCATTACAGTATATTGTTATAATTATTCTATTACTAGTTTTTGTTAATCTCTTACTGTGCCTAATTTATAAATTAAACTTTATTATAGGTATGTATGTATGTATGTATAGAAAAAACATAGTATATATAGAGTTTGGTGCTATCTGTGGTTTCAGACATCCACTGAGGGTCTTGAAACATATATCCAGTGGGTTAAGTGTGGATTACTGTACCTACTTTTGGAAAAATGCAGCACCACCTATAAAGCAGCTTTGCAGAAAAAAAGAAAAAAAAAGAGCTAAAACATGAAAGTACCTAGATATTTAAATTAGAGCCACAGGATTATGTTAAATGAGTAAATTGCACAGTAAGAAGATTACAAAATATATGTAAGTTTTTGCAAGGCAAAAAAAACATGAAATGCAGTGAGGAACTCATCTACTAATATCAGTGACTAATAGAAAATCCAGTATATGGGCTTTGTTTGGATCTTAGTTCAAATACACAAAATATTAAAAATCATAACAGAATTTAGAATATGTGAATGTTGACTAGCTATTTGAAGGTCTTAAGGAAATGTGTGTGTGTGTTTAATGACTGTTTTGGTAAAGAAAGAATTTTTCTTTTACAGATACATATGGAAGTGTTTACATGAAATTACTATGTCAGAAATTTGCTTTAAAACAATCTGAGTGGAAGATGGGAGATAGAAGGTAGTGATGATACAAAAATAGCCACGAGTTGATCATTGCAACTTGAGTGAGTGGTACATGTGATGGTTTCTTGTATTATCATTTGGCTTGTATATATTTGAAAATTTTACTAATAACAAGTCTCAAATTCAGAATAGATATTATAATTTTCAAAATAAAAGATTGTATTTTATCTTTTGGTCTTTGCCTTAAAAGGCAATTACTAAAGTAAAGATGGGTAGAGAAGTTGTAAAGATTTTTGTGTTTGCTTTCAGCTTTGCTGAATCAACCTACAGGTCTACCATTCATTTCTTCACACACTTAATAAGGACCTGACCTTACTTTATTTTAAAGTGCCCTCTGTGGCATTACATGTCTTCAGGAAATCACAGTTAAGTGATTTCATTTCATATATCATCTGACCTCTCCAGAGAAAAATAAAGACCTGGCTAACCTCTTAGATGAAATATATTTTGAAAAGGTAGGCACAAAAACTATCTCTTTCTTTTTTTTTTCTTTTCATCATTCTTTACATTTTACTTTCTCCTTCTATCATGTGCTCCTGTTTTGCCATTTTCTTAATCACTTATTTTTACCAAGACTCCTAAATAAGAAATATCT
The DNA here is from genome assembly GCF_000001405.40 of Homo sapiens. Lineage (NCBI taxonomy): Eukaryota > Metazoa > Chordata > Mammalia > Primates > Hominidae > Homo > Homo sapiens. The sequence goes on from NC_000004.12 coordinate 141,469,471, forward strand.
TATTCTAATAAAATGGCCAAGTTTAGCTTTGGGTTGGTAATACATTGTTTTATGGAACGAATCAGCACATAGTTTTCAAAGTACTGAGAGGAATCCAGAAAGTATATTACATATCTCTAGCCACCAATAAGTGTGTAATTTAAGAAGAATGACTAATACACACAGATACAGAAAGAAAAGAAAAGGCAGACAGTTTTATGCTAAATTGACTAGCAGTGACTTTTAAAAACTGCACATTGTCAAAAATGGAGAAAACAGTGAGTTAATACACTCCCAGAAGACTTAATACTTGAGCTGAATTATTAAAAATAGATAGACTGTATATGTTTGCAATGCAAAAGTGGAGGATGCCCAGGCGCGGTGGCTCAAGCCTGTAATCCCAGCATTTTGGGAGGCTGAGGCGGGTGGATCACCTGAGGTCAGGAGTTCGTGACCAGCCTGGACAACATGGTGAAACCCCCTCTCTACTAAAAATACAAAAAGTTAGCCAGGTGTGGTGGTGGATGCCTGTAATCCTAGCTACTCGGCAGGCCAAGGCAGGAGATTCGCTTGAACTTGAGAGGTGGAGGTTGCAGTGAGCCAAGATCACACCATTGCATTCCAGCCTGGGCGACAAGAGCGAAACTCCATCCCCCCCCACCAAAAAAAAGAAAGAAAGAAAGAAAAAAGAATATGAATGAAGATATGTAGGTTGAAATGAACATGTAAGATATGGTCAAACTTCTTTAACCAGAAAGAATGTGAATGGGAGAACAGGGAGAAGCTGGTCATAAAGATTACGAGGCCAGATTATGCTGTATAAGGAAAAGCAAATTTGGATTTTATATGGATTGGTAATAAATGTTTACAACTGTATTAATAGATTAATAAAACTCAAATTTGGATTTGAGTTTGAATATGATAGATATGGTAGACAGTAACGAGACATTTTGAGTTCTAGGACAATGTTTTAGGTGTTTTGTCTGGAAATGATACTGGGTAGGGAGGGCATTACCACTCTTAAACCTAGGCAGGTAGGCCCCTGCCCATGAGGCCTCATGTATAAGGAATCCCTATACTGTGGAGTGCCTTCCACAAAATGTTCATATTTCCTGTCTAGTACCTGGAACCATCTATGGCTGGGAATGCCATCAAGCAGATTTTCCTGAGGCCAGACCAGGGTGCCATGAGCCTGGTCTGGGCCTCCAGTGGTTTCTCCCCTTGAGGACACTTTCCAAATTTTATACCCAAGGACAGCATCAGCCAGCTGTCTTGAGAAACTCTGAGACAATGAGTCACTGAGAACCCTGTAGCTGTGCATCAGTTATAGGAGGGTATCCTGGAGATCAGATCATGCCGCTGGCCAGTGTAATATTTTTTCCACAGGATCACTGGAGATTAGGCTGCCAGAATATAACTAACCTATTAAATTTGGGTGTTTCTCCCTTATACTGGACATAGGACAAGTTGGGTCTCTATGCTACCAATGATCTACCATTTACCCTTGGGCTTGAGCCATATATCTGGGCCCATGTATCACGTGGCCGTGTTCCTTCTAGGCTGTCACCTCTGGTCTACAGCACTCAAGGACAGCAGGGATGGAGGCAGACACCTTTTCCCTATGCATTCCTGCTATTGACACTGGGACAGTCATCTCACTCCCTACACAGACTCCATGGGGATTGCTGTCCATATTTTCTCAAACGGCTTTTCAAACAGCTGTTCGGCAATCCAGTGGGCTCTTCTGATCAATATTCTCTTTGCCTCTGATCTGTGCAGTGGTGTACTATGCAGAGCCAGAATTAAGCATGTCAGAAGAAAGACAGTCACTCCTTGTGTGAATGGAACTGCTCTTCTCTCTCTGCCTCGCTGGTGTGGAGAAGGCAGGTGGGCAGTCAAATTTGGAGGTGACCACATTCTAGCAATACAGTTATTAGGGCCCAAAAGGTCAAGAGAATACATGGTTGGAAGACGTATTTTTTTATGTTAGTGCTATAAAATTCTGAGTGATAAATTAGCATCTCCAGGCAATAATTATTGTTTATATTTTCCTTTTTACTCGGGGTAAGACTTGCGTTTGTGGACATCATCAATGAAGCACAGCAATAACCTATAAGAGTCATTGGAAGCTGGTATTCACAGCCAGTACAATGGATGATGGAACATCCTGAGTTGTGGTGTGGCAATCATTAGACAAATAGTATTCAGGAAATTTGGTGGCAAGGAGAACTATATTGCTTCAGTACAAAATCTATATCATTTATGAAGAAACATAGTATTACAAGTAGTAACAGCATTGCTACCATTTTCTTTTTTTGCAGAAGGGCCAGGAATGTGTAAGGCCTGATCTATGCTTTCTTTTATTTTCTTCTTTTTTTAAAACATAATTTCAACTTTTATTTTAGATTCAGGGGGTACATGTGTAGGCTTGTTACCTGGAATATTGCATGATGCTGAAGTTTGGGGTATGATAGATCCCATCGCCCAGGTAATGAGTGTAGTACCCAATAGTTAGTTTTTAAATCCTTGCCACCCTCCCTGACTTCTTCTTATTTCAGGAGATTTAAATTAGCCAAAAATAAAACATTTGAAAATAAAGGGCCTGAATGGTCCTTTTCTAAATCTGAACAGGAAAAGAAGGTGTCTGGATATTGGAAAAAAAAAACAAAACAAAACACAGACCACAATAAACAAATTATGTGCATACCTCTTCTCTACTAATTATTCTAAGTTGTCATTGATAAATCACTAAAATTACATAAATCCATACATTCCATAATATATTTTAATCAAGTGGCTTATACAGATAGGGATCCCACAATAAATATTTGTCTGAAATTCTGTACCCCCTAGTGTGGCACTAGAGGTGATAGTTAACGGAAAGTGAAAAACTACATAAAGGAAGATAGATTAAAGGGCAATTGCAATAATTCTGGCTAGAGGTGATGGCAGACTGGGCTAGGAATATAAGATGAATATAAGGATAGTGAAACTGCATAATATTTTAAAGAAAACTCAATAGGATTTGATAATAGATTGTTAAAGATGGAACAGATGCTAAGAATCAAAGCAGACGTCTAAGTGTCTATGCTTAAAAACTTGAAAAGAAAATAAGCAGAGGTAGAAATAACTACTTCCAGTAGAGAAGAAAGACCAATTTGGACATCAATGTATGTTGGGATATATAGAAAATTCTCAATTACAAAGTATATGCAGGCTGGGAGTGGTGGCTCACGCCTGTAATCCCAGCACTTTGGGAGGCCAAGGCAGGTGGATCATGAGGTCAGGAGTTCGAGACCAGCCTGACCAAAATGGTGAAACCCCATCTCTACTAAAAGTACAAAAATTAGCTGGGTGTCGTGGTGAGTGCCTGTAATCTCAGTTACTCAGGAAACTGAGGCAGGAGAATCACTTCAACCCGGGAAGCTGAGGCAGGAGAATTGCTTCAACCCGGGAGGCAGAGGTTACAGTAAGCCTAGATTGCTCCACTGCACTCCAGCCTGGGCAACAGAGCGAGACTCTGTCTCCAAAAATAAAAAATAAATAACAAATTATATGCAATCTAGGCATGTAACAAAGTTGCACTTGTACCCCATAAACTTATACAAACAAAAAATGAGTCCTTCTAGGGAGTAAAGATCAGTTATAAAAGTTTCTAAGAATCTAAGAAAAATGTTTTTGTCTTCTTTGGCATGTGATAAGACATTGGCATCCACTTTGTAGCAAAATTTTTATACATGACATCAGGAGTTGTTCAGTTTAAATTCCAGTTCAAATAATTTATGGAATTTAAAACTTGATTGGCAAAGGTCCTTGAAGAATATGCTTCCAGTAACTTGAAAACTGCTTAATGCTCTGGAGAAAGGGGCATATTTTATCATACTAAAGAAGAAGGACATAATGCAGTTCTTCCCTTTGAGCAAATTATTTAGCATTGCTGAACCTTGACTTCATTCCATAAAAGTGGGATAAATTATGTCTGCATCACAGTGCCATTTTGGGGCTGAAACATACATGGAAGTGCCTGGCACAGTGTCCAGCACAATCAGACTCAATAAATGTTGGTTCAAGTGAAATGAAATGAAATCTACTAGGGTCAAATTGCTTTGTAGTTCTACCACTCAGATAATTCCATCCTCATTTCACATCATGACAGCAGCTCATCTATCACAGGGCTTCTTCAGGCCTGGGACTGAGGTCTGTGACCACTATCTCTAGGAGCTTCTGATGAAACTCTTCTTAACTGGAGAGAGTGAAAAATAGAAGGTTTAGGCACCTCTAGGAAAAATGACTTTTCCCTCTATAATTTACCCACCTGCATTTTAGAAGTGTGCTTCTAATATAACTTGAGCTGCAGTCACCCATAATATCACATTTGTATAGTATGGCGAACTGATATCCCCTTGAAAATATAAATTAAAACAGCATTCAATGAGCCTTTGAAAAAAGGAGATAGAATCCAAGACAGAGAGAATTTTAAATAGAATGATACTTCAGTGATTTATGTGGATAACAATGTTCTTGGCAGCATGCTAGTTGAAGATGGGTGTGAAATCTCTATTACTCTCTGCCTGTCTGTTTTTATGGCTTTCATTTAACATGATTAAGTACCTAGTCTGTGCTTGGTGGTACCTAATGGCTTTCATTTCTCCCCAGTGCCAAAGTTTCTCTCTGGCTGTAAGTTATGATTTTCAGGAAAGGCATTGCTATGATTTGAGTTGGTCCTCATTAAAAGTCATGTTGAAATTTGATCCCCCATGTGATGATATTGAGAGATGAGGACTTATGAGTGGTGTTAGGGTCATGGGGATGGATCCCTCACAAATGGCTTGGTGCTGTTCCAGAAGTGGTGAGTGAGTTCTTCCTCTCCAGAGACTTTTAATTCATGAAGCAGTGTTCCCACAAGAGTGGGTTGTTATAAAGCCAGGATGCCCCTTGGATTTGCCTCTTGGAACATGTCTACTTCTTTGACCTTTGCTGCTCTGAGGCAACGCAAAAAGCCTACACCAGAAACCTAGCAGATGGAGGCATCATGCTTCTTTTACTTCCCAGGCTGTGGAAACATGAGCTAAGTAAAACTCTTTTCTTTACAAACTACCCAGGTTCAGCTATTCTGTTACAGCAACACTGAATAGACTAAGATAGGTGGTCTGACCGGGTGGCCCCGGCTAAAGCAGTGGTTGCTGTGTGGCAGTAATGCCCTCCAAGAATCCATGGGCGCAGAGTCAGTGGCTAGGCCTTGTAAGAATGGCTCTGTGTGTTTGATAAGAAAAAGATTTAACCCACTGTGTCTCTGACGTGGACTGGAAATAGTACATTTTCCAAGTATGAGAAAAAGATGCTCATAGTGACCTACCAAACTGTGAAATATTTCTTTTAATAAAGATGGTGAAAGTCAAATAATTTATGGAATTTAAAACTTGATTGGAACAGGTCCTTGGAGAATTTGCTTCCAGTAACTTGCAAAATGCTTAAAGCTCAGGAGAAAGGGGCATGTTTTATCATGGTGAGGAAGAAAGACATAATGCAATCATAGAGACAGTTTAGGGTAATTGCAGGCCATATTAGGGCCAGGAGCTGCGGCTTAGTCTTCATGTTGACAAAGTAGGTCTGTATTCTGATTTGACAATAGCAAACCCAAATGTGAGCCAATAACCATTCCAGAAAAGCTTGTGTGAGCTGACTCAATGACCTTTTTCCCCATCTTTCTTCAGGCTTAGAAGATTCTTAAAAAATTCTGATGTGTGCAAGTTAGAAGATTGATAACTTTAGTTTTTGCTATTGTTACTTGTTTTATTTTCCTTAATGTTGAGGTAATTCGAGGTTCCTATTTACCCATTTAACTATTAATCATCTGTTATTTTTCTTTCTACCAAACTGAACCCATTCTCACAATAGTCTGTATGCATAAGCATTTTTTAAAATTCACTGTGTATTCTTGCTTTCTTCAAACTGAACACTTCTGTTTGTATTACCCACATTTATTCCCAAGGCAAAGAATCAGCATCATTCTATTTTTAAAGGATTTTATATCTTATCGGTTTCTATTAGTGACAATAAAAAATATTGTTACCTTAGAAAAATTATATATAGAGAGTGAGATAGATGATTGAGAGAGATCTAGTCATGTTTAGTATTATGGTCCGGCTTTGCACCCATGATTTGTACAGTTCTCTCTCAGAAACCTTGAATTTCAAGGAAACTATAGTCCTGATAAACAAATTAATAAAAAAAACACCACAATCTGGACTCAGACTGGATAAACTGAAATACTGTCTTCACTTGTCAATCTGAACTACTCAGAGGAAAAAATAATTCCTTTTTTTGATTATGTTCTGAACAGTTCATGTCAACCAACCATTTCTGTTTGTTTGTTTGTTTTCATTTTTATGTTTTTGGTCTTGCCGGTATTTTTTTCTTTTACAGTTTTCAAGCCCACCAGTCCCTTTGCCCCTTCTGCCCCTGCAGGTGGGCAAGCCAATAAAAAAGCCATTGGAGTTTATGAAAATTTCAAATCTCTCCAGGTCCCAGCCCAGGATAGGGGAACCCTCATCCTGGCCCCACCTTCTAGCCACGATAAAGCCTCAAACAGTCTTCTTTCCTTGGTTTCTTAAGCCATTTTACACCAGCTTGGAAACTCTGATCTGCTCTACCCAGAAATCTTCATTATATAAGTCGCCAAATTTTCATGCCCTCTTTTGCTTTATTGATACATAATAGGTGTAGATATTTTCAGAGTATATGTGATATTTAAGTACATTCATATAATGTGTAAAGATCAAATCAGGGTAACTGGGATATCCATCACCGTAAATATGCATATTTTCTGTATGCTAGAGACATTTGAGTTATTCTCTTCTACTTATTTAAAAATGTACAATAGATTGTTATTAACTATATTCACCCTACTGATCTATCAAAACTAGGTCTTATTTCTTTTATCCAATTGTGTATTTGTACCCATCAATCAATCTCTCTTCATTACCCCTCCCTCCTACACTTTCTGGCCTCTGGTAACCATCAACCTATTCTTTACCTTTGTGGGGTCCACTTTTTTCAGTTCCCATATATGAATGAGAACATGTAATGTTTGCCTTTCTGTGCTTAGCTTATTTCATTTAACATAATAACCATCATTTCCACCCATGTTGTTGCAAATGACAGAATTTCGTTCGTTCTTTTTTATGGCTGAAAACTGTTCCATTGCACATATACACCACATCTTTTTTTTTTTTTTTTTTTCTCGATATGGTGTCTTGTTCTTTCACCCATGCTGGAGTGCAGTGGCACGATCTCGGCTCACTGCAACCTCGGTCCCCCAGGCTCAAGCGATTCTCCTGCCTCAGCCTCCCTGGTAGCTGGGATTGCCACACCCAGCTAATTATATTTTAGTAGAGACAGGGTTTCACCTGTTGGCCAGGCTGGTCTCGAACTCCTAACCTCAGGTGAGCCACCTGGCTTGGCCTCCCAAAGTGCTGGGATTATAAGCGTGAGCCACTGAACCTGGCCTACACCACATTTTCTTTATCCATTCATCCACTGATGGACACTTAGGTTGATTCCATCTTTTGGCTATTGTGAATAGTGCTTCAATGAGCATGGGAATGCAGGCATTTCTTCGATACATCGATTTCCTTTCCTTTGGATACATACATGTAGTGAAATTTCTGGATCATATGATATTTCTATTTTTAGTTTTTTGAGGAAGCACTATACTATTTTCCACAGTGGCTGTATTAACTTACATTTCCACCAACAATATACAAGTCTTCCCCTTCCTCTACATCCTCACTAGCATCCATTGTTCCTTGTCTTTTTGGAAAAAAAAAAAATTAACTGGGGTAAGAATGTTGACCTCATGCGAGAACAAATGGCCCTGTTGGTCATTTGTAAGTCTTCTTTTGAAAAATGTTTATTCAGACATTTTGCCCATTTTTAAATTGGATTTTTTTATCTTTATTGAGTTATTTCAGCTGATTATTTATTGTAGTTATTGAAAATAGCTTGTCAGATTGGTAGTTTGAAAATATTTTCTCTCATTCTGTGGGTTATCTCTTCATTTTGTTGATTGTTTTCTTTGCTGTTCAGAAGCTTTTTAGCTTGATGTAATCCCATTTGTCCATTTTAGCTTTTGTTGCCTGTGCTTCTGAGGTTTTACACATAAAATATTTAGCCAGACCAATGTCTTGGAGTTTTTCTCCAATTTTTTTTTTTTCTAGTAATGTCATAGTATTGGGTTGTAGAGTTAGACTTTAATCCATTTGGATTTTATTTTTTATATGGTGAGAGATATTCATCTAGTTTTATTTTTCTGCATATGGTTTACCCAGTTTTTCCAGCATCATTTACTGAAGAGCCTTTCCTTTCCCCATTGTACATTCTTGGTAACTTTGTTGAAAAAGAGTTGGCTATAAATGTGCAAATTTAGATCTGGGTTATCTGTTCTGTTCCAATGGCCTATGTGCCAGTTTTTATGACAGTACCATGCTAATTTGGTTACTATAGCTTTGTGGTATATTTTGAAGTCAGGTGCTGTGATGCCTCTAGCTTTGTTCTTTTTGCTAAGAATTGCTTTGGCTATTTGGGGTCTTTTGTGGTTCCATATAAATTTTAGTATTTTTTTTCTATTTTAGTGAAGAATGTTTTAGATATTTTTAAAGAAATTGCACTGAATCTTCAAATTACTTTGAGTAGTATCAACACTTTACCAATATTAATTCTTTCAATTCACAAACATGGAATATTTTTCCACTTATTTGTGTGTCTTCTTCAAATTCTTTCATCAGTGTTGTATAGTTTTCTGTGTAGATCTTTCACCTATTTCGCTTAGTTAATTATCAAGTATTTTATATTCTTTGTAGCTATTATAAATGGAACTGCTTTCTTGAAATTTTTTTCAGATTGTTCGCTGTTGGCGTATATAAATGCTACTAATTTTTGTATATTGATTTTTTATCCTGCAAAATTGCTAAATTCACTTATCAGTCCTAAGAATATTTTAGTGGCATCTTTAAGTTTTTATAAATTCAAGATCATGTTGTCTGTGAATGTAGATAATTTGACTGCTTCCCTTTTGACTGGAATGCCTTTTATTTCTTTCTCTCACCTAATTAATCTGGCCAGGACTTCCAGATTATGTTGCATAAAAATGGTGAAAGTGAGCATTCTTGGTTTTTTCCAGATTTTAGGGGAAAGGCTTTCAATTTTTCTCCATTCAGTATGAAGTTTGCTGTAAATTTATGGCCTTTATTATTATTATACTCCATGTATACTGAGTTTTTGAGGGTTTTTAAAATAAAGGAATATTGAATTTTATCAAACACTTTTTCAATGTCTATTGAAAAGATCATATGGTCTTTGTTCTTGGTTCTGCTAATGTGATCTATAATGCTTATTAATTTGCATATGTGGAACCAGTCTTACATTCCTAGGATGAATCCCACTTGATCATAGTGAATTTTTTTTTTAATGTATTGTTGAATTTGGTTTGCCAGTATTTTGTTGAGAATTTTAGCATCTATGTTCTTCAGGGATATTTGCCTGTAGTTTTCTTTTTTGGTTTACATCCTTGTCTGGTTTTGCTATCAGTGTAATGCTGGCCTTATGAGTTTGGGAGTTTTCCCAACTTTTAAAATTTTTTTGAAGGATAGAATTGGTATTATTGTTTGTTTGTTTTTTTTTATGGAGTCTCAATCTGTCACCGGGCTGGAGTGCAGTGGTGTGATCTCAGCTCACTGCAACCTCCGCCTCACGGGTTCAAGCGATTCTCCTGCCTCAGCATCTCGAGTAGCTGGGACTACAGGTGCATGCCAGCATGCCCGGCTAATTTCTGTATTTTTAGTAGACACGGGGTTTCACCATGTTGGCCAGGATGGTTTTGGTCTCTAGACCTTGTGATCAGCCCACCTTGGCCTCCCAAAATGCTGGGTATTATTTTTTATTTAAATATTTGGTAGAATTCAGTAGTGACATCATCAGGTCCTGGGCTTTTCTTCAGTGGAAAACTTTTTATTACAGCTTTGGTTTTGTTACTCATTATTGGTTATTTCATATTTTCCATTTCTTTATGGTTTACTCTTGGTAGGTTATATGTGTTCAGGAAGTTATCCATTCTTCCAGGTCTTCCAGTTTGTTGTCACATAATAGTCTCTAGTGATTCTTTGTATTCCTGTGGTCTCTGTTGTTATGTTGTCTTTTCAATTTTTATTTTATTTATTTGGATCTTCTGTCTTCTTCTTAGTGAAGCTAAAGGTTTGTCAATTTTATTTATCTTTTCAAAAAAATCAACTTTTTATCTGTTGATCTTTGGTATTGATTTCTTTAGTCTCAACTTCATTTACTTCTGTTCTGATCTTCATTATTCCTTTTACTGCTTTTGTGTTTGGTTTCTTCTTGTTTTTCTTGTTCCTTGAGGTGAATTGTTAGGTTGTTTATTTGATGTCTTTCTACATTTTTGATGGAGGCATTTATTGCTATAAGCTTCCCTGTTAGTCTTGACTTTGTTATATCCCATAGATTTTGCTATGTTTTATTTCCATTTTATTTGTTTCAAGAAATATGTAGATTTCCTTCTTAATTTCTTCATTGATCCATTGGTTGCTCAGAAGCATGTTTTTTAAATTCCATGTGTTTGTGTAGTTTTCAAGATTCCTCTTGTTGATTTGTTGATTCCATTGTAGCCAGTAAGGACACTTGATATAACTTTTACTTTTTTGAAATTGTTGAGACAACTTAACATAGATAACAAAGAAAATAATACAAGCAAAGAAAGAAAAAAAATCCACTACACTTTAACTCTAGCCCTTCCAAATTTTTACTTTTCATTGTCTCAATTTACATATTTTTGCATTGCCTTTCTCTTAACAGGTTGCTGTAGCTATTATAGTTTTTGATAGATTTTTTAGTCTTCATAATAGAGTTATGAATAAATGCCCAACACAATTACAGTAATAAGAGTATGCTGGGTTTGTTCTGTGTCCTTACTTTTACCAGTGGGTTTTATACCTTCTGGGTATTCTTTTTGCATAACAGTGTTTTTTTGTTTTGTTTTGTTTTTGTTTTTTCTTTCAGGTTGAAGAACTCCCATTAACATTTCTCGTAAGATGTGTCTGGTGGTGGTGGATTTGCTCAGCTTGTGTTTGTTTGTTAAAGACTTCATCTTGCCTTCATATTTAAAGGATATCTTTGCTGGATACAGTATTCTTAGATGACATTTTTATTTCTTTCAGCACTTTGAAAATGTCATCCCATTCCCTCCTGCCCTGTATGGTTTCTGTTGACAAGTCTGTTGTCAGATAAATTGAAGCTCTTTTATATGTTATTATATTGGCTTATTTTCTCTTGCTGTTTTTATGACCCTATCTTTGTCCTTGACCTTTAAGGGTTTGATTGTGACATACCTTGGGGTAGTGCAATTTGAGTCAAATCTGGTTGTTGTTTTCTAGCCTTTCTGTATTTGGATATTTATATCTTTCTCAAGTTTTGGAAAGTTTTCTATTGTTATTTATTTGAATAAATTTTCTACCTTTTCTCTTTCTCAGTTCCTTCTTGAGTACCAATAATTGTTAGATTTGGTCTTTTGAAGTGATTTTCTGTATCTTGTGTTGATCTTCACTTCTTTTCATAATTTTTTTCCTTTTTCCCTTCTTTCCTCTGCTTGATTCATTCTGCTGTTGAGAGCCTCTAATGAATTTTTTATTTCAGCAAATGTATTTTTCAGTTCTAAGATGTGTTTGATTTTTTTTAATTATTTCAATCTCTTTGTTAAATTTCCCTGATAAATTTTTGAATTGCTTTTCTGTGTTATCTGGAGATCACTGAGTTTCCTTAAAACCACTATTTTGAAATTTTTGTCAGACAGCTTATATGTCACTGTCTTGTTAGGGTCAGTTATTCATTGCTTTCTTTGTCTGTTTGGAAAGGTCATCATTCCCTGTTTGCTTTTGTTTGTTGTAGATGTTCTTTATGTCTTTGCATTGAAGGGTTTGTTATTTATTTTAGTCTTTTATGTCTGGCTTGTTTAGGTTTTTATTGCATATGTTGCTTATCCTTGTAAGTTGAAATTCCTTGTAGTTTACCTATTGAATGTTTTTTCCTACTACGTTGCTGCCTCCTTTAGGGTACTACATGATGCTTTAAGTCCAGGTTTACAGTGGCTCTAGTAAATGATTGGAGCTCTGCCTGTCCTGAATAGAGGAGGTCCCAAAAGGTATATGAACAGTTTGGGAAGGATTGCTAGCAGTTTGTGCCCAAGGAACTTTGTGAAAGGTACCGCCTACAGCATACTGCTGCTGAACAGCTACTCTGACATTGCATCTCCTTTTGCCAAGTTATAGAGCAGAATTTTCAGGGCAGCAAATGATAGATAGTCCCTTCTCCCCACTTTGTCTCTGGCTGTCCTCAGGGATATTTCTCCCTTTAGACACTCAGATGCTTCCCGTGCATAGAGATAGGAACACATCTCCTGCTAGGGAATGTAAGATGGAGGGAAACCTGGTTGTCTACCTCCATCTCACCTTTTCCAGTGTAGAAACAGTGATTCAGGGGGACATTTTCTACTTGTTTGTTGCTGGGAAGATTTGAGGGAGGGGCATGATGGATATGGATGTCTGATTCTCTCACTGTCTGCTTGGCATCTTTTTTTTTCGCTTCTCTGTGGCCCCAGGAGCTATCTCATCCTCATATTTGGGTTCAGAGATATTGTTGGTGATAACCTTGATGCCATATATTTGGATTTGTTTTATTTTTGGGGGGGTTGGAGAGAAGGGGCAAGTGAAGCCAGCTTGCTTCTATGCCACTATTTTGGAACTGAAATCATTTCTTATTTCTGTTGAAAGCCACATCCTTGGTTGATTAATCAAGTAAAATTTGCATTCGGCTTTAGGGATGTACAGTCTATGGTATCATCAGATAATTTTCATAGATTACAAAATTTCCTGAATTATCGTCCTAACGCTATCCCCTAGGGTAGGGAGTGAAGATGATAGAGGAAGCATCCCTATTCACTGGCAGATGGTAGGGGAAGGGGAGATAGTTCTAATTCCATGCTCTTAATTTAATTTGAAATGTCTATACAATGTATACAGATTATCCCTTTTTAAATATATGTAAAATACACAGCAATATTTTTAGAGCGTAGTCCTTTTTATGTGGGTGACTTCATATTGTCTTCATTTCTGACTTCCCCTCTCTTCAAGGCTCTTTGCAGGATGCCACTGAAAAGCTCTGAAGACATGACATGTTTTAGAAATTATCATGATAATTATTAAGGTAATTAAACTGAGTTATTTCCATTATTCAGTTGTATGTACCATACCCTTCTAAGACTAATTTATCATTATTTGGCATCCAATTACACAATATAAAAGGAAGAGAAGCTTCCAGTCAATTAAGCAAACAAGTTCTATGTGTAATTTTTTATGACACCTTTTTCTGACTGTGATTACAAAATTACGGTGCAAGGAAGCTCAAATTTAATCAGCATAAATCAAAAACTTTCTTAGAAGCGTGAGAGAAGAATGATCATATCTAGTTATGTTATTTTTTAAAAGGGATTTGTTCAATTTAACATATTGATTGTATATGTGTTTTTAATAATCATCACCATTATTTTCATTATTGATGGTCTATAAATGAGAGATTGAAACAGGATTAGAATGACTGGGCCAGTGGCCAGTTTAAAACTCAGACAACTAAATTTTGGAAGAACTTTACCAAATGCAGAACACAAATATTGTGTGCCTAACATGAAATGTTTTGTTAGGTGCTTCTTCTCATCTAAACTGAAGTGCCTTAGTGATTACACATAGGAGTTAAATGACATAGTAAGAACACAGGTTAAGGGACAGATCAGTTATAAATTTATACAAATGAACTTTCTTACTACCTTGTATGTTTTGTATATTTATTGTCAAAGCCTGGTAAATATCCTGTTCCATATTATGTCCAATCAGTTCATCTGAAACCCATCCAGTTTCTGTGACGGTTGGCTCTCCTTGATGACTCTCAATTCCCACATTTGCTTTGGATCCACTGCAAGGGCCACATACATGTTTGTTTGTCTCGGTCAGTTTTTTGCAACATTTTTACTGAGTGTGATGGCACGATCAGCAGAGTGTTTAGATACTGGCCGAGATTTCTTGGCCTGTGATTATGGCATTATTTCAGTATATCTTGGTAGGGCCTATTTTCATCAAGATTTACCCTCATGGTGAGAAGTGAAGCCAGCTGGACTTCTTGGGTTGAGTGGGGACTTGGAGAACTTTTCTGTCTAGCTAGAGGATTGTAAATGCACCAATCAGCACTCTGTGTCTAGCTGAAGGATTGTAAATGCACCAATCAGCACTCTATAAAAACACACCAATCAACACTCTGTAAAATGGACCAATCAGCAGTCTGTAAAATGGACCAGTCAGTGCTCTGTAAAATGGACCAATCAGCAGGATGTGGGCAGGGCCAAATAAGGGAATAAATGCTGGCTGCCTGAGCCAGCAGTGGCAACCCTCTGCAGTCCCCTTCCCCACTGTGGAAGCTTTATTCTTTCAGTCTTGACAATAAATCTTGCTGCAGCTCATTCTTTGGGTCTGCACTACCATTTTTTTTTTTTTTTTTTTTTGAGACGGAGTCTTGCTCTGTCACCCAGGCTCGAGTGCAGTGGCCTGATCTCTGCTCACTGCAAGCTCCACCTCCTGGGTTCACACCATTCTCCTGCCTCAGCCTCCCGAGTAGCTGGGACTACAGGCACCCACCAGCACAAGGGGCTAATTTTTTGTATTTTTAGTAGAGACGGGGTTTCACCATGTTAGCCAGGATGGTCTTTATCTCCTGACCTCATGATCTACCTGCCTCGGCCTCCCAAAGTGCTAGGAGGGTCCGCACTACCTTTATGAGCTGTAACACTCACCACGAGGGTCTGTGGCTTCATTCCTGAAGTCAGCAAGACCACAAACCCACTGGGAGGAACAAACAACTCCAGACACGCCACTTTAAGAGCTGTAACACTCACTGCGAAGTTCTGTGGCTTCACTCCTGAAGTCAGCGAGACTACAAACCCACCGGAAGGAACAACCAGCTCCGGATGCGCGCCACCTTTAAGAGCTATAACACTCAACTGTGAAGGTCTGTGGCTTCACTGTTGAAGTCAGCAAGACCACGAACCCACCGGAAGGAAGAAACTCTGGACACATCTGAACATCTGAAGGAACAAACTCTGGACACACCATGTTTAGGAACTGTAACACTCACTGCGAGGGTCCATAGCTTCATTCTTAAAGTCACCGAGACCAAGAACCCACCGAAAGGAACCAAATTCGGACCCAATGGTACTATGTTAATTCTTCTACCAGTCAACAATTAAGAGCAACTGTCTTGCTTGTAGCCTCAGCAACATATTTTTGTCCCTCGGTTAAATGAAGAACAGCCAAAAAGATAAACACTATAATTAACTGCAAAAAGGGTTCTCTATATGTTCAAATTGTTTTCTAGGTATATTATATTAATTAAATGTGTTACGAAGCAAGTTTTCCTTCAACAGACATATAAAATAAGGACTGTGGCAATAGCTTGCTTTGCTGTATCCAAAGTTACATGTGGTTTTATCTACATTGTTTTAGAGTAATATTTTATGCAGTTTGTAGAGACTTTTTAGCCTGATTACTCCCATACCTTATGTCTCTTTCAGATATTTCTTGAAGTAACTACAGTAAAACCATATATATTTTTAAGGACTAGGTCATATAGGTTGCTTCTAGATTTGCTGAAGATATAATATTTAAAATTTATTATAAAACAAAAATAGGTGCTCTTTATTATTGCATTTCCACCTTCTTTTTTTTTTTTTAGACGGGTTTTGCTCTGTCACCTAGGCTGGAGTGCAGTGGCATGATCTCGGCTCACTGCAACCTCCACCTTTGGGCTCAAACAATCCTCCCACTTTAGCCTCTCGAGTAGCTGAAACTACAGATGTACCACCATCTCCAACTAATTTTTTGCAATTTTTTTTTTTTATAGAGACAAGGTTTCTTCATGCTGCCCAGGGCCTGGTCTTGCCTTGGTCTATCAACATGCTAGGATTATAGGCATGAGCCGCTCTGCCTGGCATTTCCACCTTCTTTATGCAGTACTATAGTCTTTTCATGTATAAGTTTTAAGAGCTAACTTAAGGTAATACATATAATATTTTGAAATATGTAGCTAAAACTAGTGTTTAAACACATAACAGTATTACAAGTTCTATTGAAGAGTTAAACAAACTTAAATGATCATGATGAAATCATAATGGGATATCATAGCAGAGTTAGTAATTACCTTATTTGGCCCTTAATATTCTGGCTTGCACTGAATTTTTTTCCAAGTAGAAATTCTCCAGCTAAAAAGAACCTGCGATATCACTTATTCTAAAACTCCAGTTTTACACAGGATGATACTGAGATCCAGATGGATTCATCAAGTTATTCAAGATCACCTTGCTGGTCAGGAGTAGACTTAGAAACAAAACTGGCTCTGGTTAATAGAGCCCATGGACTGCGGGGTCAGCCAATCTCGATTTGATTTCTGATTTGTGACAAATGACCTAGAATTACTTCATTTCTTCATCCATAAAATGGGGATAAATGACCTACCATATAGGGCATTGTGCAGACTGATTTAATGAGGTGTATCAGTAAGTGACCAGTAGATTGCCCGGACGTCCAGCAAGCCTGACTTCCCTTCCAAGGCTCTTTGCAGGATGCAACTGAGAAACAAATATTTCTCTGTTTTTTTTTTCCCACTTCCCGTGGTTGTTAATCCTTTGTAAGATGTGATTTTAAGCTATTACAGGTTTCTGTAAGCAACAGGACTTTAAGAATTTGATCTTTAGGAAGCAATTGTAAATCATACTTTTACCATCTGTGTTAACTTGGATTTATCATTTCCAAGCTCTGAAATATAACCTTGTACTGATTATCAAGAGCTAGCTTGTGAAGCTTAATTTTAGATTTGGCATTCAAGTTTGAGTTATCTGAGGTAATAATATATTCCTCACAGCATAGCTTAAAAGTCCTGACCACTGTTTTTCATTCTTCGGCTGTGAATTATGCTAAGGTCCAGGAGTCACCAAGATGAAGCAAACAGAAGATTTTCTAAGTGCCATGGTTGCAGTTTTTAAGTCAATTGAGATTTTTCAGATGAGTGGAAAGTGAAAATTATTTCTTTCAAAACAGCTGGTAAGATGGGCATGGGATTTAGCAAGGCTCTGCTAGATTTAAGAGCCTTAGTATCCAGGAAAAGGAACGTTTTATTAAATAACAGACAAACTTTAAGGAGCATTGGCTGTGTGCCAGGCACTCTGCTAGAGAAAACCAACTTCTCAGCGGATTAAGCTATATGACTAAAGTCCTACACCAAGTATGAGTACTAAGGTAAGATTTTAAAAAATGAACATGTGACTCATAAGCCAATGCTCGTTTCTCTTTACAAGTCAAATTTCTGAATCAAACCTTGTTGTGGATCCTTTTACTAATACAAGCTCTACACTCAATCCAAAATTTCTAGGCTCTGCCAAGCATGGTGGTTCAGTCTGTAATCCCAGCACTTTGGGAGGCCGAGGCGGGCAGATCACCCGAGGTTAGGAGTTTAAGAACGACCTGGCCAACATGGCGAAACCTCGTCTCTACTAAAAATACAAAAAAATTAGCTGAGCATGGGGGTGTGTGCCTGTAATCCCAGCTACTTGGGATGCTGAGGCAAAAGAATCACTTGAACCAGGGTGGCGCAGATTGCAGTGAGCCGAAATCGCGGCACTGCGATCCAGCCTGGGTGATAGAGTGGGACTGTCTCAAAAAAAAACCAAAAACAAACAAAAACCAAAAACAAACAAAAAGTTCTAGGCTCAGAACTGAGAAGTCATTGTGTAGTTTGCACTAAAATGATAATATGTGTTTTGGCGGTTTGCTTGCAATCTTTGGCATTGCTTGGTGTGTGGCTGCCTCACTTCGGTCTCTGCCTTCATATTTCCATGTGTTCTCCCTATGTCTCTTCACATTGTCTTCCCTCTGTGCATGTCTGTGTCTATTCCCATAACATTCTTTTTCATAAGGATACCATTTAGGTTAGATTAGGGGCCCACCTTATTCCAGCGTGATTCATCTTAATTACATTTACAATGACTGTACCCCAAATAAAGTCACATTCTGAGGTACGGGGGATTAGAACTTCAACATTTCTCTTTATAGGAGTCACAACTCGACCTGTAACAAGGTCTAAAAAGCCAAAGTGAAATTACTTAATGAATTCAGGTCAGGATAAAAAGAAAACACTCGATCGTTTAGAACAAAAGAACAGCATGCTTGCCTGGATAACTGGAACGACGTGAGTATGGGTGATCAATTTGGGTGATGCCTGGCAAGTAAAAAAAAGATGGAGCAAACAAAAGGAAATTGAATAAAGAAAGGGAGAGGAGGTCAGAAAGAGAAAGGGGACCAGGAGAAAGATCACATAAACCCCTCATTTGCAGACCGTCTGAAATTCTCCTTGTTCTTTTTTTTTTTTTGAGACGGAGTCTCGCTCTGTCGCCCAGGCTGGACTGCAGTGGCGCAATCTCGGCTCACTGCAAGCTCCGCCTCCCGGGTTCACGCCATTCTCCTGCCTCAGCCTCCCCAGTAGCTGGGACTACAGGCGCCCGCCACCGCGCCCGGCTAATTTTTTGTATTTTTAGTAGAGACGGGGTTTCACCTTGTTAGCCAGGATGGTCTCGATCTCCTGACCTCATGATCCACCCGCCTCGGCCTCCCAAAGTGCTGGGATTACAGGCGTGAGCCACCGTGCCCGGCCTCCTTGTTCTAATTGTGGATCTGCACTGAGCTTGACTACACAGCTCTAATCTATTGCACTGTCTTTCCAATTATAGCTAGTTTATGAGTTTAATAATTACTCACATCTTATGTCCACCCACTGAAGAGAAATGTGTCTTTAGAGTCCTTTTAAAATTGGATGCTTCTGCTGCTTTAAACCTACAGGAGCTTTTAATTTGGACCATTTGTTTCCTAGTAACGAGAATCGGTTTTGTGTTCTTACGTAAAACCCGTAGCCAAAAGTAACAATGTGCACACCCCTGATGTGAATTAGCTCAGTAGGACATTATAGGGCACAGGATAGCTGGGTGCTGGGATGTTATTGTTTCTACAACCTTGGAAATTAGAGATGAAACATCCCTATTCAGTCATCCAATACATCTTTCTGCCAAAACCAAATTAACTTTAGTACTTTTCTTTCCAGGACTTTGTATAGTTCATGTTTTAAAGCATCAAGGTCATACAATCTCTGGGAAATCTGGTCTATCAATGTACTTTATGGTGATGCAGTTAAAGAACAGGTTCATTATGGCTCATCAAGGACCAGTGTACCAATGTATGAGAATGAGAACAATATAAATTAATCACTTTTTTACTGTATTTTGTGTTGAATTTTGTTTACCGTTTTTAAAAAATATATATTACCTCAGTTCTTGCTACATCCTGTGAGATAGGCAAAGCTGTTGTTTTTATGTCTCCTTAACAAAAAAATAAATTGAGGATCATATGTGGTGAGGATAAGACTAAAACTCATGTCATCTGTTCATTTTTTCATCTGTTGCTTTTACCATTTACCTCATTGCCTCGGCACAGTATGAAGTATTCCCAGTTTCCCATTTTCATTCTTGAATGCTAAATAGTTGCTTTGAATAAAAATTACATAAAATTATATTAAAGAAAGTAAAATGGTTTGGCTCTGTGTCACCACCCAAATCTCATCTTGAATTATAATCCCCACATGACGAAGGAGGGACCTGGTGGGAGGTGATTGAATCGTGGAGGTAGTTTTCCCCATGCTGTTCTCATGATAGTAAGGGAGTTCTCATGAGAGCTGATGGTTTTAAATGTGGTACTTCCTCGCTTTTGCTCTCCATCTTTCTCCTGCTGCCATGTAAGACGTACCCTGCTTCCCCTTCACTTTCTGCCATGATTGTACCTTTCCTGAGGCCTCCCAGCCATGGAGAACTGAGTCAATTAAACGTCTTTTGTTTATAAATTACTCAATCTCAGGTGGCATTCTTCATAGCAGTGTAAAAATGGGATAATACAGAAACTAATTAAACAAAGTCATGAAATGTAAGAAAGACAGATCTAGCTATGATGATGAAGAGAGGAAATCATGAAAGTCATTCTAAAATGAAAGGATTACTTAACATATTTACAGGGCATACTTAGAAGGATTGCTTAAGCAATTTTATTAGAGCTGAAAGACATATGTTCCAGAGAAAACTATATCGAAGATGGAGTGAAAGATTAAAAGCACTGTTGATCACTGAGATTCCAGCCACGAGCCTTCTTTTCTAATCAGGCTCTTTTCCTTTATTCACTCCAGTAGTTATCACATTACACTTATTTCCATGGTGAGGAAGAGTAGAGAACAAAGTATTTCCTGTTTACACAAAAATAATTTGTTAATTACTAGTTCTGAGACACTTTAAAGGAAAATGAAAAAATACTGTAAAAGGCAGTCTAATGACTAAATCTAATTTAAACAAATGAAGATATTGAACATTCAGCTTTTAAAGGGCTTAGATATGGTAAAGTCAGTTTGAGTTCAGTCAATTCTCAAATTCAGGAAATTTAACAATCAGTTCTCAATACACCAAAATGTCTTATCACTTCATTTCATAATTTGAGAGATGGTAAATTCAGTGTTATTGCTAAGTGGCTAAGTAGAAAATATTTTAAAGATGTTAGAAACAACATAAGAAAAAAATCTAAGTCAATCACAACCACAAAATGCTCAAAATATCTGCCTTTCTTAGAGGGTAACATACAGCCACTTCTTTCTTTAATGGGGCAAGTGTAATTCAGCCACTATTTTATTCATTTATAATGTAGATATCAGTCTTTGTTTGAAAATCTTTCAGAGGATTGCTTTATTTCTTGCTGCCATCAGTAGATTATCATGTGTAAAACAATTAAATGTTTTTAAGCTCCTTGGTAGGTGATGAATTCCACTTGTCTCTTACTTTCTTTTTGAGGACTGGGATGGTGTTCTGGATCAATTACATCTGTTCCTATAAAGGAGTAGGGCTATTCAATCATATGTATCATTGATTTTCCAAACAATAAAGAATCTCAAAGCTTATCAATGTATCCATTCATGTATTTATTTACTTGTTTATTTAGATGACCAATATTTATTCAACATCAGATCCTGGGCCGGCTGTTTATTTTTTATTTTTTATTTTTTTGGAGACAAGGTCTCACTCTATCACACAGGCTAGGAATTAAAATGAGTTAGGGAGGAGTCCCTCTCTTTCTATTGTTAGGAATAGTTTCAGAAGGAATGGGATCAGCTCCTCTTTGTACCTCTGGTAGAATTCAGCTGTGAATCCATCTGGTCCTGGGCTTTTTTTGGTTGGTAGGCTATTAATTACTGCTTCAATTTCAGAACTTGTTATTAGTCTATTCAGGGGTTCGACTTCTTCCTGAGTTAGTCTTGGGAGGGTGTATGTGTCCAGAAATTTGTCCATTTCTTCTGGATTTTCTAGTTTATTTGCATAGAGGTGTTTATAGTATTTTCTGATGGTAGTTTGTATTTCTGTGGGATCAGTGGTGATATCCCCTTTATCATTTTTTATTGTGTCTATTTGATTCTTCTCTATTTTATTCTTTATTAGTCTGGCTATCAGTCTATTTTGTTAATCTTTTCAAAAAACCAGCTCCTGGATTCACTGATTTTTTGAAGGTTTTTTTTGTGTCTCTTTCTCCTTCAATTCTGCTCTGATCTTAGTTATTTCTTGTCTTCTGCTAGCTTTTAAATTTGTTTGTTCTTGCTTCTCTAATTATTTTAATTGTGATGTTAGGGTGTCGATTTTAGATCTTTCCAGCTTTCTGATGTGGGCATTTTGTGCTGTAAATTTCCCTCTTAACACTGCTTTAGCTGTGTCCCAAAGATTCTGGTACATTGTGTCTTTGTTCTCATTGGTTTTCAAGAACTTCTTTATTTCTGCCTTAATTTTGTTATTTACCCAGTAGTAATTCAGGAGCAGCTTGTTCATTTTCCAGCTAGTTGTGTGGTTTTGAGTGAGTTTCTTAATCCTGAGTTCTAATTTGATTGCACTGTGGTCTGAGAGACTGTTTGTTATGATTTCCTTTTTTTTGCATTTGCTGAGGAGTGTTTTCCTTGCAATTATGTGGTTGATTTTAGATTAAGTGCTATGTGGTACTGAGGAGAATGTGTATTCTGTTTATTTGGGGTGGAGAATTCTGTAGATGTCTATTAGGTTCGCTTTGTCCGGAGCTGAGTTCAAGTCCTGAATATCCTTGCTAATTTTCTGTCTCAATCTGTCTAATATTGACAGTGGGGTGTTTAGTCTCCCACTATTATTGTGTGGGAGTCTAAGTCTCTTTATAGGTCTCTAAGAACTTGCTTCCTGGCATTTGCTGTGAAGTGAAATATAAATATTTTTGCTGTGAAGTACAGTTTATTAAATAGGCAAATAAATAAACTTATCCTTTGCCAAAGAGTGAAGCACCATTGCTACTTTTCAAGGATGTTCTGTATACAAACATCCAGAATGTTAGTCCAGAGCAAAGGCAATCAATGTATCTGCTCCCAAGATGTGCAGAAACATAAGCAGCCCATGGAGAATGGCTTCCCAACATTTCCTGCTTTTCAGAAAACATACTTACTTGACCGTTCCTCTTCTGTATACTTAAATTCTCCTCTGAACCAGATGTTTTCCATAAATATTTATAAATTCTTGAATATCAACCTTCTTGAAAAGAAAAAAAGCAGAGTCACCATCTCCTCTCGAATTTCCATCTTCCTCTAGCCACGGTCGTACTTTCTTCTTCACAACCCTACTTCTTAAGCAAATTCTATGCTTGGCTCTCCGATTACAATCTGTTTGCTCTTTTGAAATTATAGACTGTAACGAGTACTGAAGAAGTACACAAATTACATATGTACAGTTTAATAAGCACCTGTGACCTCTACACAGGTCTAGAGACAGGACAGCACTGATACCTCCATGATCCAGTCATTCCTGTTCCAGATATGTAACTTAGAATACAGAAACTTGGACACATGTATCAGAATGTTTATAGCATCATTATTTAATCATAAAGAAGTGAAAATACCATCTGCAAAAGAATGGGCATATGCGTTGTACTCTCTTATAATTCTCCCTGTCGAAACTCATTCTCTCTTTCAATCAGTATCCAGTATCCTTACTTACATGGTAATAATATTGTTACTATTCCCTAAATACTACCAATATATTTTAGCCTTTCCTGGTTTTTGAATTTTATGAAAATAAAGTCATACTTTATATTTTTTGTGTCTTCTTTTTTCACTGAATATAATGTTTATGGAATTTATCTTAATTCCTGGGTCTAGCTGAGTTTTACAGCTACAGTTTCTTTTTATTCTGGATAGTGTTTTATTGTATGTGTCTTCTACAATTTATTTATCAATTCTTTTTTAGATGATTGCTTACAATTCTGTAATATTAAGCAAGGTTTTTATAAACATTCTTATAAATGTGTCTACAATATATACAGTAGGCATACCTAGAAGTGGAATTGATGCATTATTGCAGGGTCTGTGTATCTTTAATGATAATAGATCATGGCAACTATTTTCCAAAGTGATTATTTCAATCCTCATACCTACCAGTAGAGTATAAGGTTTCTGATTTTATCACATTGTATTTTATTGAAATGTAAACATTTATGTAAAACAGATGCTTAATAGTACTTGCCATGGACCAGGCAATATTCTGAGAACATTGATTTAAACTTTATAATATAATTAAAGTTAGTTATTACTGCTATCCCCACATTCCAGATAAAGAAATTGAGACACAAAGGTGAAGTGACTTGCTCCAGGCCGTACTTTGGCAGAGTCCAGCTCACGAGATTAGGTTCCTAACCATTCTGCTATGAATCCCCTCTTCTCTACCTCATGTTTATTATGTTCATACTTTAACATTTTTGCCAACTTAGTAAGTATGTAATGATATCTAATGGTGATTTTAATTTGCATTTTCCTCAATATTAATGAGGTTGTGGAGTTGTTTTTCCATATCTTTACTGGGCATTTGGATATTCTCTTTTGAGAATTTCAGGTTCAAATCTCTGTAGCTCAAGTTTTTATTGGATGCTTTGCTTTTTCTTATCAATTTGCAGAAGTTTTTTCTGTATTTTGGATACAAACATTTCTCGTGTGTGTGTGTGTGTATATATATATAGGCTTGTATTCCCACTCACTTAATTTGTACCCTTTAATAAACAGAAGGCTTTAGTTTTAATGTAGTTAACTGTATCATTCATTTCCTCTGTGGTTAACGCTTTTGTGTCTTAGAAATTGCATCCCGCCAAGGGTGCATATATGTTATCTTATAGTATTGTCCATATTATTATCTAGACATTTGTTGAGATCTCTAATCCATTACGTATCAATATTTGTATAAGGCGTTTTGAAGGTTAACTTTATGCATCAATGTGGCTTGGCTATGGTGCTCAGTTGTTTGTTCAAACAGCAGTCTAGATAGTGCTGTGAAGGTGTTTTTATGGATGTAATTAACATTCAGAGTGAGTTTAAGTAGAAAATATTGCCCTCAACAATGTGGGTGAGCCTCATTCAATCAATTAAAGGCCTTAAGAACAAAACAAAAACTGAGGTTTCTCAGAGAAAAAGAAATCCTATTTCAAGACTGTAATGGAAATCCTGCCTGATTTTCCAGCCTCTAACATGGCCTATAGATTTCAGACTCAACACCACAACATGAACTCCTGTCTGAGTTTCCAGCCTGCTGGTCTGCAGTACAGATTCCAGACTTGCCAACCACCACATGAGCCAATTTCTTAAAACAAAAGTCTCTTTATACACACATGTATTTTATTGGTTCTATTTCTCTGGAGATCTCTGACTGATAGAGATTTTGGTACTGAGAGTGGTTCTGGAGGAACAGAATCTTAGGGATGAGTTTTCTGAATTGGTTCTGGGGTTCCTGGGATTGTTTCTCTAATATGACCAGATTTAAAGACACTAATGACTCCATCGCCAGTAGTAATGAGGAAACTGAGTCCACGTTATCATGTGGAAACAGAGATGTGCAAAATATTGCCGTTGATTCAGCTGGTTGCTCCTAATTCAACTTGACAAAGTGGGAAAAGAAGAGATTGAGCTTAGGTGTTCATAAATTTCCAGCTTTGAAACTGGATAAATGACCAGAAAGTTTCTATGTCTGCCCTGATAGAAAACCTTATATCTGTAGCTGCAGAGCCGAGATTTCTAAAAAAAAAAACAAACAAACAAAAGGTGAGTCTCATCCTGTGAGTGGCTGAATTACAAACTAAATTGAATTCACAAGCTCACAGGTGTCTGCTGTTAAAATGAAGGCATTTACTGTGAAGGAATGAGCTCCTAAAAATTGAGATAGAGATATATGGACAGATCCTGATTAAGCTGGGGATATTGGACCCCTAAATTCTAATGCATCCTCTTTGAGAGTAAAAGCAGCTACTCTATTGCCATCTGGGGAGGTCAACCCTGCTTTGCCTAAGGAACCTGTAGTGGCCTCTCCTGAAGTAGTTGCCTTGCAAGAGACTGCTGATTCTCCTCAGGACTCACCCTTCCCACCTGTCCTTGCTTCTAGATTTATAAGTAGACTCCTAGTCTTATATAAGATCTATAAGTAGACTATGGATAGATCTTATATAAGATCTATAAGTCCCAGCAGGTCTCAAAAGATGAAGTAAAAGTGTGACCCCTAGGGAAGTATGCTATACTTCCAATGAACTATTTGAGTTTTCTAGTTTACATACACAGAAATCTGGGGAATATGTGTGGAGATGGTATTTAGAGTGTGAGATAATAGAGGAAGGAGCATAACATTAGACCAGGTAGAATTTATCAATACGGGTCCGCTAAGAAAGCATTCTAGATTCAACATGGTAGCTTGAGAGATTGAAAAGGGCCCTGACAGTTTGACTGGTAAGCTGAAATGTGGACCAAAAGATAGCCTACACTACATGCCAGAACTGCCTTGAGATACTGTGAAGTGTTTTATCACAAGGCTTAGGAAAATTGAAATTATATGGTGGATTTAAATAAGATCTGATCATTGACCCTGGAAGGACACGGAGTTCAAGATGGTGAAGAATCAATTTAGAGGGGAACCCTATGCCCTCAAAGAGTTCTATGGACAGTCTTCTCTGTAGGTCAGAAATTAAAGTGAATTGCTGACACTGAACTTGGATCCTTAAATGCAATGGGAATAATTGAATTCTGGAGTAGCAGGTGCCAACTGATGGCATTTAATCACTAAAGACAAGGTGGGCATGGTTACCATAATGAACAGCAGAGTCAAAGCAGAAATCAGAATAATTCGATTCACAGAGACCTATGACAATGGATAATTGATCATTGGTGTTCCTACAGTGAAATAAATAGGCTGTCTACTAATCTTACTTGATCGATATGAGCAGAGAAGTTCCAGGTCAATTGAAAAGATGTCTAACTTGAATCATCCAAACAGAAAACTATATCCCCTCATCAATTATCATATTTGAGCCTGTTTACAGACCCAGAACCCCTTGAATGAAGGAGAAGCTGGGTCTCCCTGATTTGGAATTTGGAATTTGGAATCCTACTATACTTCCAAATTTTATGTATTTTGTATTTATATATTTATGTATTTTGGTGTTCCCCAAGGACTCTTTTACCAGGTGACTGTGCACTGTGGAAAAGGAAATAATCAGACTTTTTGAGGATTATGTGACATTTTATCTCTGAAGTGGCCCTAGTTTCAGGAATGCAAAATGTTACCATGTTCCACCACTCAGAGTAGGAACTTACAGAGGTCTGATGATCAATGGAGTTTTAACTCAGGTCCACCTCTTAGTAGGCCAAGTGAATCCTTAAACCCATCTTGTCAAAGTGGTTATTTCTCCAATTCTGGAATGGATAATTGGAATAGGCATAACCAGCAACTAACAGAATACTCAAATTGGTTCTTTGACCGGTGCAGTGAGGGCCCTTACAGTAACAAGGACCAAGTGGAAGCCAGTAGACCTGTCCCTACATAGGAAAATGGTAAACCAGGAACAATACTGCATTTTTGGAGGGATTTCAGAGATTAAGACTTGAAGGATAGAGGACTGGTGATCCTGCCATATCACTGTTCAACTCACTTATTGGGCCATGCACAAAACAGATGAATCTTGGGGAGAATTACAATGAATTATTATAATCTTAACCAAATGGTAACTCCAGCTGTAACTGTTGTTTCAGATGTGACTTCAGTGCTTGAGCAAATTAACACATTTCTTGGAACCTAGTATGCAGCTATTGATCTAGCCAACAATGTTTTTTTAATCATACCTTCTAGTAAAGAGTATGAGAAACATTTGCTTTCAGCTGGCAACACCTTTACTGTTGTATATTAGGAAATACCAACTCTTAAGCCCTACATTATAACTTCACTTACAGAGAATTTGGTAATCTTTCTCTTCCACAAAATATCACACTGGTCTATTACATTGATGGCATTATGCTGATTGAAACTGGTGAGCAAGAGGTAGCAGCTAAACTAGATTTATTGATTGATAGGACATTTGCATGTCAGAGGGTAGGAAATAAATCTGACAATAACCCAGGAGTTTTTTATTTCAGTGAAATTTCTAGGGGTCCAGTGAGGAGTGTGGGCCATGTGGAGATCTCCCTTCTTGGTGAAGGTAAGATGAAAAATAAGTTGTATCTAGCCCCATCTGTAACCAAAAAAAAAAAAGAGTGGAACTATTTGCATTTTAGAGGGAACATATTCCTCATTTGGATTAAATATGCCACTCCAGCCCATTTCGTGAGTAACCAGAAAAGCTGCTAGTTTTGAATGGGGCCCAGAATAAAAGAAGGGTTTGTAACAAGTCCACACTGCCACAGAAGCTTCTTTGCCACTTGAGCCATGTGATACAGCAGATTTAACAGTGCTTGAAGTGTCAGTGACTTTTGAAGCCTTCAGTAGGCCCTTGTAGGTGAACCACAGCACAAACTCTTAGGATTCGGGGACAAAGCATTGTCATTCCTCTTTGAGTAGCTACGCTTCTCTTCAGAAACAGCTTTTGGACTACTACTGGGCCTTAGTAGCCAAATGTTTAACCATAGGCCACTAAGTTACCATATAACTTGAGCTGTCTATCATGAACTGAGTTATATCTGAATCATCAAGCAATAAAGGTGGGCATGCACAGCAGCACTCTCTCATCCAATGGAAGTGACATATATGAGATTGGGCTTGAGTAAGCCCTGAAGGCACAAATAAGTTACACAATGCAGTGACACAAATACCCATAGTCTTTGCTTCTGTTACATTATCTTCTGTCACCCAGCCTAAACCTGTGATCTCTTGGGGAGTTTCCCACCATCAGTTGACTAAGAAAGAGAAAAACTTGGGCTTGGTTTACAGACGGTTCTGTGCAATATGCAGGTGCCATTCAAAATTGAACAGCTGTGGCACTATAGCTCCCTTCTGAGACTCCTTGGACAATGGTGAAGGGGAATTCTTCCAGTAGAAAGAACTTCAAGCAGTGCATCTGGTTGTTCATTTTGCTTAGAAGAAGAAATGACTGTAAATACAATTCAATATTGCTTGATACTGTGGCTAATGGTTTGGCTGGATAGTCTGGAACCAAGGAATATAATTGGAAAACTGAAAAAAAAATAGTGACATGGAAATTTGGCAAGAGGTAAGTGAACAGATTTTTATGAATGGGCAAAAACATGATATTTATGTTCCATGTGAATATTCACCAGTGGATGATCTTGGCAAAGGAAGGTTTAATAATCAGGTAGATAGGATGACCTATTCTGTGGATACCAGTCATCCTCTTTCCCTGGACACTCCATTATTTCTTCAAATACTGTCTGTACTCCATTTTCTCTCCTTCTTCAGGATTACAATAAAATGTATGTAAGCCTTTTCCCACTCTCTCTTTCCTATCTCTTAACCACTCTGCTCTATTTTTTTTCTTTTTTCTTTTTCTTGTTTTTTGGTGTCATCATTATAATTTATGGATACTTTCTTTTAACCTATCCTCAAATTCACTACTAATTATCTTTTCTGTTTTTACAGTATACTGTCATACCTATCCATTGAGGTTTTCCATTTCAGTGATGTATTTTTCAGTTCTTAAAGTTTTCTTGATTCCTTTTCAAATGTTCTGTGTCACTACATATAAATTCTCTCACACATGTAGCTTCAAGTTTCTTTTTTCTTCTTTTATGTATAGTGAACATCATTTTAGTAAGATGTCTGGTAATGGCAATATTTGCAGTCTTTATTTTCTTCTGCTTATTGTTTCTGCTGTTTATTGCTTACACGACTTATTTCCTTGTATGCTTGGTTATCTTTAATTGTATGCTGCTTGTCGTAATTGAAAAAAATATTTATGGGGATTCCTTGAGGCTTAGGATATATGTCCCTTCCCCTAGAAATGATTAGCATTTGTTTCTCTCAGCTGTTTAGGAGCACTATTAGTTCAATACTACTCTAAATTTATAGCTTATGGTTTCTTGGAACACAATGCTAAAAAGAAAAATGTGGGCTGCAGATACAGCAGCCATGGTTATAATATCTCAAGATAGTTTTCTTAGTGTACAGTCTCTCCAATCTGCTTGCTGCCAATGTAAATTTTCTGCAGATCTGTGGTTTGGTGGATCTAGTTCTGTCTTACCCTGAAGGCATAGTGATTTAGGGTGCAAGCTTACCCTAAAAGTATAGTGTATTGTGGTGCCAGCTTTAAGGTAAGTGGTTTCTTTTTACATTTTCTATCTTTAGCAGACCCTTAACTAAGATTTCTGCCCCCTTACTCTGTAAGTTCATCAAGATCATAGCTCAGTTTTATAGTTTTGTTTTAATCATTTCAGGCTGTTATAACAAAGTACCACAGACTGGGTGGCTTATACACAACAGAAATTTATTGCTCACAGTTCTGGAGGCTTGAAGTACAGAGCTAAGCCTGTGACAGATCGATGTTTGCTAAGGGACCACTTTCTGGTTTATGATTAATTGTCTTTTCACTGTGTCCTCGTGGTGGAAGGAACTAGGGATCTCTCTGGGTTCTCTTTTATAAGAGCCCTAATCCCATTCAGGAGAGCTCCACCCTCCTGACCTAAGCACCTCCCAAAGGCACCATCTCCTAATACCGTCACATTGGGCATAAGATTTCAACATATGGACTTTGGGAGGAACACAGACATTTAGTTCATAGCAAGTTCATTTAATCCTGGATAAAGGACTTCTGGACCAAAGCAGGCTTTGAGTGTCCATTTGACCACTCTGGGTTCTTTTTTTCTCATATGTTTTGAGCTGGCAATTATTTACTATATTGTAAGCTTTTCAACATTAAGAAAATATTTTATGCAATATTTTTCCTTGTTTTTGGTCTAGGGGTGTGTGTGTTTGTGTCTGTGTGTTTATGTGTGTAAGTAACCTAGACTGCCATGACTAAACAATAAAAGTATTTTTCTTTTTCAAGCATGTTAAATTTGAGTTTAGGAAAAGTTGAAACTTTTCATGCAGCCATGAAGAGCTGGCAATCATAGGCTCCTAAGCTGTCATTCTATATTGTAAACCAATGGTGCTGTTCAGGTGATTTTCCTTTAAAATGAATTTTTCTGGCATTTTAAATGGTAACTGTAGTGAGTAGGAGAAGTCTAAAAAATCCAAGTTAAGACTAAAAATAAAATAAACCATTCTAATATGTCCTAGCATGGCACTAAATTGATAAATAAGAGTGTAGATGGCTCTTTGGAGCCAGAGGCAATTATATACTGTAAGTAACACTGAATATGTAGGTTTGAAATCCAACTAGTGAGCTCTGTCACTCTGATGAAAGAGTTATTCTCGTGATCGCAGAGCAGGAAAAGGATTCACATTAAATGATGATTGCATGAAATTCTGTATCATTCATACTTTTCACGGTGAGTTGAATAATTAAATTTAGAACGTGGTCATTTCATATGTATTATAGTATCACTGCCTATAACTATCAGAAAGAAGTCTTGGTTAATATATGAAACATATCTGACCTTTACTATAGTTTTGCTTTTAATTCATTTCTACATATAAAGAATTTGGCAAAGAGTTACAAAACAGCTAATAAAATAATAGAAATAAAAACTTACAACTCAGGGTAAAAGGCTAAGGAAACAAGGGATTATTTTGGGGGAAGAAGTGGGTGAGGGAAATAACAGCATTTATCTGAGAAGAGATATTAGTAGAGAATTATTTTTCCTTTGAATGTACTAGTTCTCAAACCTGGCCTTATTTTGAAATCACCTGGGGAGCTTTGAAATATATTGATGCCTTAGCCTTATCCCCAGCGGTTTTGATTTAACTGGCCTGGGATATGACCTGAACATCAGGAATTTTAAAAACTCTTTGTGTGATTCTATTGTGCAAGAAATAATTCACTTTAAGATTATTTTATGAAGGAAATTCCTGTACTAAAATAAATCAATTTATGAAACTTAAGTTTAACTCTCCTGGTATTCAGATATACCATGACGTGGAAAGTAATAGAAGATAAAATTTCTGCATTTTCACTGTAACAAGAACAAAAGAAATAGTGCTTCCGCCTGGCACGGTGGCTCAGGCCTGTTATCTCAGCATTTTGGGAGCCCGAGGCGGGCGGATCATGAGGTCAGGAGACTGAGACCATCCTGGATAACACGGTGAAACCCCGTCTCTACTAAAAATACAGAAAATTAGCCAGGCGTGGTGGCCGGCGCCTGTAGTCCCAGCTACTCAGGAGGCTGAGGCAGGAGAATGGCATGAACCCGGGAGGCGGAGCTTGCAGTGAGCGGAGATGGCACCACTGCACTCCAGCCTGGGCGACAGAGCGAGACTCCGTCTCAAAAAAAAAAAAAAAAAAAAGAAATAGTGCTTCAGCGGTAGTGTGAGAAACTTCAGTTGGAATAAAAATGCTTCTTTAGAATTTGGCTTGCAAAATTCAGGAATGGTTAACCAAGGCACATTGTAATATCTTGTTACTGTTCATACTAACTCCAGGCAGTTTTCCCTCTTAGGCTCTAAATTTAGACAGAACTGGGTTTGAATTTCTACTACCAGATTTACTAGCTGTACAACCCTTGGGGAAATTAAATTCCCCATGACTTAGTTTCATCATTCATTCAGTTGTGAAACAAATATTTATCAAATGATATCAGGAAGGCACTGCACAAAGTACTGAGCATACAGCAATGAACAAAATAGTGTACCAAATGGGATTGCAAACCTTTCTTATCAGGTTATTTGCAAGGATAACATGAGAAGCATATGTAAGGTAGTTAGGAGAGTACCTAGTTATTATTATTATAAAAATTAAACAAATACTTAGAATTATTTATAGTATTGTTTCAAAGGGGTAGGTAAAATTAAATTATAATTAAAATCAATGACAATTTTTATTAATGGCCTGTAATGATGATTACAACTTTTTGATACCCTCCGTCTTTCAAATAGGACTTAAACAAAAAAACAGAGTATAGGTAACCCCTCAAAGCAAGAAATAAGAACAACAAAAACACAAAACACATGATACATGTCTTGGGACACTGAGCAAACCAGATGGCTCAAAAACACACTAGAGACCATTCCTAGCATGTTCCACACAGGAAGTAATGAATCACTGCTCTGCTGAATCTCTTTCATTTCTTAGAAAAGAAAATGTCACTGATAAAAAGAAATAAAATCTATTTATGTGAACTCTACATCCCAAAGCATTAGCACAGAAATGTGAAGCTGAATGGCTGATTTAGGAAGAGTGTGTCTACCGTATTAAAATGTAGAGCATTCCCCTTAAATAGAACGTACTTTGAATAAAGCAAAAAAAGCAGAAAAGTACACAGAAACATCTGTATTATCCTTTAAGATGTGGCGAAATACTTCTAACTGAATAGAACTTTGGAATAGAAATCTGTTACATAAAATCAACAAATATTTACAGAGATTTTTATTACCCACCAGGACTGGGAACATTGGAAATGTAAACCATCTACAGATATCAAAATCTATCCTATAGTTGGGCATTTAAACTTTCAAGGAAAATCTGTGCTAGAGCTATTAATACAGGGAAAACATTAGAATTTTCTTCAGATTATTATAGCTCCTGGCATTTAGTACATTCTTGTCAGCATTATTTTCTCCTCCCTCTCTTCATTGCCTTTGTATGCTGTCTCTGGGGTAGCCTCACCCATGCAGTAAATGATGCCAGGAAGGTCACGGGCAGACGGATACTTCACCTAAATTTTGACTCTTTCCTCAAGGTCTCCTGTGCCAGTAAATTGTGCAGCAAAAAGGACCAATTGACATTCACCTACTCTTCCATTTGCTTTCTTAAAGGCCTGCCTGTGCACAGTCAACGGGAAATGGCCCTCCAGTTAATCTAATTTAGTTGTTAAATTGACAAAAAGTCTCCAGTCTGAACACTCTCAGGCCCATGTTTTATGGTGCAGAGATATGCTCTGACTTCCTGATCTTGCTGATCAGGGTAATACAGTCTACATTAGGAAGTTGTTAAGGACTAAATTGAGAACCTCTGAAATTCATATGTTTAAGCCCTAACTACAAAGTGACTGTATTTGGAGACAGGGCCTCTAGAGAGGTAATTAAGGTGAAATGAAGCCGTAAGGATGCTGCTGTAATCCAACAGGGCTGGTGTCTTTATAAGGAGAAGGAGAGACACTAGATTGTCCCTTTCTCTGCATTAGCACAGTGGAAAAACCATGTGAGGGCCCAGAAAGAAGGTGGCTGTCTGCAAGTCAGGAAGAGAGGCCTCACTAGATACCACTTTTGGCATCTTCACCTTGGACTTCCATCCCCCAGAATTGTGAGAAAATCAGTGTCTGTTGTCAAAGCCACCCAGTCTGTGGTATTTTGTAATGGCAGCCTGAGGAGACCCATATAAAGGTCATAACTCTTCATTTCAAATTCTGTTTTAAAACTGCTTACTCATTGAAATTAAAAATCAAATTTTTCAAAGATTATCTACATCAGTGACAAATTTTGCTGAATTCAGTTTACTGAATTATAATATAGTTTATATTAATTCAGTTCAGTTTACTGAAATATAATAAAGGAGGGAGAGTGACATACCAATTGTGTGGAATTATATTCAGACCAACTTTTACTAATATAGATATTCTATAGAATAATATTTAAAATGAGAAGCAACTGACCTTACTTTGCTAAAATTGAATTACCTGTATGTTCTTGAGATGAGGTCAAAAGTAGAAAGCCTGGCAGCTATGCTATGCAACCAACCCTCTTTCCACCTGCACTCACTGGGCTGGTGGGCAGTGGGCGGGATCCATGTCTTTTTTTTTTTTAATTTTATTATTATTATACTTTAAGTTTTAGGGTACATGTGCACAATGTGCAGGTTTGTTACATATGTATACGTGTGCCATGTTGGTGTGCTGCACCCATTAACTCGTCATTTAGCATTAGGTATATCTCCTAATGCTATCCCTCCCCCCTACCCCCACCCCACAACAGTCCCCGGAGTGTGATGTTCCCCTTCCTGTGTCCATGTGTTCTCATTGTTCAATTCCCAACTATGAGTGAGATCATGTGGTGTTTGGATTTTTGTTCTTGCAATAGTTTGCTGAGAATGATGGTTTCCAATTTCATCCATGTCCCTACAAAGGGCATGAACTCATCCTCTTTTATGGCTGCATAGTATTCCATGGTGTATATGTGCCACATTTTCTTAATCCAGTCTATCGTTGTTGGACATTTGGGTTGGTTCCAAGTCTTTGCTATTGTGAATAGTGCTGCAATAAACACACATGTGCATGTGTCTTTATAGCAGCATGATTTATAATCCTTTGGGTATATACCCAGTAATGGGATGGCTGGGTCAAAGGGTATTTCTAGTTCTAGATCCCTGAGGAAGTGCCACACTGATTTCCACAATGGTTGAACTAGTTTATAGTCCCACCAACAGTGTAAAAGTGTTCCTATTTCTCCACATCCTCTCAAGCACCTGTTGTTTCCTGACTTTTTGATGATCGTCATTCTAACTGGTGTGAGATGGTATCTCATTGTGGTTTTGATTTGCACTTCTCTGATGGCCAGTTTTTCTGAACAAAAACTGCTCAGAAAATTTTTCAGAGCAAAAAATGCTCTGCATTTTTTCATGTGTTTTTTGGCTGCATAAATGTCTTCTTTTGAGAAGTGTCTGTTCATATCCTTCGCCCACTTTTTGATGGGGTTGTTTGTTTTTTTCTTGTAAATTTGTTTGAGTCCCTTGTAGATTCTGGATATTAGCCCTTTGTCAGATGAGTAGGTTGTGAAAATTTTCTCCCATTTTGTAGGTTGCCTGCTCACTCTGATGGTAGTTTCTTTCACTGTGCTGAAGCTCTTTAGTTTAATTAGATCCCATTTGTCAATTTTGGCTTTTGTTGCCATTGCTTTTGGTGTTTTAGACATGAAGTCCTTGCCCATGCCTATGTCCTGAATGGTATTGCCTAGGTTTTCTTCTAGGGTTTTTATGGTTTTAGGTCTAACATGTAAGACTTTAATCCATCTTGAATTAATTTTTGTATAAGATGTAAGGAAGGGATCCAGTTTCAGCTTTCTACATATGGCTAGCCAGTTTTCCCAGCACCATTCATTAAATAGGAAATCCTTTCCCCATTGCTTGTTTTTGTCAGGTTTTTCAAAGATCAGATGGTTGTAGATATGCGGCATTATTTCTGAGGGCTCTGTTCTGTTCCATTGATCTATATCTCTGTTTTGGTACCAGTACCATGCTGTTTTGGTTACTGTAGCCTTGTAGTGTAGTTTGAAGTCAGGTAGCATGATGCCTCCAGCTTTGTTCTTTTGGCTTAGGATTGACTTGGCGATGCGGGCTCTTTTTTGGTTCTATATGAACTTTAAAGTAGTTTTTTCCAATTCTGTGAAGAAAGTCATTGGTAGCTTGATGGGGATGGCATTGAATCTATAAATTATCTTGGGCAGTATGGCCATTTTCACATTATTGATTTTTCCTACCCATGAGCATGGAATGTTCTTCCATTTGTTTGTATCCTCTTTTATTTCATTGAGGAGTGCTTTGTAGTTGTCCTTGAAGAGGTCCTTCACATCCCTTGTAAGGTGGATTCCTAGGTATTTTATTCTCTTTGAAGCAATTGTGAATGGGAGTTCACTCATGATTTGGCTCTCTGTTTGTCTGTTACTGGTGTATAAGAATGCCTTGTGATTTTTGTACATTGATTTTGTATCCTGAGACTTTGCTGAAGTTGCTTATCAGCTTAAGGAGATTTTGGGCTGAGACAATGGGGTTTTCTAGATATACAATCATGTCATCTGCAAACAGGGACAATTTGACTTCCTCTTTTCCTAATTGAAACCCCTTTATTTCCTTCTCCTGCCTAATTGCCCTGGCCAGAACTTCCAACACTATGTTGAATAGGAGTGGTGAGAGAGGGCATCCCTGTCTTGTGCCAGTTTTCAAAGGAAATGCTTCCAGTTTTTGCCCATTCAGTATGATATTGGCTGTGGGTTTGTCATAGATAGCTCTTATTATTTTGAGATACATCCCATCAATACCTAATTTATTGAGAGTTTTTAACATGAAGGTTCTTGAATTTTGTCAAAGGCCTTTTCTGCATCTATTGAGGTAATCATGTGGTTTTTGTCTTTGGTTCTGTTTATATGCTGGATTACATTTATTGATTTGCGTATATTGAACCAGCCTTGCATCCCAGGGATGAAGCCCACTTGATCATGGTGGATAAGCTTTTCGATGTGCTGCTGGATTTGGTTTGCCAGCATTTTACTGCAGATTTTTGCATCAATGTTCATCAAGGATATTGGTCTAAAATTCTCTTTTTTGGTTGTGTCTCTGCCTGGCTTTGGTATCAGGATGATGCTGGCCTCATAAAATGAGTTAGGGAGGATTCCCTCTTTTTTTATTGATTGGGATAGTTTCAGAAGGAATGGTACCAGCTCCTCTTTGTACCTCTGGTAGAATTCAGCTATGAATCCGTCTGGTCCTGGACTTTTTTTGGTTGGTAAGCTATTGATTATTGCCACAATTTCAGATCCTGTTATTGTTCTATTCAGAGATTCAACTTCTTCCTGGTTTAGTCTTGGGAGGGTGTATGTGTCAAGGAATTTATCCATTTCTTCTAGATTTTCTAGTTTATTTACGTAGAGGTGTTTATAGTATTCTCTGATGGTAGTTTGTATTTCTGTGGGATCAGTGGTGATATCTCCTTTATCATTTTTTATTGTGTCTATTTGATTCTTCTCTCTTTTCTTATTTGTTACTCTTGCTAGTGATCTATCAATTTTGTTGATCTTTTCAAGAAACCACCTCCTGGATTCATTAATTTTTTGAAGGGTTTTTTGTGTCTCTATTTCCTTCAGTTCTGCTCTGATTTTAGTTATTTCTTGCCTTCTGCTAGCTTTTGAATGTGTTTGCTCTCGCTTTTCTAGTTCTTTTAATTGTGATGTTAAGGTGTCAATTTTGGATCTTTCCTGCTTTCTCTTGTGGGCATTTAGTGCTATAAATTTCCCTCCACACACTGCTTTGAATGCGTCCCAGAGATTCTGGTATGTTGTGTCTTTGTTCTTGTTGGTTTCAAAGAACATCTTTATTTCTGCCTTCATTTCTTTATGTATCCAGTAGTCATTCAGGAGCAGGTTGTTCAGTTTCCATGTAGTTGAGTGGTTTTGAGTGAGTTTCTTAATCCTGAGTTCTAGTTTGATTGCACTGTGGTTTGAGAGACAGTTTGTTATAATTTCTGTTCTTTTACATTTGCTGAGGAGGGCTTTACTTCCAACTATGTGGTCAATTTTGGAATAGGTGTGGTGTGGTGCTGAAAAAAATGTATATTCTGTTGATTTGTGGTGGAGAGTTCTGTAGATGTCTATTAGGTCTGCTTGGTGCAGAGCTGAGTTCAATTCCTGGGTATCCTTGTTAACTTCCTGTCTCGTTGATCTGTCTAATGTTGACAGTGGGATGTTAAAGTCTCCCATTATTATTGTGTGGGAGTCTAAGTCTCTTTGTAGGTCACTCAGGACTTGCTTTATGAATCTGGGTGCTCCTGTATTGGGTGCATATATATTTAGGATAGTTAGCTCTTCTTGTTGAATTGATCCCTTTACCATTTTGTCATGGCCTTCTTTGTCTCTTTTGATCTTTGTTGGTTTAAAGTCTGTTTTATCAGAGACTAGGATTGCCACCCCTGCCTTTTTTTGTTTTCCATTTGCTTGGTCGATCTTCCTCCATCCCTTTATTTTGAGCCTATGTGTGCCTCTGCATGTGAGATGGGTTTCCTGAATACAGCACACTGATGGGTCTTGACTCTTTATCCAATTTGCCAGTCTGTGTCTTTTAATTGGAGCATTTAGCCCATTTACATTTAAAGTTAATATTGTTATGTGTGAATTTGATCCTGTCATTATGATGTTAGCTGGTGATTTTGCTCGTTAGTTGATGCAGTTTCTTCCTAGCCTTGGTGGTCTTTACATTTTGCCATGTTTTTCCAGTGGCTAGTACCAGTTGTTCCTTTCCATGTTTAGTGCTTCCTTCAGGAGCTCTTTTAGGGCAGGCCTGGTGGTGACAAAATCTCTCAGCATTTGCTTATCTGTAAAGGATTTTATTTCTCCTTCACTTATGAAGCTTAGTTTGGCTGGATATGAAATTCTGGGTTGAAAATTCTTTTCTTTAAGAATGTTGAATATTGGCCCCCACTCTCTTCTGGCTTGTAGAGTTTCTGCCGAGAGGTCCGCTGTTAGTCTGATGGGCTTCCCTTTGTGGGTAACCCGACCTTTCTCTCTGGCTGCTCTTAACATTTTTTCCTTCATTTCCACTTTGGTGAATCTAACAATTATGTGTCTTGGAGTTGCTCTTCTCAAGGAGTATCTTTTTGGTGTTCTCTGTATTTCCTGAATCTGAACGTTGGCCTGCCTTGCTAGATTGGGGGAGTTCTCCTGGATAATATCCTGCAGAGTGTTTTCCAACTTGGTTCCATTCTCCCCGTCACTTTCAGGTACAC
The DNA here is from genome assembly GCF_000001405.40 of Homo sapiens. Taxonomy (NCBI): domain Eukaryota; kingdom Metazoa; phylum Chordata; class Mammalia; order Primates; family Hominidae; genus Homo; species Homo sapiens. Next base: position 141,508,528 of record NC_000004.12, read on the forward strand.
CAATCAGATGTAGATTTGGTCTTTTCACACAGTCCCATATTTCTTGGAGGCTTTGTTCATTTCTTTTTATTCTTTTTTCTCTAAACTTCCCTTCTCGCTTCGTTTCATTCATTTCATCTTCCATCACTGATACCCTTTCTTCCAGTTGATCGCATCGGCTACAGAGGTTTCTGCATTCTTCATGTAGTTCTCGAGCCTTGACTTTCAGCTCCATCAGCTCCTTTAAGGACTTCTCTGCATTCGTTATTCTAGGTATCAATTTGTCTAATTTTTTTTTCACAGGTTTTAACTTCTTTGCCATTGGTTTGAATTTCCTCCTGTAGCTCACAGTAGTTTGATCATCTGAAGGCTTCTTCTCTCAACTCATCAAAGTCATTCTCCGTCCAGCTTTGTTCCGTTGCTGGTGAGGAGCTGCGTTCCTTTGGAGGAGGAGAGGGACTCTGCTTTGTAGAGTTTCCATTTTTTCTGCTCTGTTTTTTCCCCAGTTTTGTGGTTTTATCTACTTTTGGTCTTTGATGATGGTGATGTACAGATGGGTTTTTGGTGTGGATGTCCTTTCTGTTTGTTAGTTTTCCTTCTAACAGACTGGACCCTCAGCTGCAGGTCTGTTGGAGTTTGCTAGAGGTCCACTCCAGACCCTGTTTGCCTGGGTATCAGCAGCAGTGGCTGCAGAACAGCGGTGGCTGTAGAACAGCAGATGTTGGTGATCTGCAAATGCCGCTGCCTGATTGTTTCTCTGGAAGTTTTGTCTCAGAGGAGTACCTGGCCGTGTGAGGTGTCAGTCTCCCCCTACTGGGGGCTGCCTCCCAGTTATGCTGCTCTGGGGTTAGGGACCCACTTGAGGAGGCAGTCTGCCCATTCTCAGATCTCCAACTGAATGCTGGGAGAACCAGTACTCTCTTCAAAGCTGTCAGACAGGGACATTTAAGTCTGCAGAGGTTACTGCTGTCTTTTTGTTTGTCTGTGCCCTGCCCCCCCAGAGGTGGAGCCTACAGAGGCAGGCAGGCCTCCTTGAGCTGTGGTGGGCTCCACCCAGTTCTAGCTTCCAGGCTGCTTTGTTTACCTAAGCAAGCCTGGGCAATGGCAGGCACCCCTCCCCCAGCCTCGCTGCCACCTTGCAGTTTGATCTCAGTCTGCTGTGCTAGCAATCAGGGAGACTCCGTGGGCGTAGAACCCTCCAAGCCATGTGCGGGATATAATCTCCTGGTGTGCCGTTTTTTAAGCCCGTTAGAAAAGCTCAGTATTAGGGTTGGAGTGACCCAGTTTTCCAGGTGCCATCTCTCACCACTTTCTTTGACTAGGAAAGGGAACTCCTTGACCCCTTGCTCTTCTTGAGTGAGGCAATGCCTCACCCTGCTTTGGCTCATGCCCGGTGCACTGCACCCACTGTCCTGCACCCACTGTCTGGCACTCCTTAGTGAGATTAACCTGGTACCTCAGATGGAAATGCAGAAATCACCTGTCTTCTGCATTGCTCACTCTGGGTGCTGTAGACTGGAGCTGTTCCTATTCGGCCATCTTGGCTCCACCCCCGATCCATGTCTTTAAAGTGTTCCTCCTTCATAAACTATAATCCTCCCTCCCTGCTCCAACAAATCACCTCATGTTGTTTCCTTTCTATTCTTCATTCTTGATACCTTATTCAGTATTTTTTCTGTTTGTTATAAATAAATGAGAATAAAATTAAAAACAGAGACGGGATATTACAGTTCTTAAATGAAAAGATGTAGATTATTGCCCTTGTTTTTTTTTCAACCACTCTAAATGTTAAGAAGATAAACTTTTAAGGGCCTAATATTGTATCTTACAGTTATGTACTTAATAAAACAGCAAATATTTATCAAAAACCTACTTTGTCTAAGAGTTAATAATATGTGCTGAATTTATTCTCCAGGAACTTTCTTATTATGTGGATGTTAACATCTGTCATTGGGAAATAGGTTAGCGAGAAATGCAGAACTATGTTAGAGACCAGTACACACACACACACACACACACACACACACACACACACACACACTTTATTTAAAGAAAACAAATAAATTAATACATGTTGACCTTAGTCTTCTGGCTTGTTAATGATCAAAGTAAAAAAATTAAAGAATTAAATTACTTTTTGGCTTGGGCTTTCTCTTTTCATTTCCTGTAACGATCATTTCTGTCACTAAATCCAACCAATACTTCTCAATAGAGTCACAGTAGACAGAGGGAGTGGGACAAGTTGGAAATGTTTGGAACCAATCCAATTAAAAGTTATAGAAAAAAATTATGGCTTCACATTAAATTGGCAGATTCGCTTCTTACCTCATTTAACCTCCCGCAAACTTTGAGAACTATACCCAGCTGCTGTTGCACCCATTAATTTTCAGTATTTGTCTAGTAATGAAGGTAGACTTGCAGATATTCCATTCTAAGAAACTTGAAAAGCACAGCTGATTCAAGGAAGATAGAGCTTTGTCCATTTACCCACTCACAAGGAGAAAAATACTGCATAATTTCATTCATGCAGAATCTAAAAATGTTTGTCTCATAGAACTAGAGAGTAGAATGATGGTAACCAGAGGCTATGGCAGTTGTAGGGGAAGAGGGGAAGTTGAGGAGCTGTTGGTCAAAGAATACTACATTTCAGTTAGATAGAAGGAGTAAGTTCAAGAGATCTATTGTACAACATGGTTAACTATAGTTAATAGCAATACATTGCATTCTTGAAAACTATTGAAAGTGAATGTTCCCACCACAAAAATTGTAACTATGTGAGTTCATGCATATGTTAATTAGCTAGATTTAGTCATTCCACAATGTACATATACTTCAGAACATCATGTTGTATGTGATAAATGCACATCATTTTATCTATCAATTTAAAAAATAATAAAAAAGGAAGATGGAGTTTTTAGCAATGATTTCAAAAACAATTTCAAGAGTGGCATAGTGATTCAATAACGTTTATTAGGCACATATTTTTCCAATCATTACTCTCATTCTGGTTATGACTGCTAATAGTATCTGTAAACATGTAAATTCAGATTACATTGTCATAAATCTTCAGAGCATTAATTGGTCTCCTGCTGAGCCCTCAAATTTAGCACTGATGGGAAAGCATCACCCTGCAGTTTCCATCTTTTCTCCATTGCATGGTCCTCAATCAAAGCCACACAGTTAGCCTTCAGCAGTCAGTTCAGGTTTGTGTAAGAGAGCCTTCTACTCTTTTTATATGGACTACATTCAGTGTTGTTAGTTACAGAGATTAGGCATCAAGAGACATGGATACATGGATTCTGGCTTGTTACCTCTGCAATAAAACTTAGAATTTATTTAGTTGAACATTTCATTTTACAGCAGATGAAAAGAAGGTATTGGAGGTGCCCATCTGAGGACCTCAGAAGAAACTCTCTTAACCTCCATCCAGTACTTTTCACTTCACCAGGCAGCTTCCATTCCCTCAACTCTTTTGGTGACTCTCCCTCCACCTGACATAGAACTGAAGACTCAGTTTCTTCATCTATGAAATGAAAATTATAAGATGAGTGTTTTGCAGAATTGCTGTAAAGAGAAAATATTCATAAATGTCTGTGAGGAGTATAATGCACCACAGATTCAATATATTCATTTCACCATCATGCAGAAAGGATCAGCCATGTTCAGTGCAGCAGCAGCAGCAGCAGCAGCAGCAGCAGAAGCAGCAGAGAACCTGTCAGAGCAGGCCTGTCAAGATATCTCACATGTTCGTGTGGAGAACAGTTATTGCTAATGAATATGATTGGTTAGAATAGAATTGAGTTTATCTTGTATAACATGGTTATGAGTTGTCATATTTTAGAGATCTTTGCCCTACTTTTTTAAAATGTGGTATTGGAGTAAAGTATTCATCTGAGTAACATTAATATGGGATTGGGGGCTTCTCTGATGTTATCACTTCTGTATTTGGCAGCATAAAGGACATGATGGGGTGGAGTGTTGGTCTGTCCACAAGTCTTGTGTGTTTGTCCTCTCTGCCATCCTGTGACCTGGACCACATTGTTTAACTACTCTAATACTCTATTTCTTTTCATGTAAAATGTAGGCCACAGAATGATTATTTTTAAATTCCTTTCTAGTTCTATGGTACAGACAAATCTCAGTTATGGTAATCCTAAACAAAACAAATGTTTGTGGTGCTATATGGCATTTTCTGTGAAAATAGATTGTCTTTGAATTAAAGGTGCTAAAATTCTAAGTGAAAGAGTGGAAAGCCTTGAATTAGTGACAGTGGGCTTTCTCTGACAATAAAATGTTCTTGCCGAAAATTTACAATACCTGCAGAATAAAAACAACTGTTAAATCAAAATTGACTTAGTATGTTCAGAGACACTTGAATAAAACCTATTAACAGCCCAACCGAGTTTAATTAAATATCATGAGTAATAAAAGAGAGGTCCAGGGGTGATTGCTGAGAACACTTATGGATTATTCTGAATTTGAAAATTTGACTCTCGGTGAGTGAGGAGCTGGGTCCCAACTGCAAATGTGCTGAGTTGATTAAAGATGATGAATTTTCGTCAACAAGGTGACATAAATGTTGCATTGCAATTTTTTTTCCCCAGAATATCTGAGACAGCCTGACACTGCCTGGAGGAGCATAGAATAAGCTTCTATCCAGCACTTGCCATCCAGGGGGCCCTCCCTAGCCAGAGAAGTGAGTCAGCTGATCTAGACATCTCCATCTCAGTCTGGCTCCATGATACCCAATGAGGTAGAGCAGAGAGCACATTTGGCATTAGGTAAACTTGGGGTTTTGAATTCTGTCTCTGGCTACTTAATAGCTATGTGAATTTGAGCAAGTCGCTTAACCCATCTGATCTTGTTTCTTCACCTTCAAAAAAGTGAAGAGTGGAAAGCCTTAAATTAGTGACAGTGCGCTTTCTCTGACAATAAAACATTCTTGCTGAAAATTTACAAATAATATATGAGTAATATAAGAGCAATACCATCTTTACTAACAAAATCCAAAATGTTAAGATCAATTAATCCTTAAAAATGACTATGTTCCCTAGTATATGTCCTAACATTGCAACCACCTCTCCAAACTTCTGAAAGTAAATCAAACCTGTTAATATTTTATCTATCTATTCCTTTCACAAGGTTCCTTGGGCACAAACCACTAGCCATTCTTCCCCAACTGTTCATATACCTTTTGATCACCTTCTTAAGTCACTAAATGATCACCTTAGCTTCTTATTCATCCTTCTGTGTTGTTTCCTTCTGTCCTTTGTGGGAAGCCTCAGGGAAATGGTCCATGTAATGGGGCATTGCTCACATGCATAATGTTTCCTTCTTATGGGATCATAGAAGAATAATGGATTATGTTTGGCATTCTTAAACAGGATGGACCAAACCATCAGATATATTTCTGGAAGATAAGGTTTATATTGAGGGAAATTGAGCAGATCTACTAATTTCTTGGTTGATGGCCCTTTTGTTTAGGAAACCAATGAAAAAATGCTTGCTATGAAAAAATGTAAAGGAGCAATTTTCACTTTGGTATGCCAAAGAAAACAAAACAAAATTACAACTAGATTTCACTGTGGACTCACAAGTTCTGCCTGAGGGAGAGAAATGAAAAGCCCTAGAACACCCTCTTACGTTTGTTACAACTGGTTTATCTCTGAAGATCTGGGCTGTGAGGTGAGGGCAACCATTCTCTAACTAAGGGAGTTCTGGGCCCAGGAAGAGTTAGCACCCCAAATTTCCCATTTAAGGAAGGGATGGTTGGGAAGCAGAGTGAGGATTATGAAAGCTGGTGAGACTCTTTAACTAGTTCTTATATCTTGGTGCCCTGAAATGTCAGTCTGAGTGTCATAATAAAGAATTTAAGTGTACCCAAAATACGGCTTCTAAAAAAATGCAGATTCAAGATTGTTACAATAAATTCTTGAAGACATGCTTTTTTTCATATTTTAATACACAGCAAACTTTTTGTTTTTACATTTCTGTCCACCGATGCAACTAAAATAGTTTCCTCTTACCAAGGAAGAACTTTCCTAGCTATTAAAACAAGAGTCCTTCTTTAAAATGATTTTACCCAGAAGTGTTTTGAGGCCAGGCTCTGTGGCTCACACCTGTAATTGGGAGATTGAGGCAGGAAGATCCCTTCAGCCCAGAATTTTGAAACCAGCATGGGCAATTAAGTGAGACCCCCATCTCTACAAAAAATAAAATGCCTGTAGCTCCTGCTACTTGAGACGATGTATGGGAAGATCCCTTGAGCCCAGGAATTTGAGGCTGCAGTGAGTTATGATCATGCAACTGCACTCCAGCCTGAGCAACAGAGTAAGACTCCATCTCAAAAAAAAAAAAAAAAAAAAAAAAAAGGAAAGGAAAGAAAGGAAAAAAGAAAAAAATGTTTTGAAAAGAAACACCCTTCATGAAATGGTAAGAAAATCAAAATCAATATTTATGACAACTTGCTTTTTCCTTTTTCCCTGTCTCCTTGATTATGAGCCACAAATTTATTGAAAATCCTGCTTGCTATGATAGATAATCATTTTGAGTTATCTTTCAAAAGTCCAGCTCCATCCATGTGCGTGCAAAGGACATGGCTTCTTTCCTCTCTATGGCTCCATAGTATTCCATGGTGTATATGTACCACATATTTTTTGTATCCAGTTTATCTTTGACAGGCATTTGGGTTGATTTCATGTCTTTGATCTTGTGAATAGTGCTGCAATGAACATATGCATGCATGTGTTGTTATAATACAATAATTTATATTCCTTTGGGATATAATGGGATTGCTGGATCAAACGATATTTCTTCCTCTATGTCTTTGAGGAATTGCCACACTGTCTTCCACAATGGTTGAACTAATTTACATTCCCACCAACAGTGTAAAAGCATTCCTGTTTCTCCACAGACTCATCAACATGTTTCTTGACTTTTTAATAGAAAAACAAACACTGCATGTTCTCACTTATAAGTGGGAGCTGACCAATGAGAACACATGGACACAGGGAGGGAACAACACACACTGGGTCCTGTCAGAGGAGAGCAGGGGAAGGGAGAGCATCGGGATAAATAGCTAATGCATGCCGGGCTTAATAACTAGGAGATGGGCTGATGGGTGCAGCAAACCATCATGGCACAAGTTTACCTATGTAACAAACCTGCACATGTATCCTTGAACTGAAAATAAAATAATTTACTTTTTAAAACATTTTAAAAAATCTAGATTTAAAAAATACTATCACCAAATACCTAATCATATCTCTCTAAAATTAACTTTCCCTTGAATTAAAGGAGTGATATATTTTTGCCTACATAATTTGTTATGGATTCACGATAGTAACTGCTTGGTTTCCATTCTTAGCTGGACAATCGACCTTTTTCAATAACTCTTTCTCTTGTGTTTAGCCAGCTCACTGGCTGATTTCAATAAAAAGTTATTCTGAATTTTGTTGCTCTGTCCACAACAACACACATAAATAGCATTTTCACCCACTGTGATGCAAGACATGCAACAAGAGATGCAAGATGAGCCTCATCTCATCAATTCTCTGGACTTCCTCCAGCCTGCTAACTTCTGAACCATTATTACATGTCTTCCCCCAACACCTCTCTATTGAATCAGCACTGGTAAAAATCTTCAAGTCTTTTTTACTATGCAAAGACTGATTTCCAAAGTACATTCTTTATGAATGCTAAAATTTCTATCTTCATCTGAAAATGACATTCTTTTCCTTACTACTGATTTATGATTTGGCTGAATGTAGGATTACGGGTTGACAGCCATTTCCCCCCTAACTTTTGAATATATTATTTTATTTCTTCTGATTCCTATTGTTGCTGAACATATTATTTTATTTCTTCTGATTTCTATTGTTGCTGAAGATAAGTTTGTTATCAACCAAATTGCTGCTCCTTTCAAGGTAATCTTTTTTCTTTAACTGCTTTTAACTCTTGGTATTTGATATTCTGTGGTTTCATCATGATGCAATTCATTAGATATGTTTTTATTCTTTTTGGTGCTTATTGTGTTTCTTCAACCTGAGTACATGTGTTTTCTTTCATTCTGGAAAATCTTACAACCATTTTCTCTTCAATCATTGCCTCTATTCAATCTCACTCATTATCTTTTCAAATATTTCCTCTACTTCTGGAACTCCTAAAAGATAAATGCTATACTTTCTCATTTTATTTCTTATGTCTTTGATTGTATTAGTTTTCTATTGCTGTATAACAAATTACTCCAAACTTAGTGGCTTAAACAGCAATATTTGCTATCTTGATTTCTGTGGGCCAAGAATTTGAGTGTGGCCTAGCTGGGTTCTCGAATGCTGGGTTTCTCACCGGAGTGCAGTCATCTCCAGGCTCAAGGGGAAAGGGCTGCTTCTTAGCTCATTCATGTGGTTGGTGGGTTCTTACAAGCTGTTAGACTGAAGCCTTAATACCTCATGAGCTGTAGGTGGAGAGCCCCCTTGACTTCTTGCCACATGAGCCTCTTCACAGGGCATCTTACAATACGGCAGCATGCCTCCCCAGCAGGAGCAAGGGAGAAGGCAAGAGAGAATGCCAGCAAGAGAAAGCCCTAGCAAAGATGAAAGGCACAGACTTTTATTATCAAGTCACAAAACTGACATCTCATCACTTTATCTATACGGCATTTTTAGAAATAAGTTGCATGGTCCGGCCAACAACCAAGGGAGAAGGATTAAGCTAGAGCTTAAATACCAGAAGGCAAGAATCACTGGGGCCAAGTCATACCAGTCTTTCTTATTTTCCACTTCTTTAACTTTTGGATTCTTCCTAAATGTTTTCCTCCTGTCTATTATCCATTTCACTGCTTCTTTCTTAAATTATTTCTAATCTGCTATTTAAAATACCCATTAATTTCTAAATCACCTTTTCTGGTGTATAATATACTTAAAGTAAAATGCACCCCATTTGAGTATATATTTCTGAGTTTTGAAATTTTATATAACCTGTAACTGCCACTGTAACCAAGACATAGAGCATTCTATCACCCCCAGAAAGTTTCTTTATACTCTTCTCAGTCTATCTCCTCTGAATCTTGACCATAGGCAACCACTGATTGCCTTACTACCCCCAGTAGAGATTATACTTCTTTTCCAGAGTTTTGTCTGCCCATCAGTTTTAATTAATTTTCAATTTTTAGGGAATTCAGTGACTATTTGAGGCATGTTCTAACATGATAACTGTAATAGTTGTGAAAATCTACACATTTACTAAAAATTATTGAGGTGTGTCCTTACAATGGCTGAGTTGTTGTTTGTTTTTGTTTTTTGAGATAGTGTCTTGCTGTGTCATCCAGGCTGGAGTGTAGTAGCACGATCATAGTTCACTGCAGCCTTGAACTCCTGGGCTCAAGTGATTCCCCCACTTCAATCTTCCAAATAGCAGAGACTATGGGCTTGTGCCACCACACCTGACAAATTTAAAACAATCTTTTTTTTTGAGAGAATGCTGCCTATGCTGTTCTTGAACTCCTGACCTCAAGTGATTCTCCCACCATGGCTTCCCAAAATGTTGGGAATACAGGTATGAGCCACTACACCTGGCTTCAAATTTTCTGATACATAAATTATATATCAATAAAGCTCTTAAAGTCTTTATAAAAATTTAGTCACTGTATTTATTTTTAGAAATTTTATTTGGTTCTATTTTAAATGTTCAGTTACCTATTCTTTCAATGGACATATTTCATTCTTGTCTATTCTGTAATTATAGTTTTTAAAAAATTTTTTAAAACCTCTTTAAGAATTTTTAATATACTTGCTTGATGATCTCTGTCCTATTATTTTATTTGTCCTATTTCTTAGGGTGACAATCCCACTAATTGCTGACTTGCAGGCTCTCCAGTCTTATGGTTTGCTTCATTATAAAATGCACAATTTTGTACTGTCAGCTCTTTTTTAGCAGTTGTTTTAGCTGTGGGAGTACCTTGTGTCTTGGGTTGTAAATGTGCCCTACAGGAAAGTTCTGGTATTTCTGTGTCAAGTGTGTTGTTCATTCTCAACCATGTAGGTAGTATATGCCTGTGTCTCAGGAGTGACTGTCTTTCTCTTCTTTCTCTGTGCTAATAGAGAACTTTATTATTGTGTTGTCATCCAGGTATACAGCTTTTTAATTTCCTTTGTAAGAGACAGGGCAGCCCTTTGAGGCCCTCCCTGCCAGAAGCTGTGTCCCCAGGCCTACATGGATATTAAAAATCTAAGATCCAATCCTGGGGTCAATATATGAATCTGAGCCCCCAAACTCCCAGCAAAATATTAACTTCTACTTCCCATTATGTGTTTGAGTTCAATCTTCTTTTTGGCATTTTGAGCTTTTTTTCCCCTTTCTTTTGAGTTCAGCTTTGTATTAAAAGTATTTTTGGTTATCTTTTATCCATTATTTCTATATATTTATAATAGTGAAGGGCCTTAGTTCACCATGTTAATGAAATCACATAATTTTCAAATCACATAATTTATTTTCAGTTCTTATTTTACTTGATTCCTTGAAACATTGAATATGTCATCTTCTAATTACAATAACTCCATTTACCTTGGCTTTTGTGACATCCATTCACTCGTATTCTTTCTCTTACTTAGAGAAAGCCATATCGCTTGTTGGAAAAGCATGAATTTTGTCATCAGATTTACCCAAATTTAAACACTGAATCTTCTACTTAGACACCACGTGATCTTTGAGTTAATGATTTCACTTTAAGATTTTTATCTGTAAAATAAGAAAAATACACATTTTTAAAGTATATGTATTTTTTAATGCATATTTTTAAAATATAATAAAGAATAAACAAAATAACATGTATGAAGGATACAACAAAGTCCCTGACAAAGAGCCAGTGCTTAATATAGTAGTTGTAGCAGATACTTGTGATATCCTTGCTTTCCACCTGAAAGTGATAATTCTTCACATTCCTCATTTTTCCTGATTCTCAAGACTGGGTCAGTTCATGGCATTTATGAGATAAGATGACAGAAGGGATATCATTGTTTGCTGCCAAACATCTTGCAATTCATCACTGACCAATCCCAGGGAAAGATTGGTTTTATCCTTGTAATTGCTTTCCTAAAGACAGAAATCATGGACAGTGACATCCAGCTGAAAATCTCTTAGGTCACTTGAGGCAAGTTCAGTTATCACTTGCCTCAGTCACCAGTAACAAACCCCTTCCCTCACTGGGGACATAGGTGAGTATATTCTTCTTAATTCTACAGTAAAAACAGACAAAGTCGATGTTTTACAGAAAACAACAGGCTTTGCCCAAGAGGACTTACTTTTAATTTCTTGCTTAATAGCATCTATCATCTAGGAAAGGAGCACACAGATGTTGGTGTTAGTGTTTTAGTATCATAAGTATCATTCGCAAGAAAGAAAAAGGCTCAAGCATCTCTTTACTTTTCATTCTATACTTCCTTCACACTAGAGTCATCCTCTCCATGCCCATGATTCCAGCGATCACTTACAAATGTCTACTCTCAAAACTATAATTATAGACCTTACTTCTCCATTCTTGGATGTTTTTAGAAGTTTCTGGTGCATGAATAAACACAATTATTATTTTTCCTTCTGGTTTCCACAAGGAAGCAAATCTACATGGATAATAACCAAATTGGAAAGTACTACTTTGTCAATAGTTAGGTGATTATCTTCTACCTTTATGCAAAGCTCTGGTAAAAGTTGCATTGAGAGAGATTCGAATTGGGCCTCAGGCTAACACAACATTTCTTGTTTTTTTTAGGCCTTGAACTATGTGTATATTTTACTTTCACTTCTCACCCAAGGGTGGGCTCCCACAACTGCAGTGAGAGAGATGGTCAGTTCAAAGCACATCAACCAAGTCAGTGCAAAAGGAGGAAAATGAATAGCCAGAAAGTTTTCTCTGCCCCAATACGTAGTGCTGAGCTGGGCTGGGCTGCACGATATGATCAGGAAAATATAGAGGTCACAGTGTGGAAGTAGAAAGAACAGAAAGGTTATTTCGTAGTATAGTTTCAACAGAAGAGATCAGAGGCCTCAGTCTTCTCTTTACACCTGCTACATGGATCCAAGAAATCTATGTCAATTTTCTGATATTCAACCCCATCTAGACATTTCACAAAAAATTTATAACTAGAGTCTGATGCTTTAGTTTGTATTTCCCTCCTTCTTTTAGTATCAGCAACCTCCTCCAATGCAGAACTGCTCTTCTGTCTCTCCATGTGATTCCAAGGATGCTTGTCCCAGAATTGTCCTTCTCTGGTGCATAACCCAGACCTGGCCAATCATAGTTCCCTTCCACTTGGCAACAATGTTTGATGTGAGAATGAGAGTATAACCAAAGCCATTCATGTCCTTTCCTTCAACTTTATATTGGGAGGTAAAAAGTTTCTCTTTAGTCTTGGATCATGAACTGTAAGAGTGGATCCAGAGCTGCTAGATAATCTGTATATCTGCTGTGTAGCAACATCTGAAAGTAATAAGCCTAAAACAAGAGTGGCATAAAGGTGAAAGGCAAAGCAAAGAGCATTGATGACACCATTTGTTTTCTTGTATCACCCTCTTTCTTTTTATGTAACCCAGTGATTGATGTTTGAAATGGTGTGAGTTAGATTTCTGTCAAGTACAACTGCAATATCCTAATACACCTCTCAACACTTCTAAAGAAGAACTCAACATTAAACACCCTAAATCTCTCATCACTCCTGTCTATACTGATAGGTGAGATCTCCAGCTATCTGCTCTCCCAAGCCAGAAACACAGAAACCATCCTAACCCTCTTTTTTTGCTTATTTTAAAGATCCATCTAATATCCCATTGATTCCACCTCCAAATTATTTTTCACATTTGTCATCTCTGCAGCACGCATACAGTGTTCCTTCCTTAGTGAATACCTTGTCATCTTCTAATCTGCACCCATTGGCCTTCCAGTCATTATATTGCTCTTGACTTTTCTTCCCCGAAAACCATCTCAAGTGATTTTCCCTCTGTATTCTAGAGGACTGATACCAGTCTTTGTCTGCATTATTTCCTTTCTCCTTTCATTGGTGGAGATTCCTGCTTTTCCTCATCAGTGGTGATGTTCTAGATTCACCAATCCTCCTGCTCCTGTTCACTGTGGGATCAGTCGTGAATTCCTCACACAATTAGTCTTGGTGTGGTTGGCTTTGAATCTAGCTTCCAGGGTGACCAGAAGTAATGAAGAAATCAGTAAGCACCTAGGGATCTTTCAGAAATATCTGAAAAGAAAGAGTTGTACAGGGATAGCTACATGATTTATAACACCAAGTGTGAAATGAAATCGTGGGATCCTTGTCCAAAAAAAAAGAAAGTGTCATTAAAAGCACTGAAATATAAGCTTTTTCTTTTCTTCCCAAGTCTCTTTGAACCTGTCATGGTGCTTAATTTCCTATTTAGTGTTAATCTCTCAGGACAGGGATACCCATTGGGAGAAGATGCTCACAGGTGTCCCATTGGCTTGAGCACAGCCCACTGGCTTCCAGGTTTCAAGCCACCACTCCACAGCACCATGTCCCAACCAGAGGTGGATAAATAAATCTCCCCTTCCCATGAGCTGCCACGTCAACCCATGGTGGTTGGGATACTGCCAAGGATTACAACCTCAGGACCTGAATGAGCCATTATCAGGATGGGGTGGGTGAGAAGCTCCTCACTGCCTAGGTACATGCTGAATGCACATGGAGGCACTGCCTGCCCCTGATGGAGACAGCTCCTGCCACGCCCACTCTGAGATGCTGCATGTTGTTCATTCTATCTAGACTCTCTCTACACCCACACCCAGGCTCCTGAAAGAGGCAAAAGACAGCAGCAGTTGCTGGGCCAGAACAGGAGTAGCTAACACTGATGGGAGAAGCAGAGGTATCGTGGGACGAGGAGCAGGGTGTAGAGAGCCTACCAAGGAAGGCAGGGTGGGAATCAGGGCTAACTCTGAGCAGGTTCTCTTGTGAGCGAAGGTTTCAATCCCTCAATACAGGCTCCATTGTCCTGTTGATTTCAATGACAAAATCAAAATTCAAAATAAAATTATTAAACGTTTTAAGACCATCACCAGAGAGTATTAAGCCCCAAGCATGGAGCTCCTTTGAGCATGGGGCTCTGTGTGATTGCACAGGTCCAATGAGCATGGAGCCTGCCCTGTCTGTGAACAAGTGGTCTTTCTATTATTAATCTGTTCCATGAAAGCTCAGCAGAATTGTAATTTGGAGCATGTTTATCAAACATTTTCACCGATAAAACAACGAATAATTCAGAAGTCCCACGTGTAAACCCCATAAAACTGCTCTGCTTTATCAGAGACAAAAGATCAAGCAGCAGGTCCACCTGGTCATCCCTTCCTACCTTATGCCTTCAGCCCTAACTGTGGCCCAAGAAGCCTCAAGAACTCCATGAAACACAGTCTGAAAAAAAAAATTGTTTAATTCATTTTTACTCCCAGTCTAGGGAAACTTTGGCATTTCATGTTTATTTTGCCTTCATTTTAAATGATGTTGAGCATTTTATCATATACTTGTTAGCCATTTGTGTATCTTCTTTTGAGAAATGTCTGTTCAGATTTTTTTGCCCATCTTTAATCAGATTATTAGATTTTTTCCGACAGAGCTGTTTGAGCTCCTTATCTGTTCTGGTAAGTAATGCCTTGTCAGATGGATAGTTTATGGATACTTTCTTTCACTTTGTGGGTTGTCTCTTGACTTTGTTGGTTTTTAACCTTTGCTGTGCAGCAGCTTTTTAAGTTGATGTGATCCCTTTTGTCCATTTTTGCTTTGGTTGTCTATGCTGTGGGGTATAGTTCAAGAAATCTTTTGAGTGCTGGAAGTCCTGGCTAGAGCAAGCAGACAAGAGAAAGAAATAAAAGCATTCAACTACACAAGGAAGAAATAAATTTATCTTTGTTTGCAGATGATATCATCTTATGTTTGGAAAAACCTAAGGACTCCACAAGAAAACTCTTAGAACTGATAAACAAATTCAGTATTGGTACAGGACACAAAATCAACATACACAAAATCAGTAGTATTTCAATATGCCAACAATTAACAATCTGAAAAAGAAATAAAAAAAGTAATCCTATTTACAATAGCTACAAATAAAATAGAGTACCTAGGAATTAACCAAAGAGGTGAAAGATCTCTACAGTGAAAACTATAAAACACTGATAAAAGAAATTGAAGAGGACACCAAAAAATTGAAAGCTAGTCTGTGTTCATGGATTGGAAGAATCGATATTGTTAAAATGTCCATACTATCCAAAGCAATCTACAGATTCAATGCAATCTCTATAAAAATATCAAAAACATTCTTCACAGAAATAGAAAAAAAAAAATCCTAAAACTTTTATGGGACCAAAAAAGACCTAGAATCCTGAGAAAAAAGAACAAAACTGGAGGAATCACATTACCTGACTTCAAATTGCACTACAGAGCTATAGTAACCAAAATAGCATGGTACTGGCATAAAAACAGACACATAGACCAATGGAACAGAATAAAGAACCCAGATACAAATCAACACTTATACAGTGAACTCATTTTCAACAAACATGTCAAGAACATACATGGAGGAAAAGACAATCTCTTTAATAAATGGGCTGGGAAAACTGGATATCCATATGCACAGACTACACCTCTATCTCTCACCTAACACCAAAATCAAATCAAAATGGATTAAAGACCTAAATCTAAGAACTCAAACTAGAAACTACTGAAAGAAAACATCAGGGAAACTCTCCAGGGGAAAAAAAATTTAACTGCATATTTGTAACAAGTTTCATTACTCAATACTGACCAATTCCCAAGTACTTCCCCATTTAAAATATCTTGGTGATGATTAAACTCCCAGTTGTATGGAGTATGTCTGTGAGGATTTATTTTGTTTCTTTCATTTATGAGAGGGCATGAGTGTTATATTTATGGAGCTTTGGCATATATAAGGATGTTTTCTGTTACTAGCATACATAAATGACATCTTGGCTTGATTTGGAATTCTGTATTCCCAATTTTTGTATCTCAGATCACTATAAACATATTTCTATTTGCTACTGAAAGTTAATATTGAAAAAAGTTAGCTACTCTTTTTATTTGCAATCCAAACTGTGTTATTAATTTTTCCTAGAAAACTATAGCTTCTGGTCTTTTCTACCTAGAAAAATATTTTTCTATTATAACTTTAATTATACCTTCTCTTTTACTTGCTTTGTTTCTTTTTCAGAACATCTTATTTTCAATATATTGGATATTGTTTCTCTGTTCTTTGTATCTGATATCATATTTGTCATTCTTATCACTTCATCACTTTTTTGTGAGAGAAATTTTGAAGATTTTTGCTGGCATTACTGACTTGATTTGTTTGGCATCATTTCTGTTCTACATTGACACTGGTGAAGATTTTTATGTTCTTAGGTTTTTTTTTTTTTCATTCTGGCTTGAAATCCTAGGCCTAGGATTTGCAGACATAGTGCTAGCATAGATTGCCATGGCCATCTGCACTGTCACTTGTGTATTGGTAAAAACATCCCATCATCTGTGCACAACCCTAGCTCAATTTCTGATACTGCAGAAACCTTCATCTGGCACTGGAATAGAACATTCTGCTCTTACTACTCAGTTCTTTACCACAGCAGAGATAGCATATATCGTAAGGCAGCCTTCAGTTGTTTAACCACGTGCAATCCATGATTATACTTCCTAGCAAGCACTATTTCCAGTGCCTTCCTTTCTCTGTTTCCATTATATAGCTTTACCTGAAAGGTCGTTTTCCTTGGATGTGAATGCCACTTTCCATTTTCCCCTACCACTGGCCTCGTTATACAAGAAGTACTCTGCTACATGTGGGCCATTGAGAGGGGAGGAACAAGATTTCAGCCATCTCAAAAACAGTACAGAGGTGACTGCTCAGTTTTCTGATTAATATAATATCTGGTGTCTAAAAAACAGGCAGTAAAAATGAGTCAAAGTCTCTGTCTCTCCATTTCATTTTCAGTTTTTCCGTACTGGTTCAGTGGGTACATTGCACGCAGGCCACTGATAATGCTTCTTCATCCATTAGTCGCAGAATTAAAGTTGGTGGAAATGCCTGCCAATGTTACCATATTCATTTTACTTCTGTTCCTATTTTTAAAGCTATTTTTAATTATTGCCTTCATGTATGATTCTGCCTGTAATTTATTTGCAAGTTGGGAGAGAGTCTATCATAATCTCAAACCAGGAGTCAGGGTCTTCTAAATGCAGGTATAATAAATAGAGTAATGAATGTCATAGATATTTTATTATTTACAAAAAATCATTAACAAATCCAAACTGAAGCATTGCTATTGAGTGGAAAACATCTAGAGTCAAGTTTTTACCCCCATATACTAAGTGACTTTAGATGAGTCACTTAACCTTTTTGAATCTATTTATTTATTCATAAAGCAATAATAAGTATGCTTGTTCTAAGGACCTTAAACTGGTATTGTGAGGAACAAATGGATTAATATTCATAAAACCCTTCATAGTCATTAATGTTCTATATCAAATGATCACCATTATGCCCATGACCTTGGCTTCATTAATGCCTCATGGAAACAGTGAGCTAACTGAGCTAACGGGTCACAGAAGTAATTCGTTAATATTTATTTACTATTTTTTAGCTAGTATCGAATGTGGTTTAAACATAAAAAGTAAATGGTAATTATGAGTGCTCTAGCCCCTGCTATTAAAGAAAAAGTAAGAAGACTTTTTTCGCCTAGTTGTTAAATTTACACAAGTTTTACCTACCACTTTTTAGAGTTCTATTAATAATTGATTTCTTTTTTTATTGATAAGAACTTACATTTTCAGACTTTAACTGTACTACCTCTTGGCAGCATAAAGGATGGAATACCAAGTGGAATCACAGAGTCATACATGAACTTTTGCTGTTATAAAATTTGATTAGAATGGAAGGCTAGACAACACAAATTGGAAAGTATTGGGTAGAAAAAAGGCAATGAAAAATAGGTCTTTGTTTACTTTTAAGACTTGGAAGCAGGGATTTCTAAATAGTTATAATTTATGGGCTAATAAATATCATAGACATATTGTTATTAGTATGAAAATTAGCAAACATACAAGGAGATACTAGGTTGGAATATGGCAATTTTAATAACATAAAAATAAAACACACATCAATTATTTTTTTAATTGGTTTATAATGCATTGCTCTAAGAGGAGAGAATAATAAAAAACTTCCAGTGTTTTACCCCTAGTTTCAAGTGAGGGGAATGAAATGGCATACCTTCATGGCATAGCACAAACAACTTTTTCATGAAGCAAGATCCTTTGTTAGGATATGCCAAAACCTCGTATTTCTTTAGCTCTTAGCTCTTGAAAGAAGTCTGTAAACCTGTCTTCATTTTCCAGGTGAATATTATTTTTTTCATTCCTTTTGAATAGAAGTAAACTCAGATAAAAATAAATTAAGAAATATAATGTCCATATCTTTTTGTATTTTATGTTTTTTAATGTCTTTTCTTTCTGATACACTAGTTGAGCCTTGAGGAAAAGACCATATCTTATCCATCCTCCACCACCATAGCCTTGGATACATAGTAGTTACATAAACTATGTACATACATAAACCATCACAGTTACATCTTTCTGCTACTAATGTATACATGGAAGAAAATGGCTCAAACATGTCTATGATCTTTCCTCTACTCTTTGGATTTCATAAAACATTAACTTAAGAAATTTATAGAAAGATAATACAAGTCTTGAAGGTTCCTCACGATAACCCTTATTTGCAAGGAATCACTAGGCGGACTCATGGAACCTAGAAAAGCTATTATACTAATGTTTACAGTTATTATGGCAAAATGAACAAAAAGAAGGGGCACACAGGGAAAATTCCAGGCAAATTCCAGGCATGAGCTTCCAGTTGTCTTCTCCCAGTGGAGTCATGGACAGTGCTTGCTTCTCCCAGCAATGGTGTATGACAATCATTAATGGGTATTGCCAACGAGGTAAATATGTACCAGCCAAGAATACTATACCAAACAAATCTGTCCTTTAGAAATGAAGGAGAAATAAAGTCCCAGACAGGCAAAAGCTGAGGCAATTCATCACCACTAGACCTACCCTACAAGAAATGCCTAAGGGAGTTCTTCCAGTGGAAACAGAAGGGTGCTAATTACTAACATGAAAACATATGAAAGTCTAAGAGTCACTGGTAAAGGTAAATATAAGTCAAATCCAGAATACTCCAATACTGTTATGGTGCTCTGTAAATCATCTCTATCTCTAGTATGAAAGTTAAAAGTCAAAACAGTCAAAAATAATAATAGCTACAATAAGTTTTTAAGAAATACATAATATAAAAAGATGTAAATAGTGACATAAGTGACAAAAATTGTGTGGGAGAGAGGTACAAGTCTAATGTTTCCATATGTAACAGAATTTAAGTTATCAGTATATAATAGTCTATTATACTCATGAGATGTTTTATTTCATTCCTAGGTAAACACAAAGCAAAAAACTGTAACAGATACACAAACAAAAAAGAAAAGGGAATAAAAACTTATCACTGCAAAAAAAAAAACCAAATCACAAATATAAACAAGAAAGAAAGAAAGGAACAATAGATCTACCAAATAACCAGAAAACATTGAATAAAATGGAAGTAGTAGTTCCTTATCTATCAGTAATTAATTACTTTGAATGTAAATGGTTTACTTTTTCCAGTCAAAAGATGTAGAGTGACTGAATAGATAAAAAGTAAGATCCAGTTATACTCTGTCTATTAGCCTTAAGAACACACATATTCTGAAAGCGAAAGAACAGAAAAAGATATTCCATGAAAATTGTAATCCAAAGACAGCAGGACTGGCTGTACTTAAGAGAAAATAGATTTCAACTGAAAAGCTGTCACAAGAGACAAAGAAGGTCATTATTTAATGATAAATGCCTCAATTCTTCATGAGAACATAACAATTGTTATGTACCCAACATCAGAGCATCTAAATATATAAAGCAAATATCAATAGACATGAACGGAGAAAGAGCAATACAATAATAGTAGGAGACTTCAGTACTCCACTTTCAACAGTCGACAGATTAACCCAACAGGAAATTAATAAGAAGATACAGGAATTAAACTGTACTTTACAGAAAATGGACCTAACAGAGACACATAGAATTTTACATCCAACAGCAGCAGGGTATACATTTTCCTCTAGTGCACATGGAACATTCTCCAAGATAGAACATTTGATAGACCACAAAACAAGTCTTTTTAGATTAAAAAAAGTTGAAATTATATTATATATTGTTTCTACCTACAGTGATATGATCCAAATAAATAGCCTAATAATACACTACAAGGAACTAGAAATAGAAGAACAAACTAAACCCAAAGTTATCAGGAGGAGGGAAATAATGAAGGTCAGAACAGAAACAGAAAAGAAAAGACCATAGATATTTTTAATAAAACTAAGAGTTAGTTTTCTTGAAGTTTTTTTAACATTGATCCAAAAGTAATCAATAAAATATTAGCAAATATAATTCAACAAAGTACCAAGTGGGGTTTATATCAGGTATGCAAGGCTGATTTAACATATGCAAATCAATCAATGTGATACATCACGTTAACAGACTGAAAGACAAAAACCACATGATCATATCAATTGATGCTGAAAGAATTCAACAAAGTGTCACATCTTTTTTTGATTAAAAACTCGACAGTTTAAGTATAAAAATTTCAATATAATAAATGACAGTTATAAAAAATTCAGAGCTAACATTATGATCAATTGAGAGAAACCGAAAGCTTTTTCTCTAAGACATGGCACAAGGCAAGGTTGCCCTTCACCACTTCTATTTAACATAGTACTAGAAGTACTGTCAAGAGCAATTAAACAAGAAAAAGAAATAAAAGGTATCCATGTCAGAAAGGAAGAAGTAAAATTATCTGTATTTGCAGATGACATGATTCTGTACATCAAAAACTCTAAAGACTCCACCAAAAATCTGTTAGAACTAATATATTAATTCAGTAGTTGCAGGATGTTAAACCATTGTAAAAAATGTATGGTGTTTCTATACACAAATAACAATCTAGCTGAAAAAGAAACCCAGAAAACAATCTCATTTAAAATAGTACCCAAGAAAATACCAAAAATAAAGTGGTAGATTTAACTACAGAGGTAAAAGACCCATATACTGAAAGCTATACAACTTTAATGAAAGAAACTGAAAAGGACACAAATAAATGGAAAAATATTCCATGCTTGTGCATCAGAATAATTAAATATTGTTAAAAAGGTTCATATTACTCAAAGCAATATGTAGATTCAATGCAATCCCTATCAAAATTTCAATGGCATTCTTCACAGCAATATTTTTTTAAATCCTAAAATTTGTATACAACCACAAAAGACCCCAAATAACCAAAGTAATTCCCGTACCCTGCAAAAAAGGGGAAGCCATCACTCTTTCTGATTTAAAATTACATTACAAAGATATAATTATAAAAAGACTGTGGTACTAGCAAAAACAGACACATAATCAGTGGAATAGAGAGCCTAGAAGTAAATTCAAATTTATGTGGTGGACTAATTTTCAACATGGCACCAAGAATACACAATGCGGAAAAGAGAGTCTCTTTAATAAATGGTCTGGGAAAACTGGATTTTCACATGCAAAAGAATGAAATTAGCCCCTTATCTTACACCATACATCAAGTCAACGTAAGATGGATTAAAAACCTAAATGTGAGGCCTGAAACTGTAAAACTCCTGGAAGAAAACAGGGAAAAACCTTCTCGACATTGACTTTGCAATGATTTCTTGGATTTCACACCAAAAGCTCAGGCTTCGAAAGTAAAAATAAATAAATGTTCAACATCAAACTAAAAAGTTTCTGCACAGCAAAATGAACAATCACCAAAATTAAAAGGCAACCTACAGATTGGGAAAAAATACTTGCAAACCATATATCAGATAAGGAATAAATATACAAGATTCTTAAAGCACTCATATCTTTCAATATCAAAAATATATATCATCTGATTTAAAAAGGACTTGAATAGATATTCTCCAATGATGACATGAAAATGGCCAACAGATATTTGGAAGGTGCTCAACGTCGCTAATCCTCAGGGAAATTCAAATCAAATCCATTATGAGATACCACGTCATACCTGCTAAGATCGCTATTATCAAAAAGATAAGAGATAAGTGTCGTTAAGGATGTAGAGAAAAGAAACCCATGGATACTCTTGGTGGGAGGTAACTAAAATAAAATAAAATAAAAATAATACTACCATATGACTCAGCAATTCCTGTTCTGTGTATATACTCAAACTAAATGAAATCACAGCCTTTTAAAGATATCTGCAGTCTCCTGCTTGTTGCAGCATGAATAATATGGATAGCAAAAGCCAAGATACAGAAACAACCTACATGTCCATCAGTGGACAAATGGATAAAGAAACTGTGGTGTGTATGTGTGTGTATATATTATTTAGTCTTTAAAAAGGAGGAGATCCTACCATTTGCCACAATACGAATGGTCTTGGAGGACATTATGTTAAGTGAAATAAGCCTAACATAGAAAACTATTGCAAGATCTCAGTTACATGTGGAATCTTTGAAAAAAAGGGGGCGAGGGGATCACATATATAGAGATAGAGAATAAAACAATGATTACCAAGATCAGGGAGGAAAATGGAGAAATGTAGGTGAAAGGATATGAAGTAGCAAATATGTAAGATAAATAAGTTTAAAGATCTAATGTACAGCATGAGGACTATAGTTAACAATAGTGTATCGAATTCAGAACTTTTACTAAATAAGTAGATTTTAGCAATTTTTTTTTTTTTTTTTTTTTTTTTTTGAGACAGACTCTCGCTCTGTCACCCAGGCTGGAGTGCAGTAGTGCGATCTCGGCTCACTGCAAGCTCCGCCTTCCAGGTTCACTCCATTCTCTTGCCTCAGCCACCCGAGTAGCTGAGACTACAGGCGCTCGCCACCACGCCCAGCTAATTTTTTTGTATTTTTAGTAGAGACGGGTTTTCACCATGTTAGCCAGGATGGTCTCGATCTCCTGACCTTGTGATCCGCCCACCTCAGCCTCGCAAAGTGCTGGGATTACAGGCGTGAGCCACCGCGCCCGGCCGATTTTAGCAATTTTAGTTGCTGTTGTTATGGGGCGGGGTAAATGTAATTGTGTAAGATGATGGATGTGTTAATTTGTTTCACTATAGTAACCATTTCATTATATGTGTGTCTTAAAACATCATGTTGTATACTTTAAATATGCAAAATAAAATTTATTTATTTTTTTTTAAAAGAGGGCACCAGGTGTGGTGGCTCAAGCCTGTAATCCCAGCACTTGGGAGGCTGAGGTGAGAGGATTGCTGGAGCCCAGGAGTTTGGAACCAGCCTGGGAGACAAAGCAAGACCTTGCCTCTACAAAAAATAGAAATAATTATCTGGGCATGGTGGCACACACCTGTAGTTTCAGCTCCTCAGGAGACTGATGTGGGAGACTTGAGCCCAGGAGGATCAGGCTGCAGTGAGCTGTGAGCATGCCACAGCACTTCAGCGTGGGTATCAGACCAAAACCCTGTCCTTAAAAAAAAAAAGCACAAAAAAGAAAGAAGCCAGTGGCATTCCACAACCCAGCATAAACAACAAAGGTACCTTGTCATATTCTTTCTTACTTGTGTCACTTCCCTGTTATTAAGTCAATGACTTATACTCAAAGCGATGACATAGAAAGAAAAAGATAGGGCAATTTGTACTTCCTTTTCTTTTCAGTTCTTTCTTACTCATCAATAAGTTGAAAGCAAAGAATTGGTAGAATGTGTGTGTATCACAAAATGAAATCAAACCTGGTGAATCAGTTTCATTCAATGTTTCCATTACTAAGAACAAAATTCCACTATTCTGTTGAGAAAAAAAATATAGTCACAAAAGAATCCCACCATTCTGTTGAAAACAAAATATACATGCAAGTATGAACTATGAAATATGAATTCTATGCTTTTGTTAATTTTGCCTACAAGTTAAATGTTCCTATTTAAAATACCATTGTACAATACAAAGATGATAATTATTTTAAATTTAAATTTTTCTTTACTTAAAAAGTCATTAAATAGCAACAAAAACACTATAAGAAGTCAAAAGTGAGACCTCAGATGAAAAAAACTCTGTTAATACCCATAATGGCACTTTATTTTTGCTTTTTGTCAAGCAGTCCTGCATTTTCATTTTACACTGGATCTTGCAAATTATGTAGCCAGTCCTGCAATAAAATTTCACTCGAGTATTAAAAGAATATGACTGGACCAACTAATATAAGGTTTAATTAGCTGACAGAGTTCTTTCAGAAGTGCAGGGAAGCAGAAGCAATATTATAAAGATATAACGTGGTTAGACTTGCCAGGATCTTTAACCTGAATAAGACAAGTGTGGTGGGTCCTGGACAGTTTTTCTAGCCAAAAACGTATATTTAAAAAAGTTTAAAAACCATTTTTTGCTTTTTATCAAATTTATTGTTAAATTAACAGAAAAAATAACATGTATTTATTATGTATATCATAATTTGAAGTATGAATACATTGTGATAGGTTAGATTTAGCTAATTATATATGCATTTTATGAGGATTTACCATTTTTGGGGGTGAGAACACAACATCTGCTCTTAACATTTTTTCAATAATAAAATAGATTTTTAGTAACTATTGTCACCATGCTGTATGGTGGATCTCAATAACATATTTTAAACACTAGTCATTATACCAATACAAAACTATGAGGTTAATTTCTAACATATATTTTAGGATAATTTAAGTAAAATCCTCTGGTATAGATTTTGAAAACAATATTTTGGAAGTATCAACATCTGAAGTATGGATTTTTGATTAGGACAATTTGAAAGCTAACCAACCCATCCCTCGAGTATAGATTAAAATTCCCTTGTACACACATACATTCTACCATTTAAACTGAAGGATTACTCTGTACAAACAGTGTAACACCCAGGCCAATTTCTCTAGTGAGCTCTACAATTCTTATCTCTCTGTCAAACAGGGCCTCATTTCCTCGCATTAGCTTAAAGATATATTCAAATCTATTCCATCTTTAAAAGCAAAACCGATTCCCCATCCCCATGTTCATACCCTCTACCCTCTACAAAAAGCTGCCTTGACTCCAAGATATACTCTTATCATACACCAAACAATTTAACCTCTTGGTGCCTTATTTTCTTTTCCTATAAAATGGTCATAATAATATAAAACTCTCAAGATAATTTATATTCATGTTCCCTTTTTCATTTTAAATGTCACTTCCCCTGGGAAGCCCTCCTGACTTACATCCCTACCAAAACTGAATCATAAAGAGATAATAAGTCTAAACAGACCTATAAGTAGTAAGAACACTGAGTCAGTAATCAAAATTCTCCCAACAAATAAAAGCCAAGCACCAGGTAACTTCATTAGTGAATTCTACCTGTTTAAAAAAGAATTAATGCCAATCCTTCTCAAACTCCTCCAAAAAATTTAAGAGAAGTGAACATTTCCAAATTCATTTTATGAGGCCAGAGTTATCCTTATACCAAACCCAGACCAGAACTCTATAAGGAAGGAAAACTGCAGGCCAGTATCCCTGATGACTATAGATACAAAAATTATCAATAAAATACTAGCAAACTGAATCCAATGGCTCATTAAAAGACTCATATAGCATGACTAAATAAAATTTATCCCTAAAATGCAAGTATGATTAAACATACCAAAATCAATTAATGTGAAACAACACATTAATAAAATAAAGAATAAAAATCATTTAATCGTCTCCATAGATGCAAAGTATTTGGCAAAAGTCAGCCCTCTTTCATGATAAAAACTCTCAACGAACTAGGAATAGAAAGTCACTCAACATAATAAAGACCATATATGAGAAGCCCATAGCTAGCATCATATTCAATAGTGAAAAACTAAAAACTGTTCTTCTAAGATCAAGAACAAGGCAAGGATTCTTGCTTCTTCTAGTCAATATAGTTCTGGAAGTCTAAGCCAGAGCAATTAGGCAAGAAAAAGAAATAAAAGGCATCCAAATTGAAAAGAAAGAAGTTAAATTGCCCCTGTTTGTAGACAACATGATCTTATATATAGAAAATCCTAAAAACTCCATAAAAATCTGTTAGCACTAATAAATGCAGTAAAGCTGCATGATAAAAATTAACATACAAATAAAAAACATTTCTACACACTAAAAAAGAATACCTGAAAAGATAGTTAGGAAAACAATCCCATTTACAATAGCACCAAGATGAATAAAATATTTAAGTAAGGATGTAAAAGACTTATGTAAATGTGTGCCTAAGAGATATTATGGGTACAGTTCTAGAACACTGAAATAAAGCAAATTTTTCAATAAAATGGGTAACGCAAATTCTTTGGTTTCCCAGTGCATATATAAAAGTTGTTTACATTATCCTATAGTTTATTAAGTGTGTGATCACATTGTCTTTAAAAAGTATACGTCTTAACTAAAAAATACTTTATTGCTAAAAAAATGCTAACAATCATCTGAACCTTCAGTGAGTCATAATGTTTTTGCTTGTGGAGGGCCCTGACTCAATGTTGATGGCTGTCTACTGATCAAAGTAGTAATTGTTAATGGTTGGGGTGGCTGTGACAATTTCTTTAAACAAGACAACAGTGAAATTTGCTGCATTGATTGACTCTTCGTTTCATGAAAGGTTTCTCTGTGGCATGTAATGCTGCAGATGGCATTTTATGCATGGTAGAACTTCTTTAAAAACTGGAGTCAGTCTGCTCAAACTCTGCCACTGCTTTATCAACTAAGTTTATATAATATTCTAAATCCTTAGTTGTCATTTCAATGTTCATAGAATCTTCACCAGCAGTAGATTTCATCTAAAAAAAAAAAAAAACCACTTTCTTTGATCATCCATAAGAAGCAACTCTTTATCTGTCCAAGTTTTATCGTGAGATTGCAGCAATTCAGGCACATCTTTGGGCTGCACTTCTAATTCTAGTTCTCTTGCCATTTCCATGACATCTGCAGTTACTTTCCCCACTCAAGTCTTGAGTCTCTCGAAGTCGTCCATTAGGGTTGTAATCAATTTCTTTCAAATTCTGTTAATGCTGATATTTTGACCTCCTGGAAGTTTTTTGTTTGTTCGCTTGTTTTATTTTTTGAGATAGGGTGTTGCTCTGGCCCTGAGGCTGTGTGGCACCATCGTAGCTCACTCTATGTAGCCTTGAACTCCTGGACTCAAGTGATCCTCCAGCCTTAGCCTCCTGAGTAGCTAGGACTACAGGCATGTGCCACCATGCCTGGGTTTTTTTAAACTTTATTTTAAATTTATTTTTGTAGGGACAGGGTCTTCCTATGTTGCCCAGGCTGGTCTCACACTCCTGACCTCAAGTGATCCTCCCACTTTGGCCTCCCAAACCACTGGGATTACAGGTGTGAGCCCCCACTCCCAACCACAAATGTTCTTATGGCATGTAGAATGGTGAATCTTTTCCAGAAGGTTTTCAATTTACGTTGCCAGATCCATCAGAAGAATCACTATGTATGGCAGCTATAACCTTACAAAATATATTTCTTAAATAATAAGACCTGAAAGTCAAAATTATGCCTGGATTCCTAGGCTGCAGAATGGGTATTGTGTTACAAGGCATGAAAACAATATGAATCACTTTGTTTATTTTCATCAGAGCTCTTGAGTGACCAGGTGCATTGTCAATGAGCAGCAATATTTTGAAAGGAATATTTTTCTTTTCTGAGCAGTAGGTCTCAACAGTGAGCAAAACGGTCAGCAAACCATGCTGTAAACAGATACGTGCTGTCATCAGTGCTTTGTTGTTCCATCTATAGAACACAGGCAGAAAATATTTAGCATAATTCTAAAGGGCCCTCATATTTTCAGAATGTTAAATTAGCTTCAGCTTCAACTGAAAATCACCAACTACATTAAGCCCCCAACAAGAAATTCAGCCTATCCTTTGAAGCTTTGAAGACCTGCATTGACTTCTCTCTAGTTATGAAAGTCCCAGAGAGCATCGTCTTCCAACAAAAAGCTGTTTCATCTACATTGAAAGTCTGTTGGTTAGTGTAGCCAGTTTTATCAATT
The DNA here is from genome assembly GCF_000001405.40 of Homo sapiens. Lineage (NCBI taxonomy): Eukaryota > Metazoa > Chordata > Mammalia > Primates > Hominidae > Homo > Homo sapiens. The sequence goes on from NC_000004.12 coordinate 141,536,658, forward strand.
ACGCTAGCTAGATCTTTTGGATAACTTACTGCAGCTTTTTCATCAGCATTTGCTGTTTCAACTTGCATTTTTATGTTGTACAGACAGTTTTTTTCCTATTTTTATTTTTTAGACCGAGTCTCACCCTGTCACCTAGGCTGGAGTGCAGTGGTGCGATCTCGGCTCACTACAATCTCCACCTCCTGGGCTCAACTGATTCAAGCGATTCTCTTGCCTCAGCCCCCTGAGTAGCTGGCTAATTTTCGTATTTTTAGTAGAGATGGAATTTCACCACATAGGCCAGGCTGGTCTGGAAGTCCTGGCCTCAAGTGACCCACCCGCCTTGGCCTCCCAAAGTTCTGGGATTACGAGCATGAGGCACCATGCCCAGCTGACAGCTTCTTTTCTTAAACCTCATGAACCAGCCTCTGCTAGCTTTAAACTTTTCTTCTGCAGCTTCCTCACCTCTCCCAACCTTCATAGACTTGAAAAGAGCTAGGACTTTGCTCTGGATTAGGCTTTGGCTGGTTTGATCTATCCAGACTACTCAAATTTTCTCCCTATCAGCAATAAGGCTATTTTGATTTCCTATCATTCGTGTGTTCACTGGAGTAGTACTTTTAATTCCTTCTAGAACATTTTCTTTGCATTCACAACTTGGCTAACTGTTTGGTGTGAAAGGCCTAGCTTTCAGTCTATCTTAGGATTTCTACCTGCCTTCTTCACTAAACATAATCATTTCTAGCTTTTGATTTAAAGTAAGAGACATGTGACTCTTCCTTTTACTTGAACACTTAGAAGCCATTGTGTGGTTGTTAATTGGCCTAATTTCAATATTGTTATGTCTCAGGGATAGTAAGACCTGAATTGAGGCAGAGAGATATGGGAATTGCCTGTGGATAGAGCAATCAGAATACATGCATTTATCAATTAAGTTTGCTATCTTATATGGGTGTAACTTGTTGTGCCCCTAACAATCACAATAGTAACATCAAAGGTCATTCATCACAGAACCCTGTAACAGATATAATAATTTAAAAAATTAAAATATTGTGAAAATTACCAAAATATAATTCAGAGACATGAAGTGAGCACATGCTATTGGAAAAATTATGCTGAATAAACTTAGTCAGTGCAGGATTGTCACAAACCTTCAATTCATAAAAAAAAAACAAAAAAGTAACAACTGAAGCAATATTAAAGAAAAATCCCGATAAAATGAGGTATGTCTATATTGAAAACTATAAAATATTGAGAAAAACTATAGGAGACACAAACTAAGAGAAAGGTATCCTGTGTTTGTGGACTGAAAGACCTCATATTGTTAAAATGTCCATATGACCTGAAGTGATCTACAGAGTTAATGAACTTTCTATAAAAATTCTAATGACTTTTTTAATATAAATAGATAAACAGTCCTAAATTTATGTGGAACTACAAATGACCATGAATACTCAAATCATTCTTGAGAAATAAGAACAAAATAAGATGCATCAGAGTTCTTGATTTCAAACTATATTACAAAGCTACAATAATCAAAACAATATGGCATGGCCATAAAGACAGATATATAGATCAATGGAACAGAATAGGAATCCCAGAGATAAATCTATGTATACATGATCAACTGCATTTCAAAAAGGATGCCAAAAATACACAATGGGGAAAGAATTGTCTCTTTAATAAGCGGTGTTGGGAAAACTGAATATCCATATGCCAAGAATGAAATTGGAATCTTACTTTACACCATCCACAAAAATCAACTCAAAACTGATTACAGATTTAAACGTAAGACCTGACGCTATAAGACATCTAGAAGAAACACAAGGGAAAAGCCTCACGACTTGGTCTTGGCAATGATTTTCATAGATAAAACACCAAAAGCACAGGCAATAAAAGCAAAAAATAGACAGATGGAATTATGTCAAATGAAGAAGCTTCTGCACAGCTAAGGAAACAACAGAGTAAAGTGTCAACCCGTGGAATGAGAGAAAATGTTTGCTAATCATATATTTGATAATGGGTTAATCTCCGAGATATATAAGGAACTCCTACAACTCAATAGCAAAACAAATGTAATAACCCAATTAAAAAATGGGATAAGGACCTAACTGATATTTCTCCAAATAAGACATATAAATGGCCAACAGGTATATTAAAAATCTTCAATGTCACTAATATTCAGAGAAATGCAAATCAAAACCACAATGATGTATCACCTCATACCTGTCAGGATGGCTGTTATCAAAAAAACAAAGGACAACAAGTGTTGGGGAAAACGTGGAGAAATTGGAATCTGGGTGCATTATTGCTGGGGATGTAAAATGTTACAACCACTATGAAAAATAATACAGTTTCATTAAAAAATTGAAAAAGAACTACCATATAATCTAGCAATCCCACTTCTAGTATTTATCCAAAAGAATTAAAATCAGGACCTAGAAGAGATATTAACACTCTCATGTTCATTATAGCACTATTCACAATAGCCAAGATGTGAAAACAATCTAAATGTTCATCAGTAGATGAATGGATGAAGAAAACAGGGTATATACATAGGAGGGCATATTATTCAGCCTAAAAAAGAATGATATTTGGCAATATGGAACAGCATGAATGAATATGGAGACTATTATGCTAACTGAAATAAGCCAATCACAAAAAGGCAAATACTTCATAATTCACTTACATGATGTAACTGTAATATTAAAAGTCATAGAATTGAAGAGTGGAATGATGATTAGCAGAGGCTGAAGGAGGGGTAAATGAGGAGTTACCAATCAACTTGCGTAAATTTTCACTTAAGCAAGATAAATAAGTTGATTATTGATTAGCTGAGAGCTACATAATGTTGTACCTATCGTCATCAATAGTGTATCAATAATGTATTGTACACTTAAATTTTGTTTTGTTTTGTTTTGTAGATGGAGTCTCGCTCTGTGGCCCAGGCTGGAGTGCAGTGGCATGATCTCGGCTCGTTGCAACCTCTGCCTCCTGGGTTCAAGCGAGTCTCCTGCCTCAGCTTCCCCAGTAGCTGGGACTATGGATGCATGTCACCAAGCCCAGCTAATTTTTTTTATTTTCAGTAGAGATGGGGTTTCATCATGTTGGCCAGGATGGACTCCATCTCCTGACCTCGGTACACTTAAAATTTTAAGAAGGTAGATATTGGCCAGGCACAGTCACTCACACCTGTAATCCCAGCACTTTGGGAGGCCGAGGAGGGTGGATCACTTGAGCTTAGGAGTTTGAGACCAGCCTGGGCAATATGATGAAACCCTGTCTCTACTAAAAATACAAAAATTAGCCAGGCGTGGTGGCACAAGCCTGTAGTCCCAGCTTCTCAGGTGGCTGGGATGGGAGAATCTCTTGAACCCCAGAGGCAGAGGCTGCAGTGAGCTGAGATCATGCCACTGAATCCAGACAGAGTGAGACCCTGTCTCCAAAAAGAAAGAAAGAAAAAAAGAAAGAAAGAAAAGAAAAGAAAGTAGACATTGTGTTAGGTGTTTTATTGCCACAATAAAATAAAATAATTTAAATTTAAGATAGAATTATCATATGATTCAGCAATTCTACTCCTATGACTATACCCAAAAGAATTGAAAACAGTTATTCAAGCAAATGCTTGTACAGAAAACTTTATAACATCACTGCTCAAATAGTCAAGAGGTGGAAACAACTCAAATGTTTATTAGTTTATGGATGGGTAAACAAAATGTGGTGTGTCTATATAATGGAATAACATTTTATCTTTTTTTTTTTTTTTTTTTGAGACGGAGTCTTGCTCTGTCGCCCAGACTGGAGTGCAGTGGCGGGATCTCGGCTCACTGCAAGCTCCGCATTCACGTCATTTTCCTGCCTCAGCCTCCCCAATAGCTGGGACTACAGATGCCCGCCACCACGCCCAGCTAATTTTTTGTATTTTTAGTAGAGATGGAGTTTCACCGTGTTAGCCAGGATGGTCTCAATCTCCTGACCTCGTGATCCACCCGCCTCAGCCTCCCAAAGTGCTGGGATTACAGGCATGAGCCACCACGCCCAGCCATAACATTCTATCTTTCAAAGGAAAGAAGGAAATACTTCTACATGACACAAAGTGGATAAACTTTGAAAATATTATACTAAGTGAAAGGAAAGGTCACATATTCTATGATTTCATTTATAGGGAATGTCCAGAACCAGTAAATACATAGCAACAGAAAGCACATTAGTAGTTGCCAGGAACTGGGGGAGTGGGAGTGGAAGTGACTGCTTAATGGGAGTGAGGTTTTCTTTTGGGGTGATGAATAGATGTGATGGTTGCACAAAATTGTGACGGTATTAAATGCCACTGAATTATATCCTTTAAAATGATTAATTTTATGTTATACAAATTTTACTTCAATAGAAATTAAATAAATAAAGGAGAACACATTCCAGAAAAGTATGGGTGCCAAGGTGATTCAAGAATGTAGCTCTGAGATCTTTCAGTTCAGAAAAAGGTATTCCAGTCAGAAGACTAAAGCCAGAATACTCAAGGGGAAATAGTGGACTAAAGGTACTAGGGTAAGGATTTTATAGCATGAGGAAGAGAATGCTTTGTTATGAGTAGATATTCCAAGTTCTCAGGAAAGGAGAGGATTGATAGTATAAAAAGAGCTATTATGGCTATATTATTTTTAGAGCTGCCTGTTATTCATTTTTTTTAAGGTACAGAACTTTCTCGTAGCAATGAACCTCTCAGGGGTAGGTGCTTATAAGATGCCTTCTGGTTAACTTTGAAAAACATATGGTAATATCATATCTAGATATCTTCTTTCCACCCCTATTTCTCCCACCAAGACAACCCCTTTCCCCCAAAATATGGTAGTATGTTTTCTCTGAATATTTTTGATTGACAGCTACAGCAAGCGACTCTCTGAAGGCTTGGTCAGAGCAGCTGTAATGTCATTCAACCAGGACTGATGAAAGAAAGCCCACATGTCACTGTTTATTGAGTATTGAGTTTAATTGTCCCTGTAAAGACTTCAAATCTTCCCTCTGTAAACATACAGTTACAGGATTTTGAAGTTCATACACACACACACACACACACACACACACACACACACACACCACTTAGTAATACAGTGTTTTAAGACATTTTTTGCCCCTATGCCCTCATTTTACAAATCTGAAAACAGACTTAGTGAGAAGAATTAGCCTAGAAGTTAGTGAGGAGAAGAACCAGCTTTTGGTTATTAAGCCCTGGGTCCTTTCACCTCCACAAAGATGCTTCACAGAGGTGTAAAGTGTCTTAGTCTCAATGGTCTTATACGGCGTTCAATCACATGAGACTCAAGAGGAGCAGTCACCTCAGTAATCTTAATTTTCTCTGTGCTTTCCTTCTGCTAGAAATCTTGGCCCTCCATCATAGAATTATCTGGAAAAGCCCAGGGGAGTTGAAATACTGACTCAGTGCAATTCTATTTTTAGACACAGACTTAATGGTTGACTCCCATTGAAATAACTGAAATACAGAATTGAAGCTTACTGCTTCAGAGTACTAAAAAAACTTTGTGTTTTGGGGGTTAGTTAAGAGTATTGAATATTCTCTGTGGTCAAGGGGCAGGGTTGCTTTTTGTGTGTGTCTTCTGTGCCTAAAATGGTATTTGGCATTTAGTAGAAGTTCAGTTCACATTAGCTGATGGAGAAAGGCCCACTAGTCTATTCTTATCCTTTAGTACAGCGGTCCTCAACCTTTTTGGCACCAGGGATGAGTTTCATGGAAGACCATTTTTAGATGAATGGGGGGGGGGTGGCTTCGGGATGAAACTGTTCCACCCCAGATCATCAAGCATTAGATTCTTATAAGGAGTGCACAACCTAGATCACTCACGTGTGCAGTTCACAGTAGGATTCTCACTCCTGTAAGAAATCTAATGCCTCCACTGATCTGAGAGGAGGCGGCAGAGCTCAGGTGGCAATGCTCACTCACCTGCTGCTCACCTCCTGCTGTGGGCCCAGTCCCTAATGATACCGGTCTGTGGCCCAGGGGCTGGGAACCCCTGCTTTAGTAAGCTCACTCTGACAAGCCGTGTCTTAATGAAAGGCAGTGTGGATAGCTGTTGAGGATGTGGATTTTGCCCAGTTTTAAAGCCCAGGCCTGACACTTCTTATCTTAGTTATTTATTCATCTGCATGTCTGTAAAATCATTATAATAACAATACCTGCATATAGGGTTACATGACTATGAGGATTAGATGATTTTATCTAATTAAAATAGTGTCTGGCACTTAATAAGCACTGTGTGTCTGCAGTTATTATTATAAATATGAGTCCTAGGGTCATACTACAGAAGTTAGTCATGGTTTAACAGATACTACACGTAAAGGATTATGTGAGTTCATAAGAGACAATGTGCACATTTATACAAGTATATAAAGTTGGGGTTTATCACCATAAAGATGTTTTATGAAATTATTTTGCAGTTATCTGTCCTTTTAAAAATTGCTTCCCTCTTATCTCTACCAAAGAAAACTGTTCAGTAAAAGTTTATGATTAGGTTCTCATAATCTATCGTAATATTCAGTTGATTAAGACAAGATAAGTCTCAGTAAGGCAATATTCTGTAAGGGAGATGGCTTTCCTGATTTTTGTAGGCTGTGCAGATACAATATATAATGACTGCAAAAGTTTGCTAGAGCCTGCCAAACACAGGTGCTTCTCTAAACAATACTAGGAGAAGATATTTACTCAAACAAAAAAGGCTTTAAGACTGACTCATGGAGTATACTACCCATTATGAAATATATAGTAGCTTACTCATAAATTATAAGTCTCTATTATGTACTCAATATATATGTCCTTATTAAATGAATAGCATGGTATAGAAAAAGCTGGTGAAAATCTTTACCCTACAGTATGGATTTTTCTTGTTTAAGTTTTTCTATTTATGTATTAGTTTATTCTGAGATGCTACTTCCTAATATCAGAGTTCTTATTTCCTTCCATTTAAAGAAAATTCTTAGTTCATAGATCTGTAATTGCTCAAAATGTTATGTGTGGAGTTTTTACTAAGTTTGCTCATGTAGTTTGTGCGATAAGCTGGGTTCCCATTCCTGCTTCAAGCTACTTCCCTTCCACCTACCCGGGTTCCATGGGTTTGCTACAACTTCCTAGTCCTTTGTTAAAAGGAATGGCTAATTGGGACAAACTGAAAATGAACTGCCAGCTCCATTTAGAAAGGACCATGGTGCCAGGATGAACTTTATGTGACTATCATACATGCTCCAGATTGCAGCAATTTGAGGATCTTAAGCATTTCACCATTTTATGATCAATATCAATGTGGTGCTCTAGAGTCAACTTGCCATTTGAAAGAGGAACATGAGCTTCCTGAAAAAGAAATGTCAATGGCTAAACTTGTTTCTTTGTGTTTGAGCTCTTTTTTCTTTGGAAAATGAAATACATGTTATGACTCGCAAAAATATAACAATTCAGAATTCAATAACAGGTAAAGATTGTCATTCTTTCTATTTTTTTCTTTTCTTTTTTCTTTTTTGAGACAAAGTCTTGCTCTGGTGCCCAGGCTGTAGTCAGTGGCCCGGTCTTAGCTCACTGCAATCTCTGTCTCCCGGGTTCAAGAGATTCTCCTTCCTCAGCCTCCCGAGTAGCTGGGATTACAGGTGTGCACCACCATACCCTGCTAATTTTTGTGTTTTTGTAGAGACGAGGTTTCACCACATTGGCCAGGCTGGTCTCGAACTCCTGAGCTCAAGTGATCTGCCCGCCTCAGCCTCCCAAAGTGCTGGTATTACAAGCATGAGCCACTGCACCCGTCCGAGATTATCATTATTTCTATTAACAAGCATGTAAAACAGATAAGATGAAAATTAAGAAAAAGTAAAATTATTCCCATGGACAAAAATTAAGTCATTGAAGTCATATAGAAGAATAGTAAACACATAAAATCACACACACAAAAATCCATTAAATCAGTGCATTTTTTCACAATGAAAATAAAATATTTAGATGAAATAATGTAACCTTTGATATTGATATTAATATTGATGAAATAATGTAACCTTTTGATATTGATATTAATATTGATGAAATAATGTAACCTTTTGATATTGAGTTAAACTGAATTGGAAACACTCTTACAGGGTTAATAACAATTTCTTCATTAGAAGGATTTTTTCCTTACATTTTGTTCTTTATGTAAAAGACATATTCTTTCAAATCTTTAATAAAGCACTATAATTCATTTTACCAACATACTGTAACATATGCCATAAAAATATAATGTGCCATAGATCATTCTACAGACTTCCGTAAACCAAGGAATTGGTGAAAATAAATCACATTGTCTTCTATTTTGCCTTGAAAGTAAACATCAATACTCAGGGAAAAGAAAAACAAAACCACAATTTCTGGATAAAATGTAAAATGTCACTAAAGACTTTAATTAACAGGAAACCCTTCATGTGAAAATAGGGTGCTTCAAACTTATTTTTATTACCCATTAAGGGTTTATAGGATTAATTTGCAATTATTACATATTCGTGCTTCGCGACAATATTCTTAACTATCTTGAGTCTACAATGAGAATAACATAGTATAGCTACACTCCAGCAACCCTACCCACTGCCACAAAATTAGTCTTATCCTTCCAAAGGCCAGCTCTGATCACACCATAACCTTATTTAAAAATTGTAATGATTTTCTATTTACCTAAAAAAAAAAAAGTGTCACTGTGTAGTTCAGTACTCAACATCCTCCAGACCCTCACTCACCCCCTGCCTCCCAATGTCGTATCTCATCTAATGTCCAGCCAAACTTCATTATTCCCTAAAATTCCTGTCTGTGCTTTTGCTCAGACTGCTCCTTCTGCTAACAGTTTTTCCCTGTGGTGGCATGTTCAAATGCTAGATAACTTTTTTCCATCCAATCTTTGCCTGTTGAAACCTAAATAATATCTAAAGCTCAATCAAATTTCAACTTCTTTATGAATGCTTCTTTCCATACAAAACTCTTCTTCTTGGCCCTATACTGGTGTTCATCCCTGTAATCCCAGCACTTTGGAAGGCCCAGGCAGGTGGATCACCTGAGGTCAGGAGTTCGTGACCAGCCTGGCCAACATGATGAAACACCATCTCTACTAAAAACACAAAAATTAGCCAGAACTGTTGGTGGGCACCTGTAATCCCAGCTGTTTGGGAAGCTGAGGCAAGAGAATTGCTTGAACCCTGGAGGCAGAGATTTCAGTGAGCCAAGATCATGCCACTGCATTCCAGCTGGGCAACAAGAGTGAAACTCCATCTTAAAAAAAAAAAAAAAATCTTCTTCTAAACCCCTGTATATAGTGAGTACTTTGTACCCCAAATTGTCATTATTTTCATATCTTTCTTAACTCCCTTACAAAACCATAGCTCTTTGAAAGCAGGATGCATAAGAGATTAATTTTAGAACCCAGAGTGAAGAGTGCAAAGTGAATCATCTGGAATATGTGCTGAGTGAAATTATATTCTGTATCTTTGAATTCATTGTTGATTCTAATTTGAATGATTCTCTCCTTTTATGCTTACTTGGATCTGGTTTTCTTGAGAGACAAGGGGAGGGACAAAGAAGAAAATGGGGAGTGAGTTCCCATTGGTTCCTTTTTAGAAAAATTGCCCCAGCTTTCTTCCTTTGCCCTAACAATTACTTGACTGCTTGACTACTTACCCATGTTCCAAATGTTGAATTGGTCATTCAGACCTCAGAAGTAAGTGGGCTTAAGCAAAGCAAATGTCAAATAATTGTCAGTTAAAAAATAAGAAAGTACTCCTTTAAATGGAAGGGAACTATAAAATGGAAATGGAGCATATCATTTTATATCCTGAATATGTAAACATACTGTTTAGAACATAAGGCTTTTAGAATTTAACAACTTGTCACAAGTCCCAAAAGCCCTGTCATCCTCCATGCTGAAAAAAAGATAGACACATTTTAAAATATTGCAAATATATGAAACTAAAGAGGATCTGATATTTGACTCAGACAGTTAAATTTATACCAAAATAAAACTGGAATCCCTAGTTATATAGCTCCACATTTTGGAGGCAGGTTACATTTTGGAGTTCAGAATGAAAGTAAATCCAAGGCTCCCAAAGCAGACACAATTTTAAAAAATTTCCGAAACCATTTGTCAACCTGTTTCATATATCAGCTACAATGAATTACAGTTTAGAGAAATCGTACTTAGAATGGAGGCAAAGTGAGATTAACCCACTAGGCCATATCTTGTTTTCAAGTACACACCTCTAGCATCAGTTAAAAAAGAAATACTTTTTATTACATTGACATTGATAAAAACAGAATTTTGTCCTGTTGAATTTTCCTTCCATTTCAATCTTTTGGGAGAAATTCTTAAATTATTTTAAGCCAGCAGAATAACGTAATCTCCAAAGTTTTACTATCAACTCTTCCCAGAGCACTGTTAATATGCAGAAGCCTAGAAAATTTAAGGGATCTGTCTTAGATGTAAGTGGTTATGAAAATAAAATCCTCTATGGCATGTTAAATGCCCAAAAAGACCTATCTGCTTCTCATTTTAATAGTAACTCTCGTTTTACCTAAACTCCTAAGTTCATGCTTTATGCTATGCAACATCTTGGGAAAGACTTTTAGTAAATTTCACTTATAGGGTAGTAGTATGTTCTAAATTTTCAAAGCTTGGGGATTCAGATTTTTTGTCTCTCTCTCTCTCTCTCTCTTTGTAGTTGAGCCTATGTGACATCATTATTATCAATCCAACCAAATTTTGCTTTTGAGTCTGGCCATTATATTACACATTGCTTAAGTTCTTCTGTTAATAGTATTTTCATTAATCACCCACCACTCTCTACGTTACCTCCCACATCCTCTGAACCCACTTTAATTTGGTTCCAACCTTCCACCACTGAAATAGGATTCCTCCCTCAAGGGTCACCGATGATGTTTTAAATATAAAGTTCTCTTTTTAGTAATTCTCCTTAACCTCTCTACAATGCTTGGGACTGTTGGCCACCTTCTCTTTCTTGAATCTCTTCTATGTGTCTAATTACTGCTATGTATCTTGCATGATTCTTCTCTGTATTTGATCACTCTTTCTCATTTCACTTTACTACACCTACTGCTCTCTAAATATTGGCATTTTTCTGGCTTCCATCCTTGGTCCATTTCCTTTCATACCTTGTTTTTTGAGTGATCTCCTTCTCAGTGATGAATGCAAGGCTGACCTTCCTACCAAGATATAGATTCCTATTTCCAAATGGAAAAGGCTTCTGAATATGTTCACTTAGATGCTCTGCAGATTTCTCAAGACTAATATACACCAAACTAAACTAATATATTTTTCTCTTATATGCCTACTTTTAGCCGACTAGGTATTACCAGTTTTATATATGACTTCTATTCAGTTTCCAACCTGGAGACCTTAGGTTTCGTTTTACTCCCATTCTCTTTCTACCTTCCCCCTGCCCAATCTAATCTGTCACAGAGCCTCATGGGTTTACCTTCACAGTGTTCCTCAGATAATTCCTTCATTGCTGCTTCTACTCTTTCTGATCCCTGATCAGATCATCATTTTTCATCTAGTCCCTAAATCACCTTCAGATTTCCCCCATATTCAAGTCTTCCTCATTCCACCTTAACATTGCCATAATCCTCCTTCAAAAATATATGGTTGATGGTAATTTTTCCATTTTATAAATTCTTCAAAATCTTTCAAAGACTGTAAAATAAAATAGAACAAGGAAAAAGATGAAGGGACTATGGTGAGCTGGAGCCAGCTCCTAGCAGCTCTCTAGGGCAAAGAATGTTTTAGTTTGCTATTCTGTCAATACTTTAGTTCCTCTGTTTCTTCTGTGCTTTGCATAAGGTATAGATTTTACAGCCATTCAGATCTGCAATTATATTAATTCCTGGCATGGACTTTTTCAAAGATTAGGCAATCCAACTAATAATGCTTTTTTCACTGACTATAAACTTCTCCAAATATTACAACAGATAATTCATAAAATTGGCATTTCTAAATTTGGAGACTTATTAGCACTCTCTCAACAACTTTATAGCAGGATTTTTTAAAAAATGATCTTAATTTTGCCTCCATCTTACACCACAATGAAATTTTGATAGCTTAGAATCAGTGTGATTTTTTTCAGCATGCTCTATCACTGATGTTAAAAATTTGTTTCATAAGTAGGCCATTTGAAGCCCTCTGAAGAAATCAGAGAACAGTCAGATTCCTACATTCTAAGCCATTCTGAATTATACAGCTGAACCCAAGACAGGGTCATTTCCCCAGGGTGCCTCTGAACCAAGAAAAACAAATACTTCAAGGAGCAAAACATAAATTTCTAGTGTTTACATCTAATTCAAGCTCTAGAGTTGCATCTTCAAACTTGATTACACCTTGGACCTTAGTTGAGCTGTAGCTGGACTTGAGCTTTTAATAAATCATTCTAGTATTAGTCATAGCACAATACTCAAATTCTCTCTCTGCCTTAGAAATTGTAGTTTACAAATCCTTGACCTTTATTTAATTCTGAAATATTCTTTCTTTTTTTTTTTAATGCCACATCCTCTAGTCAGAATACAAGATATTTTGGAATTTAAGAAACACAGTTATCTTGATACTAGAGCAGCATTTAGAAAATAAACCATTCTTGGTGGAGCCAAGATGGCTGAATAGGAACAGCTCCGGTCTACAGCTCCCAGCATGAGTGATGCAGAAGACGGGTGATTTCTGCATTTCCATCTGAGGTACCGGGTTCATCTCACTAGGGAGTGCCAGACAGTGGGTACAGGACAGTGGGTGCAGGACAGTGGGTGCAGTGCACCATGCGTGAGCCGAAGCAGGGCGAGGCATTGCCTCACTCGGGAAGCACAAGGGGTCAGGGAGTTCCGTTTCCTAGTCAAAGAAAGGGGTGACAGACGGCACCTGGAAAATCGGGTCACTCCCACCCTAATACTGCACTTTTCCAACGGGCTTAAAAAACGGCACACCAGGAGATTATATCCGCACCTGGCTTGGAGGGTCCTATGCCCACGGAGTATCGCTGATTGCTAGCACAGCACTCTGAGATCAAACTGCAAGGTGTCAGCGAGGCTGGGGGAGGGGCGCCTGCCATTGCCCAGGCTTGATTAGGTAAACAAAGCAGCCTGGAAGCTCGAACTGGGTGGAGCCCCACCACAGCTCAAGGAGGCCTGCCTGCCTCTGTAGGCTCCACCTCTGGGGGTAGGGCACAAACAAAAAGACAGCAGTAACCTCTGCAGACTTAAATGTCCCTGTCTGACAGCTTTGAAGAGTAGTGGTTTTCCCAGCAGGCAGCTGGAGATGTGAGAACAGGGAGATTGCCTCCTCAAGTGGGTCCTTGACCCCCGAGCAACCTAACTGGGAGGCATCCCCCAGTAGGGGCAGACTGACACCTCACATGGCCAGGTACTCCTCTGAGACAAAACTTCCAGAGGAACGATCAGACAGCAGCATTTGCAGTTCGCCAAGATCCGCTGTTCTACAGCCACCGCTGTACTGCAGCCACTGCTGCTGATACCCAGGCAAACAGGGTCTGGAGTGGACCTCTAGCAAATTCCAACAGACCTGCAGCTGAGGGTCCAGTCTGTTAGAAGGAAAACTAACAAACAGAAAGGACATCCACACCAAAAACCCATCTGTACATCACCATCATCAAAGACCAAAAGTAGATAAAACCATAAAGCTGGGGAAAAAACAGAGCAGAAAAAATGGAAACTCTAAAAAGCAGAGTGCCTCTCCTCCTCCAAAGGAACAGAGCTCCTCACCAGCAACGGAACAAAGCTAGACGGAGAGTGACTTTGATGAGTTGAGAGAAGAAGGCTTCAGACGATCAAATTACTGCGAGCTACAGGAGGAAATTCAAACCAATGGCAAAGAAGTTAAAACCTGTGAAAAAAAATTAGACAAATGGAAAACTAGAATAACCAATGCAGAGAAGTCCTTAAAGGAGCTGATGGAGCTGAAAGCCAGGCTCGAGAACTACGTGAGGAATGCAGAAGCCTCAGGAGCCGATGCGACCAACTGGAAGAAAGGGTATCAGTGATGGAAGATGAAATGAATGAAACGAAGCGAGAAGGGAAGTTTAGAGAAAAAAGAATAAAAGGAAATGAACAAAGCCTCCAAGAAATATGGGACTATGTGAAAGACCAAATCTACATCTGATTGGTGTACCTGAAAGTGACGGGGAGAATGGAACCAAGTTGGAAAACACTCTGCAGGATATTTTCCAGGAGAACTTCCCCAATCTAGCAAGGCAGGCCAACATTCAGATTCAGGAAATACAGAGAACGCCACAAAGATACTCCTCAAGAAGAGCAACTCCAAGACACATAATTGTCAGATTCAGCAAAGTTGAAATGAAGGAGAAAATGTTAAGGGCAGCTAGAGAGAAAGGTCGGGTTACCCACAAAGGGAAGCCCATCAGACTAACAGCAGACCTCTTGGCAGAAATTCTACAAGCCAGAAGAGAGTGGGGGCCAATATTCAACATTCTTAAAGAAAAGAATTTTCAACCCAGAATTTCATATCCAGCCAAACTAAGCTTCATAAGTGAAGGAGAAATAAAATCCTTTACAGACAAGCAAATGCTAAGAGATTTTGTCACCACCAGGCCTGCCCTAAAAGAGCTTCTGAAGGAAGCACTAAACATGGAAAGGAACAACCGGTACCAGCCACTGCAAAAACATGCCAAAATGTAAAGACCATCAAGGCTAGGAAGAAACTGCATCAACTAATGTGCAAAATAACCAGCTGACATCATAATGACAGGACCAAATACACACATAACAATATTAACTTTAAATGTAAATGGACTAAATTCTCCAATTAAAAGACACAGACTGGCAGATTGGCTAAAGAGTCACAACCCATCAGTGTGCTGTATTCAGGAAACCCATCTCACGTGCAGAGACACACATAGGCTCAAAATAAAGGGACGGAGGAAGATCTACCAAGCAAATGGAAAACAAAAAAAGGCAGGGGTTGCAATCCTAGTCTCTGATAAAACAGACTTTAAACCAACAAAGATCAAAAGAGACAAAGAAGACCATTACATAATGGTAAAGGGATCAATTCAACAAGAAGAGCGAACTATCCTAAATATATATGCACCCAGTACAGGAGCACCCAGATTCATAAAGCAAGTCCTTAGTGACCTACAAAGAGACTTAGACTCCCACAGAATAATAATGGGAGACTTTAACACCCCACTGTCAACATTAGACAGATCAACAAGACAGAAAGTTAACAAGGATACCCAGGATTTGAACTCAGCTCTGCACCAAGCGGATCTAATAGACATCTACAGAACTCTCCACCACAAGTCAACAGAATATACATTTTTTTCAGCAGCACACCACACCTATTCCAAAATTGACCACATAGTTGGAAGTAAAGCACTCCTCAGCAAATGTAAAAGAACAGAAATTATAACAAACTGTCTCTAAGACCACAGTGCAGTCAAACTAGAACTCAGGACTAAGAAACTCACTCAAAACTGCTCAACTACATGGAAACTGAACAATCTGCTCCTGAATGACTACTGGATACATAAAGAAATGAAGGCAGAAATAAAGATATTCTTTGAAACCAACGAGAACAAAGACACAAAATACCAGAATCTCTGGGACTCATTCAAAGTAGTGTGTAGAGGAAAATTTACAGCACTAAATGCCCACAAGGGAAAGCAGGAAAGATCCGAAATTGACACCCTAATGTCACAATTAAAAGAACTAGAAAAGCAAGAGCAAACACATTCAAAAGCTAGCAGAAGGCAAGAAATAACTAAAATCAGAGCAGAACTGAAGGAAATAGAGACACAAAATCCCTTCAAAAAGTTAATGAATGCAGGAGCTGGTTTTTTGAAAAGATTAGCAAAATCGATAGTCTGCTAGCAAGACGAAGTAAAGAGAGAAGAATCAAATAGACACAATAAAAAATGATAAAGGGGATATCACCACTGATCCCACGGAAATACAAACTACCATCAGAGAATACTACAAACACCTCTACGCAAATAAACTAGAAAATCTAGAAGAAATGGATAAATTCCTCGACACATACACCCTCCCAAGACTAAACCAGGAAGAAGTTGAATCTCTGAATAGAACAATAACAGGCTCTGAAATTGTGGCAATAATCTATAGCTTACCAACCAAAAAAAGTCCAGGACCAGATGGATTCACAGCCGAATTCTACCAGAGGTACAAGGAGGAGCTGGTACCATTCCCTCTGAAACTATTCCAATCAATAGAAAAAAAGGGAATCCTCCCTAATTCATTTTATGAGGCCAGCATCATCCTGATACCAAAGCCAGGCAGAGACACAACCAAAAAAGAGAATTTTAGACCAATATCCTTGATGAACATTGATGCAAAAATCCTCAATAAAATACTGGCAAACCAAATCCAGCAGCACATCAAAAAGCTTATCCAACATGATCAAGTGGGCTTCATCCCTGGGATGCAAGGCTGGTTCAATATATGCAAATCAACAAATGTAATCCAGCATATAAACAGAACCAAAAACAAAAACCACATGATTATCTCAACAGATGCAGAAAAGGCCTTTGACAAAATTCTACAACCCTTCATGCTAAAAACTCTCAATAAATTAGGTATTGATGGGACATATCTCAAAATAATAAGAGCTATCTATGACAAACACACAGCTAATATCATACTGAATGGGCAAAAACTGGAAGCATTCCCTTTGAAAACTGGCACAAGACAGGGATGCCCTCTCTCACCACTCCTATTCAACATAGTGTTGGAAGTTCTGGCCAGGGCAATTAGGCAGGAGAAGGAAATAAAGGGTATTCAATTAGGAAAAGAGGAAGTCAAATTGTCCCTGTTTGCAGATGACATGATTATATATCTAGAAAACTCCATTGTCTCAGCCCAAAATCTCCTTAAGCTGATAAGCAACTTAAGCGAAATCTCAGGATACAAAATCAATGTACAAAAATCACAAGCATTCTTATACACCAATAACAGACAAACAGAGAGCCAAATCATGAGTGAACTCCCATTCACAATTGCTTCAAAGAGAATAAAATACCTAGGAATCCACCTTACAAGGGATGTGAAGGACCTCTTCATGGAGAACTACAAACCACTGCTCAATGAAATAAAAGAGGATACAAACAAATGGAAGAACATTCCATGCTCATGGGTAGGAAGAATCAATATCGTGAAAATGGCCATACTGCCCAAGGTAATTTATAGATTCAATGCCATCCCCATTAAGCTACCAATGACTTTCTTCACAGAATTGGAAAAAACTACTTTAAAGTTCATAGGGAACCAAAAAAGAGCCCGCATCACCAAGTCAATCCTAAGCCAAAAGAACAAAGCTGTAGGCATCATGCTACCTGACTTCAAACTATACTACAAGGCTACAGTAACCAAAAAAGCATGGTACTGGTACCAAAACAGAGATATAGATCAATGGAACAGAACAGAGCCCTCAGAAATAATGCCACATATCTACAACCATCTGATCTTTGACAAACCTGACACAAACAAGCAATGGGGAAAGGATTCCCTGTTTTATAAATGGTGCTGGGAAAACTGGCTAGCCATATGTAGGAAGCTGAAACTGGATCCCTTCCTTATACCTTATACAAAAAATTAATTCAAGATGGATTAAAGTCTTACATGTTAGACCTAAAACCATAAAAACCCTAGAAGAAAACCTAGGCAATACCATTCAGGACATAGGCATGGGCAAGGCCTTCATGTCTAAAACACAAAAAGCAATGGCAACAAAAGCCAAAATTGACAAATGGGATCTAATTAAACTAAAGAGCTTCTGCAGAGCAAAAGAAACTACCATCAGAGTGAACAGGCAACCTACAAAATGGGAGAAAATTTTCACAACCGACTCATCTGACAAAAGGCTAATATCCAGAGTCTACAATGAACTCAAATTTACAAGAAAAAAACAACCCCATCAAAAAGTTGGCAAAGGATATGAACAGACACTTCTCAAAAGAGGACATTTATGCAGCCAAAAAACACATGAAAAAATGCTCATCATCACTGGTCATCAGAGAAATGCAAATCAAAACCACAGTGAGATACCATCTCACCCCAGTTAGAATGGCAATCATTAAAAAGTCAGGGAACAACAGGTGCTGGAGAGGATGTGGAGAAATAGGAAGACTTTTACACTGTTGGTGGGACTGTAAACTAGTTCAACCATTGTGGAAGTCAGTGTGGCGATTTCTCAGGGATCTAGAACTAGAAATACCATTTGACCCAGCCATCCCATTACTGGGTATATACCCAAAGGATTGTAAATCATGCTGCTATAAAGACACATGCACATGTATGTTTATTGCAGCACTATTCACAATAGCAAAGACTTGGAACCAACCCAAATGTCCAGCAATGATAGACTGGATTAAGAAAATGTGGCACATATACACCATAGAATACTATGCAGCCATAAAAAATGAAGAGTTCATGTCCTTTGTAGGGACATGGATGAAACTGGAAACTATCATTCTCAGCAAACTCGCAGGGACAAGAAACCAAACACCGCATGTTCTCACTCATAGGTGGGAATTGAACAATGAGAACACATGGACACAGGAAGGGGAACATCACACTCCGGGGACTGTGGTGGGGTGGGGGGAGGGGGGAGGGATAGCATTAGGAGATATACCTAATGCTAAATGACGAGTTAATGGCTGCAGCACACCAGCATGGCACATGTATACATATGTAACAAACCTGCACATTGTGCACATGTACCTTAAAACTTAAAGTATAATAATAATAAAATTTAAAAAATAAAATAAAAATAAATAAACCATTCTTAGCATAAAATCTGTTAGCAAAGATCCTGCTATTCACTACGTTGAATAAAATGCTAGTAATAAAATCACTATTTAAATTTGCTTACACATGGAGAGATGATATGGCAAAATTATAGCTGGGATATTTAGATTTTATGAGAAAATTCAAGGAGGCTCAGAGATTCTAGATAAGCATATTAGAATTTCTGAGAAATTTGAGGAGCTATTTTTCTTTCATTTACCTTTTATTCTATTTAAGGAAGGCAAAAAATGCATAATAGATACAATGCATGAGTAAAGCAAATACTATGTTAGATTCAGATGAGTGATATGGGAAAAAAGGAGACTAGAACAGAGGAATGAGATGAGGCAACAGGACGGGGCAAGAGTGAATTTTCAATAGGATGGTTAGGTTGAGTCCCAGTAAGAAGGGAACATTTAAACAAATATTTGACAGAGATCAAAGTGTCAGGCAAACAGAACCCAAGGAAAAAAAGTCTAAAAATGTTTAAACCCAATGAATCAGTCCATTGAATTTAAACAGTGCCTGAGTTTTTTTTGGTTTTTTTTTTTTTTTTTTTTTTTTTTTTTTTTGAGACCGGGTCCCGCTCAGTCGCCCAGGCTGGCTGGAGTGCAGTGGTGCAATCTCAGCTCACTGACACCTCTGCTTCCTGGGCTCAAGCCATTCTCCTGCCTCAGCCTACCGAATAGCTGGGATTGCAGGTGCTCATCACCATGACCGGCTAATTTTTTTGTGTGTTTTTAGTAGAAACGGGGTTTCACCACGTTGGCCAGGCTGGTCTTGAACTCCTGACCTCAGGCGGGCGATCCGCCCGCCTCGGCCTCCCGAAGTGCTGGCATTACAGGCGTGAGCCACCGTGCCCAGCCCAGTGTCTGTTTTCTTTAACTCCTTTACTCTCTGAAATCAGGGCTGATTAGGCAGGTTGTAGTAGTAACTCTCCTTCAGCCCTGGCTATGACACAGGGGTGACTACCCTGTCCCTGGATTCTAGAACTTTAAAAAATAGACATATCTAATTATGCTAAGTCAAAGTCTCATGGATAGGAACTCAGGCCTCCCTATTTATTATTTTTTAGAAAAATTATGTGTATAATTTTAATTTGATTTACTTATTTATTTGTGGAATTTTGTTACATGGTTATATTGTATAGTGGTGAAATCTATCTAGGCTTTTAATGTAACCACCATCTGAATAATGTACGTTGTAGCCATTAAGTAATTTCTCATCCATCTTCCTCCTCACACCCTCCCACCCTTCCAAGTCTCCAATATGTATTATTTCACACTCTATGTCCATGTATGCACATTATTTAGCTCTCCTTTACAAGTGAGAATATGTGGTATTTGAATGTGTGTGTGTATATATATATATATACACACACACAGATACACACACACACACATATATATGACATATATATATGTCCATTTTCCAATGATGAATACTTCGGTTGATTTCAAATATTCGCTGTTGTGAATAGCACTGTGATAAACATATAAGTGCAGGGTTTTTTTATATAATGATTTATTTTCTTTTGGGTAGATACTCAGTAGTGGGGTTGCTAGATCAAATAGTAGTTACATTTTAGTTATTTGAGAATTCTATCTACTGTTTTCCATAGAGTTTATACTATTAATAATTTACACTCCTACTAATAGTGTATAAGCATTCCTTTTTCTCTGCATTCTCATCAACATCTGTTATTGTCTTTTTAATAATAGCTATTCTGACAGTTATATTTCATTGTCATTTTAATTTGCATTTATCTGATGCTTGGTGATATTGACCACTTTTTTATATGCTTTTTGGCTATTTGTATGTCTTCTGAAAAATATCTATTCATGTCATTTTTCTACATTTTAATGGGGCTATTTATTTTTGTTGTTGTTGAGTTCCTTGTAAATTCTGGGTATCTGTCCTCTGTCAAATGTAGTTTTCAAATATTTTCTCCTTTTCTGTAGGCTGTCTCTTGATGATTCCTTTTGCAGTGCAGAAGCTTTTTAGTTTAAAGTCCCATTTTGACTATTTTGTTTTTGTTGCTTGTGCCTTTGAGGTCTTAGTCGTGAATTCTTTGCCTAGAATTCATGACCAGAAGCATTTTTTCCTAACTTTTCTTCCAATATTTATATAGTTTCGGGTCTTATATTTAAGTCTTTAATCCATCTTCAGTTGATTTTTGTATATGGTGAGAGATAGAAGTCCAGTTTCATTCTTCTGCATATGGCTATCCAATTTTCCCAGTACCATTTAGTAAATAAGGTGCCCTTTCCCCAGTGTATGTTTTTGCCATCTTTGTCAATGATCAGTTGGCTGTAGATATGCAGCTTTATTTCTGGGTTCTCTAACCTGTTTCATTGATCTATGTGACTATTTTTTTACCAGTATCATCCTGTTTTGGTTATTATAGCCTTGTGATATAATTTGAGGTCAGGTAATGTGATGCCTCCAGCTTTATTCTTTTGCTAAAGTTGCTTTAGCTACTTGAGCTCTTTTTGGGTTCCATATAAATTTTAGGATTTTTTTTTTCTAATTCCGTTAAGAATGGCATTGGTATATTGATGCGGATAACATTGAATCTGTAGATTGCTTTAGGTGGTATGGTCATCTTAACAATATTAATTCTTCTGATCCATGAGCATGAGATGTTTCTCCATTTGTTTGTGTCGTCTACAATTTATTTCATCAGCATTCTGTAGTTCTCCTTGTTGAGATGTTTTACTTCCTTGTTTAAATATATTCCTAGGTGTTTTATTATTTTTGTAGCTATCATAAATGAGATTGTCTTCTTAACTTGGTTCTTGTTTGGTTATTGGTGTATAGAAATGCTATGGATTTAGGTATGTTGATTTTATATCCTGAAACTTTACTATACTTATCAAATCTAAGAGTTTTTAAAGGAGTCTTTAGGGTTTTCTAGGTATAAGAGTATATCATCTGTGAACAGAGATAATTCAACTTCCTCTTTTCCAATTTGGATGCCTTTTATTTCTTTCTCTTGCCTGACTGCTCTGGTTAGGGTACTATGTTGAATAAGAGTGGTAAAAGTAGACATATTTGTCTTGTTACAGTTCTTAGGAGCACTGCTTTCAACTTTTCCCCATTCAATATGATGTTGGCTGTAGGTTTGTCGTATATGGCCTTTATTATTTTGATTTATATTCTCTCTGTGCTTAGTCTGCTGACGGTTTTTATCATGAAAGAATGCTAAATTTTGTCAAATTCTTTTTGTATGTATAGAGATGATTGTATAGTTTTAATTCTTACTTCTGTTTATGTGATGAATCATGTTTATTGATTTGCAAAGGTTGAAATATCCTTGTATCCCTGGCATAAAACAAAACTGATAAACCTCTAGCTAGACCAACCAAAGAAAGGAGAAGGAAGATCCAAACACAATCAGAAGAAATGAAAGAGGAGACATGACAACTGATACCACAACTAATACTACAAAAGATCATGAGAGACTACTATGAACAACTCTACACACACAAGCTAGAAAACCTAGAGGGGAGCTGGATACATTCCTGGAAACATGCAACCTCCCAAGATTGAACTGGGAAGAAATGGAAATCTTGAATAAACTAATAATGAGTAGTGAGATTGAATCAGCAAAAAGAAAATCTACCAATCACCCCTGCCCCCCAAAAAATCCCAGAACCAGGTGGATTGACAGCCAAATTCTACCAAACCTATAAAGAAGAACTGGTACCCATCCTCCTAAAAACTATTCCAAAAAATTGAAGAGAAAGGAATCCTACCTAACTCATTCCATGAAGCCAGTATCATTCTGATACCAAAGCCAGATAAGGACAAAGCAACAAAAGAAAACTATAGCCCAATATCCCTGATGTATATAGATACAGAACTTCTCAACAAAATACTAGCAAACTGGATCTAACAGTACATCAAAAAGATAATACACTACGATCAAGTGGGTTTATTTTATGTTTCTCTATTTAAAATCTTCCTTGTGATTCTGATGCATAGTAGGGGAAAACTGTTCATTCCCCTCACCATGAAGGCTTCAGGGCTGGAGGAGGAGAAAAAAATAAACGAATCCAAGTTTGTTGAGGGCCTACTATGAACTAGCTACTATACTGAGCACATTCCAGTTCTCATTTAGGACTTCTTTAGGATAAAACATGAATTATGATCGGCAATTTTCTTAATTCTTAAAAAAGAATTGTCTACATTTTAAATTCAAGTAAATTTTTTTGTCCAGTATTTTTCAAAAATATTTTTAATATTTGTTTCTTGGATTATTTTCATAATATTTGTTTTCCTAATGATGCTTCTCAATTTTATTTAGAAATGAGATATCTGAGTGAATAGAGTGTTATTAATTAGTGCTTATGAGTATATTGTTGAAGTTGAGGTTGAAGACCTTTTACATTACCAAATAGAAGTAGTATGTCTAATGGTTAGGTGTTGGGATTTGAAGATAATACCTTGGGCCTGCATCCTGGGAAGCTGTGTGAACTTAGGAAATTAATTTAATTTTTCTAAGCCTGAGCTTATCTTTCTGTAAAATGGAGATGTCTTACTTTGAGTTTTCTCAGAAGCTGACTTCGACACAGGAATTTGAGTGCAAGTATTTTATATGAAAAGTAACAACAACAACAACAAAAACCAGTATGAATGAGTGAAAGTGAGACAAAAAAAGAAAGGTAGCCAATAAAATGTGTTTTAATGGGCAGTTGACATGTAAGCCCTGGAAATTAATCCACTGGGGGAATTTTGTGAGTCAGTACAGTAGTAGAGTTACCTCACAGTGGAAAAGGCAGAAGAGGGGAATACCAACTCTTCTCAGTCTTTGGAAGAAGTCTGCAGTAATTCCCTGCTAGCCTACTAGTCAACCACACAAGCTGGTACTGTGGGATTCAGCAGCCAGAGAAAGCTCTTGGGTAAGGGTTAAAGTTGCAGGCAATTGTAATTTGGACAGTGTATACCGAAGTGGTAAAGGGAAGGGAATGCAGTTGGGACACCAGTAACCCTTATTTCATAGGGTTAGTGCGAAAACAGAATGAAGCAATGCATAGCAAACACTTAAAACATAGTGACTACTTAATGCATCCATCCCTCAACCTGACTGCTTATAAATCTTCAGTACTCATTTTCTTAAATAGCTAGTGCCCACTTGAATATACTCATTAACCCTAATTTAAATATCTTTATAATACAATAAATAAATAATTTAAAATATAATCTTTAAAAATTAAATAATAAGACTATTATCATAATTATAATCGATTTCTGGTGGCATATTAAAGTGACAATATAGTTAGGAAAATTGCTACATCTTTTTGTTTTCGGTACTTTCTAAGCCCTGGCTGTTTAGGAAAATTAAAAATAAAATATGCCATGTTCTTGCTACTGTCATACAGCAAAGTCAATATAGCAGCAAAAGAATAAGCTGTGTTCCATTCTGTATCATATATCAACAAAATTGCCCCCTGAGTTCAGATACGCTATTATTTGAGATAGTTGATGACATATGGGCTGACAATACAGCTGGATTCCCAGGTTACAGTTCAGTTTATGGCAAATCATAGTTTGATTTGTAAGGAGAAGTAAAATGATATGAAAGGTATTGATAGGAATATCTAGCAGCAAGACACTATTTTAACTGTCCATCTTGGGCTATCGAGAGTTTCAAAAGACATTATTTGATCTTTTATTGCTTGACAAAGCTCTAGAAGCAAAGAATAGCAGTGTTTCTTTCAATCCATTGATAAGACATATAACACCTGAAGGCCAAGCTGTTAGGGAGACAGTGTGGATTTTATGACATGGCTATCTTGTTTTTTATTATTATGATGATGAAGATTATTGGTATTATTGGCAGCAGTCTTGCTTTACATGCCCAAAATATGGAAACCGTTTATCTGGTCTATGTACAAGTTAAGTGAAGGTTTCAACAGAGCTTTAAGAAAGCTTCTATATTACCTGTTTTCTGTATCTAAGCAGTGAGACTAATTTTGAAAGCTCTCAGATCTCTGCATCATCTTCTCCTCGGAGTGAGGTTTCCTAATACACATTTCTAGAGATGGAATTGAATTTCTTTAATCCATATGAGAATTTTTACTATTTCTATTCCATCCTTTTTTGCTTCCCCACTAAACCTTTTCAAAAGAAATTGGTAATAGTATTAAGTATTTGTTGGACATCAGTGGATATCTGTTCATGTTTGCAGGAAAGAGGAAGAACAAAGTACAGGAAATTAGGTTCCTTCATTCTGTGATTCTTTCTAGGAAGTGAATTAAATGCACCAAGGTGGAACTAGAAAGGTGTTTGTCCCCATTCAAAGCCGAATTCCTATAATATTCTGGAAACAACTTCAACATGAAAGCAGCTAGCTACGTGCGTAAAGTTGGGTTTAAAATGCTTGCAAGATCTTTGTAAAGATAGCTGTTACATTTAGTCACATGAATCCTGAATGGAATTAAGGCATTTAAGAAAGTTCAGAAAAGTGTTTGAAGATTGATCTTTTGTGTTCCTAAGATGAGCATAGGGAAAGACAAAGTGTTTTATTAACAAAGGCCACATGTACAAATTTGATGATAATATGAGAAAAACACCTCCTGTTTTATATCATTAAACAGATGTTCTAAATAAGTTGTTGCTATGCATTTTTAAAGAGATATAAATGTTAAAAATAAATATACAGTTTATTTTAGTTTATTTTTAATGAAAATAACTGCCCATTAAGATCAGATTTGAATGTCCAAAGACAAATCTTTTGCGTATTTAGCCTCAGGTTAACGTACTATGCATACTTGTTTTCATCTATATTTAATCCAGGGCCTCAGCTTCTTTCTCCTCATCTCATTTACTTGTGCAATACAAACCTAGAATGCTTCACCGATGTATGATGTATTAGGGGTTTCATGTATAAAAAGCATCAACAAATACAGTTATGCTCTTTAATCTGTCGATTTTTAAGTAAGGAAGTAACATAATGAAATTTGTTTCACAGCTATAACTCTCATGATCAAGTATACTGTGGTTGGTGGCTGGGAGTAAAGGGGCTTTACTCCCTTTTCAGAAGCTAAAAGGAGGTTCTAAAGTCCTTCTAGGGACTTGTAAAGTCCACAGCTGAATTTATTGCTTGAATTCGGGTAATATAGGTGAAAACAGAGAAGCATGGGTGGATTTAAATACTATTTTTGTTCTATAATTGATAGGTTTTGGTGGCTGACTTACTTTAATGAGAAAGATAACTCATTTATGTTTCCATTTCTCTAGTGTGAACAAGAAATTGTACATCACAGAGATTATAAAATTCCCTTTCGTAGACACTTCAGAGGAAAAGTAATAGGGCACCATATTCAAATCTTAGTGCTTCTTGAGTCATGATAGGTATCAAGTAACATTATTCATGAGATACATGAGATCAGTGGTTATTGTTGTCTTTGTGAATAGTGTTGCCAGTAATAATTAACATAACTTAGGGCTTTATGGTTTGTAACATGCTTTAATGTATATTATCTCACCCGACATATGCTTTGTAGTCACACAAATATGCCCACTTCTCTCTTACACATTGTATTGTTCAAGCTGTTCTTTTTGCTGGGAATACCTCGACTGTTCTCTTTTCTTGCTTAATCTACTTATCTGTAAGTCTTGGCTTAAATGTCACTTCCTCATGAACACTTTTCATTTTCTCCCAATCTCAATTATGTCCACGTATACCCCATATATAGGTTGGTGTAAAAGTAATTGCATTTTTTTTGCCATTACTTTTAATTCCCTTAAAACTTCCACCATTGCTTGTAATTATATGTTTATATATGTGATGCTACTGTTAATGGCCTTCTTCTTTACTCTGTGAGATTCATGAGGGGAGGCCTTAACTGTTTTTTTCACCACTGTATCACCAGGCTTGACCACAATGTCTGGCTCAGAGTAGAAGGTAAATAAGTTTAAAATGAAAAAAAAAAAAAAAAGAATGAAGGGAAATAATCATTAAAAGATTTCCATTTGCATACAGAAGACATACTTTACTTCTTTCACTATGTTTGACTTCAGTTGCTCTGAAGTCTTTGTGTTATTATTGTGAATATTAGATTGTAGGTCCATTTTTCTTGGTCCACTGGAGCCTGAATCCCGTGGAGTTTATTCATGTTCCACTCATCTTTGCACCTTCATCCCCTTAACCAAGGACCTAGAATGGAGTAGGTACACAATTTTTCTGACTGAGTCATTGCGACCCATAAGGAGATTTTACCAATAATTCAAGTGAAAGATTATGATGACCTGAACTAAGGTAGTAGTTGTATGGACTGAAATAAATTAGAGACACAGATTCTATAGAAGCATAAGCAATAGGACTGAACAACTTGTCAACTTATTAAACACAGCAAATGAAAGAATGAAATAATGAAATTTTAAATGTAAGGATGGAAGCTTTGGGAGGATGATGTCACATTTTATTAGGGTGAGTCATGTAAAATTCCAGTTTTTGTGATGCAAAAACAATTGGTATTGGCAATTTTATATGGTTCAACAGATACATCTGGCTTTTGGGATGTTGACTTTGAGATACTGGTAGTATCTTCAACATTCATTCCATATTCAAGTAGAAAATTCCCCAAGATATTGGAAATACTAAGAATTTGGACTAAATTTATTAGTTTGAAAGTCATTTGAAATGTGGTTATGGTAATATAGGGAGAAAAAAAAGAGAATCAAGAGAAAAATCTTAATAACATACTCATTGATGAACATTTAAGTCACTTCCACTTTTTTCCACTTATGAACAGTGTTTTAAATTTATATGTATATTTGAACAAACTTAAAAATTTTGCACTTGCCCTCTTTTATTTATCATAAGCTCTTAAAAGGGCATTTCTGGATTAAACAAAGCAAGAACTGAACATGTTTAAACATATTAGCTATTTCCCTTTAGAAAAGTCATTCTAACTTTTACTCAGTGAACACAGGTTTTCTCCATAAGAAATTACATAGACTAATGGAAAATATATAAACTATAGAAGGTCTCCAAACTTATATTTCATTTTCCTTGACAAAAATATTCTTTAAAATCGTGGATCTCAAACTTTTAGGTCTCAGGACCCTTTTATACTTGTAATAATTACTAAGAATCCCAAAGAACTTGTATTTATATGGGTTATATCCATTGATATTTATCATATTTGAAATTCAAATTGAGAAATTTAAAAATATTTATTTTCAATATCAATATTAAATTCCTTAATATGTTAACACAAATAATATATTTTATGAAAAAGATTCCAAGGATAACTAAATTTAGTGAAATTGTTTTACATTTATGGAATTTGAGAATTCAGAATGAGTTTTACATTTTTGGAAATCTCTGACTGAGATTTCTAACTGAATCATTGATATCTATAAGGAGACTTTACTAATAATTCAAGTGAAAGATTATGATGACCTGAACTAGGGTAGTAAGCTATATAGACTGAAATAAAATAGACTCAGTTTCTACAGAAATATAAGTAATAGGACTGAACAACTTGTCAACTTATTATATACAGCAAATGAAAGAAAGAATAAATTTGCAAATGTAAGGACAGACACTTTGGGAGGATGTAAACAAAATTGTGTGTTAAAACACAGACACAGGCTGGGCACGGTGGCTCACGCCTGTAATCCCAACACTTTGGAAGGCCGAGGCGGCTGGATCACGAGGTAAGGAGTTGGAGACCAGCCTGGCCAATGGGGTGAAACCCCGTCTCTACCAAAAATTAGCTGGGCGCGGTGGCGGGCGCCTGTAATCCCAGATACTCGGGAGGCTGAGGCAGGAGAAACACTTGAACCCAGGAGGCAGGGGCTGCAGTGAGCCGAGATCACGTAACTGCACTCCAGCCCGGGCGACAGAGCAAGACTCCATCTCAAAAAAAAAAAAAAAAAAAAAAGCACAAACACAGAAGGTCTACCTAATAAAATGTAGCTGAATCCTCATGACTGCTTCTACATCCACTCTGCTTTAATATGTTGTTTTGGTTGAGTGGACAAAGAAAAACTAGCTTCACACAGATGTGTAATTGGAAGAGGAGTAAGTTTTTTTAACAGCGTTTCCAGGTCATGAGTTGCTTAAGGACGGGAATTCTTTCTGAGAAATGCGTGATTCAGCAATTTCATCCTTGTGCAAATATTATAGTGTACTCACACAAACTTAGATGGTTTAGCTTACTACACACCTAGACTATATGGCATAGCCTATTGCTCCTAGGGCTACAAACCTGTACAGCATGTACTGTACTAAATACTGTAGGAAGTTGTAACACAATGGTATTAGTGTATCTAAACATAGAAAATGTACAGCAAAAATATGGCATAAAAGATAAAAAATGCTACACCTGTGTAGGGAACTTACCATGAATGAAGCTTGCAGGAGAGTAAGTTGCTCTGAATGAGTCAGTGAGAGATTAGTGAATGAATGTGAAAGCTTGGGACATTACTGTAGACTTTATAAACAGTGTACACTTAGGCTGAAACTACCTTTGCAAAAATTATAACAGTGAGAAAATTATATCAGTGAAGAAGATCTGATCTGGCCAACCCCCTTCTTGCCTTTGATCTTCAGTCTGCCCTTAATTATTCCTAGGCCTAGGCCAAGCTAACTTTAGGAGACATTTAGTTGATAGTTTAAGTGGTAGTAGCCCTTCTCTAAAATTCAACCACCTTTGAAAGCTAATGAGAGACCACCATGCTAGGAGGATAGAGGAGCCTGAACTCTGCTAGGTTATACACAATAAAGGATTGCCAGCCACAGTTCCAGAGGTTACAAGATATGCAACTTCTCCAAATACTCCTGCAGATAACATCACTATTGTAGAACCTAAGATTGGCCTTTCACAGGGTTTTTGCATGCCTGAAGACCAATGGCTCCACCTAGACCTGCCATCCTCTCCTGTGGCTGCACCCAGAAGTGACTCAGTGCACATGAGGACAATTTCCCATTCTATATGATTACAACCCCCCAAAATCAGCAGCAAGCACCCATTGCCTAGCCACCCTCACCCCCTCCCCTGAACTATCTTTGAAAAACCTTAGCCCTCAAGTTATTGGGGAGGCTGATTTCAGTAACAATAACCTACTGACAATAACCAACAGCCTACACAGGGTCAAAATAATTAATGTCGCTGCTTTCCACCTCTGCATCTTGTCCCATGGGAAGTTCTTCAGGGACAATAACATTCAAGGACCTGTCATCTCCTGTGATAACAATGCCTTGTTCTGGATACCTTCTGAAGGACCTGACTGAGACTCTTCTAGAGGAATAGGTTTGTTTACAGCAGCATCACCACAAATATGTAAGTAATCCCTTACCTTACCACATTATAATAGCTACGATATCACTAGGCAATATAAATTTTGCAGCTCTATTATAATCTTATGAGACCATTCTGGTATGCGGTCCATCACAAATGTGGTTGTTATGCAGCACCTAAGTGTAATTGAGAATATTCTTCTCTGATACTACAGTAAAACTTGACCAATATTAGTTTCTAAAAGATTAGTGTGGAATTTGACAACATACCAACGAGCTTTTTACACTCTATTACATTAAAATCCATTGTCTAACTAGCACTTTTAATCAGCCATTTACTCTTACATGCTTTCGTAACTGTGTACATTTGGAAAATATCAGTTCAGTGAGTTATGAATATTTTCCAAATGATATATTCCATTATACATCAAATAATCATATTATTCAATATCACTACTGACCTCATCAGAAAAGTTACTAAGTATTGGGCAACTGTCAAGTTCATAGGAACAGACACAAGTTTTCTAACAATTTAAATTTTCACTTGTAAGCTCAAATTTTATCATTGCCAATAAATACTGTCTGTTGTTTTCTTTGAAGGATAAGATGTCTTCCAAATACCTAAGTATGAATAACCTGAGTTTATCTGTCATTCATTTTTTCAATAAAAGTAGTGTTCCATTAAAAAGCAGCATGATCAGTTCGCAACTTGAATGATCACAAGTGCTCCTCCTGGAGACAGCCATTGTACTTCAGTGTATAGAAGTGTTTTATTTGTACTTTCCATTTCCTTATACAAAATATATTCGAAAGATGTTTACTCAATGGTTGATATTTAATGAAAAGAATAATGTTTACTGTTTCATCAAGGACATCAAGGGCATTCTTAAGTGAAAGCGACTTTTTTTTTTTTTCTGTGAGAGTACAGCAGGAAAAATTGCAGTGACTACTGTTACAGTTTGGTGCCTAAACAATGGCCTAGCTGCAAGTTTCCCTCCCCATTCTGATCCTACAGATAAGGTGCCTTAGCCAAGTAATCCTTATCAAATCAAATGAATGTAATTCCGGCTTATCCTGAGTGGTAGCTTTCAGATCCCTGCCAAACTATGGAATTATTTAAATAAGACAATGGCATCTTCCCTTGGGAACCAGGGGTGCCCCACCTTCTTGATACTACCAAAGCCTGCCCCCCGACAACCCTTTATTTGTTCACTCTCTTCCCAAGTGTTACCCTCATGTGGCCCTAACATGGTGCGGTGTGCTCCTACTCCAGGCTGTGAGTATGTGTGACTAATATACCGTGGTCGATCTCATCTGTTCAGTGTTGGGTGTTGTATGTTTGGTCATCTCCATAACCTTAGGATGAGAATTGCTCCCTCATCAACAACTGAAAAGGAGGTGATCAACATAAGCACATGGAATATTTCATCACCATTTGCACTTGTTGTCAATAATTCAAACAGGAAAACTTCTATGATTGGTTGGTACTGATTCTGTATGAATACAGGTAAAACAGCAAATAAAGCCAAGCCTGTAGATTTCGCAAGGCAAAAGTACAACTCTGCAGATATTAACTCAGCTTCCATGATTGCAGCTAAATCTTTAATGTGGCAAGTTACTGTGTCATTGGAAAGTGTCAGTGTCATGATTTACTTTACTAACTTTTCACCAGTAGGTATTAACAATGTCAACCATATAAGGCTTTATTAGTCTCTCAGCTATTGTATGTGCTTCTCTAGCCAATGCAGTATATAAGTTATTCTGTAAGATGCGTCATTGGCTTCTTCATTTTGAGTTGAAAAGCTGTAACAATTTTGAATTTTAAAATAGCTTATCACATCTACATTTAAACTGTCCAATTCTTTATATTAATAACCCCAAATGATTTGTCTCAAAATGATACCACAATGTAACTGGCAATATGATACTATTTGAAAACGTTCTGTTGAATAAGATACAGTAAGGTAAATCAGTAGTACATATAATCCCTAAGGGGAAGATAGCTTTTGTCAAATAATTTTTATTTCTTATTTATAGTATTATCCAATTTCTTTAGAGTAGATTCCTCCCTTCCATTAATCATAAAACTCTAAATCATCTTTTTCAGCGTCTTGAGAAATAGACATTGCAGCTGAAGCACAGGAAAGCACGTCTTTTGATTCCCCTTTTTCAGGCCAAGAATTCATCCTTAAATACAAGAAAAAATAGTATAAGTCAATTATACTTACTTTAGAATAATATTACTTAACTAAAATAATAGTATTAGGGAAATTTTTAAAAATTAGAAAAATTTTCAAACAATTAAAATATCAATACTAAACAAGAACACAATGTACACTTATTTTGTTTTGGGTTTCTATAGAAATATAAGGAAAATTTCAGGATTTCAAAATAATTATATTTTGGACAATAATGAAGTAAAAGATTATAAAAGATGTAAAAAAGATAACTAAAAAGGGCACATTAGAAATACTGAGATAAATATAAATTAATATCTCAAAATGCATATATATGCACACATTCTAAAGCTATTATCTTAGAGAATTCTACAAATTCCTGAATATAAAGTCACACATTCCATTAGTTAGTAGAAAAATAAAGTCACCACGTCATTTACCCTTTAAAAAACTCCACTGTACACTTATGAGAGAATGAGAGTAAAAAGATAAATAGACAGTAACATTTGGTATTAGTATGAAACTGCCGTTAATCTTCCAGATCTCCCAAAGGTCCATAGCAAACACTTTAAGAATCACTGATTTAGAATATCTATATTTTAAAGACCCCTAATTTGCTATTGACTCGCTCAGCCAATAACTTTACTACTCTTTCTTCTCTTTTATTTTCGTCTAACATATGAAAAGCCTTTACAAATATTTAAGAAAATAAATGAATAACACCCCCCAAAAGAACTGGCAAAGCATAAGAAGTGGCAATTAACATATGATGATATGCCAGTTGTCCTCAAAATATATGAAAAGATACACAACTTCACTAGTAATCAAAGAAATATAAGTTAAGATGAAAATACTTATTTCTTATAAAATATCTGAAAAAAAGTAAAACACTGATAAGATCAGGCATGACAAGGGTATGGGGGAATCTGTACCTTCTCAAATTAAATTAGAAAAGCAAATAAAAATTGGAACAGTTCGCATATTCTTAAATTTAATTCTGTAACTATAAATTGGTACCATCTTTCTGAAGAAAAACTTGGCAATGTCTTCCACTTCTGGGAATTTATCCTAATGAAGAAAGTGGATGAGAATTTAAAGATGAATGTATTGTGTTTTTATATGTATATATGTATATACAAATATATATTTGTATTTAACTGACATAGTTTCTATAATAGTAAAGAAATTCAGAACAACCAGAATATATATCAATAGGGATTGGTTATAGAAATTTTGGTGCCTCCACACAATGGAACACTATTCAGCCATTAAAGAGAATGAAAGAAATCTTTATCATTGCTAGAGATGGAAACCCAAGATACTTTAAGTAATTAAACATAAACAACATGCTATAAAAGTGTATAAATATTATGTTCCTATTTAAAAATTAATATAGATGTGAAAATTCATAGACAAGTGATATGCACCACAATGTTAAAGATTGTATTTACAGCTAGTGAAATTGCTGATGTTTTGCATTTAGTTTGTAAGGCAATATTTCTCAGTAGCTGTGTGTAAGGGAAAGCTTTTTTCCCCTCAGGGGACATATGGCAATACTGAGGACATTTTTGATTGTCACAATTGAGGAAGTGCTACTGGCTTCAGGCAGGGAAAATTCAGAGATGTGGCTAACCATTCTACAATTATCCATGACAAAATGTCAATAGTGCCAAGGTTTTAAGGTAATTCAGGTTAACTTTACAAATATCTCTGGGGCTGCTATAATGTGCAAGTCACAGGGAATACAGCAATAAACAAGAGATATAGTGGTTTTCCACAGGAATAATATTTGTAATGCTTAAATACTGTATTAGGACTCCTTTATAAATAAGTAAAAATCATAAAGTTATATTAATTTGGGGGTAAAAAGGGTGAGTCCTTTAAAAAGTATTCTACGTTTAATCTTTTAATTCCACTGAATGGAATTTTTTAATGTAATCACAAGAAATTTTCACAAAGATTCATGTGCACTTTCATTTTATGAATTATTAATTATAATAGTGGAAATTTGGAAATATGTGCAAAAGTAGTGGTGTGAAAAAATAAAACATGAACATTCAGCCGATGGACTATTATGCAGCTTTTAAAATTCACATTAAAAAATACTGATATGAGAAATGTTCATTGTATAAAGTTAAACACACCACAAATCTCTTAGTACTGCATGATCCTAATTATTAAAAACACACACAGGGAAAATACTAGCAGGAAATATGTCAAAAAGAGTTATGAGTGGCTCTCTCTATGGTGTATTATGGGCAATTTAAAATACTTTTCTTTACAGTCTCAGTACTTTCTAAATCAGCTAAAGTGAAAATATATTATTTTTATAATTAGGAAAAAAGACATACCATATTGATTACTATGTGTAGTGCCCTATATTCATATAGAAGAAAAAGGAGATACAATTTTTCTACCCTTGAGAAGCTTATATATAAAGTTGGAGAGATGAGTCGTACATTCATGGAAAGTTTATAATTAAGAAAAATAAATACAACAGTTAAAAGAAAAGATAGAAACAAAGTTATTTTGAATATCTGCTAGTCTGGCACTGTGCCAGATGCATTCACCAACATCACATTTCATGATGCCACCAGTCCTGTGAGGCTGGTAATGTTATCCCCATCACAGCAATGAGAAAACTGAAGCTCACTGAGATTAAGTAACTTGGCATAGGCCACCCACAGATATTAAGTGCTAGTGCAAGGATTCAACCCCAGGTCTGAGTCATTTTTATAAAAAATGATTGTTTCCACTTTGTGTGCTTTTCATTCTGGAGGTACAAGAAAAGATTACCATAATCATTAACCTAAGCGTTTCAATGGGAGCCATGAAAACTCACTCATTTTTCTCAAGAGATGTCGGTATAGGCACTAATCAAATAAGCTGACAAATATGTTTTAATTTATTCAAGAAATAGTTCAGTGGAAGTCTTGCGTGTTCAGTATGTTATGAGTACAAGATTTTTATATCTGAGACTCTTGTTTTAAAAGTCATAACATGAATCTCTGCATAGTCATCCATTGCTTCGGCAAAAGGGGAGTTCTTAAACACCCAAGGTGAAGCAGTGACGTGTGATTAATGGCTGCAAGCCGGATTACTTCTCAGATCGTCCTCCATATCTACTTGATATAACTTGGCAGAAAGTCAGAAAATAAATGTTTTAATAAATACTGCTTTCATTTGTAACAGATTTCTGCTTGAAAAGGAGTGGGCAGTCCTGTGTCCGTCCTCCCTTTCTTTTGTCTATATTACAGGGTCTTGGTCTCCATTTTCTCTGACATGGAAGTATTTATTCAAAATAATGGTTCTCACTTAGATAGGGGAGTTAGATCTATCACTCTTCCCCAAAAGCACCACTAAACCTAATTCTCTGTCTCTGTTAAACAAAATATCACCTTTGTCTGTTACTGAAAAATGTCTGCTGGTAGCTGAAGATTTAATTGTTTCTTCAAACCCCTCCATTACAAGAAATTTAGAATTTCTTCTGTTATTTAACTTAAATCTTTAACCATGCAAAAGGATTTGGGAGTAAAGAAGAGGGGGAAAAATGTGGGCTGTGTTTTATTTTTTAAAAGACATTAAATTTTTTTTCACTGTAACTTTTATACGTTAAAATACAAGTTTATGATCAGTAGTCTTATTATTTTAAGGACTATCTTCATTTCTCTTTTAATGTGATGTTAAATGACTTGGGAAGTAGAGAATTTCTTCACTACTAGAAACACTGAACTCTCACTTGGAATTTTGCCAACACATCTAGTATCTTGAAATTAAACATTAATTGATTTTCTTATTTTAGAATATTAATAATATCATCATTTGAACGTGTACCTTAAACACTGCAAAATCAGTATTTTTTCCCTCACTTTCTAAATGAGCACACTGAAGCTCAAACTTTAAATAAATTATTCTGATTCATATAGTGGTACTTATTTGACTTGAAATTCTAACCTAGTGTACCTGAATACAGCTTCCATGCTCTTCCATACACCATGCCCAGTTTTATGTCAAATACAACTGAAGCAAGTGAAAATATACTCAACATCACTAATCAGTAGGGAAATGCAATTTAAAACCACAATGAGACACCACTTTACACCCATTAGGATGACTATCATGAAACAAATAAAGAAATAAAATCCCAGAAAAACTGAAAACAGCCAGTGTTGGCAGAGATGTGGAACAGTTGGAACCCTTTTGCACTGCTAGTGGAAATATAAAATGGTGCAGCCTCTGTGGAAAAGAGTATGGCAATTCCTCAAAAAGTTAAACGTAGAATTACCATGTGATTCAGAAATTCTGCTTCTGGGTATATATTTAAAAGTATTAAAAGCAGGCATTCAAACAGGTACTTGTCCATTGGTGTTCATAGCAGTGTTAATCACAATAGCTAAAAGATGGAAACAATCCAAACGTCCATCAACAGATGAATGCATAAAGAAAATGTGCTATATACACACAGTGGAATACTATTCAGCCTTGAAAATCAACGGAAGTATGATACATACTACAACATGGATGAACACTGGAACATTATACTAAGTGAAATAAGTCAGACACAAAAGGACAAATATTATATGATTCCATTTACATGAGGTACTAAAGATAGGCAAATAAAATGATAAAATTTGGGTTTACAAGGCCATCTCTCTGACATATATTCAACATTGAGCTTTGGTATTGGCTGACAATAAAGTTGTATTCAAAATATGAGACCATTGGCTGGGCATAGTGGCTCATGCCTGTATTCCCAGCATTTTGGGCTGCTGGGGAGGGTGGAACACTTGGGTCTAGAAGTTCAAGACCAGCTTGGGCAACATAGTGAGACTGTCTCTACAAAATATACAGAAAAAACAGCCAGCCATGATGATGCATACCTGTAGTCCCAGCTATTTGGGAGGCTGAGGTGAGAGGATCATCTGAGCCTGGGAGCTCCAGGCTTCAGTGAGCTATGATTGCACCACTGCACTGCTGAGTGACAGTGAGACTCTGTCTCAAAAAAAAAAAAAAAAGAAGGACACCAAAATATGGAAGATAACAAGGAGTCTATGGAATGAGAATAAATGGACACATAGACAAGATAAAGCCATTAATATAACTTAATATCTCTAGTTACACATACTGCCAAAATTGGAAATATTATACAATTTAATTCAGATTAAACTTAGTAAGTTAGCTGAAAAAAGTTAGGTAAAACCACAGAGGATACAGACTTTAGTCAACAGAAACCAGGTGAAAGAAGTGAATATGAATGTGGATTTAAAGACCTTTACCTTATAGTGAATATAAAGAAGGACTAAACGTGTCCATTTAAGGTTCAAATTTTCACTCTGTATGTATATGGCCCTTGGGTTTGTTCCTGGGCTCTAACTCTTAGGTAATCACATCATTATCATGAATTGTCATCCTCACTTCCCCAGAAATGGTAAATTTGCTTCCCTTGATGAGTATTTTATCAATCACAGAAAAATTTAAATTCAATTCAGAGATCATGAAATATATGAACCCAACATCATTTATACTTTTAGTTAAAGGTCTGGAATAAACTTTTAAATTATAGGGACTGTTTAATATATGTGGTATTTAATGAATTTGTAATGTTTAATAAAATCTGGTATATTAGGCCAGGCACAGTGGCTCACACCTGTAATCCTGGCACTTTGGGAGGCCAAAGAGGGAGGATTGGTTAAGGCCAAGAGTTCCAGACCAACCTGGCGAACATAGCAAGACCTTGTCTCTCTAAAAAACATAAAGAATAAAAAAAGAATTTGGTATATAAAAGGATCTGAACATATAATAAAAACTGTCATGGGTTCTGGAATTGTGCTTTTAAGCTAAAAATATACCTGAAAATTTTACTAAGTTTGTGAAAACATGAAAATTTGAGATACGATCTATTTTAAAGTTTATGATATTTGCAAGACTATTTTAAATGCAAAACTGGATTTTTCTTGTTAGGGCTTTGAATTTGAGTTGTCAGAGAGTTTTTTAAATGCTTAAAAAAACAAACATATTAAATATCTAAGTATAGTCCCACATATTTTAGAAAGTGTAATTTACTAAATTTGTCAATGGGATTATTTAAAGTAATTTAGTCTATTCAACTTGAATTAATTGAACATTCACCAAAGAAAAAGAGAAAATAATTCTTGTTTATTAGTTTTTATAAATAGTAGAATAAGATTTGTTAGTTAAAAGCTTAAGAGAAGCTTGTTTCCTTTATAATTACAACTTTAATAAAGTTATATTAATTAAAAAATTAAGTAATTGGGCATAATCCTTTCAAAGCACAAAAGCTCCTTCAAGGCATTGTAATAGCTCACACTGATGACCTTGACATGAAAAGCTATATACTACAGCAAAGATCCTCAGCTCCAGTGGACATACCTTTGATTTGGGATATAGTAAATCATTCATAATAAAACTACTAGAGTATACAAATCATTTGCATTGAAGAGTGGAGTAGTTTTCAGGTTATTCCTATAATAATATCAACCTTCTTCCTTGCTTTACTGCATGCGTTCTTCAGTGGGAGTTATTTTTAAATTGCAAAGCACTGAGATATGTAGCAATCATATAGTAAGATCCCCTGCTTAGGAGCATCCTTAGGGAATGCTGACTGATTAGGAGAGTGAGAAGATTATGGAGTGGTAAAATAAAACAAAAGGTTCACCAGGATATCTCGTTATTTTTTATTTCTACTGTGGAATGACATTTCTTGCTAGAAATATTTGTGTAAATATTCCTTTGTTCCTGCATCTGCCCATAAAGGTTCCAGGGATTAGGACCTAATATATCAAATTTTAAGATATAAAGATTTTATATAAAAATTTTGATGATTTTGGTTGTGCATAAGTTAATAGAAGTCAGTTAGTGAACATAAACTGTCTCCACCTTTCCACCCTTGAGTATTAATCCTTTAAGAAGATTTTTCATAAAGATGGAATGAAGAGAAAGCACAGAATAGGCTTTGTGTGTAACCTGTAGGCAGTACTGTACTGGTGTGCTGTTATTAAAAAAAAAAAAAATCCCTGATCTGTAGCATTTACCTATTTCTCTGGTATGAATACTCACCATGGCCGATTTCAAGCTTTAAAATCAGCTCGCTAAGGGACAGCTCTAGCATAACACTGCCTCTAACTCTTCCATTTCTATTCCTTTGTTTTGGCAGCTGATCACGGCTGGAAATAAACCAACAAACAAACATGTAATCATGTTGAAATATTTTACTTTACAGCTCATAACCATGAATCACAAATGGGCCCTTTATCTGCCAGATCTTTCACTATTTTAGAAATAAAATATTACGTTGAAAATAAAATTTTCACTGTGTTGTACTTTCTTTCTCCTGAAACTCCAAATACTGCTTCATCCACCTTTACTCTCAGCTGATGGCCTTGCTCTCTGTTTCACTAAGAAAAATGAAGCAATCAGATGAGCTCTGCAGAATTCTTCCCCCAAGGGACACACCTGCAGACATCTGCACTCTCTTCTTCTACCTCCCTGTCTGCTCCTGCCTAAAGCCAATTTCTTCATTTGTGGGTCAGAATCCATTCTGTTTTACTCAAGGCATCACTGCTGTAATTCTCACTCGTCTCTAAACCATGTTTCTTGCTTTCTACTAGAGCAATGTCATCAGTTAAAATGTTACGATTGCTATCACTTTTTTAAAGCTTCTCTCAGCCCAACCTCTCCATGAGCTGCCGCACTTTCTCTGCTCATTTTTGGTAGAATAACTCTTGAAAGAGTTGTTTTTAACTTGTGTTTTTGATTCCTCTCCTGCCACTCTCAAGCACACTCCAGTCTGACTTTCCCCATAGTCACCATTCCAGCAAGAGCGTTCTTGTCAAAGTTGCGGTAGTGCCCCACTCATTCCCTTCAGATCTTAACCATCCACTGTGCTCCAGCTCAACTTGAAAAGTACGAGGATCAGTATCGCTGCCTGAGAGCTCTTTCCAGATTCTCAGAAAGTCACATTCATGCAAGGAAAGAGCTGTAAATATCACGGAATTAACACCGCCCACACCCTTCCCCAGCAGTGCCAACTAAATTCGTCAATATAAAATACCACCTCTCCCTTGCTCTTTGTGTGGAACAACTCTGAATTGTGTTTTATGCCATTTCTTAGAGTCTTGTAGGAATAAGCTCCAGTTGTCAACTATGGCTTAATGACATACACTTATGGGCTGCCTTCCTTATATCATTTTTTGAATCTACTATTGCTGTTCCTACACCTCTCAAACAAGCTCCTTCCTCTCAAATTCTTGTTTAGAATCTGCTGCTATGGGAACCAAAATGAACTCAGTTGCCACTGACCTCCACATCATTAAACCGAATGATCAATTAGTTTCCTTTTTATTGGAGCTTTCAGTAGATCTGACACGTAGTTCTCTCCCCTCTCCTGGAAACATTTTCTATTCTTGATTCTAGCTCAACACATCTGTAATTTTTTTTTTCCTGAATCACAGGTCATTCCTTCTCAATCTCTTTTCTTAGTTACGCTTCTTTTCTGCACTTTTACATTTGAAGTGCTGCAGGTTAGTCAGTCCTTGTTCTCTTCCACTCTCTATCAGTGACTCTCTGGCTTTATATATAACCTCTATGTTAATGACCCATAAATTCGTA
The DNA here is from genome assembly GCF_000001405.40 of Homo sapiens. NCBI lineage: Eukaryota > Metazoa > Chordata > Mammalia > Primates > Hominidae > Homo > Homo sapiens. Next base: position 141,577,543 of record NC_000004.12, read on the forward strand.
TATCTAACACAAGTTCCTCTTCTGAACTTCATATCATATCTAAGTACTTAACATTTCCACCTTGATGTCCAATAGTCATCTGAAACTCAACATGTTCAGACAGAACTCCTTTTCTTGGCCTTATCTCAAACCTGCTCCATTCACTAGCTCATTTAACAGTAAAACCATCCTTCCAGCTGTCCAGTCCAAAGAAACTTGGATTTATTCTTGATTCTTCTATTTTTCTCAGCAAATCTTGCATTTAGCTTAAAAACATAATCAGGATCCAAAATTTCTTAACACCTCTACTGCTGTCATGATTCAGGTCATCAACATTTCTCACCTGGATTACTTCCATAGCTTCTTAACAAGTCTTCTGGCTTCTACTGTTGACCCTCGATAGTCTGCTGTCAATGTAGAAGTTGGAGAGATATTTCAAGAACATGTATCTTATCATTTCACTCTTTTGCTCAAAACTATGTGTGATGTTTAATTTTATGTGTCGACTAGACTGGGCTAAGGGATACTCAGGCAGTTAAACACTATTTCTGGGTGTCAGTGAGGGTCTTTTCAGAAGAAATTAGCATTTGAAGCAGTAGACTTATTAATGAAGATCTGCCCCTATCTATGTGGGTGGACATCATCCAGTCCACCGAGGGCCCAAGTAGAACAAGCATGTGGAGAATGAGGACATCCATCTTTTTCTGCCCTCAGACATTGATGGTCCTTGTTCTCAGGTCGCTGGGCATGGTTAGGGACATACATCATTGTTGTCCCACCACCTCTGAGGTTCTTAGATCTTTGAACTATGATTAAATTACACCACCAACTTCCCTCATTTTCTAGCATGCAGATAACAGACTGTGGGACCTTTCAGCCTCTATAATTGTATGAGCCAATTCTCATAATAAATAAATGTGTAACATACTGGTTTAGTTTCCCTCAAGGACCCTGAGTAATACACCATGTAAAGCCTCTCCCATGTCATCTAAATCTCAAAAACACTCCTAGAAAATGAGGTGGTGTTATCCTCATCTTAAAGAAAAATAAAGGGAAGTAGAGCAACATCCTTAAGGTTACACAGCTAATAAATAGCAAAGAAAGGAATTTTGCCCCAGCTGTTTGGCTGGAATATGTGTTCCCAATTGTTACATTATAAAGACTTCAAATACAAAATCAAGGACATTATCTATTAAATAAAGAGACAGACTTTCTCCAAAAAGTATTTAAATTGATTTGATATGATGTCCCAAGTACTTCAGGTTCCAGAAGTTTTTAATGTGACTCTAGATGTTTTAGCAATTTCTGCCAACAAATTAAACATTCAACAAATATATATCAATATAGAGTAAAAATTAATTAGAGGCATCAAATTGAAATATAAACGAGACATTCATCTTCACATAATTTCAGATATGCCAGTGAAAATTCATTAAGCAGAAATGTCTAATACATAATTCTAATAATACCACACATGAGGATCACTTGGGAAAGAGCAGCTGTATTTCATAAATTCACAGGAAACAAGTTATTGTTATTGTTGTTTAATACACAAAAATCTCAGTTCAATTTATTGTAGAATTTAAGGATTACAAATATCACAATAATCATGAACTATGTGAGAATTTGGAATTCATGCCTTTACCTCCCTCAACTTACAGATTAATAAAAATAAATGTAAAGACATTCATTGACTTGTCCAAAATAAAACAACTGAAAATTAGCAGAGCCATGACAATGTGTTACTACAAATCTGCAGTTCAAGTATTTTTTTCATTATTACATCAAGGAATTAAAAATCTAATTGGGGAAATTATAAAATATACCTATTCCATTCTTTGTAATGCCAATTAAAGTAGTTTGTACACTGCTTTATACCTTTTTAGGAGATAGTAAGTGCAAGGACAATACTTCATGGGTTTTATTGGGAAGTGATTATCTAAAAAATTGTGTGTTTGCCTTAACATACAAAAACTAATCAATATAATTCACTATCACATTAACTGAATAAACGGGAAAAGCTAAATGTTTATCTCAATAAGTGCAGAAAAAGCATTTAATAAAATTCAAGTTTGATTAACAAACTCTCAACAAACTAGTAATAGAGGAGAACTTTCTCAATTTTACAAAGAAAATAACATACAGCTAGAATTGTGCTTAATGGTGACATATTGAACAGTATAACCATCATTTCTGGAACAAGGCAAGGGAGCTCACTTTTATTCAATATTGAATAGATTATTTTAGCCAATGCAGTAAGATAATAAAACAAACAAATAATAAAAGACTGACCATGTCAAGTCTTGATGAAAATGTAGATTACTGGAAACATTGTATATCACTGGTGAGAGAATAGAAAAGACACCCACTTTGGGAATAAATTTATCAGCTGTTTTCTAAAGTTATCCATGCGTCTATATTGTGATCCACCAATTCTCTCTCTTTTCTTTTTTCTCTTTCTTTCTTTCTCTTTCTTTCTTTCTTTCTTTCTTTCTTTCTTTCTTTCTTTCTTTCTTTCTTTCTTTTCTTTCTTTTTCTTTCTTTCTCTTTCTTTTTCTTTCTTTCTTTCTTTCTTTCTTTCTTTCTTTCTTTCTTTCTTTCTTTCTTTCTTCCTTTCTCTTTCTTTCTTTTTCTTTCTCTTTTCTTTCTTCTTTCTTTTTTTTCTTTCTTTCCTTCTTTCTTTTATCTTAATTGACTCATGATAATTGTACATACTTATGGGGTACAATGTGATGTTTCAATACATGTAAACATTGTGTAATGATCACATTTGGGGTAATGAGCATATCCATCACCTCAAGCATTTATTATTTCTTTATAGTCCGAACATTCAAAATCTTCTCTTCTAGGTAAGATGGCAGACAGGAAGCAGGACTAGCTTGCAGCTACAGCTCAGATGGATAGAGCAGCATGTGAAGACTCACATCATGAACTTTTGCACCAGTAACTACTGCAGGAACATACCAGGAAAGCAGAAAGAATCCACAGGCGCTTTGAAGGAACTGGATCACCTCTGCAAGCTTCCTGAGATGCTGAAAAATTGTGAGTCTGCTTGCTTTCTTAATGAGGAGGCTTGTGGTCTGGGGCAGGTTCTAAGCCCTGGTCACTGGCTGCCTGGAAATAGACTCAGTGTTATTGGGGGAAGGGGGCATGGTGAAAGTGAGACCAGCCTTTAGGACTGCAGGCTGTGTGGGAATAGAGTAAGGCCTGTGACTGCCAGCTTTCTCCCATTTCACTGGTGACCTGTATGACTCAGCAGAGGCAGCCATAATCCCCCTGGGAATGTAACTCCATTAAACTGGGAACTACACCTCCATTCCCCACAGCAGCCACAGCAAGCCCTGCCCAAGGAGAGGCTGAGCTCAGAAATTCTTATCCCTGCCCCAACTGATGGTCTTTCTCTACCCACCCTGGTAGCTGAAGACAAAGGTCATAATCTCTTGGGAGCTCTATGGCCCGCCCAACACCAGAGAAACCTGAATACTTAACCTGGTGTCCTTAGGGCAAGTTTGCATCCTCCCTATAGGACCTGATATAAAGCTGATGCATTCTGAAAGCACCACCTCCTGGGTGAAGGCCAACAACACAAAACCAGTGCACTAAACAAAAACACAACCAAGGACCCTCACAGAGTCTACTTCACTCCTCTGCCACCTCCACTGGAGCAGCTGCTGGTATCTACAGCTTCAAGACCTGAAGATGGGTCACATCACAGGACTCTTTGCAGACACTCTCCAGTACCAGCCCAGTGCCCAGGAGCTCCGCTGGGTGGCCAGGCACAAAAGAGCAAAAACAATCACTATAGTTTGGCTCTCAGGATGCCCCAGTCCTAGGAGAAGGGGTAGAATAATATATCAAGGGAGCACCCTGTGGGACAAAAGAATGTAAACAGCAGCCCTTGAATCCCAGATCTTCCCTCAGACATAATCTACCCAAATAAGAACGAACCAGAAAAACAATTCTGGTAATATGACAAAACGTGGTTCTTCTTCCCCCAAAAGATCATACCAGCTCACCACAATGGATCCAAACCGAGATGAAATTTCTGAATTGCCAGAAGAAGAATTCAAATGGTTGATTATTAAGCTAATCAAGGAGGCACCAGAGAAAGGTGAAGTCCAACTTAAAGAAATAAAAAACATGATACAAGATATGAAAGGAAAATTCTTCAGTGAAATAAAGAGCATAAATAAAAAACAATCACAACTTCTGGAAATCAAGGACACACTCATAGTGTTCCTGGACCAAACTGACGGCTGGGCTGCTCTTTCTTGTGGCCCAATATCAAGATGCAGATGAACTGGGGAGGAAGAGAGTTTTTAGTTTTGTAACTGCTTACAGGGAGAAAGCCTGGAAATTATTGCCAGACCAACCTAAAATTACAAAGTTTTCCAGAGCTTACATACCTTCTAAGCTATACGTTTACATGCAAGTGTGCATTTATCTAAAGACATAAGTGATTAACTTAATCTATAACTAAGGTCTGAGTCCTGAAGACCTTCCTCTGAAGCCTCAGTAAATTTATCTCATTTAAGTTGGTTCAGATGCTGGGCTGATTACCCTTATTTTGTGTCTTGCTAAATCACAGAGGTTTGAACAGTTCCTTTAGATTCCCAATAAACTTGTTTGTGGAGGCCTGGGGAGTTTCTTCAGACTGACAGTACAACTTGTTTAATCCTAAATGGGTTCTGTTAAGAATTCCTTTTTTATTTTGTCGTGGTTTAAGGCCCAGGAAAGGCCTAGGCAGAATTCTTGGTGGACTTTTGTTACATCCCAGCCTTTGTATAAGGGCACTGACTTTTAATATTTAACTTAACCGTTTAGTCAGTACTGAAACAGTTGTGAGTGAGATCTGGACTGCCACAAGAGAAATGCAAAATGCACTGGAAAGTCTCAGCAATAGACGCAAACAAGCAGAATAAAGAACTTCGAGCTCAAAGACAAGGCTTTTGAATTAACCCAACCCATCAAAGACAAGGAAAAAAGAATTTAAAAAATGATCAAAGCCTCCAAGAAGTTTGGGATGATGTTAAATGTCCAAACTTAATAATAATTGGTATTCCCAAGGAAGAAGAGAGAGCTAAAAGTTTGGAAAATCTATTTGAGGGAATAATTGGGGAAAAGTTCCCCAGCCTTGCTAGAGATCTAGACATCCAAATACAAAAAGCTCGAAGAACACCTGGAAATTCATTACAAAAAGATCATTGCCTAGGCATGTAGTCATCAGGTCATCTAAAATCAAGATAAAGGAAAGAATTTTAAGAGCTGTTAGGCAAAAGCATCAGGTAACCTATAAAGGAAAATCTATCAAATTAACAGCAGATTTTTCAGAAGAAACCCTACAAGATAGAAGGGATTGGGGTCCTATTTTTAGCTTCCTTAGAAAAAAAGATTATCAGCCAAGAATTTTGTATCCAGGGAAACTAAGCTTCATAAATAAAGGAAAGATAGAGTATTTTTCAGAAAACAAATGCTGAGAGAATTCACCACTACCAAGCCAGCACTATAAGAATGCTATTTATAAAAGGAGCCCTAAATTTTGAAATAAATTTTTGAAATACACCAAAATAGAACCTCCTTCAAGCATGAATCTCACAGGACCTGTGTAACAATAATACAATGGAAAAAACACAGGATATTCAGGCAACAAATAGTATGATGAATAGAATAGTACCTCACATCTCAATACTAACATTGAATGTAAATGGCCTAAATGCTCCACTTAAAAGACGCTGAATGGCAGAATGGATAAGAATTCACTGACCAAGTTTCTGCAGACTTACCTAACACATAAAGACTCACATAAACTTAAGATAAAGGGGTGGAAAAAAATATTCCATGCAAATGGACACCAAAAGAGAGCAGGAGTAGCTATTCTTATGTAAGAAAGAAGAAACTTTAAAGTAACAGCAGTTAAAAAAGACAAAGACGAACATTATATAATGACAAAAGGACTAGTCCAACAGGAAAATATCACAATTCTAAATATACATGCACCTAACACTGGAGCTCCCACATTTATAAAACAATTACTACTAGACCTAAGAAATGAGATAGATGAGAACACAATAATAGTGGGGAACTTTAATACTCCACTGAGAGCACTAGATAGGTCATTAAGACAGAAAGTCAACAAAGAAACAATGGACTTAAACTATACCCTACAACAAATGGACTTAACAGATATTTACAGAACATTCTACCCAACAACTGCAGAATATACATTCTCTTCATCAGCACATGGAACATGCTCCAAGATAGACCAAGAAAAGTGGAGAGAAGATCCAAATAAGCTCAATTAGAAACGAAATGAGAGATATTACAATGGATGCCACAGAAATACTAAAGGTCATTTAAGGCTACTACAAACACCTTTATGCACATAAACTAGAAAACCTAGAGAAGATGGATACGTTCCTGGAAATATACAACCCTGCTAGATTAAACCAGGGAGATACACAATGTCTGAATAGACCAATAACAAGCACCAAGAAGGAAATGGTAATAAAAAATATGCCAATAAAAAAGTACAAGACTAGACAGATTCACAACTGAATTCTATCAGATATTCAAAGAAGAATTGGCACCAATCCTATTGACATTATTTCAAAAGATAGAAGATCCTCCCTAAAATAAGCAGAAATAATTCTGTGAAGCCAGTATCACCCTAATACCAAAACCATGGAAGAATATAAGAAAAAAAGAAAACCACAGACCAATATCCCTGATGAACATAGATGCAAAAATCCTCAACAAAATACTAGCAAACTGAATCCAAAAGCATGTCAAAAAGATAACCCACCATGATTAAGTGGGTTTCATACCAGGGATGCAGGGGTGATTTAGCATATGTAAGTCAGTAAATGTGATATACCACATAAACAATTAAAAAAACACATGATCATCTCAATAGATGCAGGAAAAAAAAAAACATTTGACAAAATCCAGCATCTGTTTATGATTAAAACCCTCAACAAAATTGGTATAGAAGGAACATAACTTAGGTAATAAAAGCCATCTATAACAAACCCAAGCCAACATTATACTGAACAGAAATAGTTGAAAACATTCTCTCTGAGAACTGGAACAAGACAAGGATTCCCAACTCTCACCACTTCTGTTCAACATAGTACTGGAAGTCCTAGCCAGAGCAATCAGACAAGAGAAAAAAATAAAGGGCATCCAAATCAGAAAAGAGGAAGTCAAACTGTCACTGTTTGTTGATGATATGATCGTATACCTAGAAAACTCTAAAGACTCATCCAAAAAGCTCCTAGCACTGGTAAATGAATTCAGCAAAGTTTCAGGATACAAAATTAAGTACACAAATCAATAGTTCTCCTATACACCAACAGCAACCAACCTGAGAATCAAATTAAGAACTCAACCCCTTTTACAATGGCCACAAAAATATTATAATACTCAGAAATATACCTAACCAAGGACATGGAAAACCTCTACAAGGAAAACTAAAAAATGCTGCTGAAGGAAATCAGAGACAATACAAACAAATAGAAACACATCCAATGCTCATGGATGGGTATAGTCAATATTGTGAAAATGACCATACTTTAGATATATACTCAGTTACAGGATTGCTGGATCCTTTGGTAGTTCTATGTTTGATTTTTTGAGGAACCACCATACAGTTTTCTATCATGGTTGTACTAACTTATGTTTCTACCAACAGAATACCAAAGGTTTCTATTTCTCCAGATACTCGCCGACTTGTTATCTTTCTGATACTAGTCATTTTAACTTCAGTAAGATGATATCTCGTGGTTTTGATTTGAATTTCTCTGATGATTAGTGATGTTGAGCATTTTCTCATACATCTGTGGGCCGTTGTATGTCTTATCTTGAGTAGTGTCTATTTAGGTCTTTTGCCCATTTTTAAAATTGAATTACTTGTACTCACTATTTTTCTGTTCAGCTTTTCTATTTCTTCATCATTCAATCTTGGTAGGTTGTATTTACCTAGAAATTAATTCATGTATTCTAGGTTTTACAGTCTGTTGCGGTATAGCATAAATACTAAAAAGATCCTTTGTATTTCTGTGGTGTCATTCTATAGTAATGTTTCCTTTTCACCCCTGATTTTATTTATTTAGGTTTTCTCTATTTTTTTTCTTAGTCTAGCTAAAGTTTTGACAATTTTGTTAATCCTTTCAAAAAATCAACTTTTTGTTTCATTGACCTTTTATAATTTTTTAGTCTTAATTTTAATTATTTCTTCTCTAATCTTTATTTTTTCCTTCTATTAATTTTAAGTTTGGTTTATTCTTGCTTTTCTAGTTCTTTGAGGTGCATTGTTAGGTTGCTTGCCTGAAGTCTTTCCTTTTTTGATGTAAATGTTCATTACTATAATTTTCCCCTTAGTACTCTTTTTGCTGTATCCTATAGATGTTGTTTCTATATTCATTTGTTTGAGCAAAATGTTTAATTTTATTTTCTTACTTTCTTAATTGATCTATTGGCCATTTGGAGCATGTTTTTAAATTTCCCACGTATTAGTACAGTTTTCAAAGTTTCTCTTGTTATTGATTTCTAGTTTTATTCTATTGTGGTAACTAAAGATATCTGATATTATTTCAACTTTTTTGAATTTGTTGAGTCTTGTTTTGTGGCCTAATATATGTTCTACCTTTGAACATGTTTCATATGCTGATTAGAAAAATGTGTATTCTGCAGCAGTTGGATGAAATGGTCTGTAAATGTTAGGTCTAGTTGGTCTAGCATAGTTTAACTTCAGTGTTTCTTTGTTGATTTTCTGCATAGATCGGTCCATTGCTGAAAGTGGGTGTTAAAGTCCTCTACTGTTATTTTATTGTAATCTATCTTTTCTTTTAGAACTATTAATATTTGCTTTATATATTTGGGTGCTTTGGTATTGGGTGCTTATATATTTACTACTCTTATATCCTTTTGCTGAAATGACTCTGTTATCATTATATAATGACCTTCTGTGTCTCCTTTTACAGCTTGTGACTTATAGTCTATTTCATGTGATATAAGTATGAATATTCCTGCTATTTTTGGCTTCCGTTTGTGTAAGATATCTTTTCCCATACTTTCACTTTTAGTTTATGTGTGTTTTTATAGGTGAAGTAAGTTTCTTGTAGGCAGTATATAGTTGGGTCTTGCTTTTTAATCTATTCAGCCACTCTGTTTGTTAATGAAAGAATGCAGCCCATTTGCACGCAACAATATTATTGATAGGTAAAGACTTACTACTGCCATTTTGGTTACTTGTTTTTTAGTTGTTTTGTGACTCCTTTCCTCCTTCTTCCTTTTTTACCATAGTCCTTTGTGGTTAAGTGATTTTCTCTGGTAGTCTATTTTAAGTTGTTGTTTTTTGTTTTTACTGTGTCTATTATAGATTTTTGCTTTGTGGTAACCATGAGGTATACTAAAACACTTCGTTATAACAAGGTATTTAAAACTGACGTGAACATTTATTACAAAAAAAGAGAAACATAAACACAAATAAATTTTTTATGTATTAACACCTTTCTTACTCCACATTTTGAATTTTGGATGCCATAATTTGCATTTTTATAATATTTCTGATCTCTTAACAAATTTTTGCAGCTATTATTTTTTAATAGTTTTATCTTTTAGTCTTCTTAATATAGATATAAGTGTTTTACACACCTCAATTACAATGTTAGTGTAACAATCATGGTAGTGTCCTCTTCTTTTGATTTGTAGAACTCCCTGTAACATTTCTTATAGGACGAGTCTGGTTACAATAAAATTTCTCAGCTTTTGTTTGTCTGTGAGCATTTTTATCTTGCCCTCATTTATGAAACATAGCTTTGCAAAATAGAATATTATTGGTTGGCAGGTTTCTTCCTGCAGCACTCTAATATTGCCCTACTCTCTCCTGTCCTGTAAGGTTTTTGCTGAGAATTCTGTTGCCAGGCATATGGGATCTCCCTTAGATAGTAATTGTTACTTTTCTCTCACTGCTCTCAGGATGCTCTTTTGTCTTTGAACTTTGAGAGTTTTATTATAATATGTCTTGAGGTATTCTTATTTGGGTTGAATCTGATTGGTGACCTCTAACTTTCCTCTACCTGAATATTTATATTTTTCTTCAGGTTTGAAATGTTTTCTGTTATTATTTATTTGAATAAACTTTTTATCCCTTTGTCTTTCAGTTTCTTCTTTTACTGTAATAACCTAAATATTTGCCCTTTTGATGTTGCCACAAATATCCTGTAAGCTTTCTTTGTTGCTTTTTCTTTTTTCTCCTCTGAGTGTCCATTTTAAAATATTGTGTGTTTGATCTCACTAATTCATTCTTCTGTTTCATCAATTCTGCTGTTGATGCTCTTTATTGCATTTTTAATTTCATTAATTCTATTTTTCTGCTCCAGGATTTGTTTGATTTCTAATAAATTATTTCTATTTTTCTGTTAAATTTATCCGATAAATTTCTGAATTAATTATCTGTTTTCTTGAAGTTCATTGAACTTCCTTAAAAACCACTATTTTGAATTCTTTGTGTAAGAGATCACATGTCTCCATCACTTTAGGACTGGTCTCTCAATCTTATTTTTTGGTGAGTCATATTTGGTGAGTCATATTTCACTGAATATTCCTGATGCTTATGGATGGGCAATGATATATGTGCACTGAGGGATTAGGTATTTATTTTAGTTTTTTTCAGCCTGGCTTTTTACTGAAAGCCAAAGAAGGTAACATGCTTATAGCCCCTCATAACAATCCCTGGAGGCCCTCCAGATTGACTGTTGAGTCCTGTGATCCTGTGACCATTGCAGTTATCACAGCACTAGAAAATGCTCTAAGCCCGGGCTTGCCACGAATCACATGGGGACTCTGAGGTAGACGCGGCTTTTCAGCCCAGACATACCTAGGGAAGACCCAAAAAGGATACTGGTGCTATGTGAGAGTACTGGCCAGAAACTTAAGTCCAGAAGACTATCCCAGTGGCTCAGACAGGTGTGCCTCCCAGCAGGTCTATGGACAGGTGGGATGTGTCCCTCCCTGCTATAATGAGAAGGTTTGGAGTTGAGACCAGGCCCCCAAAGGATCTGTTGTAAAAAAGAGGTTGCAGTGCTTATTTCATTGACTTAGACAGGGACGCATCTCCCAGCAGATCTCAGCATAGCTGAAAAAGTTCTCTGATTCTAGTGAGAAGGGCCAGAGATGAGACTGGGCCCTCTCAGGATCTGCTCTCTCAAAAGGGCCTTCCAAGGTCTTGGGCTCAACTGGGGTTTTTATAAACTCCCTTCTAAACCCTGAGGCTCCAGCAGAGAGAAGTTTGACTATGGATGGGTGCAGAATTCTTGTTATGGGGGGCTATGAACAGGTTATCTTCTCATTCCACCATCTTGGTGACATCATCTCATTTTCTTTAAATGAACAGTTTGAGAATGCATTTGCCATACTACCTTATCTAAAGTATTATAGTTACTATTTTAAAGTAAATATTTATTGCAAATAATAATTTAATCTCACTGAAAAACATCTGTAAATAACTGTTCAAGTGTCTGTAGCTCTGAAGACCTGTGAATGAGAGTTGGGAGCCAAATTTTTAAAGAAGCATGAGAGTTAAACATTGTTAGTGCCTATCCAAGCAGTCTCCAGAGTTGGAGAAGCATTAGTTAACAGGCTTTAAGTTATTCTGATCCCAATATTGCGTTGATCCTATTCATTTGATTTGTCAGCTAGTCTCCTTTGTTGATTCTGTGCTTGAAAAACAATTTTCCAATTCAGTTTTGTTTCCCCCTTTTAAGTCTACTAATTGAGAAAAAAAATGCACTTGTCTTATAAGTACAGTGACTTCATTTCATATGAATACTATATTACACTTTATACATTGATAAACAGGGTAACAGAATCAATATATCAGTTTTGAGTGTTCAATTAATAGGAGCCTGACACTGAGAGATGGATCCAAATCACTACATAGTCTCACTAAAGTAATAAATGGCCATGAGAGGCCCACTGGGAGCTATCTAACCTAATATTTTGCTCAGTGCCTGAAAGGTACTTTATTTTTAATAGTCATAGCATTTCAGTACAGTAAGTGCTATGTCTTAATTTCTCACCTCTAAAATGAGGATAATAATCTTTATATGCCTATATTGTCTTTCTAATACTTTGCTTGGCAAACACTGCTGGTTTCCAAACCAAAAGTCATCTGTATCCTACTCTGGTCCCATATCTTCATCTTCTTGGCTGGAAAAGCCTGCTTTCTACAACAGAAAGTAAATATTCTAGAAAATTATAGAAAATTGCTTTAGTTGTTTTTGTTGAATTTGGGGATATTACTTGGTCCTTGCCAGAAGAATCAGGGAAATTCTGGAAAGTTTTTCTTCCTGACAAAAAGAAACACACACGAGCAGTTCAAAAACTACTTCTTTCTGTCTTTGGATGCTGCCGTGTAGAGACATGATGCCTTGAGCTGCAACAGTCACCCTGTAGGTATGGGCAAGCAAGCTGAGCCTAAAATTCAAATCACTGAGCAGGGCAAAGTACAAAAATGAAAAACTTGAGTACTTGATTACTGTTACATAATGAATGTTTTTCTCCCCACGAAGTTTACTTGTTGAAAGCTTAATTTCAATGTGATAGTATTTTAGGTGGGGCTTTTGGGAGGTAACTAGACTCCTATGAATGGGATTGGTGCTCTTATAAGAAGAAGCCATAGAACTAGCTAGCTCTCATTCTATCATGTGAAAATACAATGAAGTCTACAACCTGGAAGAGGATCCTCACTTAACTCAATGATGCTATTTCAATAGTTCCCTGATCTTGGATTTCCAGCCTCCAGAACTGTAAGAAATAAATTTATGTCACATATATAAGGCACCTAGTCTATGGTGCTTTGTTATGGTCCAAAGTGATCAAGACAGTAACATTATTACACTGCAGACCTGGAACTCCCCTGTGCTAAATGTCCAGATATGTGTCACATAATAAAGGTCATTTTGCTTAAGACATTTCTAGATGGTTATTCAGTCACTTATAGGTAACAGCATCCTATCAATATAATGGTTTCATCTAAAGATATTAAGAGTATTACTAATATCTTCATAAAATTTGTTATGATATAAATAAAAATGATTAATATGATCAATTTATAGCATTTTGAAGACTAACATGACTCCTTTGAATATGAGTATGAGTTTAATTACTATTGCTTCCATCTAAGTCAGTTTCATTTAGGAGTAGTAATGCAAACCAAAGAAATAGGTTTTCTATTTTAAGGTTGCCTATTGATAATGAAAGAAGTATAATAACTTTTTAAAATATGGGTTTAGACCAGTGCAGAAATAATTGAGATGGAGAATGAACCTCTCTACACCCTTCCATTATGAGCATGCAGAGATGGCGAATTATAAACAAAGAGAATTCTGCTTGTCCATTCTGTTTCTTTCTAAAGGTATAAAAATAAAACCTTGATAAGGGCAGTTTCCTTTTGGGGTAGCAGCAAGTGGGAGAGGTCTAGAAGGCTTCCAGTTCTTTTGTGCAGGTGGTATGCTTTCCCTCTTACCTTTTCCTTAAAACCACAGGACTGACACAGACCAGGGTTCAATTCTGGCAACTACCCAATTACATTACCAAAGTAGAAGATCACAAATGTGCGCACACGCGCGCGCACACACACACACACACACACACACACACACACACACACTAAGCTCACAGGCTAAATCTAGAAACCTAACAAGTACAACTACATCAAAAGGAAGAAAACAAACTGGGCAACATATGCTGTGTAAAAAAGAAATCTTGGAATAGATTGACTAAAATTTTATAATAATATTGGTAATTTTCACTAAGGGTATAAAGGAAAAAATTAACCATATGAAACAAGAATTAAAATTACTTTTAAAAATAGAAAAAAATGAGAAAGGTAAGCAATAAAAAGTTTTTTTAAATAAAGACCACAATAATTTGAATAAATAGTCAGATAGATTAAAAAAAAAAGACAAAGAAATTACTGTGTTAAACATCAAACCAAGGAATTCTCCGAGAAAGCACCAGCTAATAATATATTTAAAAGTTTTTTTTAAGTATAAGGGTATGGAGAATAGAAATAGAAATTGGAATATCCAGGAGATAGAAATTCCAGAGGAAAAAACAAAAATGAAAAGAGGAAGTAATTGAAGAAATAATTGAAATAATTTCCGTAAAGTTAAAGATAAGAGACTAATTGAAAGGGTTCCTAAATAGGAGAAATATCAGACAAGAGAGGCAAGTAAAACTCCAAACCTGTGCACATTAGAGTGACATTGCAGAAAATTAAAGATAAATTCTAAAGGCTTCAAGAACAGACTAACCATACTGCATATTCAGATTTGCATCAAATTGTTCCGGCAATACTAGTAGTAGAAAGATAATGGAATAATATGTTAAAGATATTAAATAAAAATAATTGTATATTTAGAATTTTATACCTAGCCAAACTGTCATTTAAATTTGAGAACATAATAGTCTTAAAGTAGGTAATTTTAAGATGGCCCCAAGATCTCGGGCCCCTTACATACACACCTGCCATAATTTCCCAGAGTATAAATATTTTACTGCTATGATGAGTTATGTCAGGTGGTATACTTGACTTTAAGAAAGGAATGTTATCCAACTGGCTTAGTCTAATCACAAGAGCCCCTTAAATCTGAGTACAGAGGACAGAGAAAAGGGGAGTCAGAACTTTGAAATAGAGACATACTCCTGCTGGCATGGAAGAAGCCACCAACAAGTTGTAGAGAGGGTCACATGGTGCAGGGAGTGGCAAACAGCCTCTAGGAGCTAGGAATGGCCCCCTGGTCAACAGCCAGCAAGAAAAAGGAGATCTCAGTCCTGTAATCACCAGGAACTACATTCTTCCCACAACCAAAATGAGTTTGGAACTGGATTTTCCCTGGAACTTCCAGACAAGAACTAAGCCAAGCCAACATCTTATCTCTAGCCACCTGAGCCACTAAATGGAGGACTCAGGCATCTAAGCAGAACTCCTAACCTACTGAAATGGTGAGATAATAAATTCATGTTGTTTTAAGCTGCTAAATTTATGGCAAACTTCTGCATAGCAATAAAAACTAATGCAGAAGTATTCATGCATAAGTACTATATTAAAACCAACTGGAGTTTTCAAATAGAAAGAAAATACTAGGCAATACTTTAAGATGAGAACAAATCAAGAACAGAAAATGATACTATTATTTCACTAACAAACATGTTTGAAGAGCTCCTAAATAAAAGATTAACTAGTTAATTCCCATTATATATTCCCAATTTTCCTAAGATTATAATCCTAATTATATGTATATAATTATAATTAATTATAGTTCCTTTTGAGGCATAACAAGTTACCCAAATTATTGGTGTGAAAAAAACCCAAGTGTTTTGCTTTTCTCAGGCTTTATGGATAGGGATTATGGGAAGAACTGAGCAGAGTTCTCACTCAGTCTCATTTGGTTGCAGTTAGATGTTGGCTGAGACTGTAATCTTCTACCTTTGCCTGATAGTTAAATGCTGAATTTGAGTGTGGCATGTATTAAGAATTGGCAGAATTTAAAACGTCTCCTGTGGTCTGACCAAAATGTCTTTAAAGATTATTGTCTTATTTGGGACACAAGAATCTTATCTACCAGTCAAAGCTGAGACATGATTTTATTGTTCTAGCTACTGTCTGCCTTTCTCCCAGAAACAATGACCGTTATTGCTCCTGTAATAGGTTGGAAGCCCCAGAGCAACACAATCAAAAATCGAATCTGATATGGAAATTTCGCACATATTTGTATTACTATGAGTTACACTACTATATGCCAAGTGCTGTGCACAGTCTTAGTTATAAAAATCAATAAGATAATATTTCTGCCCAAGTGGAGTTCCTAATCTCATAGCAGAGAAAAAATATATAAAGAGCTAACCACAATTACACACAACTAATCCTATAATAATGGTAAAAACAAAGCAATGTGGGAGCACAGAGAAAGCTCAACTAAAAGTACCCAGAAAACAGGTGTGCCTTAGTACTATATTTCCATTGTATTTATACATTGAAATTGGACTATATCAATGGCAAAAGATAATATAATTTAGAGAACATGTTGTATATCCTAACCAGGGAGCAGAAAATGTCAACATCTTTTATATTAAAGGAAAATTGTTTCTTGCAATTTCAGTGTATTTGACCATGAGGAAAACAAATCAGTTTTTGCTCTTTCTTGTTTATCATTTCTTTTCTTGTTTATTACTCTTATTTATTATAGTTTAGCTTTGTTTGTTTAAAGATGATTTTCTGAAATTCAGTTTTCCTAAGATTATTTATTGAGGCATGCAGTTTTGTCTTCAAAAATTAAATTTTTCTCTTTTTAAAATCTAATATTAACCTTGACCATTATTTGTAATTACCTACGATTTGTGCAACATTAGTGAAATGCTGTGGGACATTTCTGGATGAAAAACATCAAAGATTTTGCCCTACAAGTCTTAAATTCTGGTAGGAGAGACGGCAGCATGAAAATAGTATGATATCAGATAAAATAAAATAAATGCCATCAAAATGTTATGGAAAACAAAGTAAATGTTTCACGAGTTTTGATCGTCATGATTATTGTTTTTGGTTGCTCCCTGTATCCTCAATGACATAATGCATCTTCAGTTTATATTTTTAATATTTTTATAATTTCATCCTTTTTAAGAGTTATAACTTAAAAAGTGGCTCCAGGTGAGAACACTAAGGTCAGAGAAGTCCATTGTCATATGGTTCAACGGCAAGATTCTGACACAGTGTTTCACAATGTTTATTAGCTAGACCAGGTACTGCAAAATTCATGGGCTGTGGTTAAATTTGGCTCACAGATATGTCTTAATATTGTGATCATTTTTAGCTATTTAAGTATTTCAAAATAGTTTCTAGCAGAGCATGCCTTCTTAAATATATATATAAAATATACGTATTATATATGTGTACACACACACAGACACACATATATGTGTGATTTGGCCATCTTACAATGGTTGAGCCTCCAAAGGCATCTGGGTCTAAAATTCCTTCTGAATCTATGCCCTACAGTATATGCAACACACTGCATGAAATGCAGCAGTGGCAGTTCCCAAAACCTGTTGTGTTCTGTTTAGCTTCTGGGTATTTGAACTGCTGTTCCCACTGCATGGAATAAGTTCCTCCACAATTTCTTTTTTGTTAAACTAAGTATAATTTATTTGAAGACTCAGATACGAGGGCCCCTCCAAGGATGTTGGGCCAGACTGGTTTTGCCATGTCTTCTACTTGTAAGCACTACATTCTGAATTTATTAAGACATTTTAAAGTCTATATTGTAACCATTTATTTCCTTCCAAATTGAGAGCAGATACCATCTCTGCATCTTGGAATCTTAGTGTTGTGCAGTATCTCAGGCTCATAGAAAAACTTCAATAAGTGTTTATTGAAAAACTATTATTTTGTCAAGTTGTTTAGAGATGATAAAAATTTTATGAGAGTTCAATATTTGTTAGCACTTTCTTAGAAAAGTACTCTAGCATAAGCATGTTCTTTGAATGTGATTCACATTGTACCCTTATATGCCTTTGATTATATTTTAAAATCCACTAGGGAAAATAATTACAAATCTAACATATACAAAGTCAAAATTATATGGAAAAGGGAGGAATAGATACATTTTTAAAAATGTTACTACCTGAAAACATTTTTGAAAGTATAGCTTAATAAAAGTGTATCTAACTGAAAGGAAATAAAATATACAAGAGTGTAGAACAAAGAAACTACTAAAATTTATATTAAAGCCCAAAGAATAGTTGACAGTATGACTACAATGCTTCAGGAAATTGTCAAGCCTTGATTCTTAAAAACAATACAGGCATAGAAATTTCCCAATATTTTCAACAGATCATGGGAGTTAACAATGATGGAGAAGAGAAAAAAGTAAAATCATTCTAAGAGTCTTGTGAGTATTATGGTCGGCTAAGGTTCTAATTAGTTCTGGATGTCAATAGAAAATACAATCAAATGCATGAATTAAATCTTAAATGTAATCTTTCTTCATCTTATTAGGATGTAAAAATTTCCATGAGAGCATTATCTTCATCAGAAGAATGAGAAGAAGTTGGATAACTGACAAAAATCACAGCTTTATTATTTCAGCCTAGCTGAGATCACAGAGCAGTGTAATGAACCACATGTAAAAAGATACCAATCCTCCCTAGGAAACAAGAGACCTAAGGCTAATTTCATCCTTGACAGGGCAGAGAGAGGAAGAAGCAGCTCCAAGAGACATAGACATCTTTAGAGAGCCATTATCCTACCATGCCACAGACAGGAAATTTCACTGGAGATATGGATTATAAAAGTCAAGTGTAAATGCTAAAAATAAAAAAATAATAATAAAAAGATAAAGAATTTTTTGATGAGCATCTTGGTAGACAAATAGAGCAGATCACCTACTGAACCCCAAAGCATATATCAATAAATTTAAAAGTATTAAAAAGATACATAGTATGTTCACTGATATAACAATAATGTTAGGGATTAAGAACAATGACATGTCTAAGAAATCTCAAGATATTTGAAAATTATGCAGCCCCTAGGTCAAAGAAAAAATCACAGAGAAAATTAGAACACAGATTCAATGAAAAGATAATGAAAGTAATGCATATCAAACTGCGTGGGATGCAACAAAGAAAGATCCTTAGAGGAACATTATATCACTATGCGGCTATGACACAAAAAAAGAAAACGTATAAAATCCATGATCTATTGTTACCAGCTTAAGGTGGAGAGAGAGGACAAACTACACAGAAAGTGAGGAGAACAAAAGAAATAAGAATTAAATCAGACATAAATGAAATATAAAACATAAGATTAAAAAATGAATAGAGCATCAACAAAATCAAAGGTTGGTTTATTGAAGATAGTAATAATATTGTTAAATCTGTAGCAAGCCCAGTGAAGAAAAAGGACATGAAACCATTAATCAATAATTTTATAAAGAAACATACTAGTAGTTATGAAATATTATAAGATAATAAAGGGCTATTAAGGATATTATGTCAGAAGTTAACAATTTAAATAAAAGAAAGTTCTTTGGAAAGAAACAACTTTCTAAAATTAGCACAAGGGGCTGGGCATGGTGACTCATGCCTGTAATCCCAGTACTTTGGGAGAACAAGGCAGGGGATCACCTGAGGTCAGGAGTTTGAGACCAGCCTGGCCAACATGATGAAACTCCGTCTCTACTAAAAATACAAAAATTAGCCGGGCATAGTGGTGCATGCCTGTAATCCCAGCTACTCAGGAGGCTAAACAGAAGAATTGCTTGAACCTGGGAGGTGGAGTTTGCAGTGAGCCAAGATTGCACCAGTGTACTCCAGCCTGGGTGGTAGAGTGAGACTCCATCTCAAAAACAAAAAAAAGGAAATTGATAATTGCAGTTGTTTTGTATCTGTTAAAGAAAGTGAATTTTTACTTTAAAAACTTACCACAAAGGAAACCCTAGGATCAAATTTTTTCACTAGTAAATTTTCTCAAACATTAAAGGAAGAGTACGCAAATTATTTCAGAAAATAAAGGAGAAGAGAACACTTATCAACTCACTCTGTAAGGACAGCATAACATTAACACCCAAACCAATGAAGGCTATTACAAGAAAACAAAGTTACAAACCAATATCTCTCCTAAGTCTACAAATAACATTATTATTTATAATAATTATAAGAATTATTAGCAAATAATTTATACACACACACATCACACAAAGGACAACTAGACAAAGTGGGGTATATATCAAGAATAAAGGTTAGATAACCATTCAAAATGAATTAATAGTATAGTTTGTAGTCTGGTAATGTAATGTCTCCAGATTTGTTCTTTTCACTTAGTCTTGCTTTGGCTATGAGGGCTCTTTTTGGTTCCATATGAATTTTAGGATTGTTTTTTCTAGTTCTGTGAAGAAAGATGGTGGTATTTTGATGGGAATTGCATTGAATTTGTAGATTGCTTTGGACAGTATGGTCATTTTCACAATATTCATTCTATCCATCCCTGAGCATGGGATGTGTTTCCATTTGTTTGTGTCATCTATGATTTCTTTCAGCAGTGTTTCGCAGTTTTCATTGTAGAGAACTTTCACCTCCTTTGTTTCGCATAATCTTAAGTATTTTAGTTTTTTGCAGCTATTGTAAAAGGCATTAGTTATTAGTTATTATTGTAAAGGGGATTAATTATAGTAAAAGGGATGAGTTATAGTCACCAAAACAGCATGGTACTGTTACAAAAACAGGCATATAGGCCAGTGGAATAGAATAGAGAACGCAGAATTGAACCCAAGTACTTACAGTCAATGGATCTTTGACAAGCAAACAAAAACATAAAGTGGGGAAAGGACACCCTATTCAACAAATGGTGTTGTGATAATTTGCAAGCTACATGTAGAAGAATGAAAATGGATCCTCATCTCTCACCTTATACAAAAATCAATTAAAAGTGGATCAAAGACTTAAACCTAAGACCTGAAACCATAAAGATTCTAGAAGGTAACTTTGGAAACACCCTTCTAGACATTAGCTTAGGGAAAGACTTCAAGACCAAGGACCCAAAAGCATATGCAATGAAAACAAAGATAAATAGATGAGACTTAATTAAATTAAAAAGCTCATGCACAGCAAAAGAAATAATCAGCAGAGTTAACAGGCACCCCACAGAGTGGGAGAAAATCATTGCAAATTATAAATCCTACAAAGGACTAATATCCATAATCTACAAGGAACTCAAATGAATCAGCAAGTAAAAACAAACAAAAAGTGGGCTAAGGACATGAATAGACAATTCTCAAAAGAAGATATAATACTAATGGCCAATGAATATATGAAAAAATGCCCAACATCACTAATTATCAAAGAAATGCCAATCAAAACCACAATGTGATACCACCTCACTTCTGCAGGAATGGCCATAATCATAAATCAAAAGACAAAAGATGTTGGTGGGGATGTGGTGAAAAGGATTACCCTGTTGGTGGGAATGTAAGCTAATACAACCACCATGGAGAACAGTGTAGAGATTCCTTAAAAAACTAAAAGTAGAGCTACCGTTCGATCCAGCAATCCCATTTCTGGGTGTCTACCAAAAGCAAAAAAAGTAATTATATGGAAACGATATTTACACATGCATGTTTATAGCAGCACAATTTGCAATTGCAAAAAATGAACCACCCCAAATGCCCATCAATAAATGAGTGGATAAAGAAAATGTGATCATATATGGTATATATATAATATATATGGTATGTATATATAATATATATGGTATATATATATTTCATATATGGTATATATAATATATGTATATATTATATATATATACACACACACACACCATGAAATACTACTCAACTGTAAAAAAGAATAAAATAATGGCATTTCTAGCAACCTGAATGGAATTGGAGACTATTATTCTAAGTGAAGTAACTCAGGAATGGAAAACCAAACGTCATGTGTTCTCACTTATAAGTGGGAGTTAATCTGTGAGGATGCAAAGACATAAGAATGATACAATGGACTTTGGGGACTCAGGAAAAGAGTGGGAGGGGGGCGAGGGATAAAGGATTACACATTGGGTAAAGTGTATACTGCTTAGGTGATGGGTGCACCAAAATCTCGGAAATCACCACTAAAGAACTTATTTATCTAACCAAACACCACCAGTTTCCCAAAAACCTATTGAAAAAAATAAGTTAATATAATTAGCATATTTCATATTGTCCATTCATCAGTCAATGGACATTTCAGTTGTTTCCACCTTTAGGCTATTACAGTAATGCTGCTACAAACATTCATGCAGAAGATTTTGTGTGGAAATATGTTTTCATTTCTCCTGGGAATATATATATATATATATATATAATGAGTGTAAATACTCAGTCATACGGTGCTATGGGTTGACTTGTATGCCCCAGAAAAGATAGGTGGGAGTCTTAGCCCCTGGTACCTCAGAATGTGACTTATCTAGATAGAGGTTCTTTACAAAAGTAATCAAGTTAGAATGGGATCATTAGAGTGAGCCTTAATCCATTATGACTGGTGAACTTCAAAAGAAGAGAAATTTGGACACAGAAATGCATGGGGGAAAGAGGACAAGAAATAAGCAGAACACTGCAAGCCTGGAAAGACGTGTGGCTACAGAAGCTAGGAAAGAGGTAAGGGACAGATTCTCCCTGGTAGCCCTCAGAAAGAAACAACCCTGCCAACATTTGATTTTGGACTTCTAGCCCCCGGAAATGTAAGAAAATAAATTTCTGTTGTTTAAATCACCTAGTTTACGGTACTTTGTATGTTAGCCCCAGGAAACTTATACACACAGAAACTCTATGTGCAACCATGTGAGGAATTGTCAGACTGTTCTTCAGATTGGCTATATCATTTTGCATTCCCATCAGCAGTATACGAATGTTCTGTTTCTCCACATCCGTTTAACATATGTTATCTATTTTAATATTATCTGCCTTTCTTATTATAACCATCCTAGTGACAGGGAAGTGGCATCATATTACGGAACTTTAGTTGCATTTCCCTGATGACTAACAATATTGAGCAGCTTTTCATGTGCTTATTGGCCACTTGCATATTTTCTACAGAAAAATGTTTATTCATATCCTTTGCCCATTTTAAAATTTGATCATTTGTCTTATTGCTGAGTTGTAAGTGTTATTTACATATTATAGATACATGTCTTTATTAGTCATATAATTTGAAAATATTTTTCCCATTCTATGAGTTGTCATTTTACTTTCTTGATAGTGTCCTTCTAAGCACAAAATATTTCAAATTTATTTTTTAATTGAAATAAATTTCAATTTTTTTGCTTTATTCCTCAAGATTTTGATATTATTTTATAATTAATTGCCAAGTCTGAGGTCATGAAGATTTACTTCTATGTTTTCTTCTTAGAATTTTATACTTTTAAGCCTTACATTTAAGGCTTTAATTCACTTTGAGTCCATTTGTATATATGATGTGAATTAAGGATCCAGTGTCATTCTTTTACATGTGTCTATCCAGCTGTCCCACAACAATTTGTTGAAAAAACTCTGCTTTCACCATTAAATAATCTGGGAACTCTTGTCAAAAATCAGTTGACCACAGAAGCATGGTCAACAATTTTTGGTCTCAGTTCTATACCATTGATCTATGTGTTTACCCTTATTCCAGTACCACACTGTATCCATTGTTGCTTTGTAGTAAATTTCGAAAAAGGGAAATGTGAGTCCTTCAACTTTATTATCATTTTTCAAGATTGATTTGGCAACTCTAGGTCACCTGCATTACATATCAATTTTAGCATCAACTTGTCAGGTTCTATAAAAAAAAGTCAGCTGAAATAATTGTAAGTATTGAATTGAATTTGTAGATCATTTTGGGGAACATTGCCACTTTAACAGTATTAAAAACTCTTCCAAGCCAGGAACAATGAAAAATTTTTCCATTTATTTAGATTTTCTTTAATTTTTTAACAATGTTTTGTAGTTTTCGGATATAAATTTTGTACTTCTTTTATTAAAAATAGTTTTCCTAAGTATTTTATGCTTTTTGATCCTATTTTAAATGAAATTGCATTCTTAATTTTATTTTTGGATTGAGCATGCAAATGTATAGAAATACAATTTGCTTTTTTATATTGACTTCTATCCTGCAATCTTGTTGAACTCATTTATTGGTTCTAATATTTTTTAGTGCATTCCTTAGGATTTTCTATTATATATGAGATCATGTTACCTGTGAATAGAAATAGTTTTACTGGAAACAGTTTATTTCCTTACCTTTCCTAACTTCCCTGACTAGAACATCTGATACAATGATGAGTAGAAGTGTCAACAGTGGATATCCTTGTCTTTTTCCTGATCTTTCAGAGAAGGCATCTAGTTTCTCACCATCAGGTATGATGTTAGAGTGGATTTTTTTACAGATG
Source organism: Homo sapiens (assembly GCF_000001405.40). Lineage (NCBI taxonomy): Eukaryota > Metazoa > Chordata > Mammalia > Primates > Hominidae > Homo > Homo sapiens. The sequence continues at coordinate 141,601,487 of NC_000004.12, forward strand.
TCCTTTATCAGATGGAGGAAGTTCTCTTCTATTCCTAGTTTTTGAGTGTTTATTTTCATAAAAATATATATTTAAGATATACAACATGTTTGTATACATACACACAAACACAGTTAATTATTACTACAATAAAGCAAACAAATACATCTATCTTCTCACATAGCTGCCTTTTTTGTTTGTGTGGTGAGAGCATCTAAAATCTACTCTTTTAGCAAATTTCCAATAAGCAATACAAATTTCCAATAAGCAATACAGTCATCATGCTGTACATTAGCTCTCTAGATTTATTCATCTTACATAAGGGCAACTTTGTACCCTTTGACCAACATCTCTCCATTTGCCCCAAACTTTTGTCTTTGGTAAACACTATTCTATTTTCTGATTCTGTGCATTTGACTTTTTTAGATTCCACATATAAGTGTGGTCACGCAATGTTTTTCTTACTGTGTCTGGCTTATTTCATTTAGCAAAATTTCCTTTGTGTTAAAAATTTCAAAATTTCCTTCAGTTTACACCATTTGTGACAACAAATGGCAAAAACTCACACAACTCAAGAGAAAAAACAAAAACAAAAACAAAAACAAAAACAAAAACAAAACTCACGCCTGTAATCCCAGCACTTTGGGAGGCCAAGGTGGGCGGATCACGAGGTCAATAGATCGAGGCCATCCTGGCCAACATGGTGAAACTTCATCTCTACTAAAAATACAAAAATTAGATGATCATGGTGGCGCATGCCTGTAATCCCAGCTACTCGGGATGCTGAGTCAGGAGAATCACTTGAACCCAGGAGGTGGAGGTTGCAGTAAGCCAAGATTGTGCCACTGCATTCCAGCCTGGCAACAGAGCAAGACTTTGTCAAAAAAAAACAAACAAACAAAAAAAAAACCCAATTGAAAAATGGGCAATTGAGCTGAATAGTCATTTTTTTTTTATAAAAAAAAGACATACAAGTGATCAATAGGTATATGAAAAGATCGTAAACATAGCTCATTTCTTTCTGCTGCTGAGTGATATTCAACTGAATGAATGTTTGTTTATTCATTTACCTTGGTTGCTTTTATTTTGGCAATTATGAATACAGCTGCTTATGCATTTGTATGCAGAATTTGTGTGCATGTATGTTCATAAGTCTCCAACTCATTTAGATAATTACCTAGGAGTGAGATTATTGTATCATATAGTAAGAGTATGTTTAGTTTTATAAAATACTGCAAAACCACTTTCTAATGTTGGTGTACCATCTTGCATTCCCTTAGCAATGAATGAGAGTTCCTGTCAGTTCACAACCTTGCTTGCATTTGGTGTTGTCAGTGTTTTAGATTTTAGTCATTCTAATAGATATGTAATGCTGTCTTGTCTTAATTTTCCATTCCCTAATGATATACTATATTGGGCATCGTTTTATATCTTTATTGGCCACCCATATGTATTTTTTTTTGGTAACATGTCTGTTCAGATCTTTTGGCCATTTTTTAATTGGGTTGTTTATTTTCTTGTTGTATGAGTTTTAAGAGTTCTTTTTTATTGTGGATACAAGTCTTGTATCAGGTATGTGTTTTGCAAATATTTTCTTTCCATTAGCTACTTGTCTTTTCATTTTCTTAACAGTGTGTTTCACAAAGAAGTTGTTTTCCATTTCAATGAAGTCTAACTAATCATTATTTTCTTTCATGAATCATATTTTTGTTATTGTCTCATAGTTCTTGGATATTCTGTTCTATCTTTCTAATTATTTTTCCTCTTGCTTTTCAGTTTGAGACATGTCTATTGACCTATCTTCCTGCTCACTGATTCCTTCCTCTCACATGTTAAGCCCATCAAAGGCATTCTTCATTTTGTTATAGGGTTTCTGATTCCTAGCATCTTGTTTTGAATCTTTCTTAGAGTTGCATCTTTCTGTTTATATTACCCATCTTTTATTACATGTTATTCACTTTTCCCATTAGATCCTTTAGCATATTAATCGTAGTTATTTTAAATTTTCAGCCTGATAACTCCAAAATCTCTACCATACTTGCTTTGTCTTTAGGTTTTGCCTTTTAGCATGCCTTGTAATTTTTAGTTGAAAGGCATACATAATATACGACGTAAAAGAAATCAATGAATGGCCCGACGTGGTGGCTCACGCCTGTAATCCCCGCACTTTGGGAGGCCGAGGCAGGTAGATCATGAGGTCAGGAGATCGAGATCATTCTGGCCAACATGGTGAAATCCCATCTCTACCAAAAATAGAAAAATTAGCTGGGCGTGGTGACGCACGTCTGTAGTCCCAGCTACTCCAGAGGCTGAGGCAGGAGAATTGGTTGAACCCAGGAGGTGGAGGTTGCAGTGAGCCAACATCGTGGCACTGCACTCCAGCCTGGGCAACACAGCTAGACTCTGTCTCAAAAAAAAAAAAAAAAAAACAGAAATTGAATGAGATAGGCTTTTAGTATGAGGTTTCATGTTTATCTGGCTAGGAGTTAGGTTGTGCTTGCTGTTTGCTATAGCGATTGGTGCCATTTTAAATTTCCTCTAGTGTCCTTATATTTGTATCCCCTGTTGTCTTTGGGTTTGCCTAGTGACTCTGTTTTAGAGTCTGAGCCTTGCAGTTCTTTAAACTGTAATCCTTTGTTATTACACATGAGTTTTATTGATGTGGTAGTAAGGTGTGGGGAAAGTGGAAGCATTCCATAATCTTCGGATTAAGTCTCAATCTCTTATGGGCATGTTCCTCTCATCTATAGCCTTCACAACGCTTCTTAGTTTCCTCCCCTATCCCCTTTGAGATAGGAAGATTTGAGAGGGCTAAAGTTGGGCATTTCACTTTCCACAGGTCGGTTAAGCTCCGGTAAAGCCCATATTTGTTAAGCTCTGGTAAAATATTTTCTCATAAGAGCAGGCTTTTGTTCAGAAAAACGGAATGCTCTGGGAATATTTCAGAACGGCTACTTGTTCCTCCCCTAACCAGGAGATGAGGGGATTTTTCTCTATTCTTCACCCTGAGAGCCTAGTGGGACTCCTGAAGCTAAAACTCATGAAAGTATGAGGGACCCCCCAACCCTGTAAGGCTGGAACCTCAGTTCATTTTCTCTCTCAATCTAGTCTGTCTTCAGTAATTTATCAATTATTCTTTACATGTTGCCACTAATTGCTGGCTCTAATGTGTGGGTTCTCGGTCTCACTGACTTCAAGAATGAATCCATGGAACCTCGCGGCGAGTGTTACAGCTCTTAAAGGCGCCGTGTCCAGAGTTTGTGCCTTCTGATGTTCGGATGTGTTCAGAGTTTCTTCCTTCTGGTGGGTTTGTGGTCTCACTGGCTCAGGAGTGAAGCTGCAGACCTTCATGGTGAGTGTTACAGCTCTTAAGGCTGTGCATCCGGAGTTGTTCATTCTTCGTGGTGGGTTCGTGGTCTTGCTGGCCTCAGGAGTGAGGCTGCAGACCTTCGTGGTGAGTGTTACAGCTCATAAAGGTAGTGCAGACCCAAAGAGGAAGCAACAGCAAGATTTATTGCAAAGAGCGAAAAAAACAAAGCTTCCACAACATGGAAGGGGACCCGAGTGGGTTGCCACTGCTGGCTTGGGCAGCCTGCTTTTATTCACTTATCTTGCCCCACCCACATCCCACTGATTGGTCCATTTTACAGAGAGCCGATTGGTCTGTTTTACAGAGAGCTGATTGGTCCATTTTGACAGAGTGCTGATTGGTGCCTTTACAATCCCTGAACTAGACACAAAAGTTCTCCGTGTCCCCACTAGATTTGCTAGATACAGAGTGCTGACTGGTGCATTTACAAACCTTGAGCTAGATACAGAGTGCCGATTGGTGTATTTACAATCCCCTAGCTAGACATAAAGGTTCTCCAAGTCCCCACCAGACTCAGGAGCCCAGCTGGCTTCACCCAGTGGATCCCACACCTGGGCCACAGGTGGAGCTGCCTGCCAGTCCCCCGCAGTGGCCTGCACTCCTCAGCCCTTGGGTGGTCAATGGGACTGGGCGCTTTGGAGCAGGGGGTGGTGCTCCTCGGGGAAGCTCAGGCATGGGGGGCTGCAGGTCCCAAGCCCTGCCCCGTGGGGAGGCAGCTAAGGCCCAGGGAGAAATCGAGCACAGTGCCCGTGGGCCACCACTGCTGGGGGACCCAGCGCACCCTCCGCAGCTGTTGGCCCTGGTGCTAAGCCCCTCACTGCCCCGGGGCCGGCAGGGCCAGCCAATCTGAGTGTGGGGCCTGCCAAGCCCACGCCCACCCAGAACTCTAACTGGCCCGCAAGTGCCACGGGCAGCCCCGGTTGGGTTCGGCCAGCCCAGAGAAGGGCTCCCACGGTGCAGCTGCTGGCTGAAGGGCTCTTCAAGCACAGCCAGAGTGGGCGCCGAGGCTGAGGAGGCACCGAGAGCGAGCGAGGGCTGCAAGGGCTGCCAGCACGCTGTCACCTCTCACTACTACAAGCTTCTGCTCTTGGTAAGCTGTGATTCTCTGTATCTATCCCTCTGTCCCATTTGGGGGATCTCAATTCTTTGGTGGATCTAAGAAGAGTTACTAATTTTCAGTTTGCTCAGCGGTTTCCCTTGTTGTGAAGATGAGAATGACAACTTACAAGCTTTTTGCATGTTGAACTGGAAATGAAAATTACTTCTTTAAGGTCATTTTTATATTATAAAAATACAAAACCTTGAAATATAGAAATAATATATCCATCAAGCATGAAGGGTAACTTTATTTACTTTCCAATATAATAAAGATAATGCCTCTTTCTTGGGAAAAGTTCAGGTCCAATTTCTTCTAGCCTATTCTAAAAGATGCAGATTGTCTAAGGTTGGGGTTTCATAGCTATAACACAGATTTGCATGCAAAGCATCCATCTGGGCCCCACTGTATTACTCCATGAAACTTGGAGGTCAGGGGAACACACATCTGTGGATACTCATGTCATGATGCTTACTGTGCTTTAAAGAATAGTCTTTTGTTTCTGACTCAAAAACGAGTCTTTTTTTTTTAAGCTGTGATTTTTCATTTCCTGGGGAGGAGAAAATTCCAATGAAATACGTAAATATTTGGTTTCATTCTCTTTTTTTTTTTTTTAAAAAACTATTTCCATAGGTTTTTGGGGAACAGGTGATATCTGGTTACATGAGTAAGTTCTTTAGTGGTGATTTGTGAGATGTTGATGCACCCATCACCTGAACAGTATACACTGAACCCAATGTGTAGTCTTTTATCCCTCACCACCCCCACCCTTTCCCCCGAGGTCCCAAAGTCTATTGTATAATTCTTACGCCTTTGCATCCTCATAGCTTAGATCTCACTTTTGAGTGAGAACTTATGATGTTCGGTTTTCCATTCCTGAGTTACTTCACTTAGCATAATAGTCTCCAATTCCATCCAGGTTGCTGCAAATGCCATTAATTCATTCCTTTTTATGGCTAAGTAGTATTCCTTTATATATATATATATATATATATATTCCATTTATGTTACATAAGAATAATCAGAAAATTATATTTATTCTGTTTTCCAGTTTTTTTCTGGGGATTAGAAGATGGCATGGTCATCAAAATAAACGGCAAAGGATACAATCCTCTGCTAAGTTTTTTGTATTTTTTCTGTTTGAACTTCTATGATATATATATATCACAGTTTCTTTATGCACAGTTGATTGATGGGCATTTGGGCTGATTCTGTATTTTTGCAATTGTGAATTGTGCTGCTATAATTTTCTGTCAGAATCCTGGAAACTATGCCAAGCTAACTTCTTTGCTTCTAAGTAGGGTCAAATCCCAGACTTATCACAGTTCTTGATATGTCTATCCACCAAAAAAGACTTACGTAAAATTATTTATTGTAGTTTTGTGCATAATAGCATACATTGGGGGAAATGAACTATTCAAAAGCAGGTGAATAAATAAATGTTGGTATTTCATACAATGGAATACTACTTAGCAATATAAGTGAATGAAGTATTTGTATATATAAAATAACACGGATGAAAATCCCAAAATTATGCTGACGAAAATAAGGTAGACATAAAAGAGCACATGCTTTATGCCCCCCTTTATATGAAATCCTTGAATTACCATGATGAATGCATGGTTATAGAAATCAGAACAGTGTTTGTTTCTATGTAGTAGATATTGACTGCACAGTGCCAGAGATGATGGAGATCTTGATAGGGATGCAGCTGATATAGGTGCATTTTCAAAACAGATCATACTGTACATGCAAGTTCTAAACTCAGCATCCATTTGAAAAAAGAATGCAAATAATTTGAAACAAATTTATCAAAGTTTCACTCTTAAAGAAACACAACTAGTTGTTAATGGTGTGTGTGCACTAATTGAGCAATGCACAACTTCTTAAACTTTGAAATCGGATTGAACACTGCTATCTTCTCCTGTTTCACATTGATTATCCTGTGGTACTTTCTTTTTATCATTTCAACCTAGAAAATTCAGTAAGTTTCACAAAGATATAATGTCACCAAAAGGAATTTAACATTATTTAGAGTTGAAACTGAAACGCCTTGAGCCAATAGTTCAAACAGTGTCTGAGAGATATCAGAAGTCCGTGTATTTCCTTTGAACAATTTGAACATTTCCCTCCCTTCACCCTTGTGTGTTTGTAGCAGTAAACCAAGCACATTGGCTCCACAACATGGAAAACACAGGATCGGATGGTTTGCAGGGCTTTTTCAACTCTGAAATGTTACAATTCTATGTTGAGAGGAGATTTTTGTAATAAGAAGATATTCTGTCTTTGCAGCAAGCATATTTAAGGTCACCATCACATTTTGAATTCTGTATTCTTCCTAATGAAAGATATTGATATGCAGCATAGATAGGAGTAACGATTTGAAGTCAGACATATATGGATTTTGCATCCACTACTTACTATCTGAGGACCAGAAAGTCCGTTAAATTCTCTGAGCCTCAGTTTTGTCAAGTGTGAAATTAAGATAATGTCATACATACCTCACTGCAATGCGGTGAAATGAAAGCAATACATGTAAACCTCTCAAGCAAGTTCGTAGCACATTGTTAGTGCTCAATAAATGTCATCTATTAAAATGAGCACTTTTATCATTCATTGAGTTTGAAGTATTTTTTTAAGATGATGAGTTTTTTCTAAACAAATCAAGGAGCTCATAATGTCAAATATATCACTATATTAAATTAGGAGATGCAGACTAAAAGTAAAAATATATGAACCAGCTTAAGTAACTCTTAATCATTTTTCTGACTACTTTCTATCTTGCTTAACAAAACATATCAAATTTTAAAAACTAAGTATGTATTAATTCCATTTATTGTACATAAGAATAATCAGAAAATTATGTTTATTCTGTTTTCCAGTTTTTTTCTGGGGATTAGAAGATGGCATGGTCATCAAAATAAAGGGCAAAGGATACAATCCTCTGCTAAGTTTTTTGTATTTTTCCTGTTTGAACTTCTGGCCAGTTTCTGAAGCTTTCCACCCTGTATCTGTCAAACAATTATTTCTCAATTTGAGCAAAATAGATCTTGAAAATTATGGCATCTCTACCTTCCCTTCTGAAAGCATAACAGAACTGGGAAAAGGATGGAGGGAAGAAGGGAGAGAGGGAGGGAGAGAGAGAGAGAAAAAAAAATCAACTTACACCAATATTACAGCTATCTATTCAAAGGTAAAAGAGAAAACTTGTTATGCTTGTTATTTCCATGCTTATCAGTTTGCAAATCATTTGTGATACTTGTGCCCTGTTCGAAGAGTTGATTTACTTATTAACATTAGAAAGTGCTTGAGTCAAATAATAACTACTAGATAAGCTGCAGATCTGACTGAAGAAGTAGAATTAATGTCACATTTGACTACTTTTGCCATTGAGAAACATACATTTACCACAGGCTTAAGTACGTGATATTTCTTGAGTAGTATTAGTCCTCTAAGCTCTGGCTTCACTGAATAGTAAGGGTAACAACAAAGCGCTGGAACATAGCCAGTCACTGGCACAATAACACTGTTGGGCAATAGCACTCCTGTGGGTCGGCTGTGGCAGGGATTGTAGACTACCCAAGAAATTGTAGGGACAGGATCGCTTCAAATTCAGCAAGCAGAAGACACTGTGTAGGACTGAGTGAAATGAATCTATACACTTAAGCACAGGAAATTGAAAAATAATAGTAATGACCAGAGTAAACTAATATTCTTGACATGAAATTATTGGTATGAGATCCAAGAAAAAGAAACCTGCCTACTTACTCCAAAGGAAAGCAATGGTATCCCGCAAGGAATTGATGAATTTCTCTCTAAAATCTTGAAGAATTTATCTACATGTTTATTGTGCATTTTCCTCTACCTTTGCTCTCTCAATTGTCCTGTAAAGGGGGATTTTCCCTACCTATTTCTCTGCCTCCACTGTGGGCCAACATAGAAGCAAAACTAATTACTCAGAGGAGCCATTCATGTACAGAAAGATTATAATATACTCTTACAGAGTCTCATTTTCTTACTTATAAAAACTAAATATGATTGGAGTAAGGTAAGAAGGCAGACAGAACTGAAAGAAAAGACTTGGCCAAGAAGTAGGAGAGAATATATTGTCAGAAAGAGACTCAAAATTGAGCAGTTTATCAGTGGAGACCTTCTCTGTAATCCACTGTCTGTGTCCAACTTTCTTTCCAACAATCCTAGACTTTTGTATAATCTTCGGAGTGGAGAAATATCTTAGGTGAGGACAAAGGAAAATTCATGAGCAAGGTGGAATTAAACAGGATCTGCTGGACATTTCTCTTTGTGTCTATGCAATGGTAAACACATTGGTGATTTAAAAATCTTCATATGAAGTCACTAGTTTGAAGCACCATTATGAGTTCTAGGGAACTGAAAAATTCTGCAAGAAATGTTCAAAAAATCATTTAAGTTCTGTGTAAGAATTTTAAAATAGCAATTATATAAATTAATGTGATCTAGAGATTGATGAAATTTCTCTGAAGCCAGGAATGAAGCAAGAGCACAAGTCTAAGAAATAATTGAATGCTGAAGGTCCTCACTGACCCAGGATATATCATCACTGGTAGCTTAGAGCTTTAGTTTTAATGACTGCTTAAGAGAGAGTCAAAGACAAAGACAGGGCCATTGTATAGTGAGGAATTCAACTGAAGACCTTAGTGAAAAGCCCAGACTTACAAAGACCTAAGTCAAAGAAAGTATTAAATAAGAGATTCTCTGATTAGGATTTGCTTTGGGTAAAGGGAGAAGCAGTAGTCTTCCTAAAATATTTTTGGCCACATGTCTGTTCTTCAGTGGGCTTGCATCCTTAATTCACACTATTTGCAATTAAATAATTTTAATTGAAAGAAGATCTCAGTCTGTAGCTTTCTAGGACATAGAGAAAGTAGGTAAATTCCTTCCTGATAAACACACCCTCACATCAAGCTTCAACAAATTCCCAGAGAGTTTTAATAAACATATGTTCAGAATCAGAGATCATAAACCAACCCAAAAATAAATTAGGCATTGTGAGTGAGCAACAGCGGGACAGATAGCAGACGTCAGCGATATTAGAATTATTACAAATATAATCTGAGTATGACTAAGTTTATATGAATAAAATATGGAATAAAAACATGAGTAAAGACCAAGCATCTATCAAAGATGAATAGGCATAGTTGAGAAAAGGCAAAATTGAATATTTAGAAATAAAAATATAGTTAGTGAATTAAAACTAAGTTTGTGGTATAGCAGCTTAAAAGAGAACTAATGCCACAGCAGATATAAATGCAAAAAACATATAATTGATGCCCAGAAAGATAAAGTCATAGAAAAGTATAAATATGAGGCTAAGAAACATGAGGCTGAGATAGTTCAGCATATATCTGTGAAAGTTCTGGAGAAAATAATATACTGAAGACAGACAGTATTTTACTGGATAATGGTCAATAATTTCCCAAAACTAATTAAGTCAGGCTGAGGGATACTAACAAGTCTCAAACAGAATAAATTTTCATACCTAGATATGAAATTAGAAAAGCTGCAGAGGACCAAATAAAAAAGTAGTTGCTTAGAAAAAGCAAAGATAAAGGATGATTTACAAAGTAATGATAACTAGATTAACATTTGGCTTCTCAACAGACTTCTCAATGGAAGCCAGAAGTCACTAGAATTTTACTTTCTAAATGCTGAAAGTTTATTTCAACCTAAAATAATATACCCTGCAAAAACAACTTTCAAGAAAGCCAAATTAAAGACTCTTTTATAAATAAAAAGTCTATCTCCAACAGATTCTCCCTGAAATAGAATCTAGAGGATATATTTTAGGAAAGAATATACTTTATGAAGGATATAATTTAGAAACATCCTAGAAAGAAGGTCTGAGATATATAAATACATGAAGAACAAAGGGAGGTAATTGGAGAGGGCTTACAGGGAGCTTCAATAGCCTAGGAAATGTTCTATTTCATTGTATTATTATTTATTATGTTATATATGTTTTTATATGCACCAAATGCTCATAATTTTAAAAATAGATGAAAATTATCATCTGATCCCTGTGGAAAAAATACATTTGTATACGAGAAAGAGGAGCATATTACCCAAAAAATCCACAGTGAAAATCAAATCTCTGGGAATAACTCAGAAAAGGAAGCAAAGCAAACAAATATTATTGACAACTGTTTTGAACAAACTGTGTTAGACAACTGTTTCCCCTAAAGTATTTGAAGAGGTGTTTTCAAGAAATATGCGTATCTGACACATGTAAAGAACAGGTCAAGGAGACAACATAATCAACTAGGAAGTCATGGGAATTGTGTAGAGGAAAAATTGACCAATGAAATAGCAATAATAGAATGGGCCTTGCTAGAAAATTGATACAGAAAATTGCATCTGTGAGCTGAAGACAAATTTCAAAGTTCTTTTAGAATGAAGTATAAAATAATGAGGTAAAGAAAATAATGAAAGGACAATAAACATGGAAAACAGAGCAGAGCTACAAGTAAGAAGATTACAGATAGTGGTGTAAACGAAAGCAGATATAACATCCACAATGTATTTATTGAGTGCCTCCTATTTGTAGGCTCTGGAGTAATACAAGCATATGTCATATCACTTACTACTATACTAACATGTAAAGTTAGCATTATTTCTCCAATTATGGAAAAGGATATTAAGCCACAAAGAAGTTACTTGTTAAAGATCACACAGTTGGAATTTGAGCCTAGGTTTTTCTGGTTCAAATGTTTGAACTGTTTATCGTTTTAAATAATATCAAGGAAGGTAAACTTCTAGTTGACTTGCTTTGGATTACAGAAGAAGTCATTTTGTGTTCATAACAGACAAAATATTAGTGCATATAAAAATATGAAAACTTTTTTACTCCAAATAATACAGCATGTAAATATTATACATATATATCACATAACATATATATAAAAGGAAAATGGATAATATAATTCATGTGTGAATAAAAATGTCTAAAATCAAATCAACAATTATTGTATTCATCAAAATTGCAAAAGAATAAGCCACAAGTCAAGAAGATTTAAACAAAACTATATGTATAGTTTGATATTAGAATATGTAATATACTATTTTAAAATGTTAAAGGAAAAATGTATCATTTATGTAAACCAAAGGAGTTCAATTACAGGGTAATCTCAGTTGTACTATAAAGGCACTTAATAGCTAAACCACCTTAATAATAAAACGTCTTATTAAATGAGAATATGCTGACTCCTTTCATGAAAAGAATATTTTTCTAACCAACAGGCAAAACTACATTTAAGGTTAAAATACCAGAATCATTCTAAATCCAGAAGCAAGTCACCAATATCATTTTTTAAAAATATTCTAAAATTGTAGCCAATTCAGTAAGTATTAAGAAAGTGGCTGGGGCATAGTGGCTCACACCTATAATCTCAGCTCTTTGGGAGGCTGAGGCAGGAGGATCTCTTGAGCCCAGGAGCTGGAGACCACCCTGGGCAGCATAATGAGACCCCATCTCTACAAAAAATCAGAACAATTAGTTGGGTGTGGTGGCACATGCCTATAATCCCCGTTACTTGGGTGGCTAAGGCAGGAGGGTCGCTTGAGCCTGGGAATTTGAGGCTGCAGTAAGCTATGATTGCACCACTGCACTCCAGCCTGTGCAACACAGGGAGACCATCTCTAAAAAAAATAAAAAATAATCTTAAAAAAGAAAGTGTTAAATATAGCTTTATAAAGTATACTGAATTATAATATGCAGATGCTATAACTACTCATTATTAAAAAAAATGACTTCTAATTCAACTAATTAGAATGTTTTATATTTCTAAATATTGGCATGGTGCAGGGAAATGGGCACTCTCATATAGTGTTATATGGAGTAGTAAATTTATTTTAAAAATTTATTGACATAAATTAAGAGCTTTGTGTTTGTTAACTACTTGAACTCTATCCTAAAAATTGCCAGATCTATGCAAAAATATGTGCATACAAAGATGATTACTATGTTGCTAATTATGTAATATTACAAATTGGAATATACATGTCCAAGTAACGAAGAATGCTTAATTAAAATATACTACACGTTCATTAAATTTGGATTTGGAAAGATGTCAAATAATGTGGAATGCTGATATCTTAAGTGGAAAGGGTATATATTATTTTTACATTATGAAAAATATAATTTTAAAATAAATTTTAAAAAGACTCTCTATATCCAGTATGATCACCACAAAGGAAAAGGCTGATGCTATACTTAACATTTATTATCTTTTAGTGATATGATTACAGTCATTCCTATGTCTGTCTTTATGTATTTCTGTATTCAATTCAAATAGTAAGGGGATTAGGGGAAGAGAGAGAGAAAAAGAGAGGTTTCTCGGACCAAAACTATATTTGACGACAATCATTGCCATTACCAAGAAACAATGTATAAATCAGGGAAGGTTGCTAGGTAACAGAAGCAGCATACCCTGGTGGTGAGCTGCCCATTCATGCACTCTCTAGGGAAAAGGGTATCTTGATAAGATAGTTATTTGGGTTATTGAGTATCAGGACATTTGATATTATAAAATCATAATGCTATTAAACATTCAAATTATATAACACAATCTTGGATGAAGCAACTAAACCATATTAAATTTGCTGAATTTAATGTGCATGACAGCCAGATGGCTGGCTTCTCCTGGTGAAAGCCTGACTTCAACATGTTCACATCAATGAAAATGTGATCAAGCAGATGATCGTAAATTAATTCTCACAAAACTTAGAATATATGTTATGTTTGTCCTCATTTTATAAATTGGAAACTGAAGATATAAAATGGACTTCTTCATGATCACAGAGAAATTAAATGGTAAACCCAGTGTTTGAACATAGATCTTTCTTTTCCCCAAAGTCCTATATTTCCTACTGTATTGTGCATTCCTTAAGGATAGACCCATATTCTTACTGCCTATCATGAGCCATGCATTCATCTCTAATCCTAAAGCTGGCACCACAAGGTAGAGATTATTTTAAAATGAACACATACACACACACACACAGTTCTTTTCAACCTATTCCAACTCTGAGACATTTATGTGTTTGACTTCTCAGAAGCTAACCATCTCTTAGCTTGTACACTATCTAAATGAGGAAACAGGAAACACCTGAAACTGCGAGAGTAAATGCAGCTGACCCTTGAACAATGTGGGCATTAGGCCCACAGATTCCCTGTGTAGTCAAAACTCTGCATATAACTTTTGACTCCTCAAATACTTAACTACTAAGTATAGAATGATCCATTTTGTAAGTCATCAAAAGCAGTCTTGAATCATTGGAACCCTTCTGCCAGATTGTCTAATGTCAATTTGATTCTGACACTGCTTCTTCTATGTCATCTTTCTCATCATCTGGCAGTGGTTTAGAAGTGAGAGGTGACAACGTGCTAGCAGCCCTCGCTGGCTCTCGGAGCCTCCTTGGCCTCAGCGTCTGCTCTGGCCGCACTCTAGGAGCCCTTCAGCCCGCTGCTGCGCTGTGGGGGCCCCTCTCTGGGTCTGGCTGAGGCCGGAGCCAGCTCCCTCTGCTTGCTGGGAGGTGTGGAGGGAGAGGTGGGGGCGGGAGGCAGGGCTGGGCACGGAGCTTGCAGGCTGAGGCAGGTTCCAGGTGGGCACAGGCTCCACAGGCCCTGCACTTGGTGCAGCTGGGGCTTGATCGGAGGCTGGGTCCCATGCGTGGGCCGCCATTCCCTCTTTGCGGGGTCGTTGGCCATGATGGCAGGTCTCCATCTCTTTCTTACTTCCCCTCTTTTTCTCTTGGTTGTCTGGGATGAGCTCCCTCTGGGCTGCAGGAGTGCCCGGGCTAGGTGCCAGCAAAGTGCCTTGGGGAGTGCCTGTGAGAGGTGAAGCCGGCTGGGCTTCTGGGTTGGGTGGGGACTTGGAGAACTTTTCTGTCTAGCTAAAGGATTGTAAATGCGCCAATCAGCACTCTGTGTCTAGCTAAAGGTTTGTAAGTGTACCAATCAGCACTCTGTCAAAACAGACCAATGAGCACTCTGTAAAATGGACCAATCAGCAATCTGTAAAACGGACCAATCAGCACTCTGTAAAATGGACCAATCAGGAGGATGTGGGTGGGGCCAGATAAGGGAATAAAAGCAGGCCACTGCAAGCCACTTAACTGGGGCAATGGCTTGGGTACTCTATGAGGCTGTAGAAGCTTTTTTCTTTTGGTCTTTGTAATAATCTTGTTGGTGTTTGCTCTTTGGATGTGCGTGGTGTTTGTGAACTGTAACAGTGACTGCAAAGGTCTGCAGCTTCACTCCTGAAGCCAGCAAGACCACGAACCCACCCACCGGGAGGAAGGAACAACTCCGGATGCACCACCTTTATGAATTGTAACAGTCAGCGTGAAGGTCTGCAGCTTCACTCCCCAGGCCAGAGAGACCGTGAACCCACCGGGAGGAATGAACAACTCCAGACACGCTGCCTTTATGAACTGTAACACTCACGGCGAAAGTCTGCAGCTCCGCTTCTGAAGTCAGTGAGACCATGAACCCACCAGAAGGAAGAAACTCCAGACACCTCCAAACATCAGAAGGACAAAACGCCGGACACACCATCTTTAAGAACTGTAACGCACCGTGGGTGTCCGCGGCTTCATTCTTGAAGTCAGCAAGACCCAAGAACCAACCAATTCCGGACACAGAAGGACTCACCTCCATCAAGTCTCTTCTGTTAATTTCTCTTGTGTGGTGTTCTCCAAGATCCATATCTTGAAACCCTTCACTCCATCTTTATTTTTCGGTGTTTTTTTTTTTTTTTTTTTTTTTTTTTTTTTTTTTTTTGGCATATCTACATATCTCTTTTGTGATTTTTTGGATTGGCTTTGTTATAAATCCCACGAAGTCATGCAACGTGATCTGAACGCAGTTTTCTCCAGCAGGAAGTTACTGTTTCAGGCCCAATGGCTTTGTTAGCTTTTCTATGGCAACGATGCAATCTTCAATGGTGTAATCTTCCCCAACTTTCGTGATGTTCTCTCTGTCAGGAATCTCTCCCGAAGCATTGACAATCCTTTTCTTAGAGCAGTGTGTGTAATGAGCCTTAAAGGTCTTTATGACCCCTGATGCAGAGGCCAAATTACATACATTGTTTTTGGGGTCAAATAGAACACATTGATACCTTCAGTGTTGAACTCATGGGGTTCTGGGTAGCCAGAGCCATTGTCAGATATCAAAAGAACCTTAAAGGCAGTTCCTTACTGCAAAGGTACTTCTTGACCTCAGGGACAAAATATCAGTGGATCCAAACCAGAAAAGGGTTTCTACTTGTCCAAGTCTTATATGAGCAAAAGATTGCCAACTGGTGGTTATCTTTTCCCTTCAAGGTTCAGGAATTAGCAGCTTTATAGATAAGAGCAATCCTGATTATAATCTCAACTACATTTACACAAAACAATAGCGTTAGCTTAATCTTCCTGCCTTAATTCCTGGTGCTTGTTTCTCTTCTTGACTAATAAATGTCCTTTGTGGCATTTTTTTTTCCAGGATAGGACACTTTTGACTGCATTAAGAACCTGTTCAAGCAGATATCCTTTCTCCTTAATGATTTTATTACTGGCTTCTGGGAAGTAGTTTGGTGCCTCTTGGTTGGCAAAAGCTGCTTCTCTTCTCGTCTTGACATTTTTTAAGCTCAGCCTCTTTCTAAAATGATCAGTCCATCCTTTGCTGGCCTTAAATTCGCCAGCTTAGAATCTTCACCTTCCTTTTGCTTTAAGTTGTGATAAAATGGCTTCACTTTTTCTTAAATCGTACTCATGTCTATAGGCGTGCCTTTCTTATAGTAATACAGCACCTACATAAAAGTTGCATTTTCAATATGAGATAAAAAAGTATTTCACAAAAAGTACAAGATTTTTGTGTCTCCTGGTGTAGTACAGTGGTCCTTATGTTGGATTCATTTATCTTAAAATGATGGGCGACTGCAGCTGCATACCTCAATCTGTGGTACAAATCAAGCAATTCAACATTTTCCTGTAATATCATGACTTCTTTCTTTTTGTGGGGAAACACTTAGAGCATCACTACTGGCACTTCCTGTGGGTCCCATCGTGTTATTCGAGTTTAAGGGAGGGCGCTAAACACTATGAAAAATCCTCAAGAACTGTTAAGAGATCATTTTTTACTTTGATTTGCAATTTACTGGATAGACAGAACTGCTGTCATGGAGATAATTAGCATCACAGGGCTTTTTGAGGGGATACTCACAGTACTTGAGCACGCTGCAACAGCAGCAGGAGGTGACTCAAATTATTATAGTATTACAATATGTAATGAAATTATTTTGTGCAGTTATGATTTAATAGTGCATTTTTATATTTGTTAACATTTTTTCTCAGCTGAGTGGCACTAATGGTCTGTGTTTTTTGCATAAGTTGTGATAACTTTTCACATTTTATAATAGATTTGTGTATATTTTAGTGGCAAATGATAAAATAGACTGGTCTTTGCATACATTTTTTGCATTCATGACATACCTAACCCTTTCTTAAGTTTTTCAATATATCTAGGCTACACAGTTTATCTACAAGGTTTCTCAAATTGTCTTCAATTTCAGTTTTTCCAGTCTATCAACTGAAAAACATTTGACCATGGATTTTTTTCCTTTGCAAATCAAAACAGCATTTTATTACCTATTGCTTTCTACGTTAATTTAAAAAGCTATCAAATAAAATCTATGTTTTAGTGCTTATTTGGGGACATTTTGTTGAAACTTCAGATGTAAACATAGATTTTTCCTCGAATATTAAAGACTGTTGAATTCAGGCTACACAATCAGATAGTTCAGCTATAAGGCTGAATGCTCTGTAGGTTTCTGGAAAAAAAAAACAAATGTACATTTTACATTACTTTGAAGTAATGTCACAAAATCATTTTAATTGACTTTTTTCCTATAGTTTTTCTATACTTATTGGTTCGGTCCTTAAGAAAATCTGTGAAAATTGGCCGGGCGCTGTGGCTCATTCCTGCAATCCCAGAACTTTGGGAGGCCAAGACAGGTGGATTGCCTGAGCTCAGGAGTTTGAGACCAGCCTAGGCAAGATGGTGAAACCCCGTCTCTACTAAAATAGAAAAAATCATCCAGGTGTGGTGGCAGGCACCTGTAATGCCAGCTATTCAAGAGGCTGAGGCACGAGAATTGCTTGAACCCGGGAGACAGAGGTTGCAGTGAGCCGAGATTGCACCACTGCACTCCAGCCTGGGCAACAAAATAAAACTCTGTCTCCAAAAAAAAAAAAAGATATGAAAATCAATGCGTGTGTGTGTTTTGTTGAAACATAAGAGGAATTAAAGAAATGGTACATTATGCTTTTTTTCACATCCATATTTATTCATCCAATAACTTGTTAACAGTTTATTCAATGTATGTATATGGCACTATGATTGGCATCAAAAATTGCTAAAAGAAAAAGTACCATGGAGTTCTCTAGCTATATGTTCTCTGGCATGTTACATAACCTGTTTGAATCCCAGTTTTGTAACATGTATATTGAAGATAATAATTTCTACCATGTAAAGTTTAGATATAGGCTTAATAATGATGCATATGAAGCCCCAGGGCCATGGAGTGGGAATTAGCATATATCAATTGTTAATAATGTATGAACCAATCCTCAGTATATTAGGGAAGATGAGGCTTTGCAGTTAATTAGTGATGGGTTCAAACATTGAATTCATTAATTTTTGTATGATCCTGGGCAAGTTCATTTCAATTCTCAGTTACTAAATTAATAAAGTAGCCACTTAGGCCAAATAGATTTCAGAATGGGCTCACATTAAAGTGTTTCACAATTTTATATTTTTTACAGTATATCATGCTGACACCAAAAAACAATATCTTATCTTAGTAGATCTATGTTAGTGAGACAAGTTTGTATGACTCATGGTACTTGCTTAAGTGGAGTAAAGTATTAGGGCCTTTAATTAATAAAGATTCCTTTTTTTCTCTAGTTTTGGACTACAGAAGAATTAGCACACATCTGGTGTGAAAATTTTCACAATCATAGAGAAAAAGCTAGCCAATTAAAATGATATTCTGATATCACTTCAAAGCAATTGTGATAGAGAATTCCTTTTGTGTAGGAAAGCCTTTCATATAGGACTATGTGCAAACCACTGTTTCCAGTTTTGTTCCACGTACAGAAATAACAACACATTATAAACTTCTTAGTAGTAGCAATTATGTCAGATATTGTCCCTTTGGAAAAGAGGAATTATATCTTATGCTACTTCTATATAGTCTGTGATATGTAGTAGATTCTGAATGCAGAGTGAATAAGTGATAGTAAAAGGATGATTTGATAATATTAGTTTTGGGTCTGTCAAAGCCTACTTCGAATCCACAAATCTTTGCCTTCCTAAACTAAGCGTAGGTATTGTAAACCAAAAGATATCTGAGATAGGTCTCAATCAATTTAGAGGTTTATTTTGCCAAGGTTAAGGATCATGACCCGTGACACAACCTCAGGAGATCCTGAGAGCATGTGCCCAAGGTGGTTGGGTTACAGCTTGATTTTATACATTTTGGGGAGGCAGAAGTCACAGGCAAAGACATAAATCAATCAATTTAAGATATACATTGGTTTGGAATAGAAAGACAGGACATCTTATAAAAGGGGGCTTCCAGATTATAGGTGGATTCAAAGATTCTTGACTGGCAACTGAGTGAAAGGGTCAAGCTCTGTCTGAAAAATTGAAGTCAGCTTTAGTTAAAGTAAGCAGGAGTTAGTGGGGGTGGTTGCGGAAGCCAAGGTTCTTGCCATGTATATGAAACCTTCAGGTAGCAGGCTTCAGAGAGAATAGAAGTCAATGTCACTTACTGGACCTTAAAAGATTTCAGATTCTCTGGAAATAGCTAGCTAGGGAAGGAGATGCTCTAAAGAATGTAAATTTCACCCACAGGAGATAGTTTTTCAGGGCCATTAAAAATTTGTCGAATAGACATATTTTGAGATAAAATACTCTGATTTCTTTCAGGGCCTGCTATCTGTCATGTGACATTTTACCAGAGTCAGGCTGAAATAAGTATCATTACTACAGACTCTGTTCTGTCAGTCTTAAGATCTCTACTGTAATGTTAATGCTGGTCAGTTGTATCTAAAATCCAAAAGGGAAATGGAATAATGAAGCATGTCCAACCCCCCTTCCCATCATGATCTGAACTAGTTTTTCAGATTTCTTTGGAATCTCCTACACTGAGAGTGGGCTCCATTCAGTCAGCTGGGGGCTTAGAATTTCATTTTTGGTTTACATTCTTCCTCTTCTGGCCAAGATTTGCCAGAGGTAACATCAATGGCCAAACTTTTATTTTGTCCCATAGCATTGCCGAGGTGGTGTGGCTGCCTGCCCCGGTCCATCCTGACCCTCAGTGGGACCCACGTGGTCAACAGACTTAGAGACAAAAGACTGATACCTAATTTAAATGTTCTAGGCCAGATGGGAATGGAAGTGGGCAGGAATTCATCAACACTTAGAATTCTTTAAACCATGTAAAACCCAAATGCAAAAGGCAAGGTTACAAATGTGGCTTATCTGTAATTTTTATGCATTGAGCTACCTTAAACTTGATTTAACTACAGACTTGTAGCAATCAGCTATACAAAACATAAGCATTTTGTTAAAGCCATTTTAGCTAAGGAAATTAGAAATTTTGGTTGTGCCACCGTGCTTTTGTGGTCTTTTTAGTAATTTGTCCTGAGGTTGCTGAAAACATTTTTTACATATATTTGCATAAATCTCATAACTGAGAGCACTACACCCAGGAAACTGTATTACCAGGTATCTGGATATCCTCTCAGTTATTTTTCTTTTAATTCAATGGGAAGCAGGAAATTCTTTATAGTTGAGATGAACAGAAAGGGCCAGGAAATGTCCCAGGAAGTAAAGTCCCTCATTTTGCCAGCTGTTTTGGTATCTGTTTGCCTGTCCTTGATTTGGGGGGCCTGAACTAATTCTCTCTCTCAGAATTGGCCCTTATGATCTCACACACCCACATTTTCCATGACTGTCCCTGGATTTAGAGGGAAGGTACTCATATAGTTTTAGCAGCAGGGTGCCAATAATGAAAACCGATAAGGCCGAATGAGATTTTAAATGGTTTTAACATTTTGGGGACATCAGGTAAAGAGAAAAAAAAAGGTAATCTTTGTTGTATTACATAATTTTGTAGGCTATATATAGAATTAGCAAAATTTTAAACAAAAAGGACATAAGACCTGCCTAAATCTGACAATGACAGGAAAAGGAAATACACAGGTAGCTAAACATTTAAATGATCTAGTATTAAGGCATAAACAAATTATATTAATTTAGATAGAGGAAAAACTTTTAAATGAGTATTTATGTCTTTGCACACAGTTCTGGTCCAATGTCATGTGGAAGCAAACTATTTTGACTGCCATCTTTTCCCAGGTTTGAAGATGAGGCTTTTGTAAACTTGAATTTGGTGCCAGATACCAGCGTTGATGTTTAGGATTCAGTAAGAGTCAGTGCCCCCTTTTAGAGAAGATAGGGGTACCCAGGAATTAAATCCCTGAACTTAGTAGTACAAAGGTTAGTTAACAATATTTGATAAAAGATCATTTTTAATGGAGCTGGAGGGAGTCTCAACTGATAGCTAATCATCAGGCTGGAGGTGGTAATACTGGAGTTAATGACTTAATTGGAAGCAGTAGGAAGATTTTATAACTTTGAGGTGATTAATTTTTATAGTTTTGATAAGTCTCCAACAATAAATCTAAATCAGAGACTTAATTTAGGATTTTATTTTGAGCATGTTTGTTAAAGATGTTTAAAGATCCAAAACAAATTTATTAAAACAGCTCATTGTAGAATAATAGCTATTCATTTAACTAAATGGATACTTGAAATACTTCAAAAGAGATAAAGGAAGTTTACGTGGATATAAAACTTTAATCCTTTTAAAATTTAGCTTTTTAAGTAATTTTTAACCTAATGAAAGCAATACAGAAATTAATTTGATAAAATGTGAAATATTTATTTCTTAGGCTAGTTACAAACAAACAAAAAACAAATGAACAAAAAACCTGCTGCAGTGATTGTTTTTCCTTATGGGAAGCCCATTTGGATAACCTGAAAGTCAAACCTGCTGAAAAGTAGGTAGGTTTGTACTTTAGTCTCTATTTTTTAACTGGACCCCTGAGCTCAGGGCAGAGCCACAGAGAATTCCGGGTCACCCAAAAAAGAGAAAATGCCATAAGACCCGGCCATGTTATGTTCTTACAGTGCAATTTGTTATGAAGACATTTCTCTAAGTGTTTAAACTGCACCCTTTTTAAATTTTAAACATGCAAAGGGTACCTCCTGTAATAAGAACTATTTAAGCAATTGCCATTAGCTGCCTCTAAAAGTACATTTCTTACCTAGCTATTACACACACCAAGGTTAAACATTTTTTCATAATGCAAAGTAATTCCCAGTACCCTCAAAAGTAAAAAATATGTAATGCAGTACAAAAAGAGAGAAGAGGTTTTTTTTTGTTTTGTTTTTTGTTTTTTTGCTTTTTCTATGACCTCAGTGGAAATCTGCTTGCTTATAACTCTTGGTATCCTGTGAGGAAAAACAGATTTCTGGTAAGTAGAGGAGTGTAGCTGCCCACTGCTCCCGCCGCCTCCTTTCCTCCCCACCTACCCCCCACCCCCAAGGGATCCCAAGCTGTCAGAAATTCCTTTCTTCTTTCTAGGTCCCTCATGGGGTAAAGGTGGCAAGAGGAAGGAGAGACAGGGAGAAGTAAAAGGAAGAAATGGAACTTAGTTGACTGAGAAAAAAAAAGATCCAAGGAGAGAAAAAAAGCATAAAGAAAAAAAGCATACACACACACACACACACACACACACACACACACACACACTGGATATTTGCTATTAATTAAGCTGACCTTTAACCCTAGAGCTCTTTAAAAAAATTCTTTTAAATCTGTTACTATCATATATTAGCTGGGACAAACAGCTGATACTTCAAAAGTAGCACAAATATCAAACCAGCAAGGACTTGATGTTAGAACCAAACCTAGGCTGTTAGGGTGAAAAGGGCAAATCTTAGCTGTTGAACTACAACATGAGGTGGCTGCCATTGCTCTTTCAGTTTAGGCTTGGCTAGCAAAAAGTGGCCTTGTTGGGTACATGAAGCCCCCCATGTAGTCAAATTTTTTAATTTTTCTTTTTGATGTACTTTTTTTTCCCCCTTCCCCCTGCCTTTGTTTTGCAGCTGTGGGAATTTCAACCAATTTAGAGGCCTTGTTCCCCATAATTTGAGACTTTCCTTCAGATTTGACCAAACCTGATAGAGTTGGTCAAACCCAATGAAAGGAGGGCCGAAACAACAAAAGGCAACAATAAAAACAGGTACAGGCAAATAACAAATTTAAAGAAAATAAGCAAATGATCACACAATGTATACAATTACTGAACACTCTAAAAGTGAGGAAAAATTAAGACTCACTGATTGTCAACCTAAACCTTTAGTCATTAAGCAGAAATTTCAAGCCCAAGTCCCAACTCAGCAACTTATCTAGGAATGGGACACAGGCTGAAGACTGCTCTCTACAATCTTAGAAGCAGGAAAAAGACTCAAACTTGCCTTCCTTGGTGGAAGCAAGTGGAAACTCCAGAAAAAAAAGTTAAACTGCTCGTCTTTGTCACGGAAGCAAGGAAATTTGCCTTCCTTATTGGAAGAGAGCAAAACTCCAGAAAAGGAGGGTTGTTTGTTTGTTTGTTTGTTTTTCTGTACAGCAAAATGAACCTTAGATTTCACTCCAAATTTGAGAGATTCTCTGGAGTGGGGAAGCTCTTTCACCTCAGCAGATTGTCCTCATGGTTTGAGCAATAAAGAGCCCAAGCTGGTAACAAGCACTGAGAGAAGATTTGTGAAAAGTCAGGGCACCTCCACCCTGGGTCCCTTCCATTGATCACCAATTTGTAAACCAAAAGGTATCTGAGACAGGTCTCAAGTTAGAGATTTATTTTGCCAAAGTTAAGGATCGTGACCTGTGACGCAGTCTCAGAAGGTGCTGAGAACATGTGCGCAAGGTGGATCAGTTACAGCTTGATTTCATTCATTTTAGGGAGTCTCCCAACTTGAATAGATGACTCTCTCAACCTAGGGGATTTCAAAGAAATCTGAAAAACTAGTTTAGACCATGATGGGAAAGGGGATTGGACATGCCTCATTATACCCGCTTCCTTTTGGAGTCTAGATAAAAGTGACCAATCATTAACATTACAATAGAGATCCTAAGATTGTTTCCATGACAATGGAGAGCAGTTTAACTCCTTTCTGGAGTTATCACTTACTTCCGTTGAGGAAGGCAAATTTGAGTTTTTTTCTTGCATCTAAGATTGTAGAGAGCAGTCTTCAGCCTGTGCCCCATTCCTAGACAAGTTGCTGAGTTGGGGGTTTGGCTACTCCAACCTGACTCTGGTATAATGTCAAATGACAGATAATGGGCCCTGAAGGAAATAAAAGTATTTTATCCCAAAATATACTTACTCGACATATTTTTTAATAGCCCTGAAAAGCTATCTTTGGTGGGGGAATTTACATTTTTTAGAGAATCTTCTTACTTAAGGAGTTCTTTCCAAAGAGTCTGATACCTTTTAATGTCCAGTAAAAGACATGCACATCTATCTCTCTGACACCTGCTACTTGGAATCTTCATCTACCTGACAAGAATCTTGGCCTCCATAATCCCCTACTTATCTTAATTCAAGCTGACTTCATTTCTTTATGGAAAGCTTGAGTTTTCCAATGAATTGCCAACCAAGAAATCTTTAAATCCACCTATGACCTGGAAGCTCCCTGCTTCAAAATGTCTCATCTTTCCAGGCCAAACCTATGTATACCTCAGATTTACTGATTTATGTCTTCGCCTGTAACTTCTGTCTCCCTAAAATGTATAAAATCAAGCTGTAACCATACTGCTTTGCCCACATGTTCAGGACTTCCTGAGGTTTTATCACAGGTCATCATCCTTAACCCTGGCAAAATAAACTTCTAAATCAATTAAGACAGACCTCAGATACATTGTGGTTTACAATATAAATGTAAACAAGCATATATTTTAAAAAGAAGACCTTTCTATGTGTGGTGAGATGTGCAAATAAAATACCAAGGCTTTCAACACAACGTATATACCTCATAGTTCATTATTTTTGTATGAATGAAAGGATGTTCAAATACCATGCATGACTATTTCCAACACCTTTGCAATTTTCACTGTTTGAGCATTAAAGTAAACTTTGCAAACATAAGATTTTCCTTGCCTGCTCAATAATCTCATTTCTTATTCATGTTTCAAATAGAACAAAACTGCCAAACCTTACCTTTGAAAGCCATTTTTCAGAGAAATTGCCTTTCAATATTGTGTGAGCTTCTGAGTTTATGCAATCAATAATAAACCTTTAAATGCTTTCTTGGAATATATAACACATTTTCTTGTTGTTTTGGATAAGAACCCAAATATTATATTACATTCACCTAAAATTTCTTTGCTCTTTCAGCTGCATGAGAATGGTTACTTCTGTGGTGTATTTTATTAATATACTATTTATTGACAACTCTTTCTTACACTGGACCAATGCTGGTTTTTGATTAGTTCATATTGGGGATATATTGAAACTTAATCTTTATTGTCTCTTTTAATTTAATATGTACAGCTGAAAAACTTTAGTGTTATCCCCGTCACTTGTCAAGGTATCTGTTCTGCATTCTGCCATTACTTGGATTTTTCATTAGGTAAGAATCACCTTATTTCCCTATGCTCCAGTTCCTCTCAAAATAAATTGAAATATAGTAAGTTTCTTTGTAGGACTTTTAGGACTAAGAACTCTTCCTGGCAATGTGTTTTAGACCACTTTAATGAGTGTGACCTTAAGTTTAAATTTTCAGATTCTCCAGCTGAATTTTATATGAGGATATCTTGATTGGAATAAAAAGTAAATAAAAGTGTAAACACCTATTCATACAGCACGTTAATTAAATTGTACAGCTATTATAGAATGCTGTTTTAAAGAATATTTACTGCTATTGAGAAATGTTTATAACTCCCCAACATTAGAAGCATTATAGTAAAATTTAAGTGCATCAAATACAGCACATTCCATGGCAAAAATAACTATTTGGCTGTTCTGGCTCTTTGCCCCTAAATTAGCCTTGATAATAAAGTTTATTCCAAAAGAAAAAAAATGTGTCTTCACTAGCACTTTGTAAGTGTGTTTTCTGCAATACAAGTTCTATAAAAGATTAATTGGTGTTCTGTTAAAGGGTTCTAACGCCAATAAGTTTGAGAAATAAATCAAATAAGATCAAACAGGATTTTAAAATTACATGAGACCCCAAAACTTTTAATGTATTGGTAGTCATTTTGGACCTTAAAGAGGGTAAAACAGTTTATACTGTGATGAAACCCAGTTATGTCATCTTTTTCTTTCTTTCATCATCAGTACATTTTGTGTTCTGTCCAAGAAATATTTGCCTACTCCAAGATTGTGAAAATTTTCTCCTATGCTTTTTTTTAAGAAGTTTTATCATTTTTAGCTTTTGTATTTAGATCTCTCAACCATTTTTAGTTAACTTTAAGTATGATGTAAGCTGGGAAATTTAGAGTATTTTTTCCACCAACACATCCAGTTGTTTTTACATCATTTGTTGATAAGATTATTCTTTCATTCTCTTACTTAGGCACAATTGTCAAAATCAATTGGCCATATGTGTGTG
This sequence comes from Homo sapiens, assembly GCF_000001405.40. Classification (NCBI taxonomy): domain Eukaryota; kingdom Metazoa; phylum Chordata; class Mammalia; order Primates; family Hominidae; genus Homo; species Homo sapiens. The sequence goes on from NC_000004.12 coordinate 141,627,698, forward strand.
GGTTTATTTCTGGCCTCTCTAGTCCGTTCTATTGATTTGTCTATCTTTATGCCATGAATATACTTGATTATTAAAGCTTCATATTAAGTCTTGATATCTGGTAGTACAGGTCTTACAACTTTATTCTTTTTCAAATGTATTTGCCTCTGCTAGGTTCCTCATTTGCATTTCACTTTTAGTATCCCTTCATCAAGTTGTACAAGAAAGCCTGCTGCGATTGCATTGAATCTATAGATATCTTTGGGAAGAACTGACATCTTTACAGCATTAAATTTTCTAATTCATAGACATGGTATATCTCTCCAAGAATTTATGAGGGGTTGGCAAACATTTTCCGTAAAGAGCAAAGCAGTAAGTATTTTAAGTTTTGCTAAATTATTTGGTCTCTCTTGCAACTTCTCAATTGCAAAAGCAGCCATAGCCATATGTAAACAAATGAGTATAGATGTATTCTAAAAACAAAAGCAGAGCATGAACAGCAGGCCATAGTTTACCAACCTCTAATTTATGTCATCTTCAGTTTCTCTCACCAATACCATAGTAGTCCCTCCTTATCTGTGGAGCATACATTCCAAGACCTCTGGTGGATGCCATAACTGCAGATAGTACCAAACCCTGCATATATTATGTTTCTTCTTATATATACCTATCTAAGATTAAAGCTTAATTACAAATTAGGCATAGTAAGAGCTTAACAATAATAACTAATAATAAAATAGCAAAATTACAACAATATGCTGTAATAAAAGTTATGTGAATGTGTTCTCTCTCAAAATATCTTATTGTACTGTACTCACATATTTTAAACTGTGGTTCAGCTCGAGTAACAGAAACCTTGGAAAGCAAAACCACCAATAAGGCAGAGGACTACTGTATTTTGTAGTTTCAGTGTACATGATGTCAACTTTATGCTTAAGTATTCTGTATTGGATGCTTTTGTAAATTGTAGTTTTTAAATTTTAATTTCTTATTATTAATGGCTTAAATAAGAAATTATCATTGATGTTTACATATTTATCTTGTATCCTGGGACACTACTAAATTCACTTATCATTCCAGAAATTTTTGGTAGGTTCCTCATAAATTTGTTGTCTGCAAATATAGACAGTTTACCTATTTCTTCCCAATATTAGTTATTTATTTAAATATTTATTTATTTTTGTTACTCTTCATTGTCTAGGATACCCAGTTCCAGTTGAATAGGAGTGATGAGAGGAGACATCTTTGCGTATAGCTAACTTTGGAGAAAGCATTAATCTTTCTCTAAAAATAAGGTGTTAGCTGTAGACTTTAGGTGGATGCCTTTTATCAGGTTGAGGGAGTTTCCTTCTATTTCTATTTTGCTGAAGTGTTCTATCATGGCTGAACACTAAATTTTTTCGGATGGTTTTCTTCTTTATTCAAATAATATGGAAAATTACATTGACTGACTTTCAAATGTTAAATCAGCTACACATTGCATGGAAGATCTCTAGCTGCTCTTGTTCCTTATTATACATTTTTGGATTAGATTTGCTAATATTTTGTTAAGAAGTTTTGTGCAATGTTTAGAAAAGATGTAACTATATCTGCAGATTTATTTTCTTGTAATATCTTTGGTTTTGGCAGAATAACTCTGGACTTCTACAGTAAGTTAGAAAGTGTTTTTCTCCTATGTTTCCTTAAAGAATTTGTGTATGATTGGTATTATTAATATTTTTTCTTTAATTGTTTAATGAAATTTGCCATTGAAACCATCTGGTCCTGGAGTTTCCTTTGTGGGAAGGATTTTAATTATAAATTTAATTTCTAAAATAGACATAGATCAGTTTAAACTTTTTTTATGTGAGCTTTCATAAATTGTGGCTTTCAAGTTTGTCCTTTTTTATCAAGTTGTCAAATTTATTGCCATAAGGCTGTTTTTAATATTCCTTATTATCCTTTGATGTGTACAGTATATTAGTAATGTCTGCTGCTTCAATGCTCATGCTGGTAATTTATATTTTCTCTCTTTTTTCTTAATCAATTAGCTAAAAACAATTTAGCTAAAGATTTACTAATTGTATTGATCTTTTCAAATAAGTAACTTGTTTTCTTTCCTTTTCTTCTTCCATTACAGCTCTTGTTTCCTTTAATTTACTTTGTGTATATTTTTCTTTTTCTAAAGGTAGGAGCTTATTCTATTGATTTTGATCTTTTTGTTTGTCATACGAGTATTTATAACTATAAATTTCTAAAAGCCGTTAGCTGCGTCACTCAAATATTGGTATGTTTTGTTTTCGTTATCATTCAGTTCAAAGTATTTTATAGTTTCTTCTGTGATTTCTTCTTTGATCTGTTGTTTATTTAGATAAAGACTTGTTGTTTATCTTGGAAACTTGTCAGAACATACCTTAGGAAATTGTTAAGCACTGTTCTTGCTTACATTTAGGGTATAAGGCATGCTTAGAATATAAAGTATGAGTAGAGAATAGACTCAGGATTGAATCTATGTATATACACAATCTGTATTCCCCCACAGGTTATAGCAGATTTGATTTCATTTCAGAGAGTTATTGAGATCCAAGATGGTGTCACGTCGGAGGGAGTGGCATAAATGTGAAGGAGAAAGTTTCAGTATCAGAACAGACATGATGCTACAGGTCAGGAGAGCCTTTAGTTGAGGACATCAAGCTTGACGCATAATAAAAACTTATAAATGTGACAAAGCCAAAAAGCACACAAGTCTCAAATAAATAAAATAAGTAATCACGAAGAACTGCCATAATATGACTCTGCTATATAATTAGAGAATATTTAGCAAAAAATTATAGGATGTATGTTAAATATAAACAATGCAAAAGAGAGTAGCTTATTGGTATGGCAAAATTTATTGATGTGTTAAATAGATGGTAAGTTTGTAACCTGAAACACATGTTAAAGGTAGAATAAATGAAATATATACTAGAATGAACAAGCATATTACTTATAATAGAAAAGGATAGAAAGTTGTAGTTATGATCATGCCCTTTTCATGCAGGCATTTTTAGATATAATCTTTAAGTTGGCTATTATTGGTGACATCCAACATGGTCCCATTCTAACCTATTCACATGTTTTGTGTTCATGAGGTGTAGATAAAACCCATAGTTGTTTAGGAGGCTAATTGAAAAAGAATTTTGCTCCTATGTCTGTCTGATATGGTTTGGAGTTTTGTCCCCTTTGAATCTCATGTTGAAATGTAATCCCCAGTGTTGGAGATGGGTCCTGGTGGGAAGTCATGAAAGTCAAAGGGAAACCTTGGGGTCGTGAGGGTGGTTCCCTTATGAATGGCTTGGTGCCCTCCCCATGGTAATAAGTGAGTTCTCCAGAGTTCACATGAGATCTGGTTGTCTAAAGAGCCTGGCACTTCCTCTTTCCTCTCTCTTGCTCCTGCTCTCACCATGTGACATTCCTGCTCCCACTTCACCTTCTGCCATGAGTAAAAGCTCCCTGAGGCCTCCCCAAGAGCTGAGTAGAGGCCTTTGCCATGCTTCCTGTACAGCCTGCAGAACTATGAGCCAATTAAACTTCTTTTCTTTATAAATTATCCAGTCTTAGGTATTCCTTTATGGAAATGAAAACAGACTAACACACTCTCTGGGAGAGTGTGTGTTTTGGCCCTAGGTAACTTCCGTCTGTGCATTCCATTCTTATTCAAACCTCAGCCTTGGTCCCTGTCACCACAGCATCAGCAGAGAAGGTTGACATGGCAGAGACTGAGAAACATAGGGAGGGAGATAGCTGTGTTTATGTGAAGATTATATAATTCAGGATTTGGGTAGTGAGATCCTTTCACACAATTGTACCCTACACTTTGTGTTAACCTGGTACCCCATTTTTTTACATCTCATTGTGTGTTTTAAATTCATTTAATATACCATGTTATTTGGGCATCTTTATTTGGTCTGCAAGTTTTTCTATTCTGAGACTTTTAGGGTAGTAACTGGAGGCTACCATTTCATCAAGGTAATTTCCCACACAACCATAATAACAAAATCAATGATATTTTAGCCAGTGATCAGAACCCTATATTGATACTTTAACCAGTAATTAGAACTAATTTTAATATATATTATGAAGAAATTTTAGTTGACAATTTAATGAAAAGTGATTGTAGGATTAAACACACATAAACCACAGAATGAAGTTACACAAATATACAAATTATCAAATCATTTCATGATAATGGAAAGAGCTTTTTTACATACATACATATATACACACATACATACACACATATCTATAAGTTTCTAGATTTTGATTCTAGCAAGTATTTAAACTATGAAACAAGAGGGTTTTTTTTAACCAAGATTAATATAACAAATATTTATTGAAGGCCAACTATTTGCTAGCCATAGAGTCAAAACCAATGCCAGTTTAACTTTGTTAACATAAACCTATTATTGGTATTGACTTGATTTACACTTTTTGTAAAGGTTATTATGTGTTGTAAAAAATGCGTGAATTTTAATCATAGAACAAATTCAAGGAATATGTATTTGCCATGTTTTAGCCAATATATGTGAAGAGAAGTAAAATTCCTTTTTACAATTTGTCATTAAAATAAATGCTGACAAGATCCATTACATACATTTATAATATACTCTCAGATTATAAATCTAAATAGGTTTATTAATGTTTTGTAACTAGATTTTAATTGTTAAGGTCAACATTAAATGACTGTTCAGAATAGTACTGGTAGCATATGAACTTGTCACTTTTTTCTACTTAAGCCCCTTCCGCCCTACATTAAGTACCAATGCATTTAAGATAACATGTACTTTTAAATATATTAAAAATTAAGTATGTTATTGTGATGGTTAACATTGAGTGTCAACTTGATTGAATTGAAAGAAGCAAAGTATTACCCTTCGGTGTGTCTGTGAGGGTGTTGACAAAGGAGATTAACATTTGAGTTAGTGAACAGAGAGAGGCAGACCCACCCTTAATGTGTAGGCACCATCTAAATAGCTGCCAGCACAGCTAGAATAAAGTAGGCAGAAAAACAAGCAAGGTTTATACTTGCTCAGTTTTCCAGCCTTCATCTTTCTCCCGTGCTGGATGCTTCTTGCCCTCAAACATCAGACTCGAAGTTCTTCAGCTTTTGGACTCTTGGACTTACATCAGTGGTTTGCCAGTGACTCTCAGGCCTTAGGCCACAGGCTGAAGGCTGCACTGTTGTCTTCCCTACTTCTGAGGTTTTGGGACTTAGACTGATCCACCACAGGCTTCCTTGCTCCTTAGTTTGCAGACGGCCTGTCATGGAATATTACCTTGCGATCATGAGTCAATTCTCCTTAATAAACTCCCTTTCATATATACATATATTTTATTAGTTCTGTCCCCCTAGAGAACCCTGACTAATACAGTTATTATTGTTCTTAATCTCCAGCTTGAAACTAGACATCTTTTCTCCTTGTTTGTCATGGGTACACTCTGACATTTCAGTTCAAAGTCACCCATCTCTATCAGAATCTGCCAGCTCCTAGTTCCTCTGTTTCAAACCTGCAGCAATGTTCTGCCAGCATTTTGTCAGTCACTTTATTCAAATAACTTATGTTAGTAGCAGGGCTGCAATATCTATTGCAGTTTCATTACAGAAACTTAAGATGAGAAAGCAGAAATTCAAGGAAAACTGAAAAGTTTCCTGCCTGGTGGTGACTAAAGTTACCCTGAAGCAAACAAAATTGGACTAAGACATACTGTCTGGGGGTCCACGCTTCTTTCCTTATGAATTCAGTTTTAGAAACAGTGGAGAATGGCTGCCAATTTAAAGGCACCAGAGAGTAGGAATGTGTATTCAAGCCAGACTGTCTGAGTTCAAATCCTTGCTGGGTCAGTCAATTTCCATGTGATCTTAGGCAAGCTGTATAATTCTTTGGGCCTTGGTTTTCCCATTTGTAAAATGGAGATAATAATAGTTTATATCTCATAGCTTTGCTGTGAGGATTTAATAAGTTAACATTTGTGTTTAGCACAGCACTGGAGAAATAGCAGATTGGAGGAACTACAGAAGTCCTAACTAATACTGTTGTGGTTCTGAAAAAGCAGCAACTTGAGGAGCTCTTGAAAACCTAAATAGTATTTAAGGCCAAGAGTATCTGTCTATTGTCAGGATCACCAGAAAAAAATGTGAGAAGCAACTTCGAGGTAATGCTGCATTTCAGCATGCTTTACCCCGAATGGAAATGTAGAGAACCCAGGCAGGCCATGTTTTCCAAAGAGCAGGGGATCAACTTGTTCTTGATGGGAGGTTTAAATCTTAGTAAAACCATAAATAAGGCCACAGTCATGGACTTTGAACACTAAATCAGATGAAATAACTTGTAACTTCTTCCATGTAATCACAAAAGCTAGAAAATAAATTATTAGTAATTTATTTTAAAGATGATTGCCCAATTGACATTGTTTTTGAAAAAAGATATTAAAAATTTATTAAACTATAATTTTATTGTTAATTATTTGAATTCAGGAAGATTATTATGGTCACTTCTATGAGATTTAGTTAATCTCCACTTCTTTCTACCCTGTAATTTTATTAGTTATCTTAAGACAGTTTCAAATTATTTCATCAATCTTCATCTTTGCTTTTAATTTATGCAGCAGAATTTACTTGTTCATTGGTATGAGTAATTTTCAATATTTTGCCAAACAGCCTGTGGCAACTGAAAACACAAGTTGCATACATTAGACTTTTCTTTTTGAGTGCAATGCAACAAAAACAAATTATGTTGCAAACCCAACTTCATTGAACTGCAGGCACTCATAACTAATTAAAAATACTTTTAAAACATCTGTATTTATGAAAACAAATTTGACCAACATATTTGGGAGGCAAATAGTAGAGCAAAGCATATCTTATGACTATAATAATTTTTAGTTGTACTTTACTGTTATTTATGTTTTTTATCTCCCTACTCTGACAAAATGCTTTATATATCATTTAGTCCATCTTGTTCTAGAACCTACTATAGTTGAAACCCAATAAACAGTTGTAGACCAATTTTCTTACTGTTATATACTCAGATTATGCCTTAAGTTCACCCTACAAGTAAACTTTCCGTCAATTTCATAGTGTTGTGAAAACTCTCTAGTAGCTCAGAACGTTCTTGGTGGTCTCAATATATTAAAAGTATGCAGTCAGATACTGATGGCCCTGAGTCCTGCAGACAGCTAACAAAGCTGAAGCCCACAGGCTAGTGAGCACCAGCTGAGAGCACTTTCTATAGAGTTTGTGGGCAGTCCAAGAGAGACAGGATCTGAGATGTGATGATATGTCCTCTGGCAGCAGCAATATCTGATATTGAGCTCTGCTAGGTGGTGCTGAGCGTGGACACCTGCTTCCTTCACCGGCTGCAGAGAACACAGTATCCATTAAAGGAGCTGAAAGAGGTGCTAGAGGAGTTTACATGGCAGGAGTCCAGGAAGCTCTGCAACAGTCCAAAATGAGGTTGGGACACATGATACACTTGTTCATCCCTATTCTCTATCTTCACACATATGCATATCAGTCCTTCCGTGGCTGCTATATTCTTGTGGTGAGATCCAAACCAGCTGCAGTCTTGCTCTCCCAGTGCATGCTCATTCTGCAAATCAGAGCTTCAATGTATTGCTATGAAAAATTCTGACTGGTCTTGAAATCCATTGACACCATCACAAGAAAATTCAACATGACATCGTCATGAACAGAAATGGATGATGGCTTCATATTCTTAAATATAATTTCCAACTATGGTGAAATTTTGAATGGTTGTAAAAACTGTTTTTGCATTTTTATACCTCACTTATTTTGTTAATGGAGACTATCTAGAGTTTGATGTAATTCTCATCAAAAAGTCCATCAGTAATTATTTCAAATATAAAACTGATATCAAAAAATTGAGTTAATGAAAATAAACTCAAATTTTTCATAAAAATATGAAATTATATTATACGGAACTTTATGTACATGGAAAGTGAATAATTTCTATTATTTTTCTATTTGATATTTATCATATTTATGTAATTAAAAACATAATTAAATTTTAAACTAAATTAAACTGCGCTCCAGGAAGACATCATTTTCTCTGAACCATGACTCTGAAAATTTGGAAAGCACCGTACAAGAGGGATTTTCAGTGATTCACAAGAGTGCAAGATTCTGCAAAGTACTTTCAAAACTAAGCGTGAGATCTTTGCTACTGCCTTTATGGCATGCAAATCACTCAGCCTCAACTCAGTTCCTTCCTCCAATGTAAAAATACTACAAGAACAACATCTCACGCTTCCATCAAATGGGACCATGTGTGATATTTTACACTGGACTACACAATAGGCTGGAAAAGTGATCCGCAGAGAGGCTCATTGCTCTAAGTTCACTCCCTGTACCAACTGTCTTGCACAAAGCTGCCACCCGGGTGTCTTCTTCCAACATTTCCCCTAGTTGGACTTCAAAGTTTCCTTCTTGCAGCCTGTGCGGGGACCAAGAGGCCGGTCTAGAGTAGCCGCCCAGCATCCAGATCCGACATCCTTTTCCCTTTCCTCAGGAAGACTTGGATGCGCGCCAGCCCAGCCCGGGTCTCCAGGTTCAGCTGCGGAAGCTTCCCACATGGTGCCCGTCGCTTGGGATGCGGCTATCCTTGTGCCTTCTCTGCAGGTGTCCCGGCAGGTAGAGGAGGAGACCGGTGGCTGGTGTTCCTGCAGGGCGGGGCTGGGGCTCCTCGATGTCCTTGCGCTTGCCCTGCAAGTTCTGCGCCCCAGGCCCCGGCAGGGACGGAAACAGGCCGGGAAGCAGTGACACCTGGGGCAGTCAGTCATCCAGGAGCCGCCGCCACCCGCCCCACCCCCAGTCTCCGCGGGAGGTGTTTGTCTTCGCCTATGCTCCCGGCTCTTTCTCTTTCACTTTTCTTTTCGCCAGGGGTTGGGACTCCGGGTGGCAGGCGCCCGGGGGAATCCCAGCTGACTCGCTCACTGCCTTCGAAGTCCGGCGCCCCCCGGGAGGGAACTGGGTGGCCGCACCCTCCCGGCTGCGGTGGCTGTCGCCCCCCACCCTGCAGCCAGGACTCGATGGAGGTACAGAGCTCGGCTTCTTTGCCTTGGGAGGGGAGTGGTGGTGGTTGAAAGGGCGATGGAATTTTCCCCGAAAGCCTACGCCCAGGGCCCCTCCCAGCTCCAGCGTTACCCTCCGGTCTATCCTACTGGCCGAGCTGCCCCGCCTTCTCATGGGGAAAACTTAGCCGCAACTTCAATTTTTGGTTTTTCCTTTAATGACACTTCTGAGGCTCTCCTAGCCATCCTCCCGCTTCCGGAGGAGCGCAGATCGCAGGTCCCTTTGCCCCTGGCGTGCGACTCCCTACTGCGCTGCGCTCTTACGGCGTTCCAGGCTGCTGGCTAGCGCAAGGCGGGCCGGGCACCCCGCGCTCCGCTGGGAGGGTGAGGGACGCGCGTCTGGCGGCCCCAGCCAAGCTGCGGGTTTCTGAGAAGACGCTGTCCCGCAGCCCTGAGGGCTGAGTTCTGCACCCAGTCAAGCTCAGGAAGGCCAAGAAAAGGTACCGCAGCTCCCCACTTCCTAACTGCTCCCGTCCCAAACTCATTGTGGGCCGGTGCAGATGTCTGTGCGTGCGCGTCTATCCCTACCTTTGCAAAATCAAATTATCGCCCTCTTCTTTGCTTGCACACGTCTTCTGGGAGAGAAATTTGCAGGAATGGTCAGTGCTTGGCAGTCAGGCCTGGGTCTGTATTGGTTCCAACTCTGCGCCAGCCAGTTATCTCTTAGAGAAGCGATAGTGTATCTAGAATGTCGAAGGAACTTGGAAAAAATACGAGCGAATTTCACTGAAATAAAATCATTATTCAAGGTGGCTTTTAAATGAAAATCCAGCCAATTTTTTCAAGTGTTATTAAGACCGCATGTAGCAAGGGTATATAGTTCATTTGACTTTATGTAATTCCATGCATTAAAAACTATGTTGACTTCAAAGTATGTCTAAACCAAACTAATTCTTAAATGATGCTTACAACAGATTCTTAAATAGGATGAGTCAGCAATTTCAAAACTGGAAGTAAAGTGGTGGTCACCAGCTAGTTTCCATTATATATTTTTAAACTACTATCTAATATTATGATACTGGTGGTGGCCAACTAAGTGGACGTCATCCTTATCTTGTCAGTGTGGTGAAAGAGGCCATATTAGCTAGGCTGAATTTTTGCTCAGGTATTACAGAATAAACTGGTGATTATGCATCCTGCCATGTAGAGGTTATAAGGTGAACCATTCTACTGAAAGCATCAAGATACAATACACTTTTGGAAGGCCGAGGCGAGAGGATAGCTTGAGACCAGGAGTTCCAGTTTATAGTGAGCTATATGATCTGCCACTGCACTCCAGCCTGTCAAAAAATAAATAAATGAATAAAAAAGATATAATACAGGTTAAATTTTTAAACTCCTGTTGTTTTCGTGTGAAGTAATGTGGCCAACAGAGCAAGGAAATACATGGGAAGGAACATAAAGACATATAAAGAGAAGAACTGAAAATACAGCAAAAGCCATTTAGATTTAAAAAGTGAAGAAAAAGCTAGTTTTGCTTAAAGTTAACAAGTATCATAGAGATCTTAAGGTTTGTTATGATTGTCTTAGTTTCGGGTCCTTATTCGTGTAAAATTCTCACAGAATTTTAGTCAATCAGAAAAGTCTCTCCTGCAGTATCATCTGCTTTGCAACAGTGACAGAGAAGGGTCAGTTGACCATTGGTCTGGAACTTCTGATAGGCAGGGTGTTCCCATACTTTTGGTTTCACTGTTCCTTGCTGATTTGGAGTGGCAACTCCAGAACCTGATTGGAAGCTATAGTTCTGGTTGGAATTTTCCTGCAGACTACTGGTGATTAAAATGATGCTCTTTTGTTTTAATCCATGAAATTAATGTAGCCAATGTCAACAGCTATATTGCAAGGCACAATGTTTATAAATTTCCTTGGGGGATGGAGAAAACAGTGGTTTAAGGTTTATCGAAATAGATTTTGGAAGTGGAAGGTTTTAAAGCCTACGGGATACTCCATCTCAGATTTGCTGCCTCTGATGAATTTCAGGACAGCTAGAAGAGCAGCCCTGAAATGCTGGGTACATGTGGATTTTTCTCAGGAAAATATCCGTAACTTTGATCAGCTTTTTAAATGGGTCTCTGACCCAAAAGAGTTTTAAATCTTTTGAAAATATAGACTACTGTCCTTTTCCCCTCATCTCTCCTGGAGTTTAATGTTGAGTTCTGCTCATTGTGTTAACTATTTTTCTGAAGGTTAGCTGATCATAATACAGAGTTCTGTCTTCAGACCTATAACTTAAGTTATGAGAAACAGTATGAATAATAACTAACATTGTTGAGTTCTTATTATGTATCAGACATTGTTCTAAGGATGTATTTTTTAAAAACATCGTAATAAACTTATGTGGTAGGCAATATATTTTACAGCTGAGGAAATTATCAAGGTCACAGAGCTAGAAAGTGGTAGAGTTGGAATTCCAACTGAGACAAGTTTAAGACTGGTGGTATTTATGGAGGATGGTATTATTTGCATACAAATATTTCGTACAATTTGACAGTGATAATCCCTACTTATTTTCAGGCAGCGTTGTAATGGTAGAATGCCGGTTTTAAAGTAATGTTTGTATGGTACTTGTGCAATTGACATTATTATATATTTAAAGATTATCTTTATAATCAAATAATATTCATTTGAGTGTCAAATATGTGTTTGGTATATTGGAGAAATTTCCTTTATGGTCCCTGAATGAAAACATTTGTCTAATCTGCATCACTTTCTGCTGAAAGAGCCTGACAAATAGTAGGCAAATGTGGATTGATCTAGATATCTGTCTCTGCCTATCTATGTATCCCTTCTTCCATACAACTAGAAGTCTGGGATTCATGGAGAGGTCAGAGAAGAAGAGTTTCCCATAATATCCCAACTGGAGATGATATAGTTAACTATTTGGGACATCCTCTCTTCAGAAGGCATTATGGTAGAAGGTTTGGCAAGAAGCCACTTCTTTTGCTCGATATTAGCTCTTTGATTTACTTACCCGTTGATTACAGTAACTGCATGAGACTACTGACACTGAACATTGCTTAAATACTTGCTGCTGTCCTATAGGAATGGGTTGGATGGAAAAATTCCATAGAGGAGTTGAAGGAAAAATTGTTATTTTAGTGAGTACTGGAATGCACTAACACCTATTTGATGGTAAATTTCACTAATTAAATACTATCAACTATATGTCTATATGTGTGCATATATGACTATATGTGTATATATACTGTGTATGTGCATATATGTGTGTGTATGTATATATTGTACTGTACTATTTGTTAACAGCTGTGGGCAGACAAGGTTTACTTTTTACTCAGCTTCCAGACTGTATTGAATATATAAACATAAGAAGCTAAGAAATCTTGACAGAAAGCCTGAAGGACAAATTATTGTTATTAACAGTGCCATTCCAGTAGGAACCTAATGTGAATTTGAAAGTTTCAAAGAGGAAGCCTCTGCTATGTTTCAGCCACCATACTGGCACTTCATCTGTATGTCCTCATTGAATTTGAATAACCATTGCATTTTTATCCTGAATTTACAAAGAAAAAAAAAAAAAGACATGCAGAGTTTTGCTTGCATTAGGACACAACTAGGTAAGACAGACACTCCACTGAGATTTATCTTGATTCTAATGTTAATGCTCCTTTTCGGATATCATATGCATTCTCTTCTAAGAAAACTCAGGTGTTCAGTGTACTGACAACTAAAATGCTGCTATCCTTACCTTGAAATAGACCCTGGTCACCATTTGGGGTGATTTAATGCTATTTATGAATTTGCCTATGTCAAAGAATATTGCCCTTTTTTAAACAAACAAAAAAAAAAGTTGTTTAGTGCTGGAGTCAGAAAGAGGAGAAAAAGAGGCTCTTTAATCTCAGTTTAGTTCAATAATATTATTTGTCCACATTTCACATCCAGAGCCAGGGTATTTGTATGCATTTATTTTATAGTGTTTCATCCCACTGCAGGGGCAGAAGACTCTATGTAGACCGTATAAAAATGGATTTTTAAAAAGTCTGCATGTAATACACAGTTGTTTCTTCTCTAAATGCTAATAGTTCCTCCAAGTGCTGACAGGGTGCAGACAAAATCAGGAAAGTGACAAATTATTTTGTGAAATGAGGGAATTGAAACTGAAAATGGTTGTAGAACAGGAAAATATGATGGTTGTAAGGTTGATGGCGGTGGTGGTGGGGGTAAGCTCTGCTTATCATTGTGACACACGAAAGGAGCCCAGAGAGGGTCTTTGGTCCCTTATATCACTGAATGCTACTTCTCCTTCCTGGGTATTTTGCTTATGTGCCTTCTAATAGAAATCTGACAAAGTAGTCCTTGCACACTGTTAGCACTGACCTCTAAAATTATCAAATGATTTTTTCTTAATTGAACATTTTACTGTTAAAGATTTTCTATTTTCCTGACTCATCTGCAACAAAAATAAGTACATAAAACTTGATTTTTTATTTGAAGGATTTTCGTTGTGAAAATTATTCTAGCTTATGTTATTTAAAACACTATCATTATAAAATTAATCAAAGGAACCATTAATTTTTGATAAGTGATTATTAAGCATAAAACTAAAACATATATACCCAAAGGATTATAAATCATGCTGCTGTAAAGACACATGTTTATTGCAGCACTATTCACAATAGCAAAGACTTGGAACCAACCCAAATGTCCATCAATGTTAGACTGAATTAAGAAAATGTGGCACATATACACCATAGAATACTATGCAGCCATAAAAAAGGATGAGTTCATGTCCTTTGTAGGGACGTGGATGAAGCTGGAAACCATCATTCTCAGCAAACTATTGCAAGGACAAAAAACCAAACACCGCATGTTCTCACTCATAGGTGGGAATTGAACAATGAGAACACCTGGACACAGGAAGGGGAACATCACACACCGGGGCCTGTCATGGGGTGGGGGGAGGGGGGAGGGATAGCATTAGGAGATATACCTAATGTAAATGACGAGTTAATGGGTGCAGCACACCAACATGGCGCATGTATACATATGTAACAAACCTGCACGTTGTGCACATGTACCCTAGAACTTAAAGTATAATTTAAAAAAAAAAAAGCCGCAATGTGGTTTTCGAGCTTCTAGAAACTTAGAAAGGTGCTAAGTGCTAAGGAAATTTCTTGCATCAGTGCTTTGAATGTAAATTATTTTTGTTGAAAAGTGTGAATATCGCTACGTTTTGTGGAGTTTTGAAAACAAAACCTGTATTGGAGAATAATAATAATAATAATAAATAATAACGTGCTCTTGAAAAAAAAACTAAAACAATATTGGAAATATATATCATACAACTAGATATGTCAATGCTTTGATTAAAGATGTCTCTTATATCAACTTTTCAAATTGCCCCTTTATTTGGCACCCTGGTGAGGCAAGGCACATGTTAAGATTCTGGATAGGGAGAGATAGGCATTTTTTTCCTAAAGTGGGAGAAGGGTAATTATGAAAGAGGAAGTGAGGAAGGAGAACTTGCCAGAAATCTGCCTGCTTTGGGCACACATCAGGCATATCTCTGGTAAAAGGGGCTCCTATGGAAGTAACGGATCTTGAAATTGGTTCCTTTAGAACCGTCTATGTCCACAAAGCCCTGGGAAAGTTGTAGGGTATGCCAGAGGTGCGTGTTGTTCAGTTGGGATATATAGTTCAGCCTTCTTTCCCACACCCTCCCTTTGGCTTCTGGATTACCATGGGTTACTGTGCTTAAAGCAAAGTACAGGGAGTAGGATGGGGAGCAGTAAAGAGCCTGGGCTAGCTTCTGTAGAGGTTTCCCACTGGGGACTAGTGCGAAATAAGCTCTAGTAGGGCTTGGATAGCCTCTGCAGTGCAGTCTCCTCTTCTAGCCTCAGCTGCAGTCACCTTGCCTCAGTGTCCAGACACACTTGCCATTCTTTGTCAGCCTTCATGGGTCCTGCTCAAAATGTTAACCCTCTATAACTTTTTCTGTCCCCACCTACTGCCCAGGCAGAATTATTTTCTCCCTTACATGAATTCATTTGGTGCTGTCTACATTCCCTTATAACAGCTTTAATGTCTGTAAACTCATTTTTATGTGTCTGACTCTACACTTACATTTTGAGTAAGGGCAATGTGCTCCATGTGCTTAGCAGAGGGTTGGTCAGAGTCTATTTGTATTGACTTCAGCATGAGTCAATCATCTTTCAAGTGTTTGACAGCTAAGCAAACAACTGTAAAAGAGGTAGGAAACATAAGTAATATAGCAAAACAATGTTGGAATACTGTAATAAAAATAGTATTTTAGGGAAATTAGTTTGAGGTAGAATTTATTGAAGAAAAGACAATTAGAGATAAGGAAACCAGCTAGAAATTCATCACAGTTAATTCAGGAGTGTAGTTTCATTCTCATTATCTGCTCAAGGACATAACTCTAGTAATTCATTCTTTCTCTCCATCACCATTTTTTTCTCTGTCTCTTATGGGTCTTTCCCAATACCATGTAGCCATGCTATAACTTCTGCCATTTTTAAAAAAGACTCATGTTTTTCTCCTCATGTTTCTGCTCACTTCTATATCTGCTTTTTTCTGCCCACATTTTACAGGAAAACTTACAACCTTAACTATATTCTCTGTTTCCAGTTTTCCTCTCTCCTTTCTCTCCTGAACCAGCCAGGCTGTCATCTCCACTGCTCCACTAGAAATACACTTGTCAAAGGTACCACGAACATCCCTTTTATTAAATCCAGTAGTTAGTTATTGGGTCCCTTCCTATGTACCCTTTCAGCAGGACCTGAGAGTTCTTCATGTGGCTTCCAAGCCACTCCCCTTCTCCTTATTTTCCTTTTACCATACCAGCAACAATTTCAGTCTCCTTTTACCTTACCAGCAACAATTTCAGTCTCTGTCTAGTTCCTAATTTCCCTAACATGTAAATATAGCTGTCTGAGGGCTCAGTCCTTAGGCCTGTTCTCTATCTGTACTCTCTGTCTTGGTGATCTCATCTAGTGTCATGGTTTTTAATCCCTTCTTACATTGATGATTCACAAATGTACGGGTGAATCTAGCCATGACCTCTCCCCTGAACTCCAGACTCATTTAGCAGTCTATTTAGCTGTTATTCAACCATCTCTGATTGGATGTCTAATACTCACTGGATTCCTGCCTTTACTGCCATATCTGCTTGCTCCACCTTCTTCCTCATCTTACCTGATGTCAATTTCATTCTCTTAGTTCCATAGATAATCAATCAATCTATCTTGGGTTTGTCCTTAACGTCTCTTTATGTCATATTCCACGTTGAATCTGCCACCAAATTATTTAGCTAGGCCTTCAAAATATACCCTACATCCTATCTCTTCTCACCCTTTTTTTCAGTGCTGTCACCTGGGTTCAAGTTGCTATCATGTCTCACAGTATTATTGCAAAAGTGCCTGCTGCTTGTCCCCTTATCTCCACTCCAGCCTGTTCTCAACATAGCAGCCACAGTGTTTTGGTTACCTGTCCCTGCATCTAAAGGATCAACAGCCATAAAACAAGAACAAAACAAAACAACACCCCCAGAACTTAGTGACTTGAATAACAATAATTTGTTATTTATCGTGATCTTGTAATCTGGGCTACTTTCGGCTGCTTGACTCCTCCTAGGCTGCTGGAGATGAGACATTCAAGAAAGCATCTTCCTTCACATGTCTAGAACATCAGCTTGGATAGCTGGAAAGCTCATGGCTGGCCAAGCATCCATCTCTCCGTATGTGACCCCTATACATGACTAACTTGGACTTTACATAATGTTGGCCTCAAGTAGTTGTATCATTTAACTAATTATTGACTTTCAGGATCCCCCATAGCTTATCTCGTTATGGCATCAAACTCAGACTTTAAGTCTCTAAACTGGATCTCCAGATGAGGATGATATTTCTCTGATGTAGTTTCTTGAGTGCAGCAACCTGTAGCTAAAAAGATAGGTTATCTGTGACCTTCCCCTTGTCCCAACATACAATGGTAAAACAAAAATAGGACAATTGCTTTAAAAAAATACCATTTCAAAACAAGACAATAGAAGGCATATAACAGTTGCTAGTCCATAGCAAGTCTAAATAGAGCCGGCATATATCCCAAGTTCTTGCTCTGGAAGCAATACATGTTCCGGATTAAGGTTTAAATTTGTTCCCTAGGAGTGATCCTCTGTGGCTCTTAACTTCATCTTTTGCACTTTGGGCTCCTTTTCTCATTCTTTCTTTCTTTTCTATGAGAAATAATTTTTGCTATTCTTTGCAGTGGCGTAGCCTGCTTTCTGATGTTAGAGGGTTAATAATTTAGAGACCTTTTATATACTCACTTTTGTTTAACTGCTTTTTGTTTTTAAGTTCAATGATATTTAGAATTCGGGGGGCTTCCTATGAATTTTATTGAGATTCATTCACTCCGTTAGATAAAAGACATAACCAGAAAATCCTTGAGACAAGTTCCACTTTAATTTTTTGGGAAGTCAAGGTGCCATAGAAACCCTTACCATTTTTAGAAGCCTTTTGACTAGTTGGCAAGGTCTGTGAGACATCATTTTAAATCTTTCAGAGTTCTTAATGAAGGGCCTCCATGCCACACACCTGATTTGATCTCCAACCTGAGAGCACATGTAATAGTAGAGCCTGGATTTGATCTTTGCCCTGAAACTACTTATTTCTTGGAGAATCTTTTGCTGCCTGGAAAGGCAAGAATGAGAATAGGTGTTATTTTCCAATCTAGCAAGTCTTAGGTTGAACTATTTCGTCACTGCATTTCTAGCCTTCACTAACAGGGTCCTTGCCTCTCTCCAGGTGTCTTCCCACCACTCAGTCTCATAGTAGTTTCAATGTCAATTACTAATTTCCATATAATAGACTACCCCAACACTTAGTGGTATAAAATAAGAACCATTTTATTTTCTCAAGCCTAAGAATTAGGACAAAACACAAAGAGAATGACTTGTCTCTACACTGCAATGTATGTGGCCTCAGATGGTATGACTCAATGGTCAAGGGATGTCTGAGATGGCTCAGACATTAAGTCACACATATAGAGCCTCAGTTCTGGCTGTTGTCTGGGCTCCTTGGTTCTCCTCCACTTAGTCTTTCCACATGGCTAAACTGGACTTTCTCACAGCACGGTAGTTTCAGGGTTGTCAGACTCTTCACAACTTGGCCAACTTCTATAAGAGAGGAAGTTGGAGCTGTAATCACTTAAGGCTTGGATATGGAATTTCCAGACTTTAACATTTGTTTTATTCTTTTGGGAAAAGCAAGTCAGAAGGCCACCCAGATTGAAGGGGAGACGACATAGATTCCACCTTTTGATTAGTAGAGTGTCATGCATGTTCATGGGGGGAAGGCACTGACTGATGGCAGCTGTCTTTGGAGATTATCCACCACAAAGGGTAATCCGGTTAAAATATTAATCAGGTTATGCTACTCCTCTATTCCAAACCCCACATGGTTCTCCCATCTCACTCTAATAAAAGCCAAATTCTGTTACAGTGGATATTAAGTCTCTTAAGTGATTTGTACCCCTGATGTCTGCCATCTGCTACTCTTCCCTTAGCTCACTGAGTCAGTTACACTGGCACCTTTTCTATTCACCAACCATACTACTATGTTCTTGTCTAAGAGTCTTTTACCTTGCTGTTCCTTCTTCCTAGAATGCTTTTCTCTCAGATATCACCCCCTTCCCCATACCTGCTTTGGGGTTTGTCTCAAATATCCCTGTTGCAATGAAGTAATCCTTGACTGATGTACTTCAAATTGCAGCCTCACCAGCACTCCCTGTCCCAACCCTGTTTGGGAATTCAGATTATTTTTCAGATTTTGGAAAGTAATATAGTGTGTTTACTATATATCATGTAACGACCAAGCTTATTCAGGTACTTCCTCAAAAGGGAATAAATACAGCTTACACATAGTCTAATGTTAGTTCAGCTTGTGTTTTGTTAATCAGTGAATTAAGGAGAAACTTTCAGTTTTTGGAGCTTTTTTGATTTAATATTTTCATATAAGGGACTATGGACTTGTATGTTTTATTGAATTATTTGATTATTAACATCTCCCTTCATTAGAATATGAACCACAGGAGAACATGCAGTTTTGTTATTTTATTCATTGCTATATTCCCATCACCTATTAGTGCTAGGCATATGGTAGTCTCTCAACAAATATTTGCTTGAGTATTTAAAGCAATATTTAAAACAAAAATGAATGAGGGAATGAATGGATTAATGAATGCTAAGTAGTAGGGTACTGCAAATAGAATGGAGAATAGAAAGACAAGCTAATTTCAAGGAAGATTTGATATACCAGTGTTCTATTTATTCATTGAATTGATTTTGGCACTTCAGCAGTTAATAATTTTGAGTGCCTAATATGGGCTGGGGACTTTCCTAAATACTTGACTGGTCTTGATTGAGTGGGAGGAGCAGAGCACAGCGAAGAGTCAGAGAATGCCGAAGATTTTAACCATGAGAGTCAGGAAAGATAAACATGTTAGGAACAGATATATATTACAGCTAACACATGGGGCAAGGTAGGGGAATGGATGAACTTGATTTTGGAAATATCACGATTGAGTTAAAAGTGGAATAAACTACTTAAAATGTCCTGTAAGTGATTAGAAGTACTGGATTGAAGATTGGATAAGCTATTTGTACAAGATTTGGGTTTGTGAATTAAGTAAAGAATTATTGGTTAAAACAAATGGTCAGGATATTTCCCCAGGAGGCAAATGTATATATAGATGGCTTAGGGTCACATAAGACAACTAGAGGGACTGTCACTGAGCTAAGCACCCTGAAAGAGGAGATATTCGGGAAGGCCTTCGAGGAGGAATTGACCAGCTCCCAGGTCTTCAAAAGAGAAGGCTAGGCTTTTTACACCTCCTAGACCTTGCCTTCCTGTCATACTTGCTCTGTCTGCTGCTCTCTAGAGGGATTTTAATCCCTCATATGCTTATTCTTACATAGGGATCATCTTTAAAGACTCACTTTCTCTGTGACGTTTTCCTGGCGAGACACTATCTTTACCTCCTGTCTTGCCTGACACCTTTCCTTTGTGTGTTCTCCACCTGATAGATACTTCTCTCATAGTATCTGCAGTGTTTCACTGTATTTATCTGTGTTCATATTGCCTCTCCGGCAGGTAAATGATAAAGGTCATAGATGAGAAGAATTGTGATGGTGGAGTTGGAAGGGCTGAAGTTTGAGAAACACTGCATTCTTATGTGTCTAACACCTTGTCTGGCACATAGTAGAGCTATAATAATGTTATTCTTGTTGTCAATGATCCAACATATATTCCTGAGGGGTCAAGTTAGATCAGGTTCTGAGAAAAGGAGTTTGACCATATTTGACTCATAGTATATTACTGGTGATCACATGGCTTTTGGGAAACTATTCACAGCATATTTCCTATTATCAGGGTCAGGAAGGGAAATAGAATTTTCTGGGGATGTACTTTGGGCCAGGTTACAAATAGAATCTTTAACTTCCTTATTAGGAGTATGAGTTTTAGAGAACTGAAAACAAATACGTTTGTTTAATATTTTGTGCCAGTTTTATTATAGAGGGGATAATTTTATAAATTTGCAAAGTAAATGCTTCAGTAAATGAAAGGAAATTAAAACAAGGCACATCTTATTCTCTAAATTCCTTCAAACAGAAATCCTTTCATTTTCTTTATTTTATTTGCCGAGTATTTTGAGAAGTTATTTCAGTAGGACAAAAAAGATGAGAGAAATTGTGTGAAAATAATAGTATTGCGGAAGTTTAATTTATTTAGTGTCTCTTCTCCTGAGGGTTTAAGAGAAGAAATATGGTTTCTTCTCTTGTTATGCTGTTAAAAAAATTTGCAGTTACCTCAAATATCAGATTAAAATCTGTATTTGGTATCTTTAGATTCTACTCCTGAAAAGCAAGATCCTTGTAAAGAACCTCTAAAACTGGAAAGATGTGATTATGCTGATGGCTTATTTGACTTGATATTGAGGCATTCATCTTCTAAACCTTGGCCTTTCTTAAGTCAAACCATATTACTCTGAGCCGCTGCAACTTATAAAGCATGGCTTCCAGGCTAAGGTGTTTAAACCAAAGAGGCTAACAGCACACCAAAAGTTCTAAACAATAGTGGATATTTATTGATCACTTTCTCTGTACATGGCTCCCTGCCAAGTGCTGTGAAGGATAAAAAGACGCAGCACATTTGATTCTCTTTAGGAACTTATTGTCTCGTGGAACAATTATTGTTTGCATGTAAACAGCTGAGTGTCCAGGATACTGAACTACTCTCTGCCCCTAAACACAACACACTTCCTTTCATAGCCAAATATTTTGACATGTTTCTCTCATTGGAATGCACTACTTCATCCAGTATCTCTTCCGTGCCCCCTTCTCCTGACTCGCCTGGTCCAGAAATCTCAGTCTGATAATGCCTTCTCTGGGAATATTGTCCTAAATGTCCAAAGTTGGGTTAGGTGTCTTTCATTCTTAACTTCATTCCATAAATATTTCAATAGTTAACATTTATTTTCACCCATAGTCCCAAGTACGTTAACATATGTAGCATTCTCAAACTCATGAGATACTTTCCTTCCCACTTTTCAGATAAGTAAACTGAAGCACCAGGAAGTGTGGTGACTGGTGCAGGGACTACCAGTAGGAAGTGGTGGAACTGGAGCTTGAACTCAGGTTTCTCTCTCAAGCATGCACACTTCCTATAGAGGGTGCTACCTTGCTGGTGCAATTAATAAGAATTATAAAGATTAAAAGAGAGGAGGTGAAATTTTCATTATTTATAGATGAAAGCCATACAAATTAACAAGCTACTAAAACAAATGGGAGAGCTCAGAAAAGTTGCCAGACCAAAGATTTTTAAAAATCAATAACATTTTTCAATAGTAAATAAAGCATTAGCTAACATAACACAACAGTAAAACAAACCAGCAACACAACCTTCCCCAGTAGGAGCACGCTTGCTGCAATTAAATATGGTTTATTTGAGGATTGTCTGGATGGCTCAACATCAGAAAATCTATCAAAATAATCTTAAGGATATAGGAAAAGTTAGTGTCAAGTTCTGAGAAGAATAAAAATAGATTGGATTTTCCAAAACTGACTAAAGTATATCTATGAAAAATCTATAGTAAACAACAAATTTAATACAGGGCTCAGAAAAACATTTTTTGTTTTACATTTTGGGAGACGATGAGGATGCCAGTGTTGGCACAACTATTCAGTAAAGTGATGAAGACAAAAATAATAATCACCATTCATTTGTATTGAGTGTTTACCTATGTGCCAAGCAGTATAAAAGCAAAAGTGGTGGATTAGCCATTGGTGCAAGGAGATGGTGAAACTCCCATCTTCCTACTCCTCCAAGGTAGAGGTGATAATTGAACTACAGTGAGCCAGGATGAAATGGAGTTGTCACAGAAAATTGTAACTAGGATGCTTAATTTATTGTTCTGACCCAGAATGTAGCTATTTGGACATAATGGAATGGAGCAAATTACAATATAGTAGAATTTGGGTGGTACCAATGATGGTGTAGGATAGTTAGATCTAAGCTGTGAGATGAAAAAATCCCTCAATGTCTACTAGTAACTGCGCTTTAGATATAGTCAATACATATGGAGGTGCAAGCCCCAAACATACTGTTATCATGGATTTTATGGATGAAGCAGAGCCCTTTTGAAATTGAAGTTAATATGGAGAAGCAGCACAATGCATAGCATATGCTTTGTGCTATGGTAACTGAATGAACTTCTGGTGAAGAATTAAAGGAGGGATCCAAAACACATTGCTAAATTTCAATTTAACCTCTTTATGTAAAATTGAACAATACATTTAATTTCTCTGCACTTATTATTCTCTTCTTGAAAATTAAGATAATTAGACCAGAGAAAATCCCTTTGGTGTTGAATCTGGTGGTTCAGGAAACCAACATAACATGGATGGATTCTATCATATGCTGAGATTTTCAACCTGTCATCTTTATAGATGTTACTTAGGCACTGGAAGGGACTTTAGACACCTCCAGTCTAATCTCCGTATTTTAAAGACAAGGTAACTGACACTTAAAGACATAAAGTACCTTGCTAGTGTCACATAGCTGTTTAAAGGCAGAATCAAGCCTAGGGTCCAAGTCTCTAGACCCCAGTCCATTCCATGGTTCTGGTAAGATTAGGAAAGCTCCACATTTCATCAAGAAGTTCTCAATCTCAATTTTACATGAACTATAGTTTTGGAAATTGTAATATGTTAATGATGAATAGATGGGAATGATGGTAGTCTGTATGGAGTATAATAAAAGAATAGATGAACACTTCCACCATTATTTACACAACACATCCAAAGAGATTCCACAGTGTGCGTGTGTGTATATATACACACCATATATATATATACACACACACCATCTATATATATACATATATATAAACACATATATATACACATACACAATGAAATACTATTCAGCCATAAAAATATTAAAATCACGTCTTTTGCAGCAACATGACGGAATTGGAGGCCATTATCTCAAGTGAAACAAATCAAAACAGAAAGTCAAATGTGGTATATTGTCACTTAGAAGTGGGGGCTAAGTGATGTGTACACATGGACATAGAATGTGGAATAATAGTCATTGGAGAATCCAAAAGGTTTGGAGGATGGAAAGAGGTTGAGGGATGAGAGATTACTTAATTGTACAATGTACATTATTCTGGTGATGGTTACACTAATAGCCCAGACTTTACCTCTATGCAGTATAGCCATGTAACAAAACTGCCTTTGTATGCCTTACATTTTATTTTTTTAAATGAATGTTGTGGTCCCACCACATGGACCACATTTAATGTTAGTTTCCTAGAAGTATGTTTTATAACTGAATAGAGATAATTTTCTATATTGTATTCCAACCCGGATGATATACATATATATTCGGTAAGATTTTTCAATTTTCTTTGTTCTCACTCCGTATTTATCAAAAATTAATTTTATGAATAATTTGGTCATGTAAGTTAATAATGCAGGCTTAGTTACTCAGGGATTGCTCTGGAGCAAGAAAAAAGTTACTCACTTCTACCTTCTGTACCCCTTCATCTTTCACTCTGCCACTGCCAATAAAACCCTCCAAAGAAATCCGACATCTTAGACTACAAAAAATGCAGCCATCTTGGGAAACCTGTAGCAAGTACACCCAGCAGAAAGGGTCAAAATCTTAAAGATTGTGACAAATCTGTAATCCCACAGAAGGGATGAGGCATGCCAAGTGTTTGATGTCTACAAAAACCATTTTCCTTAGACAAAAGCTGAAAGGCATAGGAGAAGTAATATAAAGCAGAAAAAATGAAAAGCAAAAATTATAAAGAAGACAAGAATGGCAATCTATTTATAATAATAGTTTTGATAACAACCATTTAGATAAGAATAGTTAATGAGGCCAGTGAAAGAGGAGATAAAGTACTAAAACGGACTATTCTCCTATTGTGAGGACAGGATCTCTGTTAGCTCTGTCTCAGATAATTTGTACAGCCCAAGTGGAGAAGGAAGAACCAGCAGTGCTATAAAAGATAAGTTCTGCTGTCCAATCTAGGGAGAAAAAAGCAACCACATTGACCACATTAGAGCTCAGGAGTCCAAACACTGCTAGTTGCCAAATAAACTTTATTAATAGAGACGACCTCCCCCTTAGCAGTTTTATAAGCACTATTGCTTTTTTATATAGACTTGAGAAGGTTAGTTTACTTGTCAGAAAGTAGGCCAGAAAGCAATGTTTTAGAAACAAGACGTTTGGGACTGCTACAGAGATCCAATGCTCAGGCTAAATCACGTGATACATTTCATGTGAAGCTAAGTATTTGGAACAAGAGATGCCAGAGGTCTAATCAGCAAGAATAATAAACAATTAGAAGAATGGCAGCCAAGCCTAGAGAAACTGTCTGGAGAAAGAGTACTGGAGGATTTGTGGTCTAATGTGCATTTGTGCTTAGTAAAAGATTAGCTGTTCCTAGATTTTTAAATTTAATTTTAAGTGTTATTCCTGAGGATTATGGTAATCGCATCTCTTTGCTTCTATAAGGGATTGGTGAGAAGCAGTAGCAATATTTGAATCCAGTTATTTGTGAGTGGGAGATGTACTATATCATTAGGTGTCATTTTCACCGAATACGTTATTATCAGCAGGTAATAAGAAATGTGCATCATTACAAATTCTCATCTGGTATTTTGTGCTCAAACAGACAAGGTATGTCTTCTGTGGCAGCACTGAGTGATCACATAGAGACTGGTGTCAAAAAATGGCTCTTATAAATTACAGGATACATTTTAATAGTTAAACAATTATCTAAAGAGGCACCACTGGAAAATTGTTTAGTAACAATTGGCTGATTTTTATGATGAAGGATAATTCAATTAAAAAAATTATTTACAGCCTCCTTTGGTTCAGAAACTGTGCCATGCTTTGGGCATTCTAAATGAATTTTGTCTTCCAGGAGTTCATCTTCTAAGCAGCTTTATGGAGAATGTCATAGTTTTTTCCCAAATTTTCTTCATATATGATTAGACAAAATATTTAAATCTGTGCTACATAATATTTTGTGGTATTTTGATTTTAATTTTATGAGTGGATAATACATTACCATGGTTTAAACTTCAAAAGTTTCAAAGCGCTTTCCAATTCCCTTCTATAGATGCAACCAGTGCTATCATTTTCTAGTGTATGTCCTTGCAAATGTTTTGTGCAGACACACAAAAATGCACGTATATATTTAACCATCCCCCTTTCTGAAAACAAATACACACTGTCGAGTTACCTTTTTCTTTTTACTTTAAAAATACACCTTGGATATATGTTCATGCTAATATTAAAAAAAACTTCCCATTCTTTTCTATGGATGTATAATATTACATTGCATGCATGTATTATAATTTACTTAAGCAGTACCCTACTGATGGACATTTAGGTTTTTTCCATTCTTTTGCTATTACAGGAAATATTCACATGAGTAATTTCAACACTGATATTCTAAAGTGAGCTAGAGTGACTGCATTCCTGTTTCCCAGCCCATATTCCATAGAACACAAGTCTCATGAGATGTTCAATATCCAAAAGGGTTCTATAGTTAAATAACTTTGATTAACTCTGGGTATTTGTTGATGTTTATAGTGCATACTGTCAAATTAAAAGAAATCTTGCAATAATCTGCTTCGATGTAATCCAAGTGTTTCCTGACCTCACATTTTCTCAAGGAATGGAATACACTATTGTTTTAGGTCAGGTTCTTGGGAAGCAGACTGAGATGGAAATATACATGCGAGAGGCTTACTGGGGCATGTTCTAAGGAACAACACCTGATGGAAGTAAGGGCAGATCAAAACAGGGTGGGCAGAGGGAGAAGTTGGACTGTGATGCAGTTGGAACAGTGGCCTCACTGGATCCAACAGGGAGCCCTCTAGAGGCAGGATGGCCCTTTGGGGATGTTACAGCTCTGGAAGGGAAGCAGGCCAGATTCCTGGAAGGGAAGCAGGCCAGATTCCTGGAAGGGAGAGCTTTCTTCCATTGAAAGCATTTATCAGGAGGGGCTCAGCTATGAGCTGTCAGCTGGAACAATGAATTTCATTGTTCACTACAACTCTGTATAGAATCTTCAAATTTTTAAAGGAAATGCTTATCAGTTCCTAGAGTGTCTTGCTGGTCAGAGCAAGTCACTTGGTCTCCAGGGACTCAGTTTCTTGCTGTATGAAATATGGATGCTGAGCTGAAAGTTCTTTAGAGTTTATAACATTCTTTGCATCTATTTCCATTTCAGTATGTGCTAATTGAATTCCAAGGTCAGACATAAGTTTTCCCCAAGACATACTTGGCCATATAGAGGCCTATGATGTGGATAGATAAGCTCTAACTTTTTAATATTTCTGCTGTGCAGTTATGGAAAAAAAGTGCATTGTTATAATGCTTTCAAGTATGTGTTACTTAACTTGGGGCAGACTCTTGGGGCGAAGGTGCATAAGAGCTGAATTAGAGCTTTTTATTAAAATATAAAAATATATTTTTAAAATATTTTGGTTACCTCTTGTTGGGTGTTTGCTGGAGAAGCTAGCTTGCTATCTTCCTAGGAACATTGGCCCATATTGATAAAATTGAAGAAATATACTGGCATAGGGTGTAAAAGAGAGAGGAGCATAACTGGCTTTAAAGCACATTCTTAGGAGCTCTTATTTATTCTCCTTTTAGAAGCTCAGGAAGCAAACAGGTATAGACAAACAGCTATAGCAATTTCTCAGGGACCTTCCATTTGGGAATCAGATGGGTCTAAATGCCCATCCTATGTCATTTATGGTACTTGTGAATTTCATTCTCATGCTCCTGCAGGATTCATCAATTGTGGTTGTTATTGATGGAAGCTTGTTTCCTGGTAGGAGTGGGGAAAGGGCTCAGGGAATGGGCCTCTCTTAAGTGTGCCTGGTAGAGTTAATGAAGGTTCATAAAGAGGATGGAAAACATATCCAAGAAAAAGAAAATGTTCTTTAAGATAAGGAAATGGGAAGTGAAATCAAATTTAAGGCGGTATTATACAAACATGATGCAGAGAAAAAAGCAAAAAGAAAAAAAAAAACAATTCTAAGATTGGTGGCTGTATGGGTGTAAGATCAACTTTTAAACTGAATGTAAGTTTTTCTAAAAAACCTTAATCTTTTTCTTCAACACAAAGCTTCATGCGGATTCTTGGATCATACTGAAATTTGATTAAGATGTTTCTTAATTTATTTTATAAAATAAAAGTTATACTACTTTACTTTTTTAAATGGCATAATAAGTTGGATTACCCTTATAAAAAAACATAGAAGTTACACTGTTTTTAGGTTTTCTAATTAAATAATCTGTTGCCATATTTATACCCCCGAATCACATATACCTTAAAATATTATACTATATTATGATGTTGTGTTTTACTACTTCGTATTTGAGTGGAGACTTTGCCACTTCACTTTTAGAATAAACGTTTACAACTTATTTTCAACACCTTCTTCAGACTTGGTCAATAACTTAATATCAAACACACAAATACACTTGACATCATGTGTGCTTTGTGATATTTTGTGATAAAGAGAAAGACAATTTACTAGAGAGCTATATGAAGCATTATAGGTTTTAAAAAATGATATATGATTTTTTTCTCCAAAATGATGTAGCTTTAGTCAGCAAGGACATGAGTTAAATTATGGGGAACTCTGAGGATTGTAGAAAAGATTTCCCCAAGAAGTTCAGTCTTGACTTATGCAGTTTTCTCCATATGAGTCTTCCTGTTTTTTTATAGCATGATCAGGTATGTAGGTAACCATAAATCTGAGGAAGGGAGGATTACTCAATACATAATTATTAATCCTCTTATCCGTACCTTTGACTCTTACAGAATCCATTCCAATATATGGCCATGTGGCTCTTTGGAGCAATGTTCCATCATGTTCCATGCTGCTGACGTCACATGGAGCACAGAAATCAATGTTAGCAGATAGCCAGCCCATACAAGATCGTGTAAGTAAAGTTTTAAAAGTTTTATCATGCAATACAGATACTTTTATATAATAGCATAACTAATAATAAGGAAAATGTGGCAAAACAGGTGAAGTTATATATACTCACAGCTTTTAAAATGAGCATCTTGGTTTAAAAAATATACCCTTTGTTATTGCATGCTTAAAGCATATATTTGAAGGCACAGAATATTGCACATAATTTTTTTTCTGAAAAGAGCCACTTAGTAAATATTATAGGCTTTGAGAGTCAAATGCTCACTGTCACAATGAGTCAACTCTGCCCTATTACCTGAAAGAAGCAATAATCGTGTAGGTGTATGGCTATGTCCCACCAGAAGTATTTACAAAAACAGGCGGCTGATGAGGGTTGGCCTCTGGGTCATAGTTTGATAGTTTGTCAATTCTAGGCATATAAAATGACAGAATTGTGCATATCACTTTCTGTATATTACTGGGTTAATTTTGAAAGAACTTGCGTGCTTAAAATTAAATAATAAGTGTAATCAAACTATCTAATTTTTGAATGAGTTTATGTAAGGATATTAGAAGATAATGTAGATTAGATTTTTTAAATGACTGAGTCTTTTAAGGAGTATTTTAGAAAAATGTAAGGTCAAGTTCAGTCTCGATAACTAAACAAAATATAGTAAGGTATAACTTGATGATGGAGATATGTTCTAAGAAATGCATTGTTACACAATTCTGTTGTGGGAACATCCTAGGCTGCACTGACACAAACTGAGATGGTATAGCCTATACATGCCTAGTCTATATGGTATAGCCAGTTGGTTCTAAGCTACAAACCTGTACAGCATGTTACTGTACTGAATACTGTAGGCAATTGTAACACAATGATAAGTATTTGTGTATCTAAACACAGAAAAGATACAGTAAAAATATAATATAAAAGATAAAAAATTATATCCTGCATAGGCCCCTTAAGATGGATAAATTTTACAATACTGGAAGCTGCTCTGGTTGATTCAATGAGTGAGTGGTGGGGGAATGTGAAAGCCTAGGACATTACTTCACACTACTGTAAACTGTATAAACACTGTACACTTAGGTCCTACAAAATTTATTAAAATATTTTTCTTCTTTTAATAATAAATTAACTTTAGATTATTATAATTTTTTAAAGTTAAGAAACAAACATTTTCTTTAACTTTTTGACTTTTGTAATAACACAACTTAAAGCACAAACATATTATACAGCTGTACAAAAATGTTTCTCTTTACATCCTTATTCTGTAAGCTTTTTTTCTGTTTTTAAAAATTTTTAATTTTTACTTTTTAAATTTTTTTATTAAAAACTAAGACATAAACTCACACATTAGCCTAGGTCTACACAGAGTCAGGATCATCAACATCACTGTCTTTCTCCTCCACGTCCTATCTCACTGGAAGGTCTCCAGGGGCAGTAACACACATGGAGCTGTTATCTCCTATGATGTCAATGCCCTCTTCTGGAATATCTCTGAAAGGTACTACCTGAGGCTGTTTTACAGTTAACTTTTAAGAAAATATAAGTAAAAGGAGTACACCATACAATAATGATAAAAAGTATAGTATAATAAATACATAAACCAGCAACATAGTTATAATCAAGTATTATGTACTGCATATAATTTTATGTTATACTTTTATATGACTGGCAGCACAGTAAGTGTGTTTCCACCAGCATCACCATAAATTGAACAATGCACTGTGTTACGACATTATGACGTCGATGTGGTTTGGATTTGTGTCTCCATTGTTGGAGGAGGGGGCCTGGTGGGAGGTAATCAGATCATGGGGCAAACTTCCCCCTTGCTGTTCTCATGATAGTGAGTTCTCACGAGATTTGGTTGTTTAAAAGTGTGTAGCACCTCCCCCTGCTCTCTTTTCCTCCTGCTCTGGCCATGTAACACATGCCTGCTTCCACTTCATCTTCTGCCATGATTTTGTTTCCTGAGGCCTCCCCAGTCATGCTTCCTGTATAACCTGCAGAACTGTGAGTCAATTAAACATTTTTTTCTTTATAAATTACCCAGTCTCAGGTAGTTTTTTATAGCAGTGCGAGAATGGACTAATACAGACATCTTTGTCACCAGCTGCTAGGAATTTTCAGCTCCACTATAATCTTATGGGACCACCTCATTGTATATGCAGTATGTCATTGACTGAAACTTCATTATGGGGCGTGTGACTTTAAAGCCACAGAAATAAATCCAAGCATCTGGCTTCTTACTGGTAAAGTGAATATATACATTTCATTTTCACTTTCAGTTATAATTTCTAATTAACACTCTCAGATAGAATTCTGTAGCATGTATACTAGATCAAGATAAACAGTAGAATAAGTAAAGGACTTTAAGGAAATTGAAACATTTTATAAGAACTCCAAGAGGAAAAAGGCAGTTTATTTTTCCATCATTTTTAGTATGAGAAAATAAAATAAATATAAATTCAAAGAAAAAACACGGAAATCATGCTCTTTGACAGTCATTATTTATAAACTGAAACTTACCCCTTAACTTCATAAACTTCCTAGAAATTATTGTTTCTTGGAATTTTTTTTTTTTTTTTGAGACAGAGTCTTGCTGTGTTGCCCAGGCTGGAGTGCAGTGGTGCGATCTCGGCTCACTGCAAGCTCCGCCTCCCGGGTTCAAGCCATTCTCCTGCCTCAGCCTCCTGAGTAGCTGGGACTACAGGCGCCTGCCACCGCGCCTGGCTAATTTTTTTTGTATTTTTAGTAGAGACGGGGTTTCACCATGGTCTCGATCTCCTGACCTTGTGATCCACCTGCCTCGGCCTCCCAAAGTGCTGGGATTACAGGCGTGAGCCACTGTCCCCGGCCTGTTTTTTGGAATTTTTATTAAGAATTCCCCAAACTCAAGAACAAGTTTCCTGGTGTCTTTTTTTTTTTTTGGAGACGGAGTCTTGCTTGTTTGCCCAGGCTGGAATGCAATGGCGTGATCTTGGCTCACTGCAACCTTTGCCCCTTGGGTTCAAGCAATTCTGCTGCCTCAGCCTCCTGAGTAGCTGTGATTACAGGCACATGCCACCATGCCCAGCTAATTTTTGTATTTTTAGTAGAGACGGAGTTTCACCATGTTGGTCAGGCTGGTCTCGAACTCCTGACCTTGTGATTTGCCCACCTCGGCCTCCCGAAGTGCTGAGATTACAGGCATGAGCCACTGCACCTGGCCAGTGTCTTATTGATACACACAGATTAGGTATTGCTACCATTGAGGGGTTAAAAAAGAAGCAGGGGGAAATTTTGAGTATTGAGTGATAATATTTGAGACATTTTTAGTAATAGCAATGTGGTTGTGAAGTGTCTTGTCACTGAGATATTGATGGAAATGAATAAACATTCTTTTTAAAAAAATTTATTCTGATCAATTCTGTGGCAAATAAGCTATGGCAGGGGAATTTTGCTTAAATGAAATCATGCTTGAAATATGCAAGAGATTTAAACAGGGATCTCCCCTAGTATATGAGTAGTAAATAAGTGTTTTGAAGTCATAAGAAGAGTGTCGTGTGCCTTCTGTTTTTCTTTTTATGAATTCTGTTTGATTCCTACATTTTTTAGGTTCAGCTTCCTTTGTTGGGATACTTAAAAACAGGTACATTTTGATTGCTTATTTCTTGGTGGCCAGTGATAGTTATTCATGTCAGGATTTAGGTGGAATTAAAGACCTCAAGTATCTCTTTCAATTTGCACAGTAAAACAGGCAAGTAAGTGTAATTTGTTCCTTGGTGAGCTCTGCTCTTACTGTAACAAGAACCCAGAAAGGCACTATTTGTATCAGTTAATCCCTTGAAGGTAGCTTTTATTTTGGATAGTCAACTGGGGAATGTAATGGGCTCCATGCTAAAGAAACTTTCACTGTGAAACATTTCTGCCAACCGAATCTCACTTGTAGTCTTTATCATGATTTCTTTGCTATAATTTTTACATTCTGAAAATAAATGCATTTATAAAGCAGAATTTGGGTATAAACTAAGTTACTAGGAACCTCACCAGTGCATGCTTTCACTCAAGGCCCCTCCTCTTTTATTTTAGCTAGGGATGCAGCTTACAAGCTTGGGTGGCCTTGAGTCACCACTTTTAACTCAATTTAGTTAAAGCTTTTAATTTTGTTTCTTATTATCTCTTTGATTATCAGGGTATTATGCGCTCATTATAGAAGAGTGAAAACTACAGAAAAGTTTAAAGTGGGGAAAATATCACCAGGTGCCGTAATTACTAGAAGGCAACTAAACACATGACTGTTAACACGGTTATTTTGTTTACGTGGTTGTTATAAAAAAGATTGAAAAGTTGCGTTCTGGTTTTGCTTGTTTACCAGGAAATTGTGACATTTCTCTGTGACATTACATAAGTAAACATTATTTTAATGTGTATATAATACTCTAAAGTAGGTTCCAACCCATCATTCCTTTCTCTAATTGTTGATTATTATAAATAGCACTTCAGTGATTATATTTTTGAATAAATTTTGTCCAAATTTATGATAATTCATTAGGTACATTTCCTAGGAAGGGAACTAAGATGTCTAAAGTATAAATATTTTAATGGTGCTCTTATCCCAAAAATGATGTACAAATTTACACTTTTGTCATCCCTACACCTTCATCATCTCTATGTGAGTCTTGGTGATACTGCATCCTCACCAGTGCTGATGTTTCACAATCCTTTCTAGTTCTATGAAGAATAGGGCAGCAGTTTATGCCAAATGTAATTCTCTTGGAAACCACAGAGAAAATTATGAGAATGGCATTGAAGGGAATCCCACAAACTAGGTCAAGCAAAACCCAGAGACAGTGAGTAACCATAAAATCCAGAACGTGTTACTGTAGATAGGCAAAAGCAACTGAAATTAGCAGAATTTGTGCAGGAAATACTGCCAGGAAGAATGAGAGTGTGGAGGAGCCACAGAGTGATAGCAGGTGTTGATGACTGTCATCAGGTAAGTATTCTAAGAAGGAAAGAGCCCTGTTTTGAGTGGGAGCTAAACTCAAATAGGGAGTCATTCCTGGGAGAATAGGAGAAAGATGTTTTTGTTCCCATAAGAGGCAGATCTCAGAAAGCACATCTTTTAAAAAGGAGAGAAATGCATTGGAAGGAAGGGGTTGTATCCCTTGGTGGCAGTATCTAGTGAGGAAGCTGGAGGAGCTCAGAGATGGTGCACGTGCCATTCCTCGTAAGATCCAATGGACTTCACAAGGTGCATCCTGACAGGCAGAGTCGGATTCCTGCCTGCACTGTGCACTTAGTGCCTGGGATTTTTCTCCTTGTATGGAGATGCGGACAAGTTAACAGCCTGTGTGGCTCATCTTTGACCAATGGGATACAAAAGTTGGCAACACATTCTTCCCCTTTTCTCTGCCTGGGTGTGACCTCTTGAAGTACAGTTTGTGTACCGCTGTGCACTTAGAAATGGCGAGCTCTGTTGCACTCCCTTATATTGGCTCCCTCCGCCCTCCATTTCTGTTTTTTGTTATTGTTGTTGTTGCTATTATTTCTTCTCCTTATTTTCACTTCTTTCTGCTTTCCTGGAATCATACCCCTCAATAAAATACTTTTTTCTGTGTCT
Organism: Homo sapiens; assembly: GCF_000001405.40. Classification (NCBI taxonomy): domain Eukaryota; kingdom Metazoa; phylum Chordata; class Mammalia; order Primates; family Hominidae; genus Homo; species Homo sapiens. The sequence continues at coordinate 141,661,895 of NC_000004.12, forward strand.
CATGATGATGTCTTACCCGTCATACCTTTATTGTTTTTCTGATTTCTATTGGGATTTCTTTACTGTTCCATGGATTATTTAAAAATGTATTGCTTAATTTTCAAGCAATTGAAGATTCCCTAGTTGTCTTTTTCGTTTTTAGATTTCACAGCCAGATTTCTTTCAGAGAATAAAACATTGAGTACTTTTAGTCCTTTTAGTTTTGTCATGACTTGCCTTAGGCCCAACATATGGTTAATTTTGGCAAATGTTCCAAGAGGACCTAACAAAAGTAAGTTTTGCCATTGAGTACAATGCACCTTAGAGAACAGGTAGGTCAAGTTTATTGTTTTTTCCACATCTACTCTGTCCTTGTTGACTTTTTCTTTTACTGTGTATTCTATCAGCTTTTGAAAGAGATGTTTTTAAATTACCCGCAATGACGGTGAATTTGCCTATAAGCCTTAAAGCTGTGATTTTAGAAGACTATAGATTTTGGAATGTGAGACCTTCCTGGTAGTTTGACCTTTTCATAGTTAAGAAATGCACACCATCATCTTTGTAATAAGGCTACCTGCGTTAAAGTCTGCTTTGTTATTAATATAGCTACCTCAGCTTATTTCATTTAATATTGCATGATATATATTTTCTCATCCATTTACTTTCAGCCTGTTTTTGTCTCTGTGTTATGTATGTGCATCTCTTGTAAACAGCATGTAGCTGTGTTCTTTGTTACTGTTTTGAATTCAGCCTGACAATCTTAGTCTTTTACGGAGTATTTAGTTCATTTTTATTTAATGTAATTACCGATGTATTTGTGTTTGTATTCATCAACCTATTTTTTTTCTGTTTGACTCAGTTTTTATGTAGCTTTTTCTTCCTTTGTTGTTATTACTTAGCTATTTCAACATGCATCCTTTGCATATTACATTCTATCTAATGACTTGTTTTAAGAAGAGATAATTGCAGTTTGATTTAAACCCTTAAAGAAGAATAAAAACTTCAAATTGTTTCCATGAAGTGAGAATGCCACTGATATCTAAGTTTGATAAAAATTTCACAAAAAAACTATTTCCCAATTTTATTTATGAATATCAGTGCAAAACTCTTCATATTATTGGCAGAAAAAAAATCCAGCAACTCATTAAAAAAGTAATCATTAAAAAAGTAACTCATTAAAAAAATAATATCATGATCAAGTAGGGTTCATTCTAGGAATGAAAGATTGTGAACTCTATTAAAATAATTTATCATATTAATTGGTCTAAAAATCATATGTTAATTTCTATAGATGCTGAATATTTATTTGACAAAATTCAACAGCCATTGTGGATATTTTTTAAAAAGACAACTCAATAAAATAAGAGTTAAAACATTTTATAAACAAGGTGAACTGACAAACTATTTATGCTATAGGGGCAGAAATTGGGTGATCCCTTTCTTCCCCATTATAAAGGTCACAGCCTACACACCCTTATAACGAAAGACAGATTAACAAGAGAAATGCATAGCACATTTATTTGATCATAGTTTTATGTGACACAGAAGCCTTCAAAAATGAAGACTCAAAGACTCAGGGTAAACTATCCATTTTCATACTGGTCTTTTTGGAATGTTTATGGAGACTTCATTAGCTAGGCATGATTGAAGCATAAATGGCCAATGTAGAACTGTGCTTGGCAAAAACGGCATGATCTAATGTTAATAGACCTGGTAGGGAAATCTCAACAAGGCCTGTTCAGATTCTTCTTGCCCTATCTATGCAGCATTCCTTCCTCCCAGGTATGGGATATGGCCCATCTGGAATGAAGTCTTAATTTCTTTTTGGCCAACTGTTACATGGAAAGGTCGGGGAAGTTGAGAGTAATATTTTTAGGTTTTATGCCTGGCTTTGGTGAAAAGGGGTTCTGGCTCCTATGACCTGCCTTGAGGAAGAGGGCTTCTAGTTTCCGCAGCTCTCCTTGGGGAAGAATGAGGCTAGGGGAAGAATGAGGCTGAGAGGAGAGAGTAGGAGGTCAGAGAGAAACTTGCTTCTGAGACTGCTTCTGAGGCCTTCATTTTGAAATATAATTTTTTGAGCCCTGAGAATGCACACAAACAAACAGAAACACACAGCACACAAACACACAATCTTGTCTCAAAGCCATTTTGTAATGAATAACAAAACACTAGAGGCATTTCTGCTTATTCTGTTAAAAGTATAAATCAGATAAGGATGCACAATTCTCAACCCTGCTACTGATGCTGTACCAGAGATTTTAGCCAACAAAGCAGATACAAGAGACAAATGAAGTCTTAAGCTCTAAGACCTAAGCAGGTGGAAGTAAAACCTTTATGTTTCTGTGACTTAATATTTCAAAAACCCCCAAATAACCTGTGAGAGTTTCTAACCATTACTCAATTCCAGCATCTAAAATAGGAAAAACAGAGATAAATCTGACTCATTAAAAAAATTCTTTGGTGGGCAAAACACACACACACACACACACACACACACACACACACACACACACACACAAAACCAACAACAAAAAAACCCTCTGGGGAAATTCAAAAGAATGATAAACTGGGAAAAATATTTACTTCTCCAATCACCAAGCATTTTCCCCCTAATATATTAAGAACTTTTAGAAACTGGGGCGTGTGGGGAAGTACAAGCTATAGAGCTGTTGGCAAAGAACATAAATGAACAGTTTATATAAAAAGAATTGCAAATAGCATTTCAGCTCATAAAAAAGATATTCAGCCCCACATAAGACACCAGTTGTTATTTGATTTTATTTAAGAAATGAGAGAATATAAGTATATATTTCTAAATTTGCTTGCGTTTTATAAAGAAACTTTCAAGGAAGCACAAGAATGAATAGAAATGGTTGCCTACAGAGACCAGAGTGGAGGGACAACAAATAGGGTGAATGGGACAGGAATTGAAGCCTAATTCTTACATACATACTTTCTCATATTGTTTCATTTTTTAGCCATGTGAATATATTACTTTTATAGAAAAATATATAAAAATACAAATTTGCAATTCCTTTATTTAAGGTGAAAAATTTCACCTCTTTTGATTACTGTGTAAGTTGAGTTCTTTAAAGTGTTCATGTGCTATTTGTATTTTCATTTCTTAAAATTATCTGTTCAAGTTCTTTATATTTAGAGATATTTTTGTTTTGTTGTTTTTTTAACCAAACTTTATAATTCCTTAATATGTTAAGGAACCAGTACATTTTATCATTTTTATTTCACCTTTTAAAAGTCTGGTTATCCTATCATTTTGTTTATTATACATTAACTTAGAGAAATTAATAATTCTTATTTTGTCAGATCTATCAATCTTCCTGTGTTGACTTTTTAAGAAACATTACTATATTTTATTTTTGAAATGACACCCAAATGCTAAACGTTTAATAAGAATCATATCAATTTTAAGGAAATTGATTATCACTGGCTGACCTTTCACTTCAAACTGCCCTCTTTTTAATAAAAGCATAAAACATTTCAAAGGGATCATGACAGTGTATTTTATTTTATGACCTAGTATTTATTTTAATATATACTAGGTCTAGTTCCTCTTTATTCCTTTTCTATTTAAAAATTATTTTCACCAGTAGATGTTTTTGGATGAACTTACGGATCATAGTGTCAAGTTCGCTTCTTATGTCAATTCTTATATGTCAATTTCACTTCCAAATTTCTTATGAAATAATTTGGAAAAATGATATTTCTGTAATATATAGTTTCCATCTAGGAATAAAGTATGCTTCTCAGATTGTATAATTGTTCTTTTTGCCTTTCAATCTAGTTTTATTGATTTCTTTATATATTTCCATACATTACCATATTCATTCCTAACTATGGTATAATTTTGTTGCTAACGTGGATTAGGTAATTTCCCCTACATATTGATGAGACATGGAATGATGAATATAAGAGTTGTTGATATTATGATGTATATATTTTGGTTTCTGTCCATGGTTTCTGTCTCATAACTCCCATAGACCTTGTTATTTCCTAGGTGACTAAAACAATAAGTATATGTCTTTTGTTAAAGTATTTAGTCTTTTGTTCTTGGTTTCTGAAGCAGCTTCCAAACAGCTTTTAAGTAATAAAGGTGAAAGACAGCCTTTTGTCATAATGTTGGGGCTCTTTAGGGCTCAGAAGCAGGACTCAGAAAACAGAATCTCTCTCAGACTCATCCTTTTTATTTATTATTTATTTATTTATTTATTTATTTATTTATTTTTTGAGACGGAGTCTCGCTCTGTCGCCCAGGCTGGAGTGCAGTGGCACGATCTCGGCTCACTGCAAGCTCCGCCTCCCGGGTTGACGCCATTCTCCTGCCTCAGCCTCCCGAGTAGCTGGGACTACAGGCGCCCACCACTAGGTCCCCGGGCGTGGTGGCTCACGCCTGTAATCCCAGCACTTTGGAAAGCCGAGGCGGTCGGATCACGAGGTCAGGAGATCGCTCCCCACCTTTTAATTTAAAATTTTCAATTTTATAAGACAGGGTCTCACTCTCTCAGCCAGCCTGGAGGGCGGTGGCACAATCTTGGCCCAGTGCAGCCTTGACCTCCGGGACTCAGGTGATCCTCCCATCTCAACCTCCTGAGTAGCTGGAGCTACAGGTGCACACCACCCTGCCTGGCTAATTTTTTGTGTTCTTTTGTAAAGATTTAGTTTCACCATGTTACCTATGCTGGTCTCAAGCTATCTATCTATCTCAGCCTCCCAAAGTGCTGGGATTACAGGCGTGACCCACCCCACCTGGCCCTTCTGCTTCCCCCCACTTTTTTTTTTAACTTTCTCCTTTTTCTCCCCAAGGAAGGCCATAGAAACTAAAAATATACTCTCATCTTCCCCCCTTTGTGTCTTGGAGCTGGCCGTGAAGAAATTGTCTGATTGTAAGTCATAAGATCCCCATTTCTGAAGGGGTCCTGCACCATACCCAGGAAGAAGGAATGCTGCACAGAGAGGCCAAGAAAAATCTAAACAGTCCTTGCTGGGTTGCCCCACTCAGCCTATTCATATTAGGTCATACTCTCTTTGTCCAGTCATATTTTTACATGATTGTCCATGCTTCAATCATTCCTATCCAATGAATTTTCCATAAGAGGCCCAGAAAGATAGAATATGGGAGCTCCTGAACAGCTGAACTTGTGGAAGCTTGCAGAAAGGTGAAGAAGAACTCATCCACGTGCGGGTGGGTGGCACATCCCATTTACACAGGAATGGAAGTGCTTGTGCTCAGGACCCTTTAGACCTCACCCTATGCATCTCTTCATCTGACTGTTTATTTGTATTTTTAAAAATATCCTTTATAATAAAGTTGTAAATGTATTTCTCTGAATTATGTGAGCCAGCCTAACAAATTAATCAAACCCAAGGACCGGGCTGTGGGAACTCTGATTTATAACTGATCGGTTAGAAGCCCAGGCAAAATAACCTGGGGCTTGTGGGAACTGAGCCTCCAACCTGTGTGATCTGATGCTGTCTCCAGGTAGATAGTGTCAGGATGCTATTTCCAGGTAGAGAGTTGGGTGTCCACTGCAGAACTGATTGCTTGCTTGTTGGTTAGGAGAAATCCCCACAAACTTGGTCACAGAAGTTTTCTGTATTGATTGTTGTGGTGTGAGAGTAGAGAAAAAACTGTTTTTCCACCCAGCACCTATGGTTTAATTCATACCTTTTTTTTTCACTCTGTATGCCACTTACTTTAAAAAAATAAAAATGTGAGTGTCTTGTCTGGCCAGCAAGATTAAGAAATAAGTTTGTCTTCTGCTTTCCGGGGCTCTGTTTATTCAGTTATAGGAAGGAAGGGTAGAGTTGAATCAAATATTAATTCTTAAAACATCTTTTGGTTTTTTATTTCTTTTATAATGTGAGGTAATGCGGGGTGTATTTATTTTTTTCTTGGTATCCTAATGTATATAATACTTTGAAAGTTGTCGGAACCCTCTATGGATTAGACATACATGCATAGATAAATAAGCATGAACATCACTGTCGTCATCTACCATTAGTGAGCTTATTTATTTAATTCTTTCTCTTATTTTAATTTTCTGGTACAATAGGTTAATATTCTGTGAAAACCAACCTGACATTCTTAACCTTTTCATGGGACATTAAACTTTGACTACTGTCACAGTTAGTAAAGTTCCCTTTACAGAAATTTAATTTGTGCATTAAAATGTATGTATACAATTATCTTTTATTAACACATTTTACAGTTGTGATTAAATCACTGTATAATTTTATTAAAACATATGAAATGATTGATTTTGAGATAGAGATAATACATAGTGCCACATATGGCGGGAAATACACGCACATCCTTGTTCAGAAGTATTTTCTTTAGGATGGAAGGCCCTTTGAGAGAGACACTGCAGCTCTCCTGTGCCTCAGCCTACCTCCCTGGGCCAGGTGTCTCTGATGTGGTGGGTTCAGCTTCCTTTATGCCACTTGGCCACTGCCTCTTCAGTGCAAGCCTCTGACTCTCTCCTCAGCTATCTTCCATGCTCCCTGTGGGTTTTGGCAGAAACTTCTGGATTCCTTCCAGAGAAGAAGCTTAGATGAGTGAACTCAGTCTTTCTCTCTGCCTACCTAGTTTTCACCTTTGTTGTCACATTTGGTCGTTTCTTGAGTGAGACTACCCTTCATGTTGGTATCTGTCAGGAGTTTGGCTGGGTTGTTGGGGACTAAGCATGCCACCAAATCCACTCTCAATCCCCTACTGGTGTGTCAGTACTGGATGAGAATTTAGCTCACATAGGTCTTCCTCTTCCTTTTTTCTCTTTGCCTTCCCACCCACTAGCTGATATGCCAACTTGCATCACATCCTTTTTCTCCTAAGGGCAACCTCCTGTTTAGCCTCCATTGACAAATCATATTTCCATTCTCTACCATGGTAGAAACTCAATTTAGACCAACTTTCATTTTCATGATTGAAGCCTTAGGAAAGCTAGACAATAGGGATTTACAAACAGGAGATTACACTGGTTTATTCTAAGAGGAGCCTAACTTCGTGCTAAAAACGTGAATGCAAGACAGGCTGCCTAGTTTCTTGTTCTGGGCTGTCACTTACTAGATGTGTCACTTTAGGTAAATAATGTAATTTCTTTTTTCCTCAGATTTGTCATCTTAATGGCAATCTGTTACAACAACTTTATAAGAAAGGGATTATTTTATCATCATTTTATGATGATAATTTAAATGTCATTTAAAATGATGACAAAATAGTCCCTTTCTTAAAAAGTTGCTGTAACAAAAAATTAGTTAAGAACCTAAAATAGTAACTGAAAAGTAATAAATATTTGGTATCTGTTAGCTAATACCAAATATTAGGAGGCTAAATGAAAAATGTAAAGTTGGAAATGCAGGTGCCTAATTAAGTGAGACTTTGAAAGTGCCTGGAATTTAGACACACAATGTAGCAAGCAACAAGAAGCCTTGAAATAATTTGAGTGGTTGTGTGGTGAAAGTAGTGTTGACTTAAATTAGTTCATTAGGAGTATATTAAGAGTGAGACAGCGATTGTATTTACAGGACTTCAGCCTCAAGGTGATGAAGGCCTAGACTAAGTTGTTGCAAATAGCAGTGGTGATAAAAGAAAACAGAGGAGATTATCAGGGATCAGAGAGAGGTGTGGGCCCAGGGTGTTTCTGAGCCAAGGATAATGGCTGCATCATGTAGAATTTAGCAGAAATAGAGAGTTAAAAGAAGAGAATGTTGTCTGGGTAGAAAAATTTTGATTTTAGATTTATTAAGTTTGAGGCAATAATAGGCTATTCAAGTGGAAGTATCCCAGGGGACAGGGATTGGCAAACTTTTTCTGTAAAATGCCAGATGGAAAATATTTCGGTCTTTGTGGACCAGATGTGGTCTCTGTCACATCTTATTCTTTGTATTTTTTTTTTTTTAACTATTCTTTTAATATATATTTAAAATGCAAAAATGTAGGACACCAAAAAAAGCTGCAATCTAACTTGGCTCATGACAGAGCCTTGACTGAGATATTGGGTCTAGAAATCTAGATTAATGTTCACCGTGTGGATAATTTGAAAACTCTTGAGTAAGCATAGATGTACAGTATTCTAATTAAGATAGATTATTATTGTAAATTATATAAATATTTACATTGAAAGTGTTTTGCCCAGAAATAGATTTTACCTTATTTTTTCTGAGCCCTGTAAAGTTACTAAGGACTTCCGTCAACTAGATATAAAAATAGATTCAATAAAATTAATAAAATTTTTCAAATGTTGATTAGGATTTAAGAAAAATAGTTTCAGAAAATTTCTAATTTCATAATTCTGTGGAAATTAATGCAAAATAATGTTTGGCTTACTGGATGTCACAGAGGCTAAAAGTAATCTTTAGTTTATGAGAGTATCATGATACATGATAGAATAAGACAGGCTATAAGAATTGTAGCCAGCTGTGCTGGCATCAAGGAATTAGAATATTTATGCTTTAACTATGGGATTAAAGGGGGTTATAGCCTTTCAAAATTGACTTAAATAAAGGCACTATAGATAGAATTAAATAAAAACAATATGAGTTCCTTACTTCTGTCCAAATTAACCAAATGAATGGCACAAACTGAAGAAGTCTCTTAAACTAACCATAATTAATGAGTTTATTTATTCCCTTAATTCAAGTAGATCACTAGAGTTTAAGTCTATTTTCCTAATGGAATGTTATTGATTTTAAGTTTAACCAACATGTTTTGCTTTTTACAACAGATTTATAGAAATATTCAATATTTTTACTAGTACAACCTAGAAATTATTTTACTTCTTTATTTAAGATGATATGTTTCAGATAAACTTTTGAAATCTATAGAGTATTACTTTCATATATGTAAATGCAGAGTGCAGATTACAGAAATTAGTTTTAGATTCAACATTATGTCGAAGTTCCAGTACCTTTATACTTGAAGTGTTTGAGAGAAACATTGGCAAATTGGAGCTTACATAGAAAGACACATTCAGGAATATAACATATCTAAGTACTAATTCAAGTGAAAAATAGCTAAAACAACTAGTATGGAGAAGAAAGACGTTGGAGGGTCTGGGCTCATGTATGCATTGCACAATGGGGTGAGTTGTGTATATATCACAGTTGTCTTAAATATTTAAAATGGCAGAAGAAGGAGCAGACTCATTTATCTATCCATTCATCCATCCGTCTAACAATTCACCCATCATTTCATGTAGAAATAGCCTTCTATATGCTAGTCTTAATGTATATACTAGAGACAGAAAGATGAGTAATATAACCCCTACGTAAAGAAGCTCATAGACTAATGAGGAATCTCATATTTTGTGGGAACACTTATTACTTAGGTAAACCATTAGCTTTCATTTCCTCCTCTCTAAGTCCAGATAATAATAATAATACATAACTCAGAGGGTTATCTATGGGGGAAAATGAAATTGTGAAAAGTACTACAAAAATGCTATAGAATGTTAGATGACATATTATTGACTGAGGGATTTCTGGATAAGAGATTACTAACTCATGTTTTCTGAATCTCGTGATTTAAAATTTTGTAGTAAATTAGTTATGTGTTGTGTGATAAACCATATAAAATTTAGTGTCTTAAAATCACAACACTTTATTGTTTCTCATTGTTTTACTGGTTGACTGAGTGATTTTCTCCCTGGTCTTGTTTGGGCTCATTCGATATCTCCTCACTCACCTGTCTGGTGCCTCGGTGATGGCTGTTGTGTGAGCCGCTTTCATCATGCAGTTTCTTCATTAGGTAGTCCAGCTGGATTTTCTTACATGACAGCAGAAACAGTCAAAGATGTAACAACAGAATGGCAAGGCCTCTTGGGACCTAGAGTTGGAAGTCACACATTATTTTTGCCATATCCTGTTGGTCATAACTAGTTATAAAGACATAGGACATAAATCGTAGCTAGGACATAAATCATAGCTAGCCCAGATTTAAGGGGAGGGAAGAGAGACTCCACCTTTCAATGGGAGAAGTGGCAAATTCACACTGGAGAAGGGTGCATGGGATGGAAGAGACTGTTGTGGCCATCTTTGCAAACTATCTACCACATATACACATGGCAGGTTTTTATTTCCCATTTGGTAAAGTATAAGTAGTCTATTTTTCTGTGTACAGTGGCTAACAGTTGTACTTATTTTGTTGTGTGTGTTTCAATCATCATTACTAGCAAGGAATAATAGTATGAAAAGGCACAGTTTGAGTCCTTCTATATAGTTCATAGTCATTGTTGTTTGTAATCAAAGAAATATTGCAGCAACTTCTAACCAATAGGTTATGAGTGAAGGATTTGTCTGTCTGTGAAAAAATCTAGTAGTTTGAAGGTTCTTAATTCTTGTTACTTTATTATTACACTGTCTTCATTTTTTTAGCAACAAGAGGTAAATTTTTACTTTACTGCTTAATATCTGTCACTTTTATTCCTTTATAACAAGAAGATAAATATTTTAAGTCAGTTTTCCTCTTATCTAAGTATATAACCAATGGTTACAGAGCATGGAGTTGGGGTGAAGTGTGACTTTGTTTTCTTTTTATTTTAATCAAGTAGTTTCAATATCATTTCTAACTAGACAGCCTTACTTTTCAAACACCGCACCGCAAAGTATTATGTTGTTGCATTGATTTATTTCTGTTGTTTTGAAGTCTCAGTGAATTTATAATTTATATCCCACACTATCTTGAGGGTATGTGTGCTAAAGCAGAAAACACAAACTTGTCCATTTTGGTAAAATAAGGGTATTCTAAACTTTTGAGAGTTGCAAGAATCCTACTTTGAAAAATATTCAGTCTCCAGATGAACTGTAGACTTTAAATACGTAAAAGCATTATAACAAAGAAAAACATACCAGTTTATAGCCAATGACGTATGTTGATCGTAGACTCTAGCTATAGGAATGCCTTTCATTTTCTTGAAAATACAAGACAGTTTCTTATCTTTTGACTTATAGATATGTTGCCCTCTCAGGTTGAAGCGCACCCTACTATTCTTTTGATGAGTGTCTCCCTACCTGTAAGTCCCAGTTTCCATGTCACTTCCTCCACAAAGTCTTCTGGCCAGGCACCTCTCTTGCATGTTTGCATAGCACCCTCCGCTAATGCCTCCCAGTATCATGTAGCTGCTGTGAGCTTTTCTTTCTTCCTCACTAGACTATGAGCTCAATAAGGAGAGGCGTGATGCTGACTTTGACCATGTTTATACCTTCACTTCTTAGCACAGCAGTTAGAACATTGTAATGGGCAACTGATATTTGTTAAATGAATTAATTTGGGGTAGAATGTAATAAAATTTCCCACTTTAGCATTTTCATTCAGATAAAAGTACAATAGAAAATCTCATTTTTGAATCAGGACTCATAATTGTTTGGCATTGAAATAGAAAAAACATACAATGACCTATCTTTTCATTGTGTACAACAGATCAAACATTCTGCTTTGTAAGTATCTAAATAGTCTCTCATTAAATGGTTCTTTATATGATCAAGGATATGATTTTTCTTGATTTACTTTTATTTTGTAGTTCCCTAGCAAATTACTATGGGAATTAAGGTCACACAAATCAAATATCTCAATTATGCCTTTGGTATCTTACTCATCACTCTCCTACCTACTTTGACTATATCTTTCTGCTTCTTAAAATTTTCTACAGCTTCCTTTTACCCTCTGAAACAATAATGATCATATTGCCCCACTGTTCTCAGAGCGCTTGGCTATCAGATACAAGGTATTCGACTGTATCTGCCTCCGGAACACACGTGAAATAATGTATTTATTACTATCTGAAAATATATTTCAACTCACCTTCTGTAGTTTGCCACCTTTCCTTAATTTTTGTCCATTTATATCATACATATAAACTACTTTATTCATTCTGACAGCAGTAGCATAGATTTCATTCTTTTTAATTTCATTATATGGTTTGTTTCCTCCAAAAACAAACATTCTAGTTTTTTATACCATTTCTAATATTCCAGCATAATTAATGATCTGCTCTTTTCATTCAACCCATATTTGTACTTTGATATCTATGAATTATTTGGACCAGCTAAACAATGTAAGCAAATTGAACATTCACAGCATTTGATCTTTTTTGTCTGGGTCTTGATATTTAGAAAGTTCAGCTAAAGTTGATATTAAAGTGTTAAATTTGCAGAAGTTTCAGGTAACTCTTCAGTTGATCTTTACTGAAATAATGAACCACAGCCTAGAGCCCTTGTGCTTTTGTATGCTTACTAGGATTCCATAATTTTTAAGGATATATAGTTGGAAATTTTGGGAAGTGGGGATTTGGTTTTTGGTTTTTTTATTCTCAACTGAAGTGTAGCATGTATACAGATCACAGTGTAGGATGCAAATACAGATCACCAGACAGAACCTTCTGTGTGCTTTGTGGAGTCATTTGATTATTTGTGTAGTATCTCACATGAGACTTAATTTTAATTTAAACAAACCTGTAAGTCTGTTCAAAGTACAGGGAAACTGAGGTAGAAGTAATACCCTAACAATTTTGCAGAGAATTTCAGAAATATAAAATGTGTCAATACAAAAATTAGCCGGATGTGGTGGCACCTGCCTGTAATCCCAGCTACTCAGGAGGCTGAGGCAGGAGAATCGCTTGAACCAGGGAGGCGGAGATTGCAGTGAGCCAAGATCACGCCACTGCACTCCAGCCTGAGTGACAGAGAAGACTTCACCTCAAAAAAATAAAAAAAAAAGAAATAAAAAATCTCTGAAGTTTCATAAAATAAAATGTTTAAAGGTACAGTAACAGCATATTAATTTATTGCTGTATGCTAAATAGTGTGCTAGGCATATTGCACACAAGATTATGTATGCAATATGTATGCAATGTGCCTCCTAAAAATTGTTGATTATTTGTATTATTATCTCTGTTTTTCAGCAGCTCTGGAAGTTAAATAAATTACCCTATGTATTAGTTTTCTATTGCTATGTAACAAATCACCACAAACTTAGAGAATTAAAATAACACCATTACTTATATCATAGTTCTGTAGATCAGAAGGCCAAGCAGGCTGGACTGGGTGTTCTACTTGGGGTCTCTGAAGGTAGAAATCAAGGTGTCAGCCAGGCTGGGCTCTTAGCTGGCAGCTGGAAAGAATTCATTATCAAGCTCATTCAGGTTGTTGGCAGAATTAAATTCCACTTGAACCTCGAACAACATGGGTTTCAGCTGCAGGTCCACTTATACCCATTTTTTAAAAATAATTATATTGGGATTCTTTTGGATATTTGAGACAATTTGAAAAAAAAAAACCAGATGAACAGTGTAGCCTAGAAATACTGAAAAAATCAGGAAAAAGTTAAGTGTGACACTATTCTGGAGATACTAGTCTCTTTTATCATTAACTACCATAAAATATACACAAATCTATCATTAAAAGTTAAAATGTATCAGAATTTACACATATAAACACTTAGAGTTGACAGAAATGTAAACAAATATATGGAGGCATAAAATTAATTGTGGTACATACTAAACTACTGTAATAATGTTGTAACCCCCTCCTGTTGGTAATGAGGTGAACTCCAGCACTATAAGTCTCTGCATAAAATGCTCTGTGATGCTAATCAACCTGTGTGAGCAGCTCATCTCCAGTAAATTGCATACTGAAGTAAAAAGTGATCTCTTGCAGTTCTCGAGTATTTGTTATAGTGTTTAGTGTACTACCATAAACCTTGAATAACACCCTACGGCCCACAGGAAGTGTCACTAGTGATGCTGGAAGTGCTTCCAAGAAACAGAAAAGTCATGACATTACAAGAAAAAGTTGGATTGCTTGATATGTACCATAAAATGAGGACTGCCACTTTGATTGCCCATCATTTCAAGATACATGAATCCAGCCTAGGAAAAGGAAATTTCTGAAGCTGTAGCTGCAGCTACAACAGCAGGTGCAAAAACCTTGCACATTTTGTGAAATACATTTGTATCTCATATCGAAAATGTAGCTTTTATGTGGGTACAGGATTGCTATGAGAAAGTCATACCTATAGACCAAGAGACAGCATACTAGTTTCCTAGACACCATTAAAAATCATTAAATAGAAAGGATATCTGCCTGAACAGGTTTTTAATACAGACAAAAGTGTCTACTCTGGGGAAAAAAAGCCACAGAAGACATTTATTAGTAAAAAATAGAAGCCAGCACCAGGAATTAAGCTGGTCTTTTTTGTCTGGGTCTTGATATTTAGAAAGTTTTTAAGGCATATTTAGAAAGTTTTTAAGGCATATTTAGAAAGTTTTAAGGAATTAAGGCAGGAAGGGATAGGCTAACTCTACTGTTTTGTACAAATGCAGTCAGGTTTATGATCAACACCGCCCTCATCTATAAAGCTGCTAATCTAAGAGCCTTGAAGGGAAAAGATAAACACCAGCTGCCAGTCTTTTGCTTTTACAAGACAACCTGGACAATGAGAAGCCCTATTCTGCATTTGTTTTATCAGTGCTTTGTCAGGAGGTACCTTGCAAGTAAAATTCTTTTGATTTTGGACAATGCCCTTGGCCACCCAGAACTCCATGAATTCAAGATCGAAGGTGTCTAAGTTGTCTACTTGATCCCAAACACAACTTCTCTAATTCAGCCTCTAGATCAAGGGGTCATAAGGACTTTAAACTCATTACACATGGTACTTTATGGAAGGGATTGTCAGTGACATGAAAGAGAGCCCTGATAGAAAGGACATCATGAAAGTCTGGAAGGATCACACAATTGAAAATGTCGTTGTTATTGAACAAGCCATGAAGGCCATTAGCCCAAAGCAATAAATTCCTACTGGAGAAAACTGTCCAGATGTTGTGCGTGACTTCACAGGATTTATGACAGAGCCAATCAAGGAAGTTATGGATGAGATTGTAGGTATGGCAGAAAAAAAAAAAAAAGATGGGGTAAAGGATTTCAGGATATGGATCTTGGGGAAATTCAAGAGCTAATAGAAACCACACCAGAGGAATTAACAGAAGACAACTTAATGGAGATGAATGCTTTTGTGCCAGTGCCACACTATGAGGAAGAAGACATATTATAAAAGAAGCAGTGCCAGAAAACAAATTGACATTAGACAATCTGGCAGAAGGGTTATTGTTATTCAAGGCTACTTTCAACTTCTTTCATGTCATGGACCCTTCTATGATACAGGCACTGAAACTAAAGTGAACAGTGGAAGAAAGATGCTACCACATAGAAATATTTTAAAGAAATAAAGAAGCAAAAGAGTCAGAAGTTACAATGTATTTCCTCAAAGTTACACCAAGTGTGCCTGCCTCTCCTTTCTCCCCTTCCACCTCCTCCACTTCTTCTGCCTCTGCCACCTGAGACAGCAAGACCAACCTCTCCTTTTCCTCCTCAGCTTACTCAATTTGAAGACAATGAGGATGAAGACCTTTATGATGATCCACTTCCACTTAATGAATAATAATTATGTTTTCTCTTAGGATTTTCTTAATAACATTTTTTTCTCCAGCTTGCTTTATTGTAAGAATACAGTACCTACTACATATGAAATACATTCAAAATATGTGTTAATTGGCTGTGTTATCAATAAGGCTTCTGGTCAACAGTAGGCTATTAGTTTTGGGGGAGTCAAAACTTACAGGTAGATTTTTGTCTTTGCCGGGGATCAGTGCCCCAGCCCGAGTTGTTCAAGGAGCTGTACTTGCAGTTGTAGGAGTGAGGTACCAGTTTTCTTGCTGGCTGTCAACAGGGGCTGCTCACCACTCCTGGAAGCTACCTGTGCTCCTTCTCATGTGGCTCACTCACTTCAAACCAGCAATGGCATGTTGAAACCTTCTTATGATTTGAGTCTTTCTGGCTTTCCCTTCTCCTACCAGCCAGATAAAGTTCTCTGCTTTTAAGGGCTTGTATGATTAGATTAGTCACCCCTTCTATGTAAAATCTCTCTATGTTAAGGTTAACTATGCCATGTAACATGAAACAATCACAGGAGTGATACGTTGTCACATGCACAGTTAGTGTGAGATATTCTGTGGGAGAAGGGGCATAATTCTGCTTACCATATCATATTGCTCAAAACAGTAATTGGCAGAGTTAGAGGTCAAGCCTGGGTTTGGTTGAACTCCAGAGCTTTGTCTCTATACCACATTCATCAGAGGGCCTAATTTTATCTGTGGTGATATGGAAACCAGTCTTAGTCCTATATAGCCAGGCTATGTTGGTCCCATATGCTGCTATAAATATATTGCCTCAGAGGTCTCCAGCACAGTTTTACATGCACACTGGTCCTGTAAAATAGGAGATCCAGATGGTCAGAAATGCATACGTTAGGTTTTGTTATGCCCCATATATTTCTGTGATTTGCACTTGTGTTTATTAGTTTATTCTGCCCTATTTTATTACAAGCTTTGATTTCTACTTTCTACCCTTTCTCCCTTCTGCTTACCTTATGAACGTACTTAAAAAACTTGGTTAACTAAGAGTCAGGCTTATTGCAGTTTCTTTTGGAAATTCGTAGTCATATTTTTTTTTCTGCTTAATTAAATCCTTTTCAGAGGTAATTGAGTTGAGTGACCATAATGTGCTAAGGGAACTGCAAAAGATAACAAAGTCAATCAAGAGAAATCCCTTACTTGATCATACAAAGCTATCATTTAACTAGGGACCCCATGGATTTTTCTGAAGCAGAATATTTGATCTGGTGCACACAATGAAAAAAAAAAAAGCAAATGTGTGATTTCGTTGATTTTTTTTTTTTTTTTTGACAGAGTCTCACTCTGTCACTAGGCTAGAGTGCAGTGGCATGATCTCAGCTCACTGCAACCTCTGCCTCCTGGGTTCAAGTGATTCTCCTGCCTCAGCCTCCCGAGTAGCTGGGACTACAGGCACGTGCCACCACACCCGGCTAATTTTTGTATTTTTAGTAGAGACAGGGTTTCTCCGTGTTGGCCAGGATGGCCTTGATCTCTTGACCTTGTGATCCGCCTGCCCAGGCCTCCCAAAGTGTTGGGATTACAGGTGTGAGCCACCACGCCCGGCCTCATTGATTTTAAATAACATAAACAAATATATGCCGTATATTTCTTAGGTTGTTAAGTGTAACATATTTTGAGATAACTATTAATTTCTTTGTTAACAGCTTTTGAATCTTGTTTGCTTGCCTCCATTAAGAAAATGACACAGTCTTCTTTTTCCTCATGACTCACCAGGCCAGAGACAGCCTCCCAGATTACAACTAGCTCAGTGGTATTAGGAGCAGTATGGATTGTGTATGAAACAAAGTCCAACTTTTATTTACTCAATGACTAAGTAATTTGGGACAAGTCACTAGATACAGCTGGACCTCCTTATTCTCAATTATAAAAATAAGCAAGCCGTTCCACAGTTCTATTATTTTAAATGACATCTGCTATGATATACTTTGCTTAGTATCCAAGAGGCTGGAAATATTTAATTTATTTTAGTTTGACCACTAAGAAATTTGTTCTCTGGATCTCATAAAGACATGGAAACATTTTACAGGTGAATATGTGTAAATATTATAGTAAAATTAATTTGAATACTCATGGGGCTTGTCATACTTAATCAAGTTATAAGATTATTTTCCTTCTTTACACAATAAAATTATTTCTTTGGTTTCAATTTTTTGTATACTCTTGTGATCTCAAAGGTGTTCCTTTTATTCTCTTTCTTTTATTTAACCAGAAATATCTTTTATTTTGAATGCTATTTTGTCATAATTCATGCATGATTGTGCTTACTTTAAATGGGACATGATTATTTCTGCTGTCTAGGATACATGACCAAAATATTAAAAAACAGATAATTGCAGATTATGGCCAACATGGCTACACAATGTCTTAGAAAAGTTAGTTTTGCCTTTCTTTGTGAAATATATTGCATGAAACACTGATGTTATCATTTTGATGGATTCTCCCCAAAATTGATGGCCTGGTTTTTACAAGTCAAAGCATCTACATATTTTAAAGTGTTAAAGAAAATTAAATGAACAGTTAAATTAGAAATGGAGGATGAGCTATAACTTCTCTTCCTAGAAGGGAGGACATTATGAGCAACATGCACATAGGGAGTGATTTTTCTGGCAATAAAGTTTGGAAAATAGCAACCAAAACAGAACAAAACTATTCATGTTGTCATTCAGTACGTAGAGAACAAAAAGTTTCCACTATACAAGAACCTATACTACTATATATTTGCAATGATGCTTTAATGCAGGGGAAAACAGCTGTTTATCTGTTTTTCTTTTGGTTTTATTTTCTTTTTACCTTGCCATCCTGTCAGTACGTGGCTTCATAAAGCTGTAGGATTCTGATAGGGAAACTACCGATTCCATGTGCTTTGGAAGCCAATGTGCTGATTATCTAGCTTGATAGCAGTATTTTATTATAGCTGGAGGGAAAGTGTGGCTATGTTTGTGAGAGGCAGGAAGGCAAATGCCACCAATAACGTGTCCAGAAGTGAGCTATCCCCTGTGTTTTATGCACTTCATTCTACTGAATGAATATTGTATCACTGTTTTCATTTTTTTGTTTGAATATCAGAGACTTTTCCAATGGTTCTGTTTCTGTCGAACACTTGATGGAAAGCCCTGTTGTAAAGCTTCCTTCATGGAGATGGCTTTATGTCTTGGCTATAAAGTAAAGTTCCATAAATTTGATCAGAAATTGTCTTTATGGGTTGCCACCCTGTGTGCTATTAAAAGCTCAGAACCTGGGTGTTAGTTTTCACTCAGAGCTGTGCTTGCCTTTTGTATTTGGCAAGTGCAGCTCTGAGTTAAAACAAACACTTTCCTTTATTTTACCACTTTCTTCCTACAGAACATCTCTCCCACCAGCCTCCCTTTTGGGGCTCAATAGTCTTGTTCAACCCATCTTTACTGTACACTAGAGCCAAGTTCTTTGGGTGTTTTCCTAGGATATTTGCAACATCAAGGTCAAAATGTTCTTTATATTCAACAATTCACCTCTTTCATTACCCTAGGTAGAGCTCCTCAGAAGTACTTCCCACCAAGGAGTCCTCAATAAATATTAATTATACATTTTGGAGAGATTTGTATTGCAATGAACATGCTTCAGTGCCAGTTCTTCCTTACTAAAACTTTTTGTTCTCCACTTACATTTTGTGGCCATGTCATCCTGGCTTTGTATCCTTACCTGCTGACGTCTATATATTCAGCCCAGCCAATATGCATTTATATTCTCTCTGTAGTTCTGAGACTCATTAATGGTCCTCTTTTACCTTAATTGAGTACAGTCTGAGAGAGTGCCTGTCTTCCATTATTGTACATTTTTCTTCTCACAGAACACCTTTTGATTCTTGCTCTGATCTCTTATATAAGATGCGCTGTGAAACATAATTTCCTTCCTTCCTCTTTTTTTTCTAATAAGTTGGCATGTTTAATTAACCTGTGTAAAAAAAAAAAAAGAGAGAAGACTTTTTTAAAGGGTAATAGAAGTCATAGTAATATTTTGCTTTGCCTGAAAACAGCTTTCTCAGTGTCCAAAGGGATTCTAAACTATACATGTATTTCTTCACATGCATTATTTATTTAAAAATAAATAAATAAAAGGGTAAGTGGCAGTCCAGACAGGCTGCTTCACTGTGTCTTGATGCCTCATGATAGCACAGGTTCTAGAATGCCATGAGTGGGAAAACAATTTCTTTCATCTTTTCTGATAATGTTGTTTGCATGATGTAAATATTCAGTTCTAGCATGACAGTGGGTACCTGAGGGAATTTAAAGTGAAATAACAGGATTGTTAACAAATTTTCATTCCCATATAATTTATGTTTCATATATTTCTACTGGAAAACTAAGAAAAAATTTTTTCCCAAAGGCAATTATTTTGCAAGGCCTTTTTACCCTATTATAAGACTTTCTTTTCAGTTAATAACCCAAAGTGTCTCTTCAGATGCTTAAGTCAAGTCGTTAATTGGCTTGACTAAGTGGTTGTTGGTGCAGAAAGCTTATTCTCTCCGTTGGTTGTATATAACTCACAGACATTAAATGACCCACTTTGTTGTTCCTAAGGCAAAGAATCATTATTTTCTTTCGGCAGTATACTGTGGACTTTTAATTCACAAACTTATAGCTCAGGTTGAAGTAATTTCTGCTGAGAAGTGATTTTTCTAAACAATTGTTTAATGGTTTTGATTTGGAGTAAACATTAGATGCAACTTTTGAGCTAGTATACTCTACTGTAGAGATCATTAATGTAACCTTTTGTTTTTGTAGCGTGCCTGTCTCCCTTCAAAAATTGTTTATTCTAAACTGTGATCTTTTTTCTAAAGATTTGTTTAAAGTTAACAAGGTAAGTATAACCATTAAGTTCACATATAAATGATTAATACACAAATATTCAGCTTTGTTCTCTGCATAAATATCTACCTCTCCTTAAATTAAAATTTGTAATTGTTGAAAGAAAATTTGAATAGTAGGAAAATTTTACTTAATGATGTCTAACTGTGAATTTGCTTTGCTGAGTGGGAAATAGTGATCATTGAATCTCATAAATAACTTTACCTAGAGTTACATAAACCTTTTGACCAAAATTATTTAAAGAATAAAGTACTAGCTAGAATATATCTGTCAGAAAGTCACTACTACTTACTTCTGCATGTCCATAACACACATAAGTAATATATACAGTCACATTAAAAAATGTGCCAACTCTATAAGAACGGAGACTTTTTTCTCTTTAGTTCTCTCAGTGGCACATGAACACATGTACATACATGTGTACACATACACACACAATGGAAAGCCAACACTGAAACCTTCTCTGGGGAGTTGGGGAACGATGAGAGACAATGTGGTATAATAAAAACAATAGGGGGAGGCCGAGGCGGGTGGTTCACGAGGTCAGGAGTTGGAGACCGTCCTGGCTAACACAGTGAAACCCGGTCTCTACTAAAAATACAAAAAAAATTAGCCGGGTGTGGTGGCGGGCGCCTGTAGTCCCAGCTACTTGGAAGGCCCGGGAATGGCATGAACCCGGGAGGCAGAGTCTGCAGTGAGCCGAGATCACGCCACTGCACTCCAACCTGGGCGACAAAGCGAGATTCCATCTCAAAAGAAAAAACAAACAAACAAACAAAAAACAATAGGGGCTGGGTGCGGTGGCTCACGCCTGTAATCTCAACACTTTGGGAGGCTGAGGCAGGCGGATCACGAGGTCAAGTGATCAAGACCATCCTAGCCAACATGGTGAAACCCCGTTTCTACTAAAAATACAAAAATTAGCCCGGCGTGGTGGCAGGTGCCTGTAGTCCCAGCTACTCGGGAGGCTGAGGCAGGAGAATCACTTGAACCGGGTAGGTGGAAGTTACAGTGAGCCAAGATCATGCCACTGCACTCCAGCCTGGCGACAGAGCGAGACTCCATTTCAAAAACAAACAAAAAACAATAGGCTGGGCGCGGTGGCTCATGCCTGTAATCCTAGCACTTTGGAAGGGCAAGGTGGGTGGATTGCCTGAACTCAGGAGTTTGAGACCCGCCTGCGCAACACGGTGAAACCCTGTCTCTACTAAAATACAAAAAATTAGCCTGGCATGGCGGTGTGCACCTGTAGTCCCAGATACTCGGAAGGCTGAGGCAGGAAAATTGCTTGACCCTGGGAGGCGGGGGTTGCAGTGAGCCGAGATCGCGCCACTGCACTCCAGCCTGGGTGACAGAGTGAGATTCCGTCTCTAAAAAAAAAAAAAAGAAAAAAGAAAAAAAAACAATAGTGGACTGTTTCTCCTCTTGTTTGTTATAGTAACTGCACTGTGCGAACCTGGAACAAGTCATGTAATAACTTTTGGCTCACTTTTATCTTGTCCATATATTAGGAAAACATTCTCAAGTGTAATTTCACATTATTATTAGAATAACAGTTATTTGAAGATGGAGATGATGTTAAAGATACAGAAAAGAGCTTTAGGTCGGGGAGAGAGCAGTACAGATGTTCTGGGGAAAAATGGCATTGCTCACATCTACTTTTATCTACAGCAAGGATTCTAAAGGGATTTATAACCCAAACATATTGCGAATGGATTTGTAGAGAGATTAATAACTAGCTTTAGTAGACAGGCTGAAATGTAGACACAATATGAATACTTGATACATAGCAGGGTTTTCTTCGCCAAAAATACACTTATGGAAGCAACAGTAACAGAGAGTGCTACAATGCAGGTGAAAGACCCTGTTGGGGATATGTGTTGGAGAAGCTGGGAGATTTCATGCTATGACCTCAACTAATTACGACCCAGCCTGTACCCAGACAGCTAAAAATTAACACAGAAGTTTAGCATGTAATCAACTATAAATTCTCACTCTTCAGTACTCAGTAGTCTTTTTTTTCTGTTAAAAGATTGACCACTGATGACCAGGAATTGTAAATGAATTTATTCAAGTAGAAGGGCTATTTATCAGATTAGGATCTTAGTTTATCTAATAGGTAAACGACTGGTCTGAGTTTTTATACTAGCTGATGTTAAAAAGTGATGTGTAAATTTTTTTTCTCTTCAGTTATGTATTTAATTACTGACTAATCCCTGTCAAGTATAATTGTTAGGCAGCATCACTGTCTAAGAATCTAAAGTGATATCCCATTGCCGAGCAAATCATATCAGATTCCTCCGTTTGGCTTTGAAGGACACATGCAATCTGGCTTCAACCTGCCTATCCACATGTATTTCCTTTGACTTCCTTCAATACTTTTCATTCAGTGGCACCTCTTAGGTTTTCTCATACTTGCTATTATTATTTATGCTAGGTCTATATTAGCTTGGAATATCCTCCTTCTTTCTATTCAAACTTTATCCACTCTTCAAAACTAACCTCAATTACCACCCATTCCAAGGCCTTCTCCATTTGCAGCAGTGTTGATTCAGTATTATTTATTATTTATTTTTTCATTTATTCACAATAACTCAACAAATATTGAGTGTCTTCTATGTTACAGATGCTGTCCTCACCTAAACATGAATTTTTATTGCATGTAGAGTCATAACCAAGTAGTATACTGAGTTTGTAGTTTAATATTTATTGTATCTCCTCTATAAAACTGAGCTTACAGTGGCAGTGATTATGTCTTTTTTTTTTTTCTTTAACAAAGAGGTCATGAAATAGTGTAAGTCAAAACCAAGTAGGGAATTACAAGGCTGATTTGTATTTCCTCTTGGCTACTACTTAGTCATTCGATGATTCAAATCAATGGACATTTATTAAACTTCTGTCATGTACGTTGCGATGTTATACACTATAGGAGATACATAGACAATCACTTAATAGAGTCAGTATTCCAAAAGAGAGAGTCTCTATTTGAGGTCCTAGGACCCCCCTAGAGAATTCAATGTTTTAACTTCAGAGGATTTTATCTAAAGTTTGGATATGTGCTTATATGCATTTTTCTGAGGAGAGGGTGCATAGTTTTTAGATGTTAAAGATGTAATTGATAATTTTTTGAAAAGGTTGAAAAGCTCATGATCTCAGTATGTATGAAACAAGTACACAACTAAAGAACAAGAGTCATAAAAGAGCAACAAACCCTAAGCTGTGTTTAGAAAGAGGTAAAATGATATCTGACTGTGGTCATTTAAGGAAAAACTTCCTGAAAGAGATGACTTTTGGAATATATGCCATGCATTTTTTGGCCTCAGCTCCCTCATGGAAAAAAAGGTAGATTATAAAATCTCTGCTATTTTTTCCGAGATACAAATTTATTTCTTGATTCAATCACCAAGTGCTCTTCAGAATGCCAGTGACATCATAGGTACTCAGAAAACATCTGTTAATTGGTAAATCTGAAATTAAACTTCAGAAATTTATAGCTACAAATATATCTATTGAGTTGAAATTTTAGAATATTATTGCATTAGCTTCCTAATGTTCCATGAATGAAAAGATTTATCAGATGTTTATATACCATTAATCACAATCTTCCACTTGGCAGATCAGAATGTTTAATTCATTATTTCTCCTTCATTTCTTCATAACATTTAAAAATATCTTTGTATTTTGTTATTCTTACTGTTACAGCCATTGGGGTCGCCTCATTAGTCTTTATGATTTGTAGGGGCAGGAACTCTCTTAAACCTGTTTGATATTATTTAGAACCTAGCACATCCCCCTAATCAAAAAGGGGCACAGTAGGCTGGGCGCAGTGGCTCACGTCTATAATCCCAGCATTTTGAGAGGTCGAGACGGGCAGATTACAAGGTCAGGTGTTCGAGACCAGCCTGGCCAACATGGCGAAACCCCGTCTCTGCTAAAAATAAAAAAATTAGCCAGGCATGGTGGTGGTCACCTATAATCCCAGCTACTCAGGAGGCTGAGGGAGGAGAATCGCTTGAGCCCCATAGGCAGTGGTTGCAGTAAGCCGAGATCATGCCATTGCACTCCAGCCTGGGCAACAAGAGCAAGAGTTCATCTCAAAAATAAATAAATAAATAAATAAATAAATAAATAAATAAATAAAAGGTGGGAGGGACACAGTAAATATTGAATCATAAATGAAAGGCTGCATATCAAGGTGCATCAAAATAATAAATTTCCTATTTCATTATCGTCCAGAATTTAAAGAGCATGAGCCCAGAAGTGAGACCACATGTTCAAATCCTGACACTGCCTACTCCTCTGTGAGTCACCTTTGACGAGTTCCTTAAATTCGTCATTCTCAGCTTTCTTGTCTGTGGAGTGTGGTAATGACAGTGCCTACCTCATACGGTTATTGTGAGCGTCAAATTTAGTGCTTGGCAAAGTGCCTAACACATCATAGGCAAGAGAGAATCCAGGTTCGTAGGGCCTCAAGCTTTTACAGTGTCTGAGCTCTCTTTAAGAAAATGAATTTCAAACTATGAATTCAAAATTAGCTAATTAGAACATTTTAAAGGTATGTCTGTAGAGTGGGAAATTATAGGCAACAAAGGTCTGAAAAATACCCCAGTTATCATCAAATATTATTGTTACTAGTAATTTCCTGGTTCATTATAATACTTTATTTTCTACACATTTTTAGATGCATACACTCAGATTTCCTTTTTCAAATAATAATTTTAAATATTTTCTATAAAGAGAATAGAAAGAAAATTCATTCTTTAGCAAAGGGGATTGAAATTTATTAATTTTTTATTGTTGCTGGTTTAGGAAGTATTTATTTACTTAATTCATAACATATTACTGGAAATGCCACATTCTGACTTCCTCCCTGGCTTTTTGCCCAGGAAGTTCATTGTTTGGAAGGAAGCCTTAGAGAAGTTCAGGTTTTGGGTCTCACTTGGCATGGTCTCAGACAGGCCAGTGCCTTGGCAGTGGCTCCATCCTGGCAGCCTCCTCTTGATTCCCCATCTTCATCCTTGTAAGCAGGGCAGGTCTTTCTGTGAGAGATGAGGGGAGGAAGTAGAAAGTAGCCAAGAGCCTGGGAGATAGTGGTGACAAAGCTTTGCTTTTACATTATTAGGGTCACAGGTAAGGTCCAAAATCTCCCTGAAGTCCACTGGGGTTAGGTTGTCATTGAAGTGTAGATAGATTTAAGGAAATGCTGGCAGCCTGCCTGCTGACAGCATCTGCTGCAAACTCAGGATGATTTTTAGGAGGTAGAAGGTGAGGACAGGCTAGGACCACTCTCCACACCTCCACTAAAGGCCTGAGGCTATTACTTCCTCAATATAGGCAGTGCAGGTGAGGAGCTCTGAAGCCTCAACTCCATTAATTCCATGGTAAAGCTGCTTCTGACTTGTAAGTGCTCAGTAAATTAGCACTTACCCGAATTGTTTTACTCTTTCATTGGCAAATTATTTTTCATTAAAACCCTAGGAATTTTGCAGTGAATGCCTTTTTAAATTTTATTTTATTTTTAAAAAATTTTTGCAATAATTGTGTTTCTCCTCTTTATTCCAAACAGGACAGAATTCTAAATAACCCAGCCTTTTACTAAAGTGAATTTGAAATGAGTTGTGATAGAGCAAGTTTGTTTAATACCTCATGATCATGTTAAGATCTAATCATATTGAGAAAAAAATGCCATATTCATTTCATTCTTAAATATCATTTCTAGTGGATACCGTTCTGTGTCCCTAGATCCTTTCAGAGATGAAGAATTTGTTATCCCAGTTGTTGGGAGTGCTGCTTGCTACTTGTCAAGACGACAGTTCTCTCTGGGACAAGTTCTTTTTGTGCAAGATCACAGCCACTCCCTAAGGGCAGCTTACACCCAGCGTTTCTTTAATAGGAGTGGAGTAGGGTTGTTTACAAAGGCCCTGGTCTAGTGCACCCCCTGAAGGATCATCCTAGCTTCAGAGTTCCACAAAGTCTGCCTAGTGACAGAATAGTGACCTTACTTCTCCACCCTCTGACCAATTTACGTATCCTCCCTTCCCTGACATGTAGTGACCCTGAAAACTTTTTCCAGTATACCTTGTGTACATAAACCAGTCTCAGAGTCTCATTCTTAGAGACCACTACCTGAAGCATTTTCAAAATTTTCAAGAGGCAATAATGTGTTAAATAACAGCTTCTCTGGGGATGAGGGAGGAGATCGCTTTAAAAACGTGATCCAATTCCAGAAATGTTCAAGTTGAAAAAAATCTTACATTCAAGAAAGTGTGCTATCAGAGTATACAAGAGTGCTATAATTGCTGTATGTTAGCTGTGACCAATAACCTGAAGCAATTAGAAGCCTTTCACTGAAGCCACTATCTATAGAAAGGTTAAAGATTGTTGTTCTTTCCTTTTCTCAGTGGAATTTTCTCTTTATATGCTCTTTTGGCTTGATCTCTTTGGAACTCATGGTTTTAGACCATTGCATTATATATCTCTAGTTCTGCCATCTCTTGAGCTTCTAATTTACATATTCATCTGTCTGCCAGAGTCCTTTTGTTGATATCCCACCAGCCTCCCAAACTTAACATGTACAACACTGAGTTAACTTTCCCTCAGATCAGTCCTGTCTTGTTTACAGTTTCAACTAGTGGCCCCACTGTGTCCGGAATTGATGGGTTCTTGGTCTCACTGACTTCAAGAATGAAGCCGCGGACCCTCGCGGTGAGTGTTACAGCTCTTAAGGTGGCGCATCTGGAGTTTGTTCCTTCTGATGTTCGGATGTGTTCGGAGTTTCTTCCTTCTGGTGGGTTCGTGGTCTCGCTGGCTCAGGAGTGAAGCTACAGACCTTCGCGGTGAGTGTTACAGCTCTTAAGGTGGCGCATCTGGAGTTGTTCGTTCCTCCCGGTGGGCTCATGGGCTCACTGGCTTCAGGAGTGAAGCTGCAGACCTTCGCGGTGAGTGTTACAGCTCATAAAAGCAGTGTGGACCCAAAGAGTGAGCAGTAACAAGATTAATTGCAAAGAGCAAAAGAACAAAGCTTCCACAGTGTGGAAGGGGACCTGAGCAGGTTGCCACTGCTGGCTCCGGCAGCCTGCTTTTATTCTCTTATCTGGCCCCACCCACATCCTGCTGATTGGTAGAGCTGAGTGGTCTGTTTTGACAGGGCGCTGATTGGTGCGTTTACAATCCCTGAGCTAGAGACAAAGGTTCTCCACGTCCCCACCAGATTAGCTAGATGCAGTGTCCACACAAAGGTTCTCCAAGGCCCCACCAGAATAGCTAGATACAGTGTTGATTGGTGCATTCACAAACCCTGAGCTAGGCACAGGGTGCTGATTGGTGTATTTACAAACCTTGAGCTAGATACAGAGTGCCGATTGGTGTATTTACAATCCCTGAGCTAGACATAAAGGTTCTCCAAGGCCCCACCAGAGTAGCTAGATAGTGTCGATTGGTGCATTCACAAACACTGAGCTAGACACAGGGTGCTGATTGGTGTGTTTACAAACCTTGAGCTAGATACAGAGTGCCGATTGGTGTATTTACAATCCCTGAGCTAGACATAAAGCTTCTCCAAGGCCCCACCAGACTCAGGAGCTCAGCTGGCTTCACCCAGTGGATCCCACACTGGGGCTGCAGGTGGAGCTGCCTGCCAGTCCTGCTCCGTGCGCCTACACTCCTCAGCCCTTGGGTGGTCGATGGGACTGGGCGCCGTGGAGCAGGGGGCGGTGCTCATCGGGGAGGCTCGGGCCTCACAGGAGCCCATGGAGGGGGTGGGAGGCTCAGGCATGGCAGGCTGCAGGTCCCGAGCCCTGCCCTGCAGGAAGGCAGCTAAGGCCCGGCGAGAAATCGAGCACAGCGCTGGTGGGCTGGCACTGCTGGGGGATCCAGTACACCCTCTGCAGCCGCTGGCCCCGGTGCTAAGTCCCTCATTGCCCGGGGCCAGCACGGCCAGCCGTCTGCTCCGACTGCGTGGCCCACCAAGCCCATGCCCACACGGAACTCCAGCTGGCCCGCAAGCGCCGCACGCAGGCCCGGTTCCCGCTCGCACCTCTCCCTCCACACCTCCCTGCAAGCTGAGGGAGCTGGCTCTGGCCTTGGCCAGCGCAGAAAGGGGCTCCCACAGTGCATCGGTGGGCTGAAGGGCTCCTCAAGTGCCGCCAAAGTGGGAGCCCAGGCAGAGGAGTCGCCGAGAGCGAGCGAGGGCTGTGAGGACTGACAGCAGGCTGTCACCTCTCACCACTACCCTGACATTTCAAATAATAAAACCTATTAGTCATCCTAGATTCTTTCTTCTCCCTTGTCCTGCATATCCAGACAGCCAACAAGACCTGATAATTTTCCTATGAAGTATTATTCCAATCAGTTTCCTCTTTGCAACTCCTATTGCTACTTTCTCGATTTAGGTTCTTATGCGGACTACTACAATAATAATTGACTTGTTTTCCTACCCTAAGCCTTGCTTCCTTTAAGCCCTCTGCATAGTGGTCCAGATACTCTACATCAAATACAAATTCGATCATGCCATTACATGCATGAACACAATGAACAGCAACTTCTCCTGTCAAGAAAGACTCTCCATGACATACTCCTATTTTTTTCATTTTCCATATTACCGCCACTCCCTTTATCCAACTTTATGTGCTAGTAAAATTGAACTGCTTGGAGTTTACTGGTGTGCTTCATGTTTCATGCCTCTGTGCCATTGCCCATTATTTCCACTCTGCCAGGAAAGCGCTTTTCTTCTGTATTAGATTAACTTTAATCATTCCTTTAAGATGATTTATTTTTATCATCTCTAGGATGTTTCTTGCATCTAAAAATCCTATAATACTGTATTAATCAATTTTCATACTGATATAAAGATACTACCTGAGACTGGGTAATTTATAAACATAAGAGGTTTAGTTGACTTGCAGTTCTGGGGAAGCAGGCACCTTCTTCACAAAGTGGCAGGAGCGATAGAACATGCAGGAGAAACTGCCAATTTTAAACCATCATATCTCATGAGAATTCCATCACTATCATGAGAACAGCATGGGGGAAATTGCCCCTATGATCCAATCACCTCACACCAGATTCCTCCCTCAACATGTGGGGATTACAATTCAAGATGAGATTTGAGTGGGGACACAAAGCCAAACATTATCATTCTGCCCATAGCACTGCCCAAATCTCATGTCCTTTTCCATTTTGAAACCAATCACACCTTCCCAACACTCCCCCAATGTGTGAACTCATTCTGGAATTAACCCAAAAGTCCAAGTCCAAAGTCTCATCTGAGACAAGATAAGTCCCTTCTGCCTATGAGCCTGTAAAATCAAAAACAAGTTAGTTATTTCCAAGATAAAATGGGGGTTCAGGCATTGGGTAAATGTTCCCATTCCAAATGGGAGAATTTGGACAAAACGAAGGGGCCACAGGTTCCATGCAAGTCCAAAATCCAACAGGGCAATCATTAACTCTTAAAGCTCCAAAATGATCTCCTTTGACTCCATGTCTCATATCCTGGGCAGGCTAATGCAAAGGGTGGGCTCCCAAGACCTTGGGCATCCCTACTGGGTCTGCAGCATACAGTCCCTTTAGCTGCTTTCATGGGCTGGCATTCAGTACCCATGGGTTTTCCAGGATCATATTGCAAGCTGTCAGTGGATCTATCTTTCTAGGTCTGGAGGTCAGTGGCTGTCTTCTGACAGCTCCATTAGGCAGTGCCTCAGTGAAGACTCTGTGTGGGGGCTCCAACCCCACAATTCCCCTCCACCCTGCTCCAGCAGAGGTTCTCCAGGGGCTTTGCCCCTGCAGCAGACTTCTGTGTTGATGTCTAGGCATTTCCATACATCCTCTAAAATCTAGGCAGATGCTCCCAAAGCTCAATTCTTGTCTTCTGTGCACCTGCAGGCCAAACACCATGTGGAAACCACCAAGGCTTGGGACTTGCACCCTCTAAAGCACGGCCCAAGCTGTGCCTTGGTCCCTTTTAGCCACAGCTGGAGCTGGAGTGGCTGGAACACAGGGTGCCATGTCCCGAGGCTGCACAAAGGAGTTGGGCCCTGGGCCTGGCCCACAAAACTGTTTTTATTTTCCTAGGCCTCCAGGCCTGTAATGGGTGTGGCTGCCTTGAAGATCTCTGAAATGCCTGGAGACATTTCCTGCATTGTCTTGGCAATTAACTTTTGGCTGTTTGTTACTTAGGCAAATTTCTGCAGGCTTGAATTTCTCCACAGAAAGTGGGTTTTTCTTTTCTACCAAATGGTCAGGCTGCAGATTTTCCAAACTTTTATGCTTTGTTTCCCCTTTAAACATAAGTTCAATTTCAAACTATCTCTGTGAGAGCACATAAATACACTTTCAGGAAAAGCCAGGTCACCTCTTAATGCTTTGCTGTTTAGAAATTTCTTCTGCCGGATACCCTAAATCAACTCTCTCAAGTTCAAAGTTGCACAGATCTTTAGGTCCGGGGAAAAATGCCACCAGTGTCTAAAGTGACCTTTACTCCAGTTCCCAACAAGTTCTTCATCTCCATCGAAGATCATCTCAGCTTGGACTTCATTGTCCATATCACTATCAGCATTTTGGTCAAAATTATACAACAAGTCTCTAGGAAGTTCCAAACTTTTTCACATCTGCCTGTCTTCTTCTGAGCCTCCAAACTGTTCCAACGTCTGCCTATTACCCAGTTCAAAAGTCACTTCCACATTTTCAAATTATCTTTGTAGCAGTACCCCCATCTGCCAATTATCTGTATTAGTCCATTTTCACACTTCTACAAAGGTACTACCTGAGCGCCACTGCACTTCAGCCTCAGCCAGGGGAACAGAGCAAGACTCCGTCTCAAAAAAAAAAAAAAAAAAAAAAAAAAGATACTACCTGTGGCTGGGTAGTTTATAAATCAAAGAGGTTTAACTGACTCACATTTCTACGTGGCTGGGGAGGCCTCAGGAAACTTACAATCATGGCAGAAGGCAAAGGGGAAGCAGGCACCCTCTTCGCAAGGTGGCAATAGAGACAATGCAGGAGAAACTGCCACTTTTAAACTATCAGATCTTGTGAGAGCTCCCTCACTATCCCGAGAACAGCATGAGGGATACTGCCTTCATGGTCCAATCACCCCCCACTGGGTCCCTCCCTCGACACATGGGCATTACAGTTCGAGATGAAATTTGGGTGGGAACACAGAGCCAAATCATATCAAATACTATGTGTTGCTTATCTATAAATTCCTAAAGGACAGGAACCATGCTCATTCACTTTTGTAACCATAGTGCCTGACACATACGGGATATTCAGTAAATATCTGCTGAACAGAACTGAATAATTAACACTAATAGGTCCCTAAATCTCTTTGCACTTACTGACTTATTTCTTATTTGGTATATTATCAATTTTTCCATGATTGTTTCTTTAAAAATTAATGAATTTATGATTTATTTATACAGTAAATATTTATTGAGTGGTAATTGTATGAAAGATACTTCTAGATAGTGGGAAAACAAGAATAACAAATCAGTATTAAATGATTTAGATACACATTTGTTGGATAAATAAGACAATTTCATTAGTCATTTGAAACAAAAAAAATTAGTGAGCCCATACTCTGTTCCAGGCACTACTCTGGAAGGAAGAAAATTCTGGGAGGAGAGGAAGGAGGTAGCACATATAGACTATTTTTAAGAGTTTTTTGATTGTACTGAAGACAGAAAGCTTAGGCAGTAGTTGGAAGAATTGGTGAGGTCAAGAGTTTTTCTATATGAGAGAAATAATTGTATATAGGTATTACTGATATGAATGATCCAGCAGTGTCAGAAAAACTGGTGATGTGGGAGACAGTGGGTTCAATTAATGGAACAATGGTGTTGAGAAAGTTTAAAAAGGCAAGTATTTACTGCACCAATGGATGGTTTTACCTTAGGTAGTGGCACAGTTTATCTATGGTTGTAAAGGGAAAACAGAGCAGATGGACACAGATACAAGGAGATGGAAGATGTGGAAGTCCTCTGGTGAGTCCTGTTTTCTAGGTGAAATAAGCAAGTGATCATCCACACGTGAACGTGGAGAGTATTGGTTTAAGGAAAAAAGAGAAGCAGAGCGATAGTCACCTGAGAAAATTACTGGACTATTAAATGTAATAAAATAGCTGGGCATTATTAAGGGTTGGTTCTCTTGAGGTTAGAGATCATGAATTGAAAGTGAGCTTCACCATTCAATATATGGTATTTCTCCAGGTACAGTCTGATGCAGGGGTAAGGTCACAGCAGGCAGAGAGGTGAGCTTAACCAGGTCAGATACTTTATCAAGTAATTTCAATGAAGGAAAAAAGAGGCAGTGCTGTTGAATCTGGTTGCAAGGGAGGTGGTACATGCTTATATTTAAGATCATGGAAGGCCTGCAATAGAAATAACTGGAGAAGCCCAGGGCTCAATTCTTAGACCGTCTTTTTCCTCCTTCCTTTGCTAGGTGATCTCATCCAGCCTTGAGGCCCTGCAAATCATCAATAGGCAGGTGTATTTCAAATTTATAACTCCAGCCTGGACCTCTATCCTGAAATACAGCCCCCTTCTCAACATCTTGATAAAATTGGATATCTAAGAGGCATGAGACTTTCAAAAAACTCTGGACTTTTCCCACAGACCTGGTACTTCCATGGTTTCACCCATCTTAATAGATGGCAGCCCTGCTCTTTTGGTATCTCAAGCCAAAACCTTCAGAGCCATCCTTTAGGCTTCCATTTCAAATGTAATATCTAATTAATCAGCAAATCCTACACCATCAGAATATACCCCTCTCTCCATGTCCATTACTATTTACTTTGGATTACTGTAGCACCTTCCAATTTGTCTCCCTGTGCCCATGCTTGTCCACACAAATAGTTCCTCAATATGGTAGCCCTGGTGTGCTTTTTAAAATTTAACCCAATTTATCTTCTCCCCACTCTCAACATGCTTTAAATGGGTTTCCCAATTAAGTCCCAGGTTCTTACCTGATGGCAGCCACCCCTATCTAATTTTAACTTTATACTCTTTGGCCAACTTCTCCCAATCCTTCTAAGCCTCTTCTCCCTAGTCTCTCTTCTGCTCTGCTTCTATGATACCTTTTTTTTTTTTTTTTTTTTTTTTTTTTAAGATTCCACATATGAGTGAGATTATGTAGTACTTGTCTTTCTGTGTCTGGCTTATTTCACTTAACATGATGTCCTACAAGTTCACATGTTCTCATAAATGACAACACTTCATTCTTTTTATGACTAAATAGCATTCCATTGTGAATATATATCACATTGTATTTATCCATTCATTTAGTTGGAGACTTAAGGTTGTTTCCACATTTTGGGTCTTGGAAATAGTGCTGCGATAAACATGGGATTTCAGATATCTCTTTGATATATTTATTTCATTTTCTTTGGATGTATACCCATTAGTTGGATTGCTGGATCCTATGGTAGTTCTGTTTTTAATTGTTTGAGGAACCTCTATACTGTTTTCTCTAATGGCTGTGCTAGTTAACAATCTAACCAACAGTGCATAAGTTGTGGCCTCTCTTCACACCCTTACTAACACTTGTTTTGTCTTTTTGATAATTAGAGACTTTTGCCCATTTTTCAAGTTGTATTGTTTCTTCAAATTTGAGTTGTTTAAATTCACTATATATTCAGGATATATACACTATATATTCAGATGGGTAGTTTGTAAATATTAATATTTTCTCCTTTTCTGTATGTTATCTCTTCACTCTGTTAATAGTTTCCTTTGCTGTTCAAAAGCTTTTTCATTTGATATAATCTCATTTTCCTATTTTTGCTTTTGCTGCCTATGATTTTGAAGTTATTTAAAAATTATCTTTGCCAAGCCAAATGTCATGAAACATTTCCCCTATATTTTCTTCTGGTAGTTTCACAGTTTTAGGCTTTACATTTAAGTATTTAATTCATTTTGATTTGACTTTTGCATATAGTCTAGTCTTATTTTTCTGCATGTGATGATGCAATTTTCCAGCACCATTTATTGAAAGACTGTCTTTTACCCAATATATATTCTTGGCACCCTTGTTGAATATCCGCTGTAGGCATGTGAACTTATTTCTGGGTTTTCTACGCTGTTAAATTGGTCTATGAGTCTGTTTTTTATGCCAGTATCATGCTGTTTTGGTTACTAGAGCTTTGTAGCATATTTCAGGTAGTATGAAGAACCTCCTACAATATTCTTTTTGCTCTGAATTCCTTTGGCTATTTGGGGTGTTTAGTAGTTCCACATGAATTTTAGAATTTCTTTTATATTTATGTGAAAAATATCATTGGTATTTTGATACGTATTCCATTAAATCTGTAGGTTGCTTTGGATAGTATGGTCATTTTAACAATATGAATTCTTCTACTTCATGAACACTGGATAGCTTTCCATTTTTTCAGTGTCTTCACATTCGTTCAGAAAAGGTTTATAGGTCTTAGTGTATGGAATTTTATTACTTTCTATTTTTATTTCAATAGATTTTTGGTAACTGGTTTTTGGTTACAATGATAAGTTCATTAGTAAGGTGTAAGGTGGTATCTCATTGTGGTTTTAATTTGCATTTCCCTGATGATTAGTGATGTTGAGCATTTTTTCATATGTTTGCTGGCCATTTGTATATCTTCTTTTGGGAATTATTTATTTTTGTCCTTTGCCCACTTTTTGATGTGATTATTTGTTTTTTTCTTGCTGATTTATTTGAGGTCCTTGTACGTTATGAATATTAGTCTTTTGTCAGTACATAGTTTGCAAATATTTTCTCCCAATTTGTGGGTTGTCCATTTACTCTGCTGATTATTTCTCTTGCTGTGCAGAAGCTTTTTAGTTTAATGAGGTTCCATTTATTTATTTTTGTTTTTGTCGCATTTGCTTTTGGGGTCTTAGTCATAAATTCTTTGCCTAAGCCAATGTCTAGAAGTTTTCCCAATGTTGTCTTCCAGAATTTGTATGCTTTCAGCTCTTAGATTTAAGTCTTTGATCCATCTTGAGTTGATTTTTGTATAAGGCGAGAGATGAGGATCCAGTTTCATCCCTCTATATGTGGTTTGTCAGTTTTCCCAGCACTATTTATTGAGTAGGATGTTCTTTCCCCAATTTATGTTTTTGTAAACTTTGACAAAGATCAGATTGCTGTAACTATTTGGCTTTATTTCTGGGTTCTCTAGTCTGTTCCATTGGTCTACATGCCTATTTTCATTCCAGTACTATGCTGTTTTGGTAACTATATCCTCGAAGTGTGATTTGAAGTCAGATAATGTGATGCCTCCAGATTTGTTCTTTTTGCTTAGTCTTGCTTTTGCTATGTGGGTTCCTTTTTGGTTCCATATGAATTTTAGGATTGTTTTTTCTAGTTCCGTGAAGAATAATGATGGTATTTTGATGGGAATTGCATTGAATGACCAGATTGCTTTTGGCAATATGGTCATTTTCACAATATTGATTCTACCCATCCATGAGCATGGGACCTGTTTCCGTTTGTTTGTGTCATCTATATTTCTTTCAGCAGTGTTTTGTAGTTTTCCTTGTAGAGGTCTTTCACCTCCTTAGTTAGGTATATTCCTTTATTTTTTTTTCAGCTATTATAAAAGGGGTCGAATGACAATTCAATCGATGTCTTCTTTACCAATTTGGATGCCCTTTATTTCTTTCTCTTGTCTGATTGCTCTGGTCAGGACTTCCAGTACTATGTTAAATAGAAATGGTGAAAGTGAGCATCCTTGTCTTGTTCCAGTTCTCAGGGGGAATGCTCTCAATGCTTTTCCATTCAGTATTATGTTGCCTGTGGGTTTGTCATATATAGCTTTTATTACTTTGAAGTAAGTCCTTTTTATGCCTATTTTGTTCAGGGTTTTAATTATAAAGGGATGCTGGATTATATCAAATGCTTTTTCTGTGTCTATTGAGATGATCATATGGTTTTTGTTTTCAACTATGTTTATGTGATGTATCATATTTATTGACTTGCATGTGTTAAACCATCCCTGCAACTCTGGTATGAAATTCACTTGATCATGATGTATTATCTTTTTGATATGCTGTTCAATTTGGTTAGCTAGTATTTTATGAAGGATTTTTGTATCTATGTTTAACAGGGATATTGTTCTGTGGTTTTCTTTTTTTGTTTTGTTCTTTCTGGGTTTTGGTATTAGGGTGATACTGGCGTTATAGAATGATTTAGGGAGGATTCTCTCTTTATCTTTTGGAATAGTTTTAGTAGGATTGGTACCAATTCTTCTTTGAATGTCTGATAGAATTCAGCTGTGAATCCATCTGGTCCTGGACTTTTTTTTTTGTTGGCAGCTTTTTTTATTACTGATTCAACCTGGCTGTTAGTTATTGGTCTGCTCAGGGTTTCTATTTCTCCCTGATTTAATCTAGGAGGGTTGTATATTTTCAGGAATTTATCAATTTCCTGTAGGTTTTCTTGTTTGTATGCATAAAGTTGTCCATAGTAGCCCTGAATGATCTTTTGTATTTCTGTGGTATTGGTTGTAATATCTCTTGTTTCATTTCTAATTGAGCTTAATTGAATCGTCTCTCTTCTTGGTTAATCGTACTAATGGTCTATCCATTTTGTTTATTTTTTCAAAGAACCAGCTTTTTGTTTCATTTATCTTTTGTATTTTTTTCTTTCATTTTCATTTAGTTCTGCTCGGATCTTTGTTATTTTTTTTCTTCTGCTATGTTTGGGTTTAGTTTGTTCCTGTCTCTTAAGTTCCTTGAGGTGTGATATTAGGTTGTTTATTTGTGCTTTTTCACTTTTTCATGTAGGCATTTAATGCTATTAACTTTCTTCTTAGCACTGCTTTTGCTGTATCCCAGAGGTTTTGATAAGTTGTGCCACTATTATCATTCCTTTCAAAGGATTTTAAAATTTCCATCTTGATTTTATTGTTAAGCCAAAAATCATTCAAGAGCAGATTATTAAATTTCCATGTATTTATAAAGTCCTGAGGGTTCCTTTTGGAATTGATTTCCAGTTTTATTCTACTGTGGTCTGAGAAGATACTTGATATGATTTTGATTTTCTTAAATTTAATGAGAATGATTTTGTGGTTTATCATATGGTCTATCTTGTAGAATGCTCCATGTGCTGATGAGAAGAATGTATATTCTGTGGTTGTTGGGAAGAACTTTCTGTAAATATCTGCTAAGTCCATTTGTTCTATGGTATAGCTTAAGTCCATTATTTCTTTGTTGACTTTCTAACTTCATGATCGACCTAGCGCTGTCAGAGGAGTATTGAAGTCCCCCACTATTATTATATTGCTGTATATCTCATTTCTTAGGTTTAGTAGGTATTGTTTTATAAATTTGGGAGCTCCATTGTTAGGTGCATATAAATTTAGGATTGTAGCATCTTTCTGTTGGACTAATCTTTTATCAGTATATAATGTCCTTCTTTGTCTTGTTTTACTGTTGTTGCTTTAAAGTCTGTTTTGTCTGATGTAAAAATAGCTACTCTTGTTTTTTGTTTCCACTTGCATGGAATATCTTTTTCCACCTGTTTCCCTTAAGTTTATTTGAGTCCTTATGTGTTAGGTGCATCTCTTGAAGACAACAGATATTTGGTTAGTGGCTGTTTTATCCATTCTGCTATTCTGTATGTTTTAAGTGGAGCCATTTACATTCATCATTAATATTGAGATGTGAAGTACTGTTCTATTCATCATGTTAGTTGTTTCCTAGATACTTTCTTTTTTATTGTGTTATTGTTTTATATACCCTATGAGATTTATTTATTTATTTTGAGATGGAGTTACCCTCTTGTCGCACAGGCTGAGGTGCAATGGTGTGGTCTCGGCTCACTGCAATCCCCATCTCCCGGGTTCAGGCGATTCTCCTGCCTCAGTCTCCTGAGTAGCTGGGATTACAAGCACCCACCACCATGCCTGGCTAATTTTTGTATTTTTAGTACAGATAGGGTGTCACCATGTTGGCCAGGCCAGTCTCGAGCTCCTGACCTCAGGTGATCCATCTGCCTCAGCCCCTCAAAGTGCTGGGATTATAGGAGTGAGCCACTGTGCCTGGCTGAGATTTATTCTTTAAGGAGGTTCTATTTTGGTGTATATTGAACTTTTGTTTTAAGATTTAGAACTTCTTTTAGGATTTCTTGTAGTGCTGGGTTGGTAGGGGCAAATTCCCTCAGTGTTTGTTTGTCTGAAAAATACTTTCCCTCTCCTTCATTTATGAAGCTTAGTTTTGCTGGATAAAAAAAGTCTTAGCTGACAACTTTTTTGTTTAAGAAGGTTTAAATATAGGGCCCCAATCCCTTCTGGCTTGCAAGGTTTCTGATGAGAGATCTGCTGTTAATCTGATAGGTTTGACTTTATAGGTTGCCTGATGCTTTTTTCTCACAGTTCTTAAGATTCTTTCCTTTGTCTTGACTTTAGATAGCTTGATGATGATGTGCCTTAGTGATGGTCTTTGTGCAATTAATTTCCCAGGAGTTTTTAAAGCTTCTTGTATTTGCAGGTCTAGATCTCTAACAAGGCCAAGAAAGTTTTCCTCAATTATTCCCTCACATAAGTTTTTCAAACTTTTATACTTCTGTTCTCCATCCAGAGCACGATTTATTCTTAGGTTTGACCATTTTACATAATCCCATATTTCTTGGAGACTTTGTTCATTAAAGAAAAATTGTTTTTGTCTTTGTCTGATTGGGTTAATTTGAAAGCCTTGTCTTTGAGCTCTGAAATTCATTCTTCTATTTGTTCTAGTCTATTGTTGAAACTTTCCACTGCATTTTGTATTTCCATGGCATGTCTTTCATTTCGAGAAGTTCTGATTTTTTTAATGATATCTATTTCTCTAGAAAAATTTTCATCCATATTCTGGATTATTTTTGAAATTTCTTTAAGTTGCTTTTCACCTTCTCTGGTATCTCCTTGACTAGCTGAATAGTCAACCTTCTGAATTCTTTATCTGGCATTTCAGAGATTTCTTGGTTTGGATCCATTGCTGGGAGCTAATGTGATCTTTTGGGGGTGTTATAGAACCTTGTTTTGTCATATTACCAGAATTACTTTCCTAGTTCCTTCTCATTTGGGTAGACTATTTCTTTAAATTGTTCTTGAATTTATTTTTGATGGGACTGAGGTTTTTTTTTTTTATTTTTTCCCTCTTAAGGATCTGACTTTAATGTTTATATTTTATTTTAGCCTAATTTAATTCTTGGTGCTTTTAGGGTGAAGACTTTGTATGAGTTCCTTAGTTATAGAGAGACGTTGTGTGTTGGTTTTTCCAAATGTTGTTTGTAGTAGTTATGTACTTGTTGTGTGGGCAAGTTCACTGTCTCCTATGGAGTTGGAATGGCAGGGATCTCTTGAAGTTTGTCTCATTCTCTTGTGATGTATACTTTATTTATTTAACTTTACTCCAGTATTTTATTTACTGAGTTGATGATTCAGGCTTCAGTCCAATAGGAGAGGTAGCCCTTGGTAGTCACTGGTTGTAGCTAAGGCAGGTGGGTACATGTAATCCTCAGTGGTGGGCAGGGATCCCAGCCTTGATGAAGGTGGCTAAGGGAGTTCTCAATTAGATGTCCTGAGGTTGTACCAGGATGAAGGGTGTGAGCTACCTCAGTTCCCCTGCCAGGCCAACAGAAAAGTTATCCACCTCATAGCCTCACTCCTGTACCAGTGTTCTGGCTATTCAGATCATACGGGCACCTCTTTTCATGTGTAGGAATGTTGATGCTCCAAGTAGCGGGGAATTGTGACCTTGCCTCTTATGCAGGCCTGAATATGGAGAGTACTCCCCCTGTTGGGCTGCAATCACCATGAATGGTTCCAGGAAGGCTGTCTATAGACGCATATACACTGCATTCTTGTGATAGAAACTCCAGTTGTGTCCGCAGTGATGTACCAGGGTTGAACAAGGATCTCTTCTCCAAGACCCTTCATGATCACAGAGGCTGCCTGCCTGTTGGGGTAGAGGTGCTGACTTTCTCTATTGTGCCCAGCTCTGCACTTGGGTCACTGCTGAAAGAAACATTCCACCAGTGGAAAGATCTGGGACTCAAGCCTGCTGTTCACACTCTTTTGTTCCATGGGGTGTTCTCTTGATATGGTGTTCTCTCCCTTCCCCTAAAAATGGGACTTCTTGAGAGCTGTACTGCAGTGATTACTATTGATCTTCTGGGTCTAGCCACCCAGTAGGGCTACCAGACTCTGGGCTGGTGATGGAGAATGTCTGCAAAGGATCCAGTGATGTGACCTTTTTTCAAGTCTCCCAGCAATGGATACCAGCACCTGCTTTGAATGGAGGTGGCAGGGGAGTGACGTAGACTGAGATTCCTTGGTTGTCAATAGGCTTAGTGTGCTGGCTTTCTTGAATGCTGGTTATACTAATAGTGAACTTGTCATGTGGACAGACTCAGGACCCCTGGATAGCCAGGGTATTGCAGGCAGTGGTGTAAGCTGAGATCCCACAGCTGTTTTCTCCTTCCTGAGAGCAGTGATATTCTGCTGAGAGGTATTGTGATGGCCTGAGTTGGCTGGCCTCCAGCCAGGAGGTGGCGCTTGCAAGACAGCATCAGCTGCAGTAGCAGCAGTGGGATTTGAGCTTGCTTTAAGTTGCCCAGGGGAATTATTCTGGTTTCTTAGGTGATGGACAGGGCTGTAGAGCTCCCAAAAGTTTATGTTAT
This sequence comes from Homo sapiens, assembly GCF_000001405.40. Taxonomy (NCBI): domain Eukaryota; kingdom Metazoa; phylum Chordata; class Mammalia; order Primates; family Hominidae; genus Homo; species Homo sapiens. The sequence goes on from NC_000004.12 coordinate 141,702,834, forward strand.
TTGTGTTCATCTACTAGGATGAGTGGAGAAATATCACCAGGTGAGGGCAGGGTTAGGTGGGTCTGAGCTCAGACTCCCCTTGGGTGGGGCCTGCCGCAGCCACTGTAAGAGGCATGGGGTGGTTTGCAGGCCACTAGGGTAATGATCCAGAGGTGAGTATAACTGCCTCTGCTATGCAGAAGATTTCACAAAGGGAGTGGGGAGTAGCCGGCAGCAGTAAGCCTCATCCAGCTCCTTGCAGTTGGCAAGGCCAATCTCACTCCTGAAGTGTCCTGCTATCAGCACCAGGTTTAGGTCCACATAACATATGCACAGAACTCAGACCTGCCTGAGGCCATAAGCTTCCCTGCAGAAATAGCAAGCATGACTTTTGGGTCACATCCCTCCTCCTCTCGTCTGCCCTCAAGGCTGGTCAGCAGTGCTCTTCCCACTCGCCACCAAGTTCTGTTGATGGGTGTACATCCCTACTCAAAATTATATCACAAATTCAGCTGGGAGCTTCTTTTACCCTGTGACCCCTCCCTGAGCTCATTGGCTAACTTTCTTGAGGGCTCCTGTGAGATATAGTCAGGAATGGCTTTCCTTGGTTCATACTAGAGACTCAGAATACCTGCAAGGCACTTCCTGCGACTGCTTCTACTTTTATTTTCACGAGGCTCCCTAAATTTGTTCCAGCTCTTGGTAGCATTAAGGCCTTCTCCTGTGGCCTGGATTTTCAGATTCCTTAGTGGGGATATGTGCTCAAAGGTAGAATCTCCCCGTCTCATACTCTGGGAACTTTTATTTTTTTTCCTATCTCATGGAGTAGGCTGCAGCCTATCACTTCTTTCAAAAGGTCTGTGGATTTTTCCAGTTTTCCCAGTGGGAGAGGCATGCTAACACTGCCTCCTATCTGCTATCTTGAAAAAAAAAAAAAAAAAAGGTGTATAGATCATTCACTTCCTTGGTTAAGTTTATTTCTAGGTATTCGATTTTTTTAATTTTTTGTAGCCATTGTAAATAGGATCCCTTTTTGATTTCCATTTTAGCTAATTCATTATTGGTGTATAGAAATGCTGGTGATTTTTAAATGTTGTTTTTCTGTCCTGCAACTTTACTGAATTTGTTAATTTTAAAAGTTTTTTGATGAATTCTTTAGGGTTTTTAATATATAAAGTTTTATCATCTGCAAACTGGGACAATTTGACTTCCTCCTTTCCAATTTGGATGCCTTTTATTTATCTGGCCTAATTGTCCTGGGTAAGATTTCCAGTACTATGTTGAATAGAAGTCATGGATAGGCATCCTTGTCTTGTCTTTAATCTTAGAAGAAAAGCTTTCAGCAATTCCCCCTTCAGTATGATGTTAGCTGTTGTTTTGTCATATATGACCTACTGAGATACATTCCTTCTATGTCTAATTTTTTGAGAGTTCTTCACATGAAGGAATGTTGAAGTTTTTCAAATGCTTTTCTGCATATTATCATCTGGATTTTGTTTTTCTTCCTGTTAATGTGTTGTACCATATTTATTGATTAGCTTGTTATACCATGCTTACCATGCTTGCATCTCTGGGATGAATCCCACTTAATCATACTAAATGATTTTTTTAATATGCTGTTGGATTCAGTTTGCTACTGTCTTGTTAAGAATCTTGTGTCTATATTCCTCATCAATATTGACCTATAGTTTTATGTTTTTGTTGTATCCTTGTCTGGTTTTGGAATCGGATTAATGCAGGCATTATAAAATAAGTTTAAAAGTATTCTCCCATCTTCAATTTTCTTCAGTAGTTTGAGGAGAATTGGTGTTAGTACTTTATATATTTGGTGGAATTCAGCAGTGAAGCTTTCAGGTCCTGGTCTTTTCTTTGATGATGGAAGACTTATTAGTGATAATAATAAATAATAATTTATATTAATTGTTATTAATTTCTTTACTCATTATCAGTCTGTTCAGATTTTCTATTTCTTGGTGGATTTTCTATTTTAATTTTGATAGGTCATATGTGTCCAGAAATTTATTCATTTCTTCCATGTCATCAATTATTTTGGTGTATACTTATTCATAATAGTCTCTCATGATCCTTTGTATTTTTGTAGTATCAGTTGTTATGTCTCATTTTTCATCTCTTATTTTATTTATTTGAATCTCTCACTTGTTTTTTACCATAGGTAAAGGTTTGTTGATTTTTATCTTTTTAAAAAGCCAAATCTTTGTTTTGGTTTTTATATGAATTCATTTTTTTGTCTGTATTTTATTTGTTTATGTTTTGAATTGTATTATTTCTGTCCTTCCTTCTACCAATTTTGGGTTTAGTTTGTTCTTATTATTTTTAGTTCCTTGAGGTGAATCATTGGATTGTCTACTAGAAATCTTTCTTCTTTTTTGGTGTAGGCATTTACTATTTTAAACTTCCCTCTCAGAGTTTCTTTCACTATGTCGCATAGGTTTTGATATGATGTGTTTCCATTCTTGTTTGTCTGAGGGAAATTTTTTTTCACTTTTACTTCCCTCATTGACCCATTGGTTATTTAAGAAAAAGTTGTTTAATTTCTATGTATTTTTAAATTTTCTGAAGTTTTTATTTTAGTATTGATTTCTAGTTTTATTGCATTATGGTTAGGAAAGATACTTGATATGATCTCTATCTTCTTAAAAATTTTAAGACTTGTTTTGTGGCCTAACATGTGATCTATCCTAAAAAATGTTCCATATGCAGGTGAGAAGAATGTGTACTCTGTCGGATGCAGTGTTCTATAAATGTCTGTTAGGGCCATTTGGTCTATGGTATAATTTAAGTCCAATGTTTCTTTGTTGATTTTTTGTCTAGATGATCTGTTCATTGTTGAAAGTGGTATATTGAAGCCCTCTACTATTATTGTATTGCCCTCTGTTTCTCCTGTTAGGTCTAATAATATTTGCTTTAGATATCTGGGTGCTCTGGTGTTGGGTGCATAAATATTTATAATTGTTACATCCTCTTATTGAATTGATTTCTTTATTTTTATATAATGACCTTCTTTACCTCTTTTTACAGTTTTTGACTTGATGCCTATTTTATCTGATATAAGTATGGCTATTTCTGCTTGCTTTTTGTTTCTGTTTGCATGGAATATCTTCTTCTATCCCTCCACTTTCAGTCTGTGTTATGCTTGTTGGCAGCATATAGTTGGTTCCTTTTAAAAATTCATTCAGCCACTCTCTATCTTTTAACTGGAGAATTTAGTCCACTTATATTCAAGGTTATTATTGATAGATAATAACTTACTCCTAACATTAAAAAAATTACTTTCTGGTTATGGTTATTTCGTAAATGTTTTGTTCCTTTCTTCCTCTTTTATTGTTTATCTCTGTGGTTTGGTGGTTTTATGTGTTACTAAGCTTGGTTTCTTTTCTCCTTCTTGTTTGTATATGTGTTATATCTTTCTTTGTGGTTATTATAAGGATAAAGGGTACTGATGGTTTATTTAAATCTGATAGCAACTTAATTTTGTTCACATAAAAATACTCCAGATGTTTTCTCTTTTCTTTACTATTTATATATTTGTTTCCTTAATTTACTTCTTTACCCATTATGTAGCTGTTGTAATTTTTGACCGTTTTGATTTAAACCTTCATACTAGAGGATTAAAAGATTTGCATAACATTACAGCGCTAGGATATTCTGAGTTTGATTTATGAATTTACCTATACTGGTGAGCTTTATATTTTCACACGTTTTTATTATAGTAATAATGAGCCTTTCATTTCCAATTGTACCACTCCTTTAAGCATTTCTTGTAAGATCAGTTAAGTGGTGATGAATCCCGTCAGTGTTTGTTTGTCTGGGAATGTCTTCATTTCTCCTTCATTTTTGAAGGATAGCTTTGCTGAATATAGTGTTCTTGGCTGATTTTTTTTTTTTTAATTTTCAGCACTTTGAATATGTCATGCCATTCTCTCCTAGTCTGCTGAAAAATCTGATAGTCTAATAGAGATCCTTTTGTATGTGAGTTAATACATTTGTCTTGCAGCTTTTAGAATTCTTTGTCTTTGACTGCTGACAGTTTGATAATCATGTGCCTCAGAAAGGATCTTTTGGGGTTCAATTTAATTAGGGACTTTTCAGCTTCCTGAATCTAGATGTTTGTATCTCTGAATACTTGGGAAGCCTAAAGCTATTATTTCTTAAATACATTTCCTATGCCTTTAAAAAAATTTCTTCTTCCTCTGGCATTCCTATAATGTGAATATTTGTTTGCCTAATTGTATCCCATGTATTCTGTAGGCTTTCTTCATTCTCTTTTGTTCTTATTTCTGTGTTTTTCCTCTGACTGGGTTATTTCAAACGCCTGTTTTCTAGTTCAGAAATTCCTTCATGAAAGATCTAGTCTATTGTTAAAAATTTCACTTGTATTTTTTAAATTTTCATTTATCAAATTTTTCAGCTCCCAGATTTCTGTTTGGTTCTTTTAAAATTATATTTATATATTATGCATTTCTCATTCCAATTATTGATTGTTTGTCTGTGTTCTATTGTATCTCACTGAGCTTTTTAAAGATCATAATTTTTAATTATTTTTTAGGCATTTCATAAGTATCATTTTACTTGGGGTCTTCTACTAGGATTTATTGTGTTCCTTTGGGGGTATCATGTTTTCTTGCTTTTATTATATTTCCTTTGTCTCTGCATTGATACTTGTTCATATAGTAGAATAGTTTTTGTTTCCAATTTTATGGAGTAGCTTTTTCAGGGAGAGACATTTCCTGTAGATAAATCCTAGGGTATAAGTTCAGCATGGTGAATGGCTTTGATTCTGGGTGGACTCAGTAGCACGGTATCTGTGCAGTTTCTTTGGCTGTAATACTCATCAGTGGTGTCTGTGATTGACTCAGTGGTCTACGCTGTGAGAGCTTTTGAGGTAGTGGCATAGTTTTCTTGGGGTGGGAGCACTGGGTTGGTTTTCAGGTTGGGCATGTGGGGGCACAGAGAGCTGACAAGCTGTCTGGCTACCTCTCCAGAGAGTCAGTGGCTACTGCTGTGCTGGCTGTTGGGCCAGGCTTGAGCTTACAGAGATGCTGCCAGCAAGGTGGCTGTGTGGCTTTCTTTTCAGTGAGGCAGGGCAGCCACCAAACTAGATGAGCACAGCAATGCCAAGCATCCCTGTGGCAGTCTGTTGGAGAGGCAGAGCTGCTGCAGGACTGGATGTCGGGCTGCATGTGAATGTTTGTGGGTGCAGCAAGGCCATGCAGCTCTGCAGTGGCCTTTCATGGGAGTAGGTTGCCACATGACCACTTGCCAGGCTGGGTGCAGGCACATACATGCTCAGAGTGCTTGCTGGCTGTGAAGCACAGGTATGTGTTGGTAACATGGCTAGTGGCTGTTTGGAAGCTTCCCTGCTGTGCATATCTGCCTGTTCCCTGAGATAGTGGTGTGCCATGTGAGTTTGGACACTGGGGTCTTGGTCATTATGACATGCCTATGCTCTAGGTAGCTGAGTTTGTGGTGGTGCAAGCATTCATGTGAACATAGTGGAATGAGAGCAGGGCCTCAGGGATGGAGACAGTCAGTTGCTATTGGCTCCTACTAGTGGGTCTGGTTTTAAGAAGCCATTGAGCTCTATCATCTTAGGCCTTAAGGGTGGGAGGTGTTCAAGGTGGGCTCCTACTGTGAGGCAGTGCAGCTGTACAAACTTCTGGCTAATCTCCAAACTGGATTCAAAACCTATAAGGACCAGGAGACTCTCCTGCAGCAAGGATTTCTGGCATGTGTGGTAATAATTGGGACTGCTGGGGATTTAGAGCTTACCTTTACCCCATAAGAAGAAGTCTCCCTGACTCTGAGCTAATTCTGGTGAAGATGACATTGTGGCAGAAGTGGATTACTTGCTCTCCTCTCTATGGTGCTATTCTCGCCTTCTGTGCTTCACAGGGATGTTGCCACTGCCAGGGTGCTCTCCAGCATACTTCCTCAGTCACTCCAGTCAAATTATAGATGTTTATTCACTGTTTTGATCCCTTTTAGTTGGGGGAACAAGCACCAGGTAACTATAGTCAGTCATCTTTCTAACTTCACTTGGACAGGTATTTTAATTATGTGCAATTTCCAGATTGACTTCCTCTTTTATTCAGGATTACTTTAAATGATAATTTTATGTTTATAAGTGGATGGGATTTTTTATTTGCTATTCTTTTATTATTAATTTGTAATTCAATATTATTCAATATTGAAAATTTTCAATATTATTCAATATTGAAAATTTTCAATATTATTCAATATTGAAAATTTTCAATATTGAAAAATTTCAATATTATTGAAATTTTCAGAATTCAATATTCAATTTAATAGTTCAATACTATTAATTTTTTGGTTTTGTGATCATATAATGTAACAAGTATGAATTCAGATTTGTGTAATGTTTGAGACTTTATTTTAGATCTAGGACATAAACACTTTAGGTCTAGGTCATAGATGACCTTTTACAAATATTCTGTATGTTTATTTTTAATGCGCTATCACTGTGGTGTAGGATGTCATGTATCTAATCTGTTTAATCAAATGTACATATATACTACATAAAAAGGTTGTTCATTGTGTTTTTAAAATTTGCCCTAGGCATTGGTTTGCTGGAGCCAGCTCTAATTGGCTCATTAGGGCCAATGGTTAAATAGTTAGGAATTTTATGAGCCAGCTTTTAAGCCATTGGTATTTTGAAGTCAGTATAGTGAGGTTTTTATACAACAAAAATTGGGAAATGCTACAAAACAACGATTTTTTTTTTGAGAGCTAGTTTACTGGCATATCAATGCTAGCCTTACTGATTTCTGTATATGTTTAAATTTCTAAAAACTATGTTAAAATATTTGATAACTTATTTTTCATATTCATTTTTCTCTATATAATTTGAAGCTATACTGTTAGGTACATAAACATTCATAACTATTATATCTTCTGAGAGGGTTTTATTTATTTATTTTCTCAACTTTTATTTTAGGTTCAGGGTGTATATGTGCAGGTTGGTTACATGGGTGAATTGTGTGTTGCTGAGGTTTGGTGTATGAATGATGCCATCACCCAGGTAGTGAGCACAGTAATCAATGAGTAGTTTTTCAACCCTTGTTCTCCTCCCACCCTCCCCCCACACTAACTCAGTGTCCAGTTTCTGTTTACCCCAACTTATAAGTGAGAAGATGCAGTATTTGATTTTCAACAGAAAATCACTAAAAATCATTATTTTGCCTATGATAATGGCTTCCAGCTGCATCCAAGCTGCTGCAAAGGATATGATTTCCTTCTTTTTATGACTGCATAGTATTCCAAGGTGTATATATACCACATTTTAAAAAATTCAGTCTACTGTTAATGTGGAATTACTGCAGGGCCTCAGCAATGGAGACAGTTATTGGCCCCTGGGGCAGGATACCCTCTATTAGTGGGTCTGGTATCAAGAAACCATTGAGCTGTATAATCTTAGGTCTTAGGGGTGGGAGGTGTTCAAGAGCCAGTGTTAATGGACATTCTCAGAGAGTTTTAACTTTTATCCATGTGCATTATCCATTATATTGTTTAGTACTTCTCACTTGAGTTCTACTTTTTCTCTATTCTTGTTACTACAGTCATATTTACTTGGCATATCTTTTTTTTGTAATTTTTAAGCATTTCGTATCATTTTATTTTTGTTTCATTTCTTATAAACTCATTTTAAAATTTATCTCTGTGTCTACTTTTTAACTAATGTTAGTATCCATCTCTTAGTAAGGAAATATAGTTTATTTACATCTTTGCTTGCATGAGTGAATGATTACTGGTATGTTTAGACTTACTACTGCCACATTGTTTTTTCTGTATATTTTTACTGCACTTTCTTTTTTTTCTTCTCTCTTTCTGCCTGTCCCCACTACCTCTACTACTATTACAACCTTCTGTTAGATTCTTTGAGTTTTGTTTGTTCATTTTATTTTATTTTGGTTTGGAAATTATACATGTCTGGCTTGGGTTTTTTTTTCATAGTTAAATTTTCTCTTGACTTTTTGCAATTAATTAGCATAAGTGTATTTCAAATTATCACAAATAAAATAATCATCAGAGTATGAGTTTACTTCCTCCTCTTCCTTTTCCTACACCATTTCCCCCAGGGAGAGTATCCATGATTTTCCTTGCACATTGCTACTTGTAAAAGTACATGGCTAAATCACTAGTTTCCTAGCATTGCGACTGATGATACAGTGACTGAAAAGGAGGATGAGATAATTTTTTATAATTACAAATATTTTCTATATCATGGTTGTGGTAGTAATTTCATGAGTGTATAGTGTCATCAGAACTGTATACTGTATGCTTAAAACAAGTGTATATTTTATTATCTTAAAATTGTATCTCAATAAAGTTTATTTAAAAGTATGGTACAGAATGTCAGACAGAGCAAGAAATAATTAGCAGGATGTAGAGAAAGCCCATTGCAAGTTACATCTTATGAAATTATACTGGCATGGTTTTTCCAGAAATACTTAGCAGTTTGGAACTTGAAATTGGCGAGATGAATGTAGCAGAAAGATGAAATGTGGGGTAAAATTAGTGTGCTATTTAGGATAGTATTTATTACAGTGACTGGCTGGGCCACCTTCTGGTTAGGGAAGCTAGTGCAGCTAAGATGCTGATAGTTGTGAGAATAAGGACAATCTGTTTATAATATAAACAAATTAAAAATCAAATCCAGTAATTATGTCATATGTGCTTTTTATATGCTTAGCATGCTTATAGGTGTTGTAGGTACAGTAACTAGTAAGATACACAAGGTTTCTGACCACAAGAATTTCACATTTTTGCAAAATGAATGATGTCAAAAATGTACTTTAATGAATTGCCATTAGTTATTTAGACTCAAATATAAATGTTACTAATTCTGCATACTTATATCCCACATCTTTTTTGAATAACTTTTTAATTTATCTGGAATGCATTTTTTACTTAATTATTTCATAGACATTCTGTGGGTCTTATATTTTCTAAGATGTGCTATGAAAGAATGTTTTTGCCCTCCTTTTCAAATACTAATAGCTTTCTAGGTTCAAACTCATTCTCACTTAGAACCTTGAAGATGAATTCTCTTGTCTTGTAAGTACCATGATCAGATTCATTCTGATTTTTGTCCTTAAATAGCTTTCTATTAGCATGTGTTTCATTATCCTGGAATTAGGAAATTCAATTTAAAATTGCTGTGTTTTTCAATTATCCCTTTTATGCCCTGTCAATGTGAAAGCTTGTGTTCTACTTCAGCTCTGTAAACTTTTCTTTTATGACTGTTTTGATTGTTTCATTCTGTCTGTTGTCTCTTTGCTGTCTGTTTATGGAACTCCTTTTGGATACTATGTTGGAATTTCTACACCTATCTATCTGATAATTTCCAACTTTTTCTTCTTCTGTACTATGGTTTGGGATAATTTCTTCACCTTAGTGAGTGTTTGAATGAAGTGCTTTTGAAAACTGACTAGAGGAACAGATATCATTGATTGTTTCCGGACAGTAGGTTAAATATATTTTTGCTGCCCTGAGGAAGCTGTCCATTGTTCCTGCCCTGGAGAATTATACTAGCTGGGATTTTTCAAAAACATTTATACCAAACATTTTCAAAAACATTTGCACCAAGTGACAATAGCCCATGAACATAGTGCTACAGAAAACTATGATCAGAGAGTGGTAAGAGATCTACCATATATCCCCTCCAGCTACATAAATGAATATCCCTTGTTTACCTTAAACAATAAGCTACCTGAGGTGTTTCTATATTTATTTTATATATTTCTATAAATAAATATATTGTTTAAATATATATTAAATATTGTTTAAATATATATTTCTATATATAAATATATTGTTTAAATATAGTGTTTCTATATTTACCCACTATCTGTTTAATTAATGCTTTTTGATAGTGATTGAAACTAAGATGTCCAAATCTTACTGCTACCTCTGTCCCTGGCAGCTCAAAAAATATTTATATAGATTATTGTTTGCTTTGGAAACATTTCAATATAATTAACCAATTTGTCTTATTTTAAGCATTCCAAAGAACTTAAAGGTGTTTCATTAAAAAAGATACATATATTTATATACCTTTGTATGAAGTAGTTACCTAATCATTTTTTTTTGTTTTGATAAGCTGAAATTTATAGGCCTTATAAACATATTGTGTAGCCTTATAAGAGAATTAATACCAACCTCAGGTCTTATATTTGTATGAATGAATTTTTAAAAATCATTATAGTAACCCAAGTTATTATAGTTTGTATTGGGGCTTATTTAGCCTTGATATTGAATACAGATTAAGTTTGAGGACATTTCTTATTTGAAAATCTCATATTGGTGTCAATTTAAAACAGTTTGAAAGCAATTGCTGAAAATGTCTTAGTGCGATTAATGATAGGAAGATTGGAGATGTTTAAAGATATCACTTTCTCAGCTGTACTTAAATTAGGACTGAAGAGATCTGTAGCGGTCAAAAGCTGGCAAACCAACTGTTTATTTATCAAAACCGACTAGTTATTTATCAAAGCAGGTGGTTGGTGATTCAAATCCATCAACCACCTGTTTTTATAAATAAAGTTGTATTGGAACACAGCCATACCCATTTGTTTATGTGTTGTCTATAGCTGCTCTTACACTACAGTGGATGAGTTAATCACTGGCAACAAAGTCTACAAGACTTGCAAAGCATAAAACATTATCTGGCCCTCTACACAAAGTGTTAACCAGTTGCTGCTTTAAACAACGGTGACAGTTTTGTGGAGTCTTACTGACCACTACTTTCATACTGTTAGGAAAATGGCTCACAGTCATCTGAAAACACACTATACTTGGTTGCATATGGCCTTGCTTGGGTTCTGCCTTCTGCCTCAATGCTGTTTTTCTCCTTTCACTCATGCCTAGAATATATCCAACCTTCAAGGTATGATTCACGTAACACTACCTTTATGAAGTCCTATCATAAAGAAATGAAGTAAAATTTCCTGGACAAATCTCCCAATCGCTCCCTTACATATAGTTTGAAATCCCTTGCCCCTCTCTTCCTTGTACTTGCTTGGTATACACATAACATGTTTAAATCCAGTTCTGTACCTATTCCAGGCTTTCTTTCCCTTTCAGCTTACTGTGGCTGGAGAAAACACATACCACCCTAATGACTAATCTCACTCCACAACCATTCACAACATTGATCCTTCAAAAGGTCAGGCTCTCATACTATTCTCCCAGTTACCTAAATGGCTATTTTGTGTGTCCTCTTCCCTCTCCTCCTCCTCCTGTCCCCATCCTCCTCCTGTCCCCATCCTCCTCCAATCTTCACTTTCTGCTCATGTCTTTTTATTTTAATTCACTGAGAAAATGGAAGTAATAGTAGAAAACTTACACCTACCTACCAGCCCCATCCCCCTTATAACTCAGCATTCCTTCCCGTGACAGTAGATGACTCAGCCCTCGCCCCCTCTTGGAGGTGAGCTAACATCCTCATCTTCACTTGCTTATTAGAGAACATTACTCTGGCACTTCCCACCCCCTCCAAAATCCTTAATTCCCCCTCTCTAATAAGTCAGTCCCATCAGCATGCAAACATGTTGTTATTTCCACCACTTACCACCTGCAACAACCCCCTTTCCTTCCTCCCTTTTGGAGCAGGATTCTTAAAAACATTGCCTGCACTAGCATCTTAAAAACCTTTTCTTGCTACTTTCTTGTCAGCCATCCCAGGCAGGCTTCTGCCTCCATCTAACCCCTAAAAGTGCTATTGTCAGAGTCATCTGACATGACCTCCGGGTTGCCAAGCCCACTGGTCAGTGCTGAAACTGTGTCTTGCTTGGCCTGTCAGTGCATTTGATGTGTCCATCATTCCCTTTTGCTGGATATACTTCCCTTGACTGACTTCTAGAATATGATACTCTTCATTTTCCCCTTATTCAGTAGTCATTCCTTTTGATTTTTCTTTCCTGGTCCTTCTTTTATAATCCTTGACCTAATTAATACTGAAGTATCCCATGCTCAGGTTTTGGTCCTTTTCTCTACCTACATCACTCCCTCATGAGCACTCTGATGAGTTGCATATCTATTTCCAGTTCAGACACATTCCTGAACTCGAGATTTATGTATCCAATGGCATATTTGATATTTCCTTGTGCATATCTAATGAGCCTTTCAAACTCAGCATGTCCAGAACTGAAACTCCTGACCTGTCCCCTCTCCTCAAGGCATCAGCTGTGTCCAAGGCTTGCTTTTTTCAGTTGATGTCAGCTCCATCTTCTCAGGTGTTCAGAGGAAAAGACTCAGAGTCATTCTCATTCTCTTTTTCCTCCTGTACCCTGCAATCTGTCTGGAAATTATATTAGTCCTATCATAAAAAATGATTCCAGACTCTAACCACATGTATCTATCTCCACTGCTACCCCAAGCAGATTCAGGTCCTCCTCTCCTCCACCTTTCTGACCTCATCTCAGACTACTCTTGCCCTTGCTCATTCCACTGGCTTCTTTTCTGTCCCTTAGACTCATAGCCACACAGTTGCCTCTGCCCTAGCTATTCCCTCTGCTTCAAATAGTCTTCACTGAGATACCACCGGGGCTCACACCCTTTCTATCTTTACCCTGACTACCCAAAATTTCAACCTCACCCTTCTTACCTTGTTTCCTTTTTCCTAGATAATTTTTCACTCTCTAATAAAATACATAATTATAATAACTTATTTGTGCATTTTCTATATGGTTCATCTTTCTTTCTGAAATCAAGATTGTGTTCTGCCATCATTGATGTATTCCAAGGTCATAAAAAATGCCTAGCCCATAATAAATATTCAGTGAATATTTACTAAATGAATCAAGGAAAGTGATGTTGTCTTATAGTCTCTATATTCTATTCAGTCTCGGCTTGTCTTTTCTAGTGGTTTGAATGAATGGATGATGCATTTAACCCAGAAAACCAATACTTGTAAATCTTTTATTCTTGTATGTTTAATTAATTTTAAATGTGTGATTAGACAAGTTAATAAGCAGAACAAAACATCAAGTATGTTAGATCATCTTTCCTCACTGGGAAGAACTATAATATTGGTATAGAATGTAAGATGTTTACAGTTATTTTCACAAGCAATGATTTGCTTGGGAAATAGCAATGGTGTGAGCCCCGACAGTATCTGGGTGAAGAATATTTGAAGCAGAAGGAAAATCTAGAGCAGAGGCAACTGTGTGACTACGAGTCTAAGGGACAGTTTTCACTCCAGAATGAAAACTATAGAGATGCCTGCCTGCGTTAACTTGCTCACCTCACTATGTATTTTCCCTGGGCAGTACCATCCTGCTAGGATTTCAGTGCTGCCATGAGTCAGCAGTCACCTTGCAGTGAGATCCAATCACAAGATTCCAAACAATTCCTACCCTGTGAGCTCCTTGAGGACAGGGCTGGGATTTAGTCTCTTTTATTTCACAGGCCCAGAGTTCTAGGATGGCAGAATGGTTTCGGGTGCCAGGCCCCACCTGGTTGCTCTCCATGGGCATACTGCCCAGGGCTGCCTTGGGACTTGGCTCCCTACATTTTGGTGCAGCAGTCTTCAGCCACCCCAACTATGGCTTAAGTGGCCCCAGCTGCAGCTTGACCCACTGCTTCACAAGATACAGGTGGTAAGCCTTGGTGAAATTCATGTAGTGTTAAGCCTGCAGTCTCACAGAATACAAGAGCTGAGGGGGCATGGCTTCCTCCACTTTGATTTCAAAAGATGATGCTGACTTATTTGGGGCACAGGCAGAGACTTTGCACAGGGGTAGAACCACCACAGAGAGCCCCCAACAGGGCGGTGCCTCATGGAGCCAAGGAAATGGGGTTGCCACCAAAATCCTAGAATTATGGTTAACAGTGTAGAGCTGCAGTCTGGAAAAGCTTCAGGCATGAGACTCCAACCCATGACAGCTGAAGAATAGGCTGAGCCTAGGAAAGCTATGGGAGCTGAGCTGCCTGAGGCCTTAGGGGTCCAACCCCCACCCAGTGTGCCCAGGATGCAGAATATGGAGTGAAAGGAAATTATTCTCCAACTTTAAGATTTAATATTGTTCTCCCTGTTGGGTTTTGGACTTGTTTCAGATGAGTTATCCCTCTTTTCTTGCCTATTTCCCCATTTTAGAATGGGAATGTCTCTTCTATACCTTCGCACATTGTATTTTGGAAGCAGATAGCTTATTTTGATTTCACAGGCTCGTGGTTGCAGAACATTTGCCTTCAGGATGAAGTCACACCCATATTTGATTTAGATAAGTATTACCTAGATAACTCGATTAACTAGATTTAGATAAGTATTAACTAACAGTATTAAGAGTTAATACTGGAGTGACTTTTGAGCCTACTAGGATGGAATGAATATATTTTGCATTGTATGAAGGATGTGAATTTGGCAGAGAGGGGAGGGTAGGTGCAGAATGCTATGGTTTGAATGCCTCCACCAAAACTCATGTTGACATTTAATTGTGAATGTGACAGTTTTAAGAAGTGGGATCTTTAACAGGTAATTAGGTATCTCTTTAGGCACTTTCATTAGACAGGGCCCTCATGAATGGATTAATGCAGTTATGGAGGGAGTGAGTTTGTTATTGCATGAGTGGGCTCCTTATTAAAGGGTGATTTTGGCTCAGTTTCCTCTCTGTCTCATGTGCTTGCTTTCACTTCTACCCTTCTGCCACAGGATGACCCTTAGCAGATGTCAGTGCCATGCACTTGTACTTCCCAGCCTCCAGAACTGTGAGCCAAATGAGCTTGTGTCCCTTGTAAATTAAGTTTGTGGTGTTCTCTTATAGCAGCAGAAAATGGATTCAGGCAGCAAGCAGAGCTATAAAATACTTCTTTTTTTTTTTTTTTGAGATGGAGTTTCACTTTTGTTGCCCAGGCTGTAGTGCAAAGGCATGATCTCGGCTCACCACAACCTCTTTCTCCCGGGTTCAAGCAATTGTCTGGCCTCAGCCTCCCGAGTAGCTGGGATTACAGGCATGCACTATCACACCCGGCTGATTTTGTATTTTTTTGTAAAGACGGGGTTTCACCATGTTGGTCAGGCTGATCTCAAACTCCCGACATCAGGTGATCCTCCTGCCTCGGCCTCCCAAACTGCTGGGATTACAGGCACGAGCCACCATGCCCGGCCAATACTTCTTTTCATCTACACTGGCTTCCATTATCATGATTTTGTTAGATACTTTTGAGGACATTTTCTATTGCATTCCTCCATGTTTGGCAACCACACTCTATGGTGGAGTCTTCTGGCTAAGCACTTAGTCTTCTTTTACTTATACCAGCAGGATGTAGTTGAGCAGGGTAGTGAAAATCCATTGTGACATTGTAAAGCCTCACTGCTATAAGAGGCCAGGAATGAAATTTTCATTGTTTACAAAAGTAGCTTCGTAAGGCCTAATTAAGAATTATATCACCCATGGCATTGCTCAATCCCAAGTCAATATTTTTTTTTTTTGAAAAATGTGGATTCAAGGATACCACAACTAAAAGGGATGTAGGGAATTTAAGAGGCTTTGGATGAAATGATGAAGATTACGGTAAAGTTTTATAAAAAATTTGAAGCACTGAGATAATATAGACAAAGGGAATAATTATAAAATGAGAGTGATAAGGAAGGTTTGCTTTAAATAAACCAATCAATGAGTGATTTAGATCATATGTAACAGGAATATTAGATTTGATATGTTCTTGTGGACAAAAAGGTATTTCTATTGGATACACCTTTGTATCTTGCTTAATACCTAAATAAGTGTTAGCTTTTTCTTTCTATGAGTTATAGACAATACATTTTAAAGCAGCCATTTTTTATATTTCAGAAACATCTGAAAAGTATAATAATTTAATTCTTTGTGTTTATGGAACTTAATTCAGTGAATATTTATGTCATGGGTTGTGGCAGATTTTGGTTTTTTGTGGAAGAGGTCACCATGTATATACTATTTTGAAGGGCAGAAAATAGTTGTTTCTATTTTTGTATATTTTGGTTATAAACTGCTTTTAATGGCATGGAGTTGAATTTAGGGATGTTTAATCTTCATATTCTTCACTTGATTTGAGTGAGAAAAAATAAAATTTTCTTGGTTATAAAATTCTCAAATGATTAACAATGGTTTCTTTAAAAGACTGAAGATACATATTCAGTGGCTGTAGAAATGGCTACTGCTATTGTAAACTGGATTAACAATCAGTACTTCTACAAATCTAAGTATTTGTTTGTTTTTACTTTTTACTAGTATGACTCTGGAATTTTTCAATTCAGGGAAATAATAGAATAGAAAAGCTTTGCTAAGGCATTGTAATCAGACAGAACTGGCCTCAAATCCTGGCTGTCATGTACTTGCTATGGGCCTAGAGTAGCTTACCTAAATGCTACTAACCTTCCTCCATACCATTATTGTAAAGATTAAAGGTGATGCATCTGTTAAGTAACTAATAGAGTGCTTATTAAAAGGTAGGTGTTCAATAAGTATTAATTCCCTCCCTTTCTTTTTCTTACTAGTGCACTTGTGTTTTTAATGGATCATACTTTACCCTAGATTGTATTGTAGGAGGCATTGTGGATGGATGGCTGCTGGAAACCCCTTGCCATAGCCAGCTCTTCTTCAATACTTAAGGATTTACCGTGGCTTTGAGTAATGAGAATTTCGGTAAGAAAAAAAATAGATGAAAATATCCTATGGAATTTCCCTTAAAGGTCGTCTGAATCTCAGAGTCTTTGCAATAAGTTACATGGTTATTCTCCAAAGATCTTGAGATATCACAGATGTCTGTTCACATTTGGATTGTTCTTATTTTGAAAATAAATAGGTTTTTAAAAACTCTATTGACCATCTTGATAGGCTCTTCTTGTCATTATAAATGTGTTATTTCACTTATCCCACTCTTTTGTGTTCTCTAAATGTCTTTGTACTCACTAAATTGTGTAGTCTTAGAGGGCAGGGTGTGGGTATCATTCATCTTTTTGAAAGGAAGCATGAACAATTAGTGGTTAAGGTGGCAGTTAACACTGCTTTCTGAAACTTTAAAAGCTTCGACAACACAAAAGAGGCAGGTGAAAGTACCAAAACTCTGGTAAGTTGTAGGATAAATGATTTTCCTAAATCACCAAGAAAGATTATTAGTCACTCTCAAGATGGAATACAGTATCTGTAATTGGTTCCATTTTATCCAATTTTTCACCAAATAATATTAATATAATTCATTTTCATAATTTACATGAAGTTAATATAACTATTGCATCTCTGTTAGTAATGCATGTTATTAACCTGTGCTGTATAAAATATTTTGACCTATTAAAAAAGAAAGAAGGATGAGGAGGAGGTCAAAGATAATATAAAAACTTTAAGTGGTGACATTGGTATGTATGTAAATTAACAAATATGTCAACTTTGTTAAATTATCTTTGACATGCATCTGCAGAAATATCTGTTAAGGAACTTTGTGCATAAGAGACAGAGTTGGAGGTGGGAGAGAAAGTGAAAAAAGATAAATTATAGTTTTATTATTTTTGATAAGGGGCATTAATTATGAAATTATGACAAACTTACATCTTTAGACCTAAAAATATGTTGACATGTTATTTTAAACCTCACTTTTTAACTAAAAAATTTAACCATTTGTCTATGATTATATTTTTCAGAAACCACATTTGAGAAGTATTTCCATCCAGTGCTACTTGTGTTTACTTCTAAACAGTCATTTTCTAACTGAAGCTGGCATTCATGTCTTCATTTTGGGGTAATTTTATCTTTAGGCATAAATAACATTATGTTCATGGTCATGATGATTGTCCTTGGATATATTTTCCATTAAATTAGTTTACGTTCAGTTTGCTTATATCTCTAGGTACTCAGTATCTGGGGGATAGAAGGCAGACTACAGAGATTTAGAGAGGTTTGGTAAACACCTAACTGAGCATTTTTCTACATTGTGGTAATAGTCCAAACAAGCATTATAGCCCTCAAATAAATTGGGCCTTTTGATATTTAACTGAACTTGGAAGTATACCACTTATTGATAGACTACATATTTTTCATGGCAATTAAAAGTAGATATTTAGAATTTGCTTATGTTACTTTTTTATCTGTCCCTGACACTGACTCCTCCTATCCCTTGATCTTTATCCTAGTTCAGTTTAAAACATTTCTTTCTTTATTTAAGCCTTTTGTTGTTTCCTTCTAATAAAATTCATATGTTTCCATGACTATTAACTTTTTTCTTCTCTCTTAGATGCAGCTAATATACCCAGTTGGCCCAAAGCACCTAACCTATAGTTATATAATCTGACTCTCAGTTCAGTTTTACTCTACTAATGCCTTCATGGTATTGGGAACCATAGATTTGTGCAGGTAATTCTTCATCATAAGACAGATTAGTGTTGACTATCATGCTTCTGTGTAAGATCCATCAGGAAGTGAGTGATTATTTTTCCTCAAGCTCTAAGCATCATTCCAATGTTACTTGGTCAGTATAAGTGTATTTTGTCTGGATATTAAATTTTAATTTTTATGAAATTTGTGAAAGTGAGTAAGTATATGATCATTCAGCCTACACTGGAATGAAGTCTGTACTGTTTATGGAGAAAGCTGCTGCAAGCATAGTAAGAGTGTGAGCAACATGAAAGGGGCATGTTTAATGTAGTGTAAAAAAAATTTACTATCAAAATCATTACATGAAAATGATTATTACTCATTTTAAGAATTTTACCTATTTATTAGACTTCAAAGTCTCTGTAAATCTCTACTTAAAGGAAACTAGTAATTCATTCAAAATCATTTATTGAGCATTGCCACACATCTGGCACTGCTTCTATTTCATTGTGATAAATTGAGCCAGTTTATTTATAAAGTATGCCTACAGTTAGGCTTTTCTCTAATCCGGGTTGGTGAAGCCTCAAGTTATCATAAAATGCCAAAATTGTACTATATGCTCAATGTTTATGTTCAGTTACAAGGCTGTTGAATGCACAGAAGCAAGGATAACACTGATTTTTTCACTGGTCAGAATAAAAATTATTGATTGCTCTTTTGCTTATAGTATTCATCAAGATGAATAGGCTCCTTCAAAATGCTTTGCTCTATGGTTTTTCTTTCAGCTGTTTCAGTGCAGGGCTTCCTAAAACAGAAGCCAACTGGGTGAATGTAATAAGTGATTTGAAAAAAATTGAAGATCTTATTCAAGTGAGTACTCATTTTTCCATAAAATGCCTGGTATAACTGCTATGGAGTTTGTCTCTCTCTGTGTTTTTCTGTCTGTCTTAAGGAAACCACACTTGAAACAATAATATTTTTGTAGAAATTTATGATCTTATAAAGCTCAAAAAGAAGTCTTTTCCTTACTGTTTTAGAATCTAATTATCTTTAAAACGTAATTTATAAGCGGCCCAGACGGATGAGTTCTAGTCTGCACAGGTGAGGTATTCTCTTCCTCTATCTGGAGAAGCCAGATATCTTGGTGGCACCTGCAGGGAGAATGGCTTGACCCAGGGAACAGCTGTTGTTGCTTGTGGACTAAAGGCCCTCTTCTCCCACCTCAAGAAAACAGGTGGCCTGACCTAAGGAAGTGATTTTTGCCATAGCAGGTAATACCAGCTTCAGTGGAAGTCTCGATGGCACCAAGCATACCAAAATAGCACCACAAAGTTCTGAAAACTAAATTGTCATTGGAATCACAGCATTAAAAAATAGGTTAGAACTTGCATGCTAAATCCAAACAACCTGACTGCATGTTAAAATAGAAGATTTAAATAGGACCAGAGTGTCCTAACATAATAGACATGAAGCCAAGATACAATTGGAAATCACCCATTGTAACAAGAAATAGGAAAGTTACAACTTAAATGAGAAAATATAGTCAACAGATTACAAAATTGAAGTGGATCAGATGTTGGAATTCTCTGACATAGATTTGAAAGCAGACATTATAAAAAGTGCTTGAAAAAGCAATTACAAATGCCCTTGAAGCAAATGAAAAACTAAATGCCTTAACAAAGAAATAGAAGATATGAAAGGAACCATATAGAAATTATATAACTGAAAATATAACTGAAATATAAAGCAAACTGTAAAGGCTCATTAGCAGAATGAATGACAGAGGAATGATAGTTAATTTGACAACAGAATACTAGAGAGACAGTTGACTTAAGAAAAAAAAAGCATCACTGATCTTGACGACAGTAACAAAAGATTCAGCATTCCTATGGTTAGTATCACAGGAGAGTATGAGAATACACCAAGTAAAAGAGAGAGATTGGTTGAATTCATAACAAAACACCACCCATCTATACTATCTATAAGCAGTTCACTTCTAGTACAATGACATACATAGGTTGAAATTTAAAAAGACAGAAAAAGATATAGCATACTATAATGGGTTGAATAGTGTCCCCCCAAATTTCACATCCTCTTGGAACCTTAAAATGTGATCTTATTTTGAAATAATATCTTTGCAAATATAATTAATGAAATTAAGATGAGATCATACTAGAGTAGGGGGGGCCCTAAATCCAATGACAAGTGTCTTTATTAGAAAAGGAAAGGACACAGAGTAACTCACTGGGAAGAAAGCCATGTGAAGACAGAGGAAGAGATCAGAGTGATGCGGCTATAAGCCAAGGAAGGCCAGAGATTGCCAGGATCCACCAGAACCTTGGGGAAGTCAAGAAAGCATTCTTCTCTAGACCCCTCAGAAGGAACATGGCCCTACCAACACCTTGACTTTGGACTTCCAGTCTCCAGAACTGTAAATGAATAGATTTCTGTTGTTTTAAACCACCCACCTTGTGGTAGTTTATTACAGCAGCTCTAGACTGATACACATGCATACATTAATTATAAAAAGCAGAAGTGGCTATATTAACATCAAAGTTAATGTTATTAACATAAAGTAGACTTCACAGAAAATAAAGTTGCTATAATCCAGAGGGATATTACAAAATGATAAAAAATAAATCTGTGAGGAAAACATAATGTTCTTAAATGTATACACATCAAACAACGAAGACTCAAAATTTGTGAAACAAAAAATAATAGGGATAAAAGAGAAATAGACAAATCCACAATTATTCTTGAGGACTTCACTGCCTCCTCCTCAGTAACTAATGGAAGTACTAGACAGAAAATCAGAAAGGGCATAAAAATACAATATAACCAACCAACAGGATCTAATTTAATACATAGAGCACTACACCCAACAACAGCAGAATATACTTTCTTTTATCAAGACTAAATATATACTGAGCCATAAAAGAAACTTTAAAAATTTTTTCAGAACTTAAATCATGCAGAATTTGTTCTCAAACCACAATGGAATCAAACCAGAAATCAAGAAATTAAATACAACGGGCAAATCTCCAAATGCTTGGAAATTAAATACTATACCTCTATATAATCCATGGGTCAAAGAGTAAATCTCAAAGGATATTCATAATACATAGAATGAAAAAAAATGAAATACAGCATATCAAGATATATGTGATGTGGCTAAAGCAATACTGACAGGACATTTTTTAAAATCAAATGAATACATTAGAAAAAAAGGAGAATTATCAAATCAAAAATCTAAGTTACTGCTTCAAGAAACTAGAAGAAGTAGAGCAAAACAAATTCAATACAAGCAGAACAAAGAAAATATTTAAATATAAGAGCCAAAATTAATGAAGTTGAAATCAAGAAAACAATAGAAAAAATTAATGAAACATAAAACTGGTTATTTGGAAAATCAATACAATTGATCTTTAATTGACAGAAATAAGAGAGAAGACACAAATCTCAGGAATGAAATTTGGGGCTGTCACTACAGAATCTGCAGTCATTAGAAGGATAATAAGAAAAACTATGAACAATTTTATGCTCACAAATCTGATAACTTAGAGGAAATGGACCAATTCTTCAGAAACCACAAACTACCAAAACATAATGAAGATGAAATAGACAATCCAAACACTCATATAATCACTAAATACATTGAATTCATCATACACAAGCTCCCAAAAAGGGACCTTCAAGCCTGCTGGTTACACTGAATCATTCTATCAAATATTTACAGAAGCATTAACAACAATTGTACAGTCTCTTCTAGAAAATAGAAGAGGAAGGAACATTTTCCAGTTGATTTTAGGAGGCCAGTATTACTGTGATGCTAAAACCAAATAAAGATATTACTAAAAAAGACAACTACAAAAATATCTCCCATTAACTTAGATATTAAAATGCTCTATAAAATATTAACAAATCAAATTCAGCAATGTATAAAAAGAATTATACACCATGACCGAGTGAGATTTATTTCAGGTACACAAGTCTTGCTCAATTATTTGAAAGTCAAGCAATGTAATCTACCCTATCAACAGGCTAAAGAAGAAAATCATATGTAGAAAAGGTATCTGATAAAATGCAACACCTCTCATGGCCTGTGTCCCTCCCTATGCCTCCTGGATTTATATGTTGAAGTACTAATTGCCAGTATATCAAAATGTGACTGTATTTTGAGATAGGGTCAGTTAAAATGAGGTCATGAGGGCAGGTCCTACTGCAATATGACTGGTATCTTTAGAAAAACAGATAAGGGTATAGATACACAGAGATAGAAAACCATGTGAAGACACTGGGAGAAAATGGCCACCTATAAGCCAAGGAGGGAGGACTCCAAAGAAACCAACACTGCTGGTACCCTGATTTCAGACCTCTAGCCTCCTGAATTGTGAGAAAATAAAGTTCTATTATTTAAGTCACCAAGTCTGTGGTACTTTTTATAGCAGCCCTAGCAGACTGATATAAACACCTATTGAAGATAAAATTTCTTAGAAAGTAGGTGTGGAGAACTGCCTCAACTTGGTACAAAACATGTTCAAAAAGTCTAGAGCTACCATACTTAATGGTGAGTACAAGACTGAATGTTTTTCTGCTAGGACTGGAAACTAAGCAGGGATATCTTCTCTCACCACTTTTACTCAACATAATTGTCTGAGTTTTCTGTTGCTTATAACAGAGTACTTGAAATGCATAATTTATAAAGAAAGGAATTTATGTCTTATGGTTATGAGACTGAAAAGTTCAAGGTTGAGGAGCCACATCTGGTGAGGGCCTTCCTGCTGGTGGGGGCTCTCTGGAGTCCAGAGGTGACAAAAAGCATCACATGGCGAGGGGCTGAATGTACTCATGTGCTAGCTCAGGTCTCTCTTCCTCTTCTTATAAAACTACCGGTTCCCTTTCCGTAATAACACATTGATACTCTAATCCATTCATGAGGGCAGAGCCATTGTGATCCAATTACCTCTTAAAGCCCCACCTCTCAATACTGCCACATTGGGGATTAAGTTTCAATCTGAATTTTGGAGGGGACATTCAAACCACAGCAATAATATTGGAAGTTTAGCCAAATTATGAAGCAGGAGAGAAAAAATGTATGAGAAAAAAATAAATAAAAGGCACACAGATTGGAAAGGAAAATTATACATCACCCCAAGTTTTTTGGAGAGAAAGTAGTAAAAATGGGTATATTTTGTTTAGAAAGTAATGCAAATTAAAACCACAATGACATATTATTACATGCAGCTATAAGCGTATACAGAATAAAAAATAGTGATGATGCTAAGTAAATATAAATGAACAAGGGTGATAATGCTGGCAAGGATGTGGAGAAACTGGATCATTCATACATTGCTGGTGATGATGTAAAATGATACAGGCACTGTATAAAATAGTTTGGCAGCATCCTATGAAACAAAACATGCATTTGCCTTACAATCCAACAATTGTGCTCTTAGACATTCATCCTTGATAAATGAAAACTACGTGCACACAAAAATATGTACATGAATGTTCACAGAGATTTTTTCATGACTGCCAAAAACTGGAAACAGATGTGCTTCAGTTGGTAAAATCTGTGATATATCATGTCAGGGAATACTACAGAGCAATAAAAAGGAACAAACTAGTGATACCCACAAGTTAGGTGGATCTCCAGGGTATTATGATGAGTGAAAAAAGCCAGTCTTCATAAAGAAACTGTGGTACATTTATAAAATAGAATATTATCCAGTGATAAAAAGAAATAAGCTATCAAGCCATGAAAAGAAATGGAGAAACCTTCAAAGTCATATTGTTGAGTGAAAGATGGGGACGCCAATCTGAAAAGGCTTCACACTGTATGATCCCAACTATGACATTTTGAAAAAGGCAAAGCTATGGAGACAATAAAAAGATCAGTGGTTGCTAGGGGTTTGGAGGGAAGGAGAAATGGCTAGGCAGAGCACAGGCTACTTTTAAAGCAGTGAAAATATTAATATATGATGATGGGTGGCATTATACATTTGTCAAAACCTGTAAAACATACAACACAAATAATGAGCCCTAATATTCTGTACACTTAAGATCATAATAGTGATTCACCAACTATAACAAACACACCACACTAATGCAAGATATTAACAATAGGGAAACTGGGGTGGAGAACAAAGGGGTGTATAAGTCTCTGTACTTTCTGCTAGTTTTTCTGTAAACCTAAATGGCTCATAAAAATGTCTATCAATTCTTTTAAAAGCTAATTTCAGAAGGTTACATATGATATGAGTCCGTTTACATAATATTCTTGAAATGACAAAATTATAGGCATGGAGAGCAGAGAAGTGGTTGCCAGAATTTAGAGAGATTGGGTGATGATGAGGTATGTATGGGGAGAAAGGTGACTTTGGTTATGAAAGAATAGCAGCAGAATCCTTGTGGTGATGAAACTATTTTGTGTCTTAACTGTGGTGGTGGTGATGTGAATCTATGCAAATGATAAAATTGCATAAAACTTCACACATATGCAAGCACACACACTGTGGCACATAAAACTTGTGAAATCTGAACAAGGTGAGTGCATTGTATTAATGTCAATTTTCTGATTGTAATACTGTACTGTGGTTATGGAAGACATTACCACTGGGAGAAGCTTGTTGAAGGGTACACAGGATCTCTCTGTATTTACTCTTACAGTTTCATATGAATTTTAAATTATCTCAAAATAAAAAAAGAATTAAAAACAATTTAATGTTTTCAGTAGGTTGTTCTCATAATATTTAAAGCAGGGCATAGTTTTTAATATTGTCTAATTTTGTTTCCTTTCAGTCTATGCATATTGATGCTACTTTATATACGGAAAGTGATGTTCACGTGAGTATACTTTTTTTCAAAATTGCTATTTGTCTTGTTATTAAAGTTTTTAAAAGTATATTTTTGTAACAACTAAAATATGGTAGTTTTAAAATCTAACTTTTGGTGTGTTTCTATAATATATGGTCAATGAGTTTTATTAGTGATTATTGAGATGGGACTTGGGGACAGATAGCTACATCAATGCTATTTTTGTAATGGTGCCAAATCAAAATATTAAAAGAGTCTTTTCCATCAATGTCAAACAAGATACATTATACGTTTTTGTGATGCAGTTGCATCATGGTGCAATTAGATGCAAAAATCAGATTAACTGTTTCAATTTAAGAGTAGCCAATATATCAGTTATTTCCAATGCTGTAATGTATCACCATCTGCAATCATATTTTCCATAAATTGCTTAAAATCATTCATGTTCTGCATTTTACATGATTCTCTACATTTGTCAGAAAAAGATTCTAATTATTCTCTATGTGAGAAAGGAAACATAACCCATGAAACTTATTAGAACTGAAAAATGGTCTTGAACTTGTTTCATTAATACCCTGACATTTCCTAAGGAATGTAGGATTTGTCATGTTGGTGGTGGTTCTTCCCTTCAGTATTGTTACTAAAACCAAGAAATGAATCCCCAACTTCACGTCAGGGAAAACAAACTCTATGTCCTCTCTCCATTATTCCTCAATTAGAACTTCTCTTACATAGATGACTTTCTAAGCATTGGAAAGAAACCATAGTCAGAAACTAGAAAAAAGAGATATTCACTAACCAATTGGGTCATGCTGCTGCACAAAGAAATTGTCTCCCTCCTCTGGCTTCAGCATGGATTCTGTTTTTCTTTGCATTTTTTGTAAAATGGAAAGTAGTCAATTAGCCACCAAATTCAGCATCCTGAAATTGCTTTTTTGCAAGAAGATAACTTTGCAACCCATGGGTTAGAGAAACAACCTTAGATTTTAGATTTTAGATTTTAGAAGTTTAGATTTTAAAACTGACTCCACCACTTTTTACTTGTGTTACCTTGGAGATTGCTAAACATTTCTGAAGCTCATTTTTATTATTGCTGATATGGTGACAGTATTTGTCTTTCAATCCTAAGCAGTGACTGTTGGGTTTAAGGAATATTACCAGTGCTGGGCACATGGGTGTATTCCTTCATTTTTTTTATCCATTCAGTAAGCATTTGTGAAGTGTCTGCAGGCTCCCAGGTACTGTGCAAGGTATCGAGGACACAAAGTCAAATAATGGTCAAATCCCTAGATATTCCTTGTTTCCTTTCTTTAAGTTATTGTTAAAGTAAATGTTGTGGAAAACATATTTTTGTGGCACCTAAGAGAGCCTTTTCTGATTTGATCTGCCTGTAAGTGGACACTAGTCCTGCTTTGATTTTTCTAATAAATTTCTTGGAATTACTTCTCTCCCTCTGGAACTTTGGAACTTGAAAGAACAGTATAATTAGCAGCTACCACTATTTAAAATGTTAACAACACAATTTGATTCTAAAAATTCTTACAAATAAACTGTCTATATTGATGTTTTCAGACTCTAAGGCCAGTATTATTACCCTTTCCACAGGGGAAATGTGCTCGGTGAGAAAAACTGGCCACTATTTCTGCATTTTCTAGTTTCATGTTCTTCTGTACAATATTGCCATCCTTCTTGATTGTGTTTTGTTGGTTTGTTTTGGTTTTTATTTTAAAGCCAAAAGAAAAAAAATTAAGCTGCCTCCTATGTAAAATTTCTTAAGGATATTGTGTATCTTTATAAAATATTTGGATTGACTTTTTGAAAATCAAAATTACATCAGTATGAAAATTAATAATCAGAAAAAAGTAATTGTTCTTTATAACTTTTATTTTTAGCCCAGTTGCAAAGTAACAGCAATGAAGTGCTTTCTCTTGGAGTTACAAGTTATTTCACTTGAGTCCGGAGATGCAAGTATTCATGATACAGTAGAAAATCTGATCATCCTAGCAAACAACAGTTTGTCTTCTAATGGGGTGAGTTTTCCAACAGTTGCTTAGAGTTGCATCTTATGTTTTGGGCCTGATTTGGAGAAGTCATTCATGGACAAGCAGATCCTCCTAAGGGGCAATCAGGAGAAGGAGTCCTGTTCCAGTGGAGTGGTGTGCAAAAGTGGCACCATCTCCAGCATGCACACAATGCTAAACTGTTCAATGATTGATTCAGTAGACAAACATTTACAGAATAATGCCAGGTAGTGTGCTTCAGTGCTAGAATTATAGTTGCAAACCAGACAGACAGGTCACTGACCTCAAGGTGTTTATTGTCAGGTGCAGTGGATAGACATTAATCTAATTACATACTCAAATGTCTAACATCAATAATAGTAACTCACATTTATTGAGTTATTACTGTATGCCAGACACTATTCTTTGAGCTTTAAATTGATAATTCATTTAATCCTCATGATAAATCTGTGAGATAGTTATCTTTATTTCTGTTTGAATGTTGAAGAAATTGTAGCACTGAGAGCCTGGATCACTCGCTTCAGTTCATACAGCTAGTAAAATGGGGAGCCACAACTCTTACCCGAGCAGTCTGTCTGCAGAGTCTGTTATCTCATGAGAAGATAAATGCTTTAAAAAGATAACAATGAAAATATTAATGATTCGAGTATAATCTGGGACATCCCAGGCAACTTGAGCAGTAGAGGGTTCCAGGAGAGCAAATTCTAGGTACTCGTATGATAGGCTGGGGAATCAGCTGTGCAATGGCCCTGAAGTGCAAAGAATTAGGGCTTTCATGGCAAAACACCAGTGGCCAAAGCAAGGTAGAGAGAAAGCAGTTTTGCAACAAAGAGGCATAATCAAATTAGTTCATTTCATAAATACTTTTTAGCCCTCAGGAGACAGTATGAAAAAATACCCATAATCCCTGCTGTTAAAGAGGGAGGAAACAGAAATAAACCAAGCACTCAGCAAATGAGTAATAAGTTAGTTATTTATGAAGTCCAGTGGTGAAAAAGGACACAGGGTAGGGGCACTGGGGCTCCAGTTAGGGTAGGCTGAGCTAATAAGCTGCCATTTGACAAAGATGTGAGAGAATGAGCCTTAAGGGTATCTAGGGACATATGTTTAGGCAGAGACAACTGAAAGTGCAAAGGCCCTAAGCTTGTGTGGGTGGACACCTTGACTTTTCTCTAAAAATACAAGACTGCTTTAGGTCTTTGCTTCAGTGTCACCTTCTCAGTGATTTACCTATTTACAGTTGCAATCCCTTCCCTATCTGAGCACTCCCTGTCCCCTTCTCTGCGTGTCCCATATCTGGAATATGATATATTTTATGTAATGGGTATTGTCTGTTTTTCCCTACTAGAATGTCAGCTTAAAATGGACAAGTGTTTTTGTTTTTTATTAGTACTATATCCAAATTCCCAGAACAGTGTCTCATATATATTAAATACTTTACATATGTATGAAATGAATTTATTAAGGTTTATAATACTCTTATGATGTTATCTCCATCTTATTGGTGGAAAGAGTGAGCCACGCAACAGGTAACTCATGGCAAAATAAATGATGAGCTCTTTAATGTGAATGTTGATAGTCATCCTCATCATGACAGAGTGTGACATACGTGCTGGAATGCGTGGGCAGGACTGCACAGTCAGAAGACCTGGATGGGAAGAATTTCAGTTGATTATGTCAGTTGAGATGAGTCAATATCTCTGTCTTCCTATCTGACATGATTATTTTCAGGATCAAATAGGACAGCATTATATGAAATATGACAGTGCTTGGCATAGAGGATGTGCTTGATAAATGTCGCTGATTCTGAATTCCAAATAGTTAATGGATATAAAATCTAATTTTTATTTTTGCTGGCACAGCCTTCATGGTTCAGATGATCTCTAAAAAGTTTATTCTTAATTGCTACATTTGGAACATTCTAGTTATCCATGAGACTGTGTTTGAAGTACAACAATTTGTGGTATTCACCTAAATGGCTCAGTTCAACCAATGGGTGATTACAGTGTGTCAGGCCCTGTGCTAAATGCTAGGGAAACAAACATACTGGCTCTGACCTTCTGGCAGAGAGCTTAGAGAATAGTATTACAGTATAAAAAGAGTAAAACTTCATAATATGAATAGAATACATGACATATTGTGAGAGAGGTCTAAATAAGGGGTTCTGAGATGTAAAGATGGGACATTGAGTCCAGCCCTAGGAGCCCAGGGGTTCAGAGAAGCCTCCCTAAAAGAGTACCTGAATAATCTTAAGTGCGAGTAGCAGCAGCTAAAATAGGAATGAATGTAACAGAGAGAAAAGCAAAGGCAGAGAGGCATCTAATAGTATGCTGTGCATGGCAAGGAAAGCCAGATGCTCACTCAGTGTTTCTAGGGCATAACATTGAGGCAAGGGGGATATGTGAAATAAATAGGTAAGGAACAGCTCATGAAGAGCCTGTGTGCTATGCAGGGAGGCATGGTCTTTATGCTAGAAGCAGATGATAGGAAACCATTGAAGGGCTCAAAGCAGGAACTCCGTGGTCTGATAGACACAGCTTATTTTTCTCAATGTCCTTAACCCATTATTGGAAAAATAAACATATATCAAATCTCCCTGTTCTCTTTCCTCGTAGTTCTTCCTAATATGCTATTTATTTGCTAAAGCTTTCATATCTCAAGACCTCACCATATGGTTCAAACGATATGATATTCCCATTCCCATGAATGTATATTTAATTTAATTATAAATTGCCAATTTAATCTCTCTCTATATTTTGCAGAATGTAACAGAATCTGGATGCAAAGAATGTGAGGAACTGGAGGAAAAAAATATTAAAGAATTTTTGCAGAGTTTTGTACATATTGTCCAAATGTTCATCAACACTTCTTGATTGCAATTGATTCTTTTTAAAGTGTTTCTGTTATTAACAAACATCACTCTGCTGCTTAGACATAACAAAACACTCGGCATTTCAAATGTGCTGTCAAAACAAGTTTTTCTGTCAAGAAGATGATCAGACCTTGGATCAGATGAACTCTTAGAAATGAAGGCAGAAAAATGTCATTGAGTAATATAGTGACTATGAACTTCTCTCAGACTTACTTTACTCATTTTTTTAATTTATTATTGAAATTGTACATATTTGTGGAATAATGTAAAATGTTGAATAAAAATATGTACAAGTGTTGTTTTTTAAGTTGCACTGATATTTTACCTCTTATTGCAAAATAGCATTTGTTTAAGGGTGATAGTCAAATTATGTATTGGTGGGGCTGGGTACCAATGCTGCAGGTCAACAGCTATGCTGGTAGGCTCCTGCCAGTGTGGAACCACTGACTACTGGCTCTCATTGACTTCCTTACTAAGCATAGCAAACAGAGGAAGAATTTGTTATCAGTAAGAAAAAGAAGAACTATATGTGAATCCTCTTCTTTATACTGTAATTTAGTTATTGATGTATAAAGCAACTGTTATGAAATAAAGAAATTGCAATAACTGGCATATAATGTCCATCAGTAAATCTTGGTGGTGGTGGCAATAATAAACTTCTACTGATAGGTAGAATGGTGTGCAAGCTTGTCCAATCACGGATTGCAGGCCACATGCGGCCCAGGACAACTTTGAATGTGGCCCAACACAAATTCATAAACTTTCATACATCTCGTTTTTAGCTCATCAGCTATCATTAGCGGTAGTGTATTTAAAGTGTGGCCCAAGACAATTCTTCTTATTCCAATGTGGCCCAGGGAAATCAAAAGATTGGATGCCCCTGGTATAGAAAACTAATAGTGACAGTGTTCATATTTCATGCTTTCCCAAATACAGGTATTTTATTTTCACATTCTTTTTGCCATGTTTATATAATAATAAAGAAAAACCCTGTTGATTTGTTGGAGCCATTGTTATCTGACAGAAAATAATTGTTTATATTTTTTGCACTACACTGTCTAAAATTAGCAAGCTCTCTTCTAATGGAACTGTAAGAAAGATGAAATATTTTTGTTTTATTATAAATTTATTTCACCTTAATTCTGGTAATACTCACTGAGTGACTGTGGGGTGGGAAATGATCTCTTAAGAATTTGATTTCTTTCTATTCCATAGTACAAACTCGTTCTCTGTTGAAACATTCTTCTATCACCCCAGTGCCCTATCCATGTACATGTGTTCTTATTGCTCTAGTCAAACGGTGCTTATAAATATCTTTCAGAAAGTTTAGGAGAAATCTGTATCCTATTTGACTTCCAATAATCATGTATTGGCTGTCAGCTTCTTACCTACTCTCAGTCCAGAGAAATAGTATTTGGCAGCCACTCTTTAAAGTTTATGGGTTGTGGATTGTGGCGGTTGATTTATTTTTTTTATTTCAATTGGGATAGAATTTTTTAATATACCTGTATTTTTGTTTTGTTTTATGTAGCTTTTCTATTAGGGAGAGTAGGAAAAGTGCACCATTTTCTTCTCTAAATTTCCAGTCCAGTCTTTAGGGGAATGTTAGTCTTCCTGAGATGGGGGAAGGAAAATCATAATGCCAGTCACTTTGCAAATAATATTTTATAGTGATAAATGGTTCATTTTGGTTACATAGGCATACAAGTGGGCTTAAAACTTGGAATTTACCAGGGCTCAAAATTAAAATTCTTACATTAGTTACTCGATATGGATCGCTTCAGTTGATCTTAGAAAACTCAAGGCATAGATCTGCAACCACTTTAAAATACTATTAGTTAACTGAAGAAACAAAATAATAGTGTAAAACAATCTAAATTTTATTTTTCATGCTTATACTCTTTACAAAATCAGTCTTTCAGATTTTGGATTCAAAATCTGCCTGTTTGAACTATCTTCCTTAATTAACCCACTCAGTGTCATTTGCCTAGAGGATACTGTGTTTATGTCTCATTTACTGCCTTAATTGCTGAAAATATCGTCCATGTAGAACATATAATAAAGAAAGCACAGAAACGTATACTTAGAAACTCAAATAGTAAAGGTAAGCGTAACAATATGATATACAGTTCAAAGTTATATTGATGAATTTTGTTTTTATCTTTTCTTAATTTCAGGAAAGTAAAAGACATATGAAAGAATATTATCTCTACATTCTCCCTGGCGATGAACAAAAAGGGCTAGAAGGCAGAGGACATGGAAATGTAAACAGAACCAATATATAATTGTTGAGCCCAGGCCGGGCACGGTGGCTCACGCCTGTGATCCCAGCACTTTGGGAGGCCGAGGCGGGCGGATCACGAGGTCAGGAGATCGAGACCATCCTGGCTAACACGGTGAAACCCCATCTCTACTAAAAATACAAAAAATTAGCCTGGTGTGGTGGCAGGCACCTGTAGTCCCAGCTACTCGGGAGGCTGAGGCAGGAGAATGGCATGAACCCAGGAAGTGGAGCTTGAGTGAGCTGAGATCGCGCCACTGCACTCCAGACTGGGGGAAAGAGCAAGACTCTGTCTCAAAATAAAATAAAATAAAATAATTGTTGAGCCCAGAGAATTTTAAAGCCTAATCACAAAGCTAGTATTATATACTCTCATTTTTTTAATCTTAGAAGGGTAAGTCACAGAATGACTTTTTTCTTTTGCTACTGTTGTTGTGAGAGAGGATCACGTGTTTTGATGTGCTACTGTTTATGACCATCAAATTCAATAACTCATAAGGTCAACCAACATATACAATATGAAAATCAAGTAGTGTGGCTGTTCCTTCCCTTCTCCCCCAACTTAGCACAAAAATACTAGAGAATGCATTTTAGTTCCTTCATCTTTGTTATGTCAGACTTAGCTTAAGCTCTTTGCATTCCTTGTGAGCCATGGTTAAATGTATGCATGCCATATATAAATATTTTGCACAGAGAAAATCTCATTTCCATAGAGGTTTGGTTCAATGTTTCTGAATGTGTCTGATGACTGAATTGTGTCCTTAGTAAGAAATTGGTTATGCAAGGTAAACTTTAGCTTCATTAAACAGTGTCCTAATTGTAATTGTATAATCTATCAGATGACACACAGAAGAAAAATTAATGAATTATTAATAAAGGCTAATGATTTTATTCTATATTTTACTTCTTCAATGCTGTACTTCAAAATGACAATTAGAGGAATTGAAAAGGAAATTGTTAGACAAGTAGAATTGAAAATTCTACAAGTAATTTATACAAAGTTGTCAACACTTTCAGAATATGGTCATCAGAGAATCCAGAGTCACCCAACAGGTGATTTGTCTTCATCATCATCCTCACTTTTTTTTTCATTAACAAATTCTCTCCTTTAGTCATATTGAAAGCATCATTCTTGAAAACCTATTATATGTGAACATTATGTTAGATGCTACAGTTCTAGCTGTGAATAGAAAGCCATAGTCTCAGCCTTCACAGAGATTGCATTTCAGCAGAAGAGCCATATTATCAAAGTAATAACTTGAGGACTTATTCACTTACCATCATTTCTAATGAACACCACCAGAAGAACATATAATTGGAGGATCTGATTCATTCAAGGTATCAGAATTTCTTTGAGAAAGTGATATCTGAGGCCAACTACGAATTATGATTAGGACTTATCTGGGGTGAAGTGGGAAGAGTCCACCAGCAAAACAGCTTACCAAAACCTTCAGTCAGGAAGGATCATGGCATTTTCATAGAGTGGAAGGAATGACAGTACAGCAAGGCTAAAGGAAAGAACTAAAGAGGAAGCTGGTAAGAAAAGTATCAACTGGTTAGGGTCTAGTAAGAATTTGCTGTCTGACCAAAAGAAATGAGACTTACTCTGAAATGCATAAAATATATAGAATGTATTATTTTACCATCAAGAAAAGAGGTGAAGTCAAAATTCCCTTACCACTAAATCCCAAGTTAATAAAATAATTTCTAATAACAACATCTTACATGGGCCTCATCATTGCAGTCATTTAATGAATTCTTTTCAACTTAATGGACATAAACTTCAGCAAGTAATTATCTGCTCGCTGTCCAAAACAACAAGCCTTTTTGTAGTGTATATAGTTTGAGAGGCTGAAGTCAGGACAATTAACATATGAATCCATAACTGGGGAGGAGAGCTGAGGAGGATGATGGAATAGCTCTCTTCAGGGATTGCCTCTGCCCACAGAAAGATCAATTTGAACAACTATCCATGCATGAAAATACCTTCAAAATAGCTAAGGAAACCAGGTGAGAGTTTACAGTGCCTGATTATAGCATAATAATAAGAAAAGATGCATTGAAGAGAGTAGAAAGGATGGTTTTATATTATTTGCATTACCCACCCACCCTCACCAATCCCAGACACATGGCACAGAGAGATAGCATCTGCTTGTGAGAAAGGGAAAGAAATGAGCATAGAATTTTGCCTTGATACCTAATATCAGAGTCAATCCAAACAAGACTATCCCAATACATATTATAATCAAACTGTTAAAGATCAAAGACAAAGTGAGTATCCTGAAAGCAGGAGAAAAGGAAGAAATAACATGTAAGGAAGTTTCAGTACACCTAGCAGCAGACTTCTCAGCATAAAACTTACAGGTCAGGAGGAAGTGGGATGATTCAAAATACTGAAAGAAAAATATTATTAACCAAGAATATTGTACCCAGAAAAGCTGCCCTTCAGAAATGAAGATGGTATAAAAACTCCCAACCAAAGAAAAGCTAAATGAGTTAACCACCACCAGACCTGTCTTACAAGAAATGCTAAAATGAGTTCATCAAGCTGAAAGAAAAGGATACTAATGAGTAACACAAAGCATCTGAAAGTATAAAACTTACTGGTAAAAGTAAGTACACAGTCAAATTTAGCATACTCTAATACTATAATGTGGTGTGCAAATCATTTGTATCTTTAGTATGAAGGTTAAAAGATAAAAGTAGTAAAAATAATAACTACAATATTAACTAAGGGATATGGAATATAAAAAGATGTAAACTGTAATATCAAAAATTCAAAATCGAAGGGGACGGAGTGAAAGTGTAGAGGTTTATTTTTTTGGTGATCAAAGGTAAGTTGTTAGCTTAAAATAACCTTTACAAGATTTTTTGGTCTGCCTTTTGGAAACCACAAGACAAAAACCTATAATAGATAAATAAAAAATAGAATTGAATCAAAACATACTACTAGCAAAAAAAATCACTTAATCGCAAAGAAAGTAAGAGAGGAAGAAAAGATCTACAAAAAGAAAGACAATTAACAAAATGGAAATAATAAGTCCTAATCCACCAGTAATTACCTTGAATGTGATTTGATTAAATTCTACAATAAAAAGACACAGAATGGATAAGTGATACAAAACCAAAACCCAATTATATGCTACCTAAAAGAGATTCACTTCACCTATAAGGACACACAGTGAAGAGATCTAAAAAAATATTCTTCACAAATGGAAACTAAAAGAAAGCAAAAGTAATTATACTTACATCAGATAAAATAGACATTAAGACAAAAACTGTAAAAAGTGCCAAGAAAGTCACTATATAATGATAAAGGATTCAGCAAGAGGATATAACAATTGTAAATATATATGCACCCAACATCAGAGCAACTAAATATATAAAGCGAATATTAATAGCTTTGAAGGAAGAGATAGACTACAATACAGCAATAATAAGGGACTTCAACACTTTACTTTCAGCATGAATGGAGCATCCAGACAGAAAATCTAAAAGGAAACATTGGATTTAAACCACACTCTAGACCAACTGGACCTATCAGACATAAAAAAGAACATCCCACCCAACAGTTGCAGAATACACATTCTTCTTAACTGAAGATAGAACATTCTCCAAAATAGATTAGATAATATGTTAGGCCATAAAACAAGTCTTGTCAAATTTAACAAGGTTGATATAATATCAAGTATCTTTTCTGATCACAATGGTATAAAACAAGAAATCAATAACAAGAAATTTGAAAAATTTACAAATTCACAGAAATTAAACAACATGTTCCTGAACAACCAATGAGTCAATAAAAAAATTAAAAATGTCTTAAGACAAATAGAAATGGAAACTTCTGAGGCACAGCAAAAGCATTTCTAAGAGAGAAGTTTTTATCAATAAATATCGATATCAAAAAAAGATATTTCAAATAAACTATGTTGCACCTTAAGAAACTAGAGAAACAAGAACTAACCCAAAATGACTCAAAGGAAGGAAATAATAAAGGTAGAGGAGAAATTAAAAATAATAGAGACTAGAAATAACAGAAGAAAAGATCAACAAAATAAAGAGTTGATTTTTTAAAAAGATACACAAATTCAACAAGCCTTTCACTAGACCAAGGGAAAAAGAGAGAACACTCACAATCAGAGATGAAAAAGGAGACATTACAACTGATACCACAGAAATAAAAAGGATCATAGGACATTATTATGAACAATTACCAACAGATTGGGTAATCTAGAAGAAATGGATAAATTCTTGGACATATACTACCTAGCAAGACTATGTTATGAAGAAAGGAAATCTCAACAGATCAATAATGAGTAAGGAGATTGAAACACTCATAAAAAGCCTCCCATAACAGAAAAGTCCAGGACCTGGTCGCTTCACTGCTGAATTCTGCCAAACATTGAAACAAGAACTAACACCAAACTCTTCAAAAATATTGAAGGAGAGAGAATCCTTCCAAACTCATTTTATAAAGTAAGCATTACCTTGATTCCAAAACCAGATAAAAACAGAACAACAACAACAACAACAAAAAATTAGGCCAATATCTCTGATGAATATAGATGCAAAATCCTCAACAAAATACCAGCACATTAAAAAGATTCATCATGATCAAGTGGGATTCATTCTAAGGATGAAAGGATGGTTCAACTTAAGCAAATCCATAAACATGATACATCACATTAATGGAATGAAGGACAAAAACCATATGATTTCCATTGATGCAGAAAAAACATTTGACAAAATTCAACATTCCTTCACTTAAAAAAATTCTCAAAAAATTAGATATGAAAGGAATGTACCACAACACAATAAACACCATACATGAAAAATTTACATCTGCTATTATACTAAAAGGGGGAAGTTGAAATGTTTTTCTCTAAGGTTAGAAACAAGAAAAGGACTCCCGACCTGCCTCTTCTATCCAACATAATACTGGAAATTCTAGCCAGAGCAATTAGGCCAGAAAAAGAGATAAAAGACATCCAAATTGAAAAGGAAGAAGTTAAATTATCTGTTCTTGTAGAAGGTGTAATTTTATATGTAGAAAGCCCTAAAGACTCCACCAAAACACTATTAAAACTAATAAACAAATTCAGTAAAATTGCACGATACAAAATCAACATGCAAAAACAATTAACATTTTTATGCATGAAAGCAAACTATCTGAAAAAGAAATCAAGCAAACAGTCTCATTTATAATAGCTAAAAAGTAAAAATGAAATGCTTAGAAATAACCTTAACCAAAGAAATGAAAGTGCTACACTAAAAGATAGAAAACATTGATGAAAGAAATTGAAGACAACAAAAATAAATGGAAAGATATCTCAGGTTCACAGAGTGAAAGAATTGATACAGTTAAAATGTCTATACTATCCAAAGTGATCTACAGATTTAATGCAATCTCTATCAAAATAGAAATATTATTCTTCTCAGAAACAGAAAAAAAATCCCCAAATTCATAAGGAATCGCAAAAGACCTTGAATAGCCAAAGAAGTCTTGTGCAAAAAGAACAAAGTTGGAGGCATTACACTACCTGCCTTCAAAATGCACTAAAAAGCTATAATAGTACCAAATACAATAACCAATAACAGTACAGCTTTTTGACAGTACCAAAACAGCATGGTATAGTTAAAAAAAAAAAAAAAAACGGACACAGAAATCAATGGAGCAGAAGAATCAAGAGCAATAGTGCCACAAACACACAATGGGAAAGGATGGTTTCTTCAATAAATGGTGTTGAGAAAATGAATACCCACACGCAAAAAATAAACTAGACTTTTATCCCACACCACATCAAAAAATCAACCCAAAATGGATTACAGACTACAGACTTAAAAGTGAGAACCAAAACTATGAAACTGCCAAAATATAGAGTGAAAACTCCATGACATTTGGTCTGGGAAATGATTTTCTGGATATGATCTCAAAAAGAACAGGCAACAAAAGAAAAAGTAGACAAATGGGATTTAAAAGCTGTACAGCAAAACAACAGAGTTTGAGGAAACCTACAAAATAGGAGAAATTGTTTGCAAACTATACGTCTGATAAGGGAATAATACCCAAAATATATAGGAAACTCAACTCATTCACAAGAAATTAAGTAACCCAATTAATAAATGAACAAAAGACCTGAACAGATATCTATTTCTTTTCTTTGTTTTTTTGTTTTTGTTTTTGTTTTTTTTTGACAGAGTTTTGTTCTTGTTGACAAGGCTGGAGTGCAATGGTGTGATCTCAGCTCATGGCAACCTCTGCCTCCTGGGTTCAAGCAATTCTCCTGCCTCAGCCTCCTGAATAGCTATGATTACAGGCATGCGCCACCATGCCCGACTAATTTTTGTATTTTTAGTAGAGATGGGGTTCCTCCATGTTGGTCAGGCTGGTCTTGAGTTCCTGACCTCAGTTGATCCGCCCACCTTGGCCTCTGAAAGTACTGGGATTACAGGTGTGAGCCACCGTGCCCGGCCAGTGATCTATTTCTTAAAGGAAGACATACAAGTGACCAAGAGATATATGAAAAAAAATGCTCAACATCACTAATCAAAACCTCAACGAGTTATACCCTCACACCTGTTAGAATGAGTATTATTTTTTTAAAAGTTAACAAAAGTTGCAAAGATGTAAAGAAAAGGGAACCCTGCCACTCTGTAAGTGAGAATGTAAATTAGTTGTAACCATTACGTAAAACTTTATGGAGGTTTCTCAGAAAATTAAAAATAGAACTACCATTTGATACAACAATCCCACTGCTTTGAATATATACCCAAAGGAAATAAAATCAGTGAAAGAAATGTCTGCACTCTGATGCCTATCACAGCATTATTCACAATAGCCAAGATACGGAATCAGTCCATCAACAGATGAACGGATAAAGAAATGTGGTGTACATACAAAATGCAACACTAGCCATAATAAAGAATTTCTTGTCATTCACTACAACATGGATGAACATGGAAGACATTAGGTTAAGTGAAATAATCCAGGCACATAAAGGCAAATACTGCATGATTTCACTCATATGTGGGATATTAATAAGTTGATCTCAAGAAGTAGTGAATACAGTGGTGGTTACCAGAGGCTGGGATATTTATGCAGGGAGGGAGGGTTAGGGAGATGTTGGTCAAACGATATATATTTATAGTTAGGTGGGAGGGATAATTTCAAGACATTTATTGTACCGTATGGTGACTATGGTTAATGGCAACATATTGTACTCTTGACAAATGCTAAGAATGGATATTAGGTGTTCCCATCACAGAAATGATACCCAAGTAAGATGGTGTATTTGTTAATTACCTAGATGTATCCATTCTACAATGTGTATATATTTCAAAACATCATATTGTACACAATAAATACATAAAATTTAATATATCAATTTAAATAAATTTTTGAAAATAAATAAATCCAGCATTGAAATCTGAAGACTGATAGAATTTATCTGTCATCAAAATCTTAACATAGGGATGGCTTCTTGAAAAAAAGGACTTTCTAGATTACTTTTCAGTGATAACAAGTTTTTTGTTTTTGTTTTGTTTTGTTTTTTAATTAATTAATTTATTTTTTGAGATGGAGTCTTGCTCTGTCGCCCAGGCTGGAGTGCAGTGATGCGATCTCGGCTCACTGCAACCTCCACCTCCTGGTTTCACGCCATTCTCCTGCCTCAGGCTCCGGAGTAGCTGAGACTACAGGTGCCCGCCACCACGCCCGGCTAATTTTTTTGTATTTTTAGTAGAGACGGGGTTTCACCACGTCAGCCAGGATGGTCTCGATCTCCTGACCTTGTGATCTGCCCGCCTTGGCCTCCCAAAGTGCTGGGATTACAGGCGTAAGCCACCCGGCCCAGCGTGGTTTTTTTAATTGACAAATAAAATTATATACATTTATCATGTGCAACATGACATTCCAAAACACATCTATCAGAATGACCAAACCAAACCAACC
This sequence comes from Homo sapiens, assembly GCF_000001405.40. Taxonomy (NCBI): domain Eukaryota; kingdom Metazoa; phylum Chordata; class Mammalia; order Primates; family Hominidae; genus Homo; species Homo sapiens. The sequence goes on from NC_000004.12 coordinate 141,743,080, forward strand.
AACATGTACATTTCCTGACATAGTTGTGGTGAGAACACAAAATGTACTCTATTACTATTTTTCAAGAATATAATACAGCATTATGGTCTCCATGTTTTAAGATCTAGCCCTTGAATTTGTTTTTACTATTTAATTGAAATTTTGTAACCTTTGACCAACATCTCCCCAATCTGCTCCCCCACCACTACCTTATCTCCTGATGATCACCATTTTACTTTCTACTTCTTAAGATCAACTTTTTTAGATTACATATATGAATGAGATCATAAAGTATTTGTTTTTACATCCTGGCTTATTTCACATAACATAATGTCTTCCAGGTTCACCCATGTTGTTGCAAATGACAAGATCTTCCTTTTTTATGGCTGAATAATGTTCCATTGTGTAGATATACCATATTTTCCTTATCCATTTCTCTGTTGATGGACTGTTAGGTTGATTCTATATCTTGGCTGTTGTGAATAATACTGCAATAAACATAGGGGTGCAGATATCTCTTTGACATGCTCAGTTCATTTCCTTTGACTATATACCTCCAAATGGGATGGCTGGATCATGTGGTAGTTCTATTTTTTTTTTTTTGGCAGGAACCTCCAAAAAGTTTTCCATAGTGGATATACTAATTTACATTCCCACCAACAATGCATATTCCTTTTTCTCTGCATCCTCTCCAATTCTTGTTATCTTTTCTTTTTCATTTTGGTTTAATTTGCATTTCTCTGAGTATTAGTGATGTTGGATATTTTCTTATATATCTGTTGTACATTTATGTTTTCCTTTTACAAATATCTATGCAGGTATTTACCCATTTTATAATCAAGCTATGTGTTTACTTGCTATTGAGTTGTCTGAGTTTTTACATATTTTTCATATTACTTCCTTATCGTATATGTGGCTTGCAAATATTTCTTCTTTACTCTGGTGATTTTTTTTTTTTTAGCTCATTTCATCCCATTTGTCTGTTTTTGCTTTTGTTGCTACTGGGATCATAGCCAGAAATTATTGCCCAGACCAACAGCATAGAGCTTTTATCCACTGTTTTTTTTTTGTAGTACTTTTATAGCTTCAAGCTTTACATTTAAGTCTTTAATTGGTTTTGAGTTGATTTTTGTATACAGTGTGAGATAAGCATCGTCTGCATGTAGATATATGGTTTTCTCAACATGACTTACTGAAGAAACTGTATTTTCTCCATTGTGTGTTCTTAACTCCTTTGTCAAAATTCAGTTAGTATAAATATGTGGATTTATTTCTGGGCTCTTTACTTTGTTTCACTTACATGTGTGTTTGTTTCTATGCAAGTATTACATTGTTTTAATTACTATAGCTTTGTAGCATATTTTGAAGTCAGGTAATATGATGCCTTCAGCTTTGTTCTTCTTGCTCAAGATTTCTTCGACTGTTTGAGATTTTCAGTGGAAACTTTTTGTATAACGGGGGCTAATTATTCTCTGTAAGAAAAATGAGTTAGAGGAAGGCACAGGAGCATGCTGATAGTGCTCTGCTGAGTGATGACAGGGTACAGTTAAAACATGGGAAATGAATAGAGGCAAGGTAGATGTGGCTGGGTAGAGAGAGAAAGCTTTTGAGGCACAATTATACTATATACAATCAGGGACTCAGAAAGTTAGGCTATACATTAGCTTAGAAGAGATAAAAGTTGATATGTTTAAGGGGAGGATAAGAAAAGCAAATTTTTGAATAAGTGACAGCTAAGAGCCGAAAGGTAAGGCTAGAATGTCACAGTGTTTGTTGTGCATGACAGGCACCATCTTTTCAAGAGTTTTAAAGATTATGATCATCAGCCACATTCAGTTTTTAACAAAGTCAAAGCCCTCAATGTGTCTATGAATTCTGCTAAGGACACACCAGGTTGATGGTAATTACAATAGTCATCTTAAACATTTATGGTTCTTTAAAGTTCACAAAGTACTTTTCGCTACATTATTTTAATTGGTAAGGGTTTCTGTCCCTCATGGGTAAAGACAAGAAGATATGCATCCTGGAAAACCTTTTTATATATATCACTGGCATATTAAACTAATTTAAAAAAAGACACTACCTGAAATTTTATCCGAGCTGTGTTGTGTATTTTTCTATGCCTTATTGCCTTTTATATTTCTTTTCAAATGAGCATGAGCATAATACTTACGGTGGAAAATTATTTGTTGTTCAAGAAATCAAAATAAAGTTTATCATGTATTTTTATTTCATATTTTGATTATTTTTTCTTCACACAATTATATACTGGTGTTTTGTTTGCTTTGCCCAGATGGCAAATGCACCATTAAGTTTATCCAGCCTGAATTAATTATCTTTTTATAGTAGAAGAAAATCCTTTCCTTTTGACAAGTAAGATGTTTGTGCTGTATTTATGAATAAATAAAGACAGCTGTTATACACAGCATTATTAATAGCAATGCTTTAAACATCTCATCTGAAAAGAAATCCACTCTTATAAATATAACGTAAGCTCTTGGTGTTCTAGACTTTATTAGATGAATGAAAACCACAGACTTGTTATCCATGCTACAGCATAATAAGAAAAATATCATGCTTTCTATGAGACACTCAATTCAAAATAGCGAACATAAGGCAGTACTCTTTTAAATGGTTATTGTCTTTGCTGGTCATTTGTTTCTGATTCTTCAATACTTCACATGTTAAGAATCTGGAGACCAGCAACACTTCTCTACATGGAAACAGACAGTTAACATGCAGCCACAGACTTCATCTAAATGGCCACAATGATGCTAATCCCTGTTTTCTACTGAATGGGTTTTTGATAGATGATCTGGCCATTGTAAAAGGGATTTTTTTTTCTTTAGTAAGAGAGAGTATGTTTGCAACGCAGAGGTACCCTTTTCCCTCACAGACAGGTCTTGGTAACTCTAAGCCAGTAAAGGTAAGATGAAGTATAACTCCTTGTCATCATGATGAGATTACAGTTCTCTGGAGTATGTCATTGGGCTTCAGATGTTCCCTATTTGAAGGAACTTGGTTTCTCATAAGGCCACTGTTTCTCAGCAGTGCCAACTTGTTTCTAAGAATTTATTTTTCTTTTTAGTCATCTTTATTTTTACTTAAAATAGCAAAGATAAAATATGTTCAAAGGAAAACATATTTACAAGTTCTGGCACCAAGGTCCAGCAGCAGAATTCCCAGGTGCAGGCTTCAAGGAAATGCATTGTTTGTATGGAATTTAGAAACAGTAATGAAACTGACTAAATGTCTGTCTGCCTTTATGATGACTACGTCAACAATTACTATGTGTAAACAATACCCATGGTAAAACACTCTTCTCTAAAAAAATTTCTTTGGTCTAAATTTTAAACAATTTCTGAGGTTTCGGTTGTTCTTCATAGCACACATATAATCTTCTAACTAGCGCATATTTATTATGTTTCCTTTAAAAAGCATTGTACTCTACATGGATGTTATTTTACAGACCTTGGTTACGCAGGTAGCCCATCAACTCCAGTGGACTCAGTTGACAGTGATTTCTAGAGTTCAGACTTCTTCACACCAGCTTTGGGCGCAGATGGCACTATTTTGACTCCTCTGGTTCTACATAGTCTTGTGTTTAAACAGGTTGAAATAAGCAATGATAGCCTAATGATGGTAAGGATGAAGAAACTATGTTACCTCAATTTTCTTTTTCTCTGTTACTGCTTGGGATTTTGATTTATGTTTCACATGTGAAATGGTGAGAAAGAGAGGGCAAACTTTGAGATGCAATGGTTTAGCATACTCAAACTTTATTTTACCCAAAAAATAGTTTATTGAATGTAATTAGTACCTTTGACTTTGAAATTTATTCTTTTTAAATTGTTGCTTGCTTTAAAATTAAAAAAGAATATAAAATGTTACATCAGTAGTACAATTTAGTAGTTATCTAAATTGCATCTTTTGCAGATGTTTTAGTGTTACTAAATTTATTTACTAGTTACTGATAAGTTATTTACATAAAATATTATTTTATCAGATTGCTACTAAAGGATAAAATTCTAAACTGTTATGTTGTTATAATTTAAATAGTTGTGTTTTCTGTCCTCCATAAACTTGTAAGAACTTACTATTTTTGTACTAGTTTCGTAAAACTAAATAGTACAACTGGTTCATAATTATTCTGAATTTTGTAAAGAAATTTACATGGGGAATCCATATCAACATGCAGCTATATTGATGGTGAGGAAAAGATAAGGGAAGAGGGAAGTGTTAGCAAAATTAAGAATCATAAATTCCTGGACACATACATCCTCCCAAGACTGAACTAGGAAGAAATTGAATCCCTGAACAGACCAATAACAAGATCCAAAATTGAATCAGTAATTAATAGCTTACCAACCAAAAAAGCCCAGGACCAGACAAATTCACAGTTGAATTCTGCCAGATGTACAAATCTGGCAGAACCAAAAAAGAGCTGATACCATTCCTACTGAAGCTATTCTAAAAAACTGATGGATTCTTCCCCAAATCATTCTATGAGGACAGCATCATCCTGATACCAAAACCTGGCAGAGACACAGCAAAAAAAAAGAAACCTTCAGGCCAGTATCCTTAATGAACATGGGTGCAAAAATCCTCAACAAAATACTAGCAAACCAAATCTAGCAGCACATCTAAAAGCTAGTCCATCACGATCAAGTAGGCTTTATCCCTGGGATGCAAGGTTGGTTCAACATAAGCAAATCAATAAATATGCTTCATCACATAAAAAGAAGTAAAGACAAAACCACGTGATTATCTCAGTAGATGCAGAAAAAGCTTTCGGTAAAATTCCACATCCCTTCATGTTAAAAACCCTCAATAAACTAGGCATTGAAGGAACATACCTCAAAATAAAAAGAGCCATCTATGACAAACCCACAGCCAACATCACACTGAATAGGCAAAAGATAAAATCATTTCCCATGAAAACTGGAACAAGACAATGATATCCACTCTCACCACTCTTATTCAACATAGTATTGGAAGTCCTGGCCAGAGCAAACATGCAAGGAAAAGAAATAAAAGGAATCCAAATGGGAAGAAGGAAAGTAAAATATCCCTGTTTGCAGATGACATGATTCTATATCTAGAAAACCCCATAGTCTCTGCCCAAAAGCTCCTGTAACTGGTAAGCAACTTCAACAAAGCATCAGGATACAAAATTAATGTACAAAAATCTGCGCATTCTTACATGCTAACAGTACCCAAGCCAACAGCCAAATCAGGAATGCAGTCCCATTCACAATTGCCATGAAAAGAATAAAATACTTAGGAATACTAGCTAGGAGGTGAAAGATCTCTACAATGAGAATTACAAAACATTGCTCAAAGAAATCAGAGATGACATAAACAAATGAGAGAACATTCTATGCTCATGAATAGGAAGAATGAATATCCTTAAAATGACCATAGTGCCCAAAGCAATTTAGAGACTCAGTGCTATTCCTATCAAACTACCAATGACATTCTTCACAGAGCTGAAAAAAAAATTCTATAATTCATACAGAACCAAAAAAGAACCTGAATAGCCAAGGCAATCCTAAGCAAAAAGAACAAAGCTGGAGTAATCACATTGCCTGACTTCAAACTGTACTACAAGGCTACAGTAACCAAAACATCCTGGTACTGGTGCAAAAGCAGACACGTAGACAAATAGAACAGAATAGAGAGCCCGGAAATAGAGCCACACACCTACAACCATCTGATCTTTGACAAAGCTGACAAAAGCAAGAATGGAGAAAGGATTCTCTATTCAATAAATGGTGCTGGGGTAACTGGCTAGCCATACGCAGAAGATTGAAACTGGACCCCTTCCTTATACCATATACAAAATTTAACTCAAGATGGATTAAAGACTTAAATGTAAAACCTAAAACTATAACAGCCTTCCAAGGCAACCTAGGAAATATTAATACCATTTTGGACATAGGAACTGGCAACAATTTCATGATGAAAATGCCAAAAGCAATTGCAACAAAGGCAAAAAATTGGACTAATGGAATCTAATTAAATTAAACAGCTTCTGCACAGAAACAAACAAACAAACAAACAAATTAACAACAACAAAAAGACCTATCAACAAAGAGGAAACCTACAGAATGAGAGAAAATATTTGGAAAATATACATCAGACAAATATCTAATATCCAGAATCTACAAGGAACTTAAACAAGTTTATAAGAAAAAAAAAACCAAATAATCCCATTAAAAAGTGAGCAAAGGACATGAAGAAACACTTTTCAAAAGAAGACATACATGCTGCCAACAAGCATATCAAAAAATGCTCAACATTAGTAATCTTAGAGAAATGCAAATCAAAAGCACAATGAGATACTATCTCACGCCAGTAAAAATGGCTATTATTAAAAAGTCAAAAAGTAACACATGCTGGCAAAGTTGTAGAGAAAAGGGAACACTTATACACTGTTCGTGGGAGTTCAACCGTTGTGGAAAGCAGCCGTATGATGAATCCTCAAAGAGCTAAAAGCAGAACTACCATTCAACCCAGCTGTTCTACTACTGACCCTCAGGGAGTTTCTAACCCTCTATATACCTAGAGGAATAGAAATCATTCTACCATAAAGATACATGCACACGTATGTTCATTGCAGAACTATTCACAATATCAAAGACATGCGATGGGCAACCTAAATGCCCATCAACAGTATACCGGTTAAAGAAAATTTGATATATATACACCATGGAATATGCAGCCATAAAAAAGAATAAGATCATGTCCTTTGCAGGAACCTGGATGGAGCTGGAGGCCATCTTCATTAACAAACTAAAGCAGGAACAAAAAGCCAAATACCGCATGTTCTCACTGATAAGTGAGCTAAATAATAAGAACACATGGACAGTAAGAAGGGAACAACAGACACAGAGGCCTCAAGTATGAGGGTGGAGGATGGGAGATGAGAGGTTCAGGAAAAAAAAAAATACTGTTGGGTTCTAATCTTAGTACCTGGGTGACAAAGTAATCTGTACACCAGACCCCTGAGTCACATGTTTACCTATATAACAAACTTCACATGTACCCCTGAACCTATAATAAAAGTTAAGATATTTAAAATTTTAAAAAATTATAGAAATAAAAATAAATTAAAAAAATATATCAACAAGATTTTTAAATAATGGAAAAGAGAAAGACACTACTGAAGACCAAGTAAGATTAGACCAAAGCGCTAACAGACTTGGGCAAGACCAAGACTTTATTAAAGAAGAGAAGACGAGTTGATAATTTAATCTATTTTTCTATCACTAATTGTCCACAACTGCTTCCAGGTGACTTGAGAATTAATCTAGTTAGGAAAAAAATGAATCTCTTCCCAATAAAGATAGACCTCCCTTCAAAGTCGAAGGAGAGGGAAAAGGGGGCAAAGGAAGCAGTCAGTATTGATGATGTTACAATGTTAAAAATTTTACTAAATGGTGAAAAGGGTTGAGAATGTGGGAATTTTATTCAAAATCCAAATTTTTTTTATTTTCCTTTTGCTTCAGACTTTACAGTTCATAAAGTAAAAATTGAAATATACAGGTTTACAACTAGCTGAATAGTTACAGTTATTGAAATAGTCTTTGAAAACATAGTTGAAATTATATCTCAACGTCCCTAAGAATGAGGTATCCAAACATTATTTTAGAAAAATATTTTTGTCAATGAGGAAAATATTGGAATTGGGACTGAAACTCCAAATAACTGTTGATAAAATCCATTGAGAAGTAATAAGTGGAGAAATAAACAGAGAGAAAATTTCTAGGGAAATGTATTATGTCCACGTAAGTCCATATAGTGTATCCACATAAAAAATGTTCTGCTATTTTCGGCCGGGTGCTGTGGCTCACGCCTGTAAACCCAGCACTTTGGGAGGCCGAGGCGGGCGGATCATGAAGTCAGGAGTTTGAGACCATCCTGGCTAACATGGTGAAACCCCGTCTCTACTAAAAAAAAATACAAAAAATTAGCTGGGCATGGTGGTGGGCACCTGTAGTCCCAGCTACTTGGGAGGCTGAGGCAGGAGAATGGCGTGAACCCAGGAGGCGGAGCTTGCAGTGAGCCAAGATCACACCACTGCACTCCAGCCTGGGCCACAGAGCGAGACTCTGCCTCAAAAAAAAAGAAAAAAAAAAAGTTCTGCTATTTTCTAGGGATGCATATATGGCTGAGCTTGTATAATTATAGTCATGTTTGGTTAACAATGGGGATATTTTCTTTTTTTATTATTATACTTTAAGTTCTGGGGTACATGTGCATAACGTGCAGGTTTGTTACATAGGTATATATGTGCTATGTTGGTTTGCTTCACCCATCAACTCTTCATTTACCTTAGGTATTTCTCCTAATGCTATCCCTCCCCCAGCTCCCAACCCCCTGACAGGCCCAGAGTGTGATGTTTCCCTCCCTCTGTCCATGTGTTCTCATTGTTCAACTCCCACTTATGAGTGAGAACATGCGGTGTTTGGTTTTCTGTCCTTGTGATAGTTTGCTGAGAATGATGGTTTCCAGCTTCATCCATGTCCCTTCAAAGGACAAGAACTCATCCTTTTTATGGCTGCATACTATTCCATGGTGTATATGTGCCACATTTTCTTAATCCAGTCTATTATTGATGGACATTTGGGTTGGTTCCAAGTCTTTGCTATTGTGAATAGTGCTGCAATAGACATACATGTGCATGTGTTTTATAGTAGCATGATTTATAATCCTTTGGGTATATACCCAGTAATGGGATCACTGAGTCAAATGGTATTTCTATTTCTAGATCCTTGAGGAATCGCCACACTGTCTTCCACAATGGTTGAAATAATTTACACTCCCACCAACAGTGTAAACTCATTCCTATTTCACCACATCCTCTCCAGCATCTGTTGTTTCCTAACTTTTTAATGATTGCCATTCTAACTGGTGTGAGATGGTATCTCATTGTGGTTTTGATTTGCATTTCTCTAATGACCAGTGATGAGTTTTTTTCATGTTTGTTGGCTGCATACATGTCTTCGGTTGAGAAGTGTCTGTTCATATCCTTTGCCCACTTTTTAATGGTTTTTTTTTCTTGTAAATTTGTTTAAATTCTTTGTAGATTCTGGATATTAGCCCTTTGTCAGATGGGTAGATTGCGAAAATTTTCTCCCATTCTGTAGGTTGCCTGTTCACTCTGCTGATAGTTTCTTTTGCTGTGCAGAAACTCTTTAGTTTAATTAGATCCCATTTGTCTATTTTGGCTTTTGTTGCCATTGCTTTTGGTGTTTTAGTCATGAAGTCTTTGCCCATGCCTATGTACTAAATGGTATTGCCTAGGTTTTCTTCTATGGTTTTTATGGTTTTAGGTCTTACATTTAAGTCCTTAATCCATCTTGAGTTAATTTTTGTATAAGGTGTAAGGAAGGGATGCAGTTTCAGCTTTCTACATATGCCTAGCCAGTTTTCCCAGCACCATTTATTAAATAGGGAATCATTTCCAACAATGGGGATACTTTCTAAGAAATGCATCCTCAGACAGTTTTGTCCTTGTGCTTACATTATAGAGGGTACTTACACAAATCTTGATGGTATAGCTTACTAACCACCTGGGCTACATAGTATAGCCTGTCTCTCCTAGGCTACAAACTTGTACAGCATGTTACTATACTGAACACTGTAGGCAACTGTAACACAATGGTAAGGATTTGTGTATCTAAATATATCTAAAAATAGAAAAGATGTAGTAAAAATATGGCATACAAGATTTTAAAATGGTACACTTTTATAGGGTAGCTCCATTGTAATCTAATGGAGCCACCACCGTGTATGTGGTTCATCTTTGACCGTAATGTTATGTGATGCATGACTGGACTCTACGGTGCTGCTGATGGAAAGAGTTCACTTTTTTTCTTTCACTATGGTTTTTCACTTTCCAAACTTTTTATACAGATTTTGTATTTCTCCACTACCTTAATCACCTCTCAAAGGCATTTTTAACCTGGAGTCTACAGATAACTAGTTTGTCCACACATAGGTTTCAGGGAGTTTGTAACCCTCAGAAAATAAATAAAAGTTTGTGTAACAATGTGCTTACTTTATTTAAGAGAAGGTTCATAGTTTTAATCAGACTTTTAAGAGTGTTCCATGAATCAAAAAAGGTTTAAGAATGCCTCTTTAAGAATTCTTCACTTTTCCTGTTAAGTCAAAGGGTTAGGCAGTGTTGTACCTTGTAAATTGTGTATATGTACTTTATGGTGCATCTTAGGGTCTTGTTAAAATGCAGATTCTGACTCAGTAGCTCCCAGGAGACATGATGCTATTGATCCAGGTGTCACACTGTGAGCGTCATAGGCGTAAAACTCTTAAAGTTTAACGTTAGAGAGCTTTTGCCTCTGAACTGTTCCAGTAAGCCACAACCATTACTGGAAGGATACCATCCAGAGAGACATGGGACTAGATGTTGTCTTAGTTATCTGATCCTGGGCAAGTCACTCTAAGCTTATTTTCTTGAGTCTAAAAATGCAGTAATTATATTATTGACTAGCAGAATTGTTATAAGTTAGATGTCAACTGCGGTTCTTGGTATAGAGTAGCTACTAAACTTTTTTCCCAATTTCATTCTCTGCAGCACTTTCTGGTTTTCTTTGCCTCTAGTGAGGTGATTACTTAGGAGTTACAATCAGCATAACTGGCGATAGCCTCAGGTTTAAAATGAGTACAGTAAGACGTATGCCAAGAGTTTCCTTAGGAAAGTTGTTACCACTTAATATCTCCTGCTTCCAAGCAGAATTCGAGTTCCAGCCTTTTCTACCCATCAAATTTCACCAGGAGTCTGCCAATACAAGTTGACTGTTTACTGCTCTTTTTGATTTAGCTGCTGGTTGCTTTGGGTAATGCTGCCTTTAAGCCAATATGAGCACTGCACTCTCTCACTTTGATTCCAACTTCAACACTTATTTGCACCAGTTATATTAGTTGTCATCTTCTATAGTGAATACTGCAATATTCCCATATTTCTATTTTCTATCCCCAACTAATTTTCAAGCAATTCTGTCTGCCAGATTTCACTTACCTCACTACAACAAAACTTCAATGTTTATCTAATTACCACTGCTGAATGTAACTGCTTAAATTATTTATATTAATTATTGATTTGATGTATGACCTTTGTTACTCATCTTCTCACTTTGTCCTCAGATTTTCAAGAATCAAATATGTATAGGTTGCATTGCATCACAACACTCAAGTGTCACATGGAGCTGGGGGCTTAAATGCTTTGGAGCATGTCACGGTTATTCCTTCTTGTAGTCTAGGTCACTGCTGTTGCTAATGAATTATTTTATGTTCTCATCATTAAGCTACAAAGGCAGAACAATTTGGTCACAACTTTATTTTATTAGAAAAGTAACAAGGTCATGATTAACATGGAACTTATATTAATGTGACTGACTATCAGAGTCTCATCATTGAGAAAGACTCGAAGCAGATGGTAGTAAACAAATGTGGTGGAAAACAAAGGTACTAATTGATAATTTTTCAGTTCTCGAAGTTGCCGCTTGTATGAATAGATCACGGAATAAAAATGGAGAGAAAAAAAGACTGTTGTGTTATACTTGAAGACTATTAGGCTCAAGGTTACCAGCCAAGCGTAATTCTTGTTTAATTCTCCCATTATCACCTCATCTTGTTTATGACAGGGACAACTTTAATAGAATGTCACTTGAAATCACCGAAATACACACAAGTGCTGTAATTTACATTAGCTACAAAATGAATATCCTTTCCACAGGGACCCTTGAGTTAGCAAGTGCATCAGGGACAATGTATGTTGCCTCTGAACTCTCTCTGGACGCCATAGCCATTACTTGGCAGATACTATGTAAGAGGAAGATGACTTTTTTTTTGGAGACATCAATTAGAGTGTTCTCCTTTCCCTTTCTGAAGGGAGTTCTGGGTGCTGATCCAGGAAATAAAATGTTTCTGGTTTCTGACACTATAGTCTGTCTGTCTGAAAAGGAAGGATTAGACTTATCTATTCAACTGCTAAGTTTTAGTTCTGCCTACAGAGTGTTCTGATGTCTGACGAGGCCTATGGCTGCCTTCTGGAGTAGTGTATCCCCATGAGAATAGCTCCCCAAATGCTTAACTACTCAGTGATAATTGAATAAATCTGCATTACACCGGACCTGATGTATTGGCAGCTACAGACAAGAAAGTACAACAGAATTAAAGTCATTGATAGGACTTCAAAACGACATTTTGAAGAACAAATCTCTAGGAATGCAACTCCTTATAGAAAAATTATACTATTTTTAGTAGCTCAATTATTACTTTGATAAAGCAAGAATAGCCGGGTGCAGTGGCTCACGCCTGTAATCCCAGCACTTTGGGAGGCCGAGGCAGGTGGATCACGAGGTCAGGAGATCGAGACCATCCTGGCTAACAGGGTGAAACCCCGTCTCCACTAAAAATACAAAAAAATAGCTGGGCGTGGTGGCGGGCGCCTGTAGTCCCAGCTACTGGGGAGGCTGAGGCAGGAGAATGGCGTGAACCCGGGAGGCGGAGCTTGCAGTGAGCGGAGATCGCGCCACTGTACTCCAGCATGGGCGACAGAGCAAGACTCTGTCAAAACAAAAAAAAACAAAAAAAAAAACAAAAAAAAAACAAAAAAAACAAAGAAAGATAAAGCAAGAATATAAATGTTGACTGTGCCATTCAACGACAAGAATGAATCTGATGATTGCTAATTAGCCATAAGTTGGGACTGTGGAATGGTCTTTAATTTTGGAAGTAACTGAGGTTTATGGAAACCATTGTTGGGAAGACTAAGTGGATTTGCTGCGTGGCCAGCAAATTTCCACAACAAATTTACTGTCTATAGGTAACCTGCCATTGAGAACGCTTTGCAAAATGCGTAACTACAGCAGAGTTTCAGTATGACGGAATTTTCCACTTTTCAAGGCTAAATTGGCCAGAGCTCAGGGGGGACAGGGTTGCGGAGAAAGGAGGTAGAGTCACACTTCAAGGGCCCGCCTGATAAAGGGACTGAGGACTCTGACAGTGGGCAGGCTTGTAATGGGCCCTGCCCCATTTTTTTCTACTCCTGTTAGGCATCATACCCTGATCTTGGCTACCTCTTTTATATGATTCCCTTTGTATACTGCAGTGGTTCTCAAATTTTAGCATGCATTCATTTCACTTGGAGGGATTATTAGAACACAGATTGCTGGATCACAAGCCCAGAAATTCTGCTTTAGAGTGTCTGAAGTGGGGAAAGGAACAGTAATTTGCATTTCTAACAAAATGATGTTGATACTGCTACTGAGAGTTACTATTCTATGTCTCCTCTGGAATACTTTCCTTTTGAACACTCCTTACTTTGTTGTCATATCTGCCCTGCTCGATATTCTTCCTCCTTGCCCAGTTAGAGCTTCCACTTCAAGAGAACAAAACCCCAATCTCTCCAAGGTCATATGTATTAAGAAGCAGGTTAAGAATTTGAACTAATGTCTCTCTCTAACCCAATAGAGCACTGAATGGAAGTGCACCTTAGATCTATTCTTGGGAGTGTTATAGGAGCTGACTCTTGAAAGGAGCCTGGTAGAGGTTAAAGAATGTTTCTTGAAGGAGGTGAGAAGGTGAAACCAAAAATTTAAAGGATGAGTAGAAGTTTACTCAAAAAAAGTACATGGAAAAGGATACTCCAATACCTTTACTCTGACCACTGAATTTTTTGCTGTTGCCACTTTGTCCTCATTACTTTCACCTCTTGGGTGCTGTCTCTCTGCCCCTGTGACTGTCTCAATCATGCTCCCTCTCACAGAACAGTGGTAGAAGTCAACCACCCTGTTCAGTGCATAAATCTCTCATTCTGGACTCAGATTGGAGTAAAGTTTTTTATTTATTTATTTATTTATTTATTTTACCTTAAGTGCTGCACAGATTGTTCTCTCTTAAAGCAAGGGCAAAATTATTTTTCATTTTCTTCCCATCATCACTTTTCTCAAGGGCTAATAATTTGATCTTTTCTGTACAGCTGTTTCCCTAAATAACTTAAGAACAAAATTGTTACTCCAGATGATTTTGCTTTAATGTCTTAGCAATCACACACTGGAAAATTAATCAAAGAGAAAGGATGATTGGTATTTGAAAAGGAAGGCAGAGTCCACAAAGAGACTAGTTTTGAACAATCTGCCATGGAATTCTGCTGCTTCACTCCACCTGGAGGTTGCTATACCCTGGGAAGAATTATCAAAATGCATAACCCCTAGCTTTTCTGGTAGTCTTTAAAGGTGACTTGGAATCTTTTGTGTTTGCGACATTTTTAGACATTTCTGAGAGATCCTGATGACTTTCTGAGGTCACTTTGTGGTTCCATAAAATACTCATCTTAGCCCAGTGTTTCTTATCAATGGGACAGGTCTTCTGTCGTCACAGGCTTCACCACACCAGCCTGTTTTTCACATTTGTGTAACTCCCTGGTCCCTGCAACCATTTTATTGCACAACTGCTGAAAGGCCAAAACCTAGCTGCAATTGCCACTTCTTCCAGAGCAGTTTCTGAGAAAGATATATGTACAAAAGAAGAAAGTAGACAGAGATACTTGCATAAACATAAATAGCTATCACTGGCTTGGGTTTTGGCTCCTCTAAGCCTCAGCAGGGAATCCTTGTGAGCTATGCTGGATGATAGCACTATGGTTCCTCTTGTCTTTTATCCTGCAAGCATAGTCTTTGAATCTCAATGCTCAGCTCCAAGGCCAACAGGATAAGAAAACACATTAGTGGGGAAAAACAAAGAATGGAGCATTTGTTTAATCCTTAGATAGAGGAAATTTTATTTCACTACCCTGCCCAAGCATTCTTAGGGTTGCTTATATTACCAACTCCAGGAGAAGAGGAATGCCCCAAGAGAAAAGGAGAGTCAACCCCACCCGTCACACATACACACACACATACACACACACACACACACACACACACACACACACACACACACATACTGACTCAGACCTCTAATCCCTTCCCCATTACATAAACCTACTAGTCCTTTTTAGCATAAGGATCCAACAGAACATCTTTGAGCCTAACCATGCTGCATCTTGGGGGTTACAGGGTGTTTCTGTGAGTCTCGGAACAGGCCCTTAGAGTCCAACTTGCACAGCTCTAATCAGTGGTCCTGGAGGGGGTCTTGTTTGGGGATGATATTACCTGGAAATGGTAAAATTTAAAAAGAGGCACCCTTGACCTCCCCTTAGCCCCCAGCAATGAGCTCCATAGAAAAAATCATGGAAGAATTAAAAAGACTTGGATTATGAAAACAAGTTCAAAAAAATTTCTTATTGTCTTTGAAATCAAATAATCACTTCCTCAATCTGTGTTCTGAAACTTTTCATCAAATGACCACACTTTAATTTTCCAGCCTCATGTCTCTCTATTTTACTAAAACTTTCTCCTCTCCTACTCATCAGCTATGCCAGTCATATCTTTTTTGCAAAGCCAAATGCCATTTTCCCCAGTAAGGCTAGGGGTAAGCCACACCTTCTCCAAAAACCTTTTTACCATGGCTCTCTAGGTCATTCAAGTCTGTTCCACTCTTTCCAGTCCTCAGCAAAAATCTATGCATGATGCCATGTTAGAATATTATCTTGCAAGTGTAATCAAGTTATTTCAAGTAGGGATGATTTGTTTCCCAAAATAGGCATCAAGTTTGCAGCAAATTTGTCTCAGGAGAAATCTGTTTTCTTTTTTGCCTTCCCAGGGCACTAGTAAATCATATATTCATTCCACTTGCAAATGTTTGTGACTAGAGGAATAGATGAATGAATCTATGGATCTCCAAAAGCAGATCGTTTGAAGGTAATAGCGAATAATGTAGGATCAAAAAGGGAAAGGTAAAGCCAGATAGCATTTATTTTAGAAGAAACCCATTTTTGAGAGACCATAATAATTCCTAATAAGA
Source organism: Homo sapiens (assembly GCF_000001405.40). Taxonomy (NCBI): domain Eukaryota; kingdom Metazoa; phylum Chordata; class Mammalia; order Primates; family Hominidae; genus Homo; species Homo sapiens. The sequence goes on from NC_000004.12 coordinate 141,758,992, forward strand.
GGCAGCCCCAAATAAGCCTACTGAGCCAGTTATTGAGTTGTAGGGAAGTGGTTCCTGCACAATCCAGGTACCTATATTGTTCCCTGACTTCTGACAGAGATGTGCCTCTCATTATAATTGACCAAATCGATTGTTTCTTTCATTAATGTTTTTGCTTAACTTATATAAACCTTATGTGTTCTTATAGAAAAATTGGATAATTCAGATTTTAATAATAAAAAAATTAAAATCACATACAGTGCTACCACTTAGAGGTAATCACTGTGAACTGTTTTTAATAACCTTCCATTCTTTTGTATGTGCATTTTAAAAGAGTTTATATTGTATATACTACTTAGTAAATTTTTACCTTACTTATCGTGAACCTCATTTTAATGGCCATATAGCAGTCTATCATATTAATATAATACAGTTTCTAAGTCTTTTTTTCTATTGTTGCACCTTAGTCATTTTATACTTCCATTGTTATAAACTCTTTTCAATGAGTATCCTCAAGATAAATCATTTTATTTATGTCCAATTAATCCTGTAAGATAGTTGCCTCTCAATCAAAGGATATGGATATTTTTAAGGACACATTATTGTTGAGTGGGTCTTTTATCCCCTCTCACATTTCCACTTCACCCACAGGAAAGACTGAACACACCCCAAGCCTCTACATTTAGGGAAGTGTTGGGGGAGATACATCTGACTTTTCTACATCCCATTCTCTATCCTATTCTGGGAGAAAGAGTGGCTAATTGAAGTGGCCACAGAGCACTTTAGCAGGGCTTCTGTTCATTAGTAGTTAAGGTCTTTAATTTAAAAGTTGGATCTAAGTGCATCCTGGCCTCCTGCCTTGTCTTATACATCTGGTGTTCTGTATTTCAGTCTGACCTGACCTGACTCAGAAGGATAGCCTTCTATCTAGCTTTCTCCAGACTAGCCATACTCCTGGCCTTCTTTGTTCTGGTTGTGACTGAGTACATGGATAAGTTGAAAGTACAAATCTGTCTCTTGGCTCCAGGTTCTTGTGGTTGGGTGGATAAGCCAACTCACATTCAAAGATTAGAGAATAGGATCTAAGAAGTCTTACCCAAGATTCCTGGCCTATTCTCAGCCTGGTTCCAGTGTGTCAGTGTTTATGTAGGAGGATGGAGGCAGGAAGGATATTAAGCACTGGCCAATATTAAATAGACCAGCACTTTACCTTTACTTTTTCATCATTTCTTTTGTGCATCCTCTCCTATCAGTTCCTGAAACCTAGAGTAGAGTACTTCCTTCAAAAAGGGCTGTGAACATGAAAATGACTCAGAGGATATTATCAAGTACATTTGTCATGTCTTGACAGGAAGTGTTTTAATGTCCATGCCGTAGTGGTGGTCAAATCTATCAAATGTTTTATTTATGGTTCCAGCCCCTGACATCTTACTTGGACAGGTTTTTCTCAGCCTAAATTTAAATTTAAATCCATGTATTTTTCCTCCAGGTAGGTTTTTGATTTCATTTTGGGTTTTGAAATTGTTTGACTCATTACCTTGGTTTGAGGTATGAAACAGGGGATCTCAGTTAATTATTTCCGCCAAAGGTAAATAAATTGTATTTTATTATGTGATTATTTTTCTACATATATACTTAGCTACCTTCCTGGACTCTCTCTATCCTCTTTTGGTCTTTTGATCTGCCTGTCATTCTTAATTATTTGAGCAGATTAAGAGCATTCTGCTGTTATTAGCAATACTAACAAGTAAATATGTGGAAAAATAATATTAAATATTAGATTGGGATGAAAATTTAAGGGAAAAGTGTTATTCTGCATAAAACGGTGAATTAGGGTTTTGCAAAGTTTTTTGGAAGAGTTTAATATAACTGATGAAAGAGTGTGTCAGTGATAAGAAGCTTTAATACTGAATGGAGAAAAGGTAAAGGAGAGTTAGAGAAGAAAGCAAACTTCAGGAAAGCTCGTGCATTTGCTCTCTGGAAAAGGGTCCCTTGGTGGAAGATTTGACCTGTTCATTGCCAAGAATGGCTATATTCCTCTCATAGAGACACATACACCAGCCTCTCAGAGCCTGAAGTTGACCAGCCATTTGAATTTTACTTGCTCCCTTTGCTCTGATTTGCTGCTCAACAATTAAGTCCCAAAATAAAAGCTGGATTCTTACTTACCTTGCCTACAGGGAGAGAAGGTGCTTGCCTGAGGATGTCTGGCCTATTGGCAGTTAGAAATCTTGTAAATTCTTAAACCGTATCCTCCTGTCAGCTTGTTTATGCCGGTGTCACTGAGATTTGTGTCTATGCATACAGAAGAAGCACAAGGACACTAGCATAGTTTTTCTCTGAGCAGAGCTAACAGCATTTATGTAAGAATCAGACATCGGCCTTTGTCTCAAGCGAGCCAAACAATCTAGATACCTAAAATCACAGTTTCTCTACACATCTGTAGATTAGAGTTTATTTTCACTTTTTTTTATATTTTAAAGGTGAAAAGGACAGGATATCTGGGACCTGCATTTAATAATGTCAAATGATTTTAAAGAAGATTTAAGGTACAAGCTTATATATATTTATTATTTATCTCCAAGAAAGCATACTTGTTAGAAATGTATTAACCTCTCTTAGAAAGAAATTCCAAGAAAACTTATGTGATTATGACTATATGCATTGCAGCAACTGCAAGAGCTCCCCACATTTAAGTAAAAATGAGTGGACCACTCAGACAAAGAAAAATTGGAGTTGATATGTGAAAAAATTCTGTTTAATTTGTTTTTCAAATCTTGAAAAACCAACAAGTGGATTTAATTGCTTAGCAGTTCTCCACCCAACAAGTGGGAGGAACTGAGAAAAAAGGAAATTTATTGCAAATCTGTTCCTTTTCTTCTTGAAACAATCTAGTTTAAAGTGATGGCTCAATGAGTATTTGACTTCTCTCAAAATACTTTTCTCAAGTTTATACTTTGCTAAAGTATCTTATTTCTTGATATTTCAGCTCTAGGCATTATCTACAGACTCTCTTCTCTTGCAGATGAGAATTTTACACTTACATTTACCCTGGTTCCCACCATATGCTTTGCCTCATGTCAATATATCAAAATCAAAATTTCTGGTTACGTTGATACTCAACATTTAATTATTGTGACTAAGTAAATTCTGTTTACTGCCAAGCCAATTGTGCAATTTATTCTGCTAAAGACCATGCTGTTGTTTTTTGTTTTAATAGGAATTACCTCAAATAACATCAGTAACAGTGGAATGACCAGTACAACTCGGAAGTCATATTATTTTATATGACATTTTGCATGATGTGTTAGTATTTTGAGGTCATCAAGGATAAGTGATTTTACAATTAAAAGGAAGCCTTAGCAATATACATATGTACATTACAAAACTGCTGAAAATCCTATAAAATGCCTTTCTTTAGAGCAAGAAGTTGCTGATTTAGTGACTGCAAGAACTGCTACAACCTCTACTGTCTTAAATATTTTGGGAAACTAAGTGCAGAAGACATCTCCTCTGACATTAAAACATTTGTTGATGGAGAAGACTATCCCTGTATCACAGTTTTAATTTTGATGAAATCAGCCACTCACAAAATAAAAACAAGCTAGATAACCTAAAAGGAAATATTTTAAACCCATCAAATACTTAAAGTCTTAAAGTAACATAATGAATTAAAGTATGAGAAATGCCCAGTCCTCTTAGGAGATACAGAAACCATGGATGTTTTCATCTTTGGTAAAGTAGCAGGGAGAAGAGGAAACTTCCATAGACACAGCAGGAAGAAAACAGGTGAACTTTTAAGGATTTTTAAAGGCTGAGTACAGGCTGGTATAAGAGTTTAGAGACCTTGAGGGTCCTGTAGACAAGCAGAACCTACGCTGCCTGCCAACTTTTTAACACAGGCCTTCACTGAACACTCACCAGAAAGATAGCTGGCAAGGAAGGAGAACTGAGACCCTTTCACAGTGCAAGTGCTGCCAACCTGCTGTAGTCTGAGGGCAGAGCAAAGAACTAAGAGAAACTCCCCTGGCTGGGTGCAGTGGCTCACACCTGTAATCCTAGCACTTTGGGAGGCTGAGGAGGGTGGATCATGAGGTCAAGAGATCGAGACCATCCCTGCCAACATGGTGAAACCCCGTCTCTACTAAAAATACAAAAATTAGCTGGGTGGTGGCAGGTTCCTGTAGTCCCAGCTACTCAGGAGGCTGAAGCAGGAGAACCACTTGAACCCGGGGGGCAGAGATTGCAGTGAGCCGAGATCGTGCCACTGCACTCCAACCTGGGTGATGGAGCACTCCATCTCAAGAAAAATAAAAAAGGAGAACCCCTCCCATATCCCAGGCCTTATGCTGAACATTAGACAGCAACAATCTATGACTGGGGATGAGGCAGGACCCTTCTGAGGCATACACGTATGGGTCCTGCCTAAGTATAAGGACAGGAAGGAGAACTGAGAAAGAAACTTCACGGGAACTCCAAGCTTTACCTTGATCCTAAGTGACAGGAGTCAGCCATCAAAGGAGGACCAGAAGAGCTGAAAGAAACCACCCACATAAGTGCAGAGGTACTGAGATAAGGAAAACAATACTGAGGAAATCCCTTACAGGCAACCAGGCTGACACTGCAGACCAGGAAATGGCTTTCTACCACCTGAACAAATACTGCTTGGAGAATTGGATATTCATATAGGAAAACAAATGTTACATCATAATGAAAAGTAATGTGAGATGGATTATAGACTTAGAATTAAAGCTAAAACTGTACAACTTCTAGAACAGCTGTCCTCAACCATTTTGCCACTAGGGATCGGTTTTGTGAAAGACAATTTGTCCACAGATGTTGGGGCCAGGTGATGGAGGATGGATGGAGCATGCAACCTAGATCCCTTGCATGCACAGTTCACAATAGGGTTCATGACCTTTGAGAATCTAATGCTGAGGCTTCTCTGACAGAAGGTGGAGCTCGGACACTAATCCGAGTGATGGGGAGTGGCTGTAAATACACATGAAGCTGGGATTACAGGCGTGAGCCACCGAGGCCAAGGTGAGCAGGTCACCTGAGGCCAGGAGTTCAAGACCAGCCTGGCCAACATGGTGAAAACCCGTCTCTACTATAAATATAAAAAATGAGCTGGGTGTGGTGGCGGGTGCCTATAATTCCAGCTACTCGGGAGACTGAGGCAGGAGAATTGCTTGAGCTGGGATGGCGGAGGCTGCAGTGAGCCGGGATCGCACTGCTGCACTCCAGCCTGGGCAACAAGAGTGAAACTCTGTCTCAAAAAAAAAAAAAAAAAAAAAAAAAACCAAAAACATGAAGCTTTTCTTGCTCTCCCACTGCTCACCTCCTGCTCTGTGGTCTGGTTCCTAATAGGCCCTGGTCTAGTACCGGAGTGAGTTGGGGACCCTTTTCTGGGAGATAACATAGGAGAATCTTCACTATGTTGGTTTAGGCAAAGATTTCTTAGAGCAGAGTCAGATGACATTAACCAGAAAAGAAAATCATTGATAAACTGAACTTCATCAAAACTAAAACTTCCACTCACAAAATTTCACCATTAAGAAAAGAAATAGATGAGGCTCCAACTGGAGAAAATAGTCTTAACACAAATATTTGACAATTACAACTCAATAATAAAAAGACAACCCAGTGGGCAAAGACTTGACAGATATTTGAGAAGATACATAAATGGCCAATTCACATATTAAAAGGTGCTGAACATCATTAGCCATCAGAAAAATTCAAATCAAAACCATTGCAAGAACCTACTGTACACCATCTAGAATAGTTACAATGACAAAGATTTATAACACCAAATGTTGGAAGATACATGGAGCAACCAGAATTCTTATTTATTGATTTGGGGTGCATCAAATAGTAGAACAACTTTGGGAAAGATTTTGGCAATTTCTTATGAAGTTAACCATATACTTACCATACAACTCAGCAATTTTCCTTTTAGATACAAGGACTTTTAGATTTATTTTATTCTTTTATTTAACTTTTAGGATCGGGGCACATGCATAGGTTTGTGATACAGGTAAACTTGTGTCACAGGGCTTTGTTGTGCAGATTATTTCATCACCCAAGTACTAAGCCTAGTACCTTGTTTTTTTCGGATCCTCTCCCTCCTCCTGCCCTTCATCCTCAAATAGGCCCCAATGTTTGTTGTTCTCATCTTTGTGTCCATATGTCCTCATCATTTAGTTCCCGCTTATAAGTGGGAACATGCAGTATTTGGTTTCCTGTTCCTGTGCTAGTTTGCTAAGGATGATGGCCTCCGGCTTCCTCCATGTTCTTACAAAGGACATGATCTCATTCTTTTTTATGGCTGCATAGTATTCCATGGTATATATGTACCACATTTTCTTTATCTGGTCTACGATTAATGGGCATTTAGGTTGATTTCATGTTTTTCATATTGTGAATAGTGCTGCAATGAACATACACATGCATGTGTCTTTATGGAAGAACAATTTAAAGAAAAGGTCAATATCACTGGTTATTAGAGAAATGCAAATCAAAACCACAATAAGATGCCATCTCACACCAGTCTGAATGACTATTACCAAAAAGTCAAAAAAACAACAGATGCTGGCAAGGTTGAGAAGGAAAGGGAATGCTTATACATTATTGGAGGGAGTATAAATTAGTTCAACCATTGTGGAAAGTAGTGTGGTGGTTCCTCAAAGAGTTAAAAACAGAACTACCATTTGACCCAGCAATCCCATTACTGGGTATACCCATACAATGATTTTTTATGGCAACTTTATTTACAATAACCCCAAATTAGAAACATCCTAGGTGTTCACCGACAAGAGAATGGACTAACAAAATGTGATATAGTCATACAATTAAATACTCATCAGTAATAAAAAGGAAAACATAAAGGTGGGTGAATTTTGAAATTTCCTATTGGAAGACTCACCAAAACCACCATGCTAAGTGAAAGTAAACAGAACCAACAAACTACTTATGTAATATTCCATTTATATGGATTTCTAGAATAAGCATGACACATCTAGGATGTTTGCTTTAGGTGGGCTTTTAACTGAGAAAGGGTATGAGGAAAATTTCTGTGGTGATAAAAATATTCTCGCCCGAGCATGGTGGCTCACGCCTATAATCCAAGCACTTTGGGAGGCTGAAGCGGGCAGATCACTTGAGGTCAGGAGTTCAATACCAGCCTGGCCAACACGGTGAAACACCGTCTCTACTAAAATTACAAAAATTAGCCGGGCATGGTGGTAGGCACCTGTAATCCCAGCTACTAGGGAGGCTGAGGCAGGAGAGTTGCTTGAACCTGAGAGGCTGAGGTTGTAGTGAACAGAGATTGCACCACTGCACTCCAGCCTGGGCCACAGAGCGAGACTCCATCTCAAAGAAAAAAAAGAGAAAAAGAAAAAACAAAATTCTGAAATATGACAGAGATCAAGATTATACTAATGTATGTATTTGTTAAAATTTTTGACATATACACTTTAGATTTCTGTATTTCACAGTATGTAAATTATATTCAACAAAAATATGTTTTAAAGTTTTCTAGTTTTATTTTTTATCAAATAGTCATGACCTGACATGTTTCCTCCTCCATGGCATTAACTTAATGTAGCCAGATTTCAGTTATCTTTGAAAGAATTTTTAAAGAATCTCTTTTTTCCACCAAAGACTTGGGAGATTTAAATAATTCATGTTTTCAGATATGATCCCTAAATTTAAATTGAACTAAACAAACTCAGTGAATGCAATTCATTCACTAGCAGGTGTAAAGCAGTAAAGCAGCTGTTTAGCAGGAAAGTGTCTGAACATTACAAGAAGCCTGACTAACAGATTCATTATCACAGCGGAGCATGATTTTACAGTACTGTAAATGTGTCAAACTGGTTAAGCCACGGGACTTAAACCCTGTTTTGTTATGGTGCCTTAAACAATGAGAATATTCCAAAATATTTAGTCAATATATAATTATTATGAACTCACAGAGACATAACCCTACTCAGAGGTGCTTTCCAAACACCCTAGAATATTGAGACTAATTTGTTAACAAACATATTCTATGTCTTTTATATAAATGAGCATTGAACTTGGAAGTTCTTAGAACTAGGCTTTTACTTAAGTGATATGCTTTTTGCATAAAACCTTCCAAGCTAATTTTAAACTTTAAATGAAAGAATAATTATTACAGGTGTTTAAAATATTGGTTGAATTTTTATTCAAAAATACTTCCAAATTACATTATTTTTAAAATTTACCCTCAAAAGTTGATGATTTACTACCATTGAGAAATTTAAGAATTCTATTTGTAAGCCCTTATATTTTTCAAACAACTGCACCTTTAATTTAGTTGAAAAATATTAAAGGAGAACTTTCAAAGTAACTAACACTATGATGGGTGCAGGAAGATAATGTGAAAAATATGCAACTCCTGCTCACTCTCATAGATTTCTTTCTGACTATAGGCCCCCCCGAGCTTTCTTTTCTTATAGCATTTACTTTAGAAAACTATTAATGACAAATTCTTTCTCTGCCACTTTGGAATGAATGTAAATCTCCTTAAAAAGCCTACTGCCAGGTTTACAACCCAGGGCATGTATTCCTTAAGGACCTTGGAGTCATCTCTTTGAAGTGTAATCATCCAAAAAGATAGCACCCCTTTCTCTCAGCCTCCATGGTGAGGTAGAAACTTAACTTCAGTGGCTCCTTGCTCCAAGTTGTAAAACTACCACCTGTCCTGAAGACAGGAGAAAGCTTACTTTCTCTTTTGGTTAGGCCAATTAGCAAACACAGATGACATACAAGTCCCCCCACTCCAGCTCCTAAAAACTTTCTGGGCTTTTGTTTCCGTGGATTTGAGTTTAGTCTCTTTTCCCTCTTGCAATTGTCTTGAATAAATGATAGTCTGATTAGTCTTACACAGCCTTCAGTAAATAGAATTTATTAAAGTAAAAAGTGTATTTTGCTTTGTCCAGTGCAATTTTTTACATTGACAACCTTTTGGACAATGGTTTTATAGGTAAGAGGGAGGGGCACTGGGTACAGATGATTAATTATGAATCTATTGCTATAATGCAGGCAGAGCTATTGGGAATAAATTAAGAACTTAGTGCAGGAAGAGGCAGAACTAAGAAATACCAAGGGGGTAGAATCTATGGGACTTGGTGACCATGGATTTTTAAAGATAAGAATGTAAAGTGTTATTTAGGTTTTTGGCAAGGATCAAGTCTTTTGACTGGATGAATTGTGGTAAAACTCCTGATAAAGTGAACAAAAAATTATTGAATGGGCCGGGCGTGGTGGCTCACGCCTGTAATCCCAGCACTTTGGGAGGCTGAGGCGGGCGGATCACGAGGTCAGGAGATCGAGACCATCCTGGCTAACACAGTGAAACCCCGTCTCTAATAAAAATACAAAAAAAAAAAAAAAAAATTAGCCGGGTGTGGTGGCGGGCTCCTGTAGTCCCAGCTACTCGGGAGGCTGAAGCAAGAGAATGGCGTGAACCCGGGAGGCGGAGCATGAGAGTGTGCAGAGATCGCGCCACTGCATTCCAGCCTGGATGACAGAGTGAGACTCCGTCTCAAAAATAAAAAAAAAAAAAGAAAATAATAAAAAAAAAGAAAATTATTGACTGAAACAGAGGTAAGTATATTTTTCTTATTCCAACTTTCTGGGTTGATGTTTGAAGATCCCTACAAGCTATATACCTCAAGCAAGGTTCTTCTACATGTATTGAAGGTGTAGTTTGTAGAGAAAAGAATGTGGTAGTAAGTAATGTCGGCAGACCTCATCTTGAGATAAATGGAAGTCCTCTCACATAGTTCTTTCTTTCAGTGCCCACCACGAATTCTTGTAAATATACTACTGGTTCCTGAGGAGTATTAGGGGATAAGCACCTTGCACATGACCTCCATATTGATCAAGGCAATCTCAACACTTTTATTATTTGATTAAACTTAATTCTGGAACAAAGAGTCCATTTTAGAGATATTGGCAAATAACAGCATTGATCAAATTCGTGTTTTCTGCATTTTTCAACCAGAACATAAAGCTCTCTTGTCTCCAGGGCCATTCTCTTTATTTCATCAACAGACGGTGTCACAGTCAATTTCTGTGCTCTTGTACTGGCATATAAAATCTAAAGCAGCTATCCAAGGGTGCATTAAATATAAAATGGCTGAGTCATTCTGTCTTACACGGAAACATATGGGAATCTTTGCTTCCTAATAAAGAAAACAATGGGGGTGGAGGCAGCCACCACGGGATTAATCTGAATCACAAAGCTTCCAGACTCACCAAACAGCTTGAAATGTGCAACAGTTTTAGGCTGTTAACTTTCAAATATAATGAAATTTTGGAAGGGCAATTTTATTTCACAAAAATTTTCAATAAACTCCCTCCTCATTGACCCCCAAAAGCCCATATGAGCTCCGCAGGTTAATGTTGTTTCCTTTGACCACTCTTACTAATTATGTTCAGTACACATTTTCTTTCTCCGAATGATAATCTTGTTTACTTCCATATTTTAGCCATCTCCCATCCCCCAGAGAGATTCAAAATGAATTAAATTTCATGCAAATGAATGGAATGAATTGATCTCATCTTCCCATCTGAATCTTACAGGAGTCAACCTGATGTGGATGAGGTCTTTTTGGCTCTCTCAATCACTAAACTAACCTGAAGAATAAGGGAAGAAGTACAAGAACAGAGAGCAAATTCTTTGGAACTGGGATGGTTTTTAGATTCCAGAAGTTCTGTCTTCACCTTAGGGACAACTGAAACGAGTGTCTTCATATTCCCTGGGACTGGATTTGAGCAGTTGCAGGATGACCTACCCTATTCCAACTTGAGAAAGCAGAGGAGAGAGAAAAAAGTTTTGTCCTTTAAGATGTAAACTTATAGAAGCTTATTCTCTGAGAATTTATGCAAGCTCAATATTAAAACCATGAGTTAGAGAATGGAGCTGTCTTGACCGTATATACCCTCCTTCCCCTGCTTTCCACCTGTCCTCTTCCCTTTTTCTTTCACTCCTTCCCTCCCTCCCTCTCTTCCTCCCTCCCTCCCTCCCTCCCTCCTTCCCTCCCTTCCTTCCTTCTTTCCTTCCTTCTTTCTTTCCTTCCTTCCTTCTTTCCTTTCTTCCTCCTTCCCTCCCTCCCTCCCTCCCTTCTTTCCTTTTGTCTATCAGTCCTTTTGTCTGTGCTTCCTTCCTGAGTGGTTGGAGACCATTAAGGTGTCCTTCTTTCATTTGATGATGCTCAGCAAATCATTGAGGCCTTTAGAACATTTCCAAGCTGATAATCTAAAAATTCAGTTTCTCACTAAAACCAAGATAAACTTCAACCCTTTAAGGCTTCTAGTAGAAATCCCCATCTTTGAAGGACTATACATAAAACACATTGATGGCATTATTTACTATGTTCTAGTTCTGAAGTATTGAGAAGTAGTTTATTTTTATGTCAGTTGTCATATAATCAGTGCCCTCTAATGAAATAGAAAATTCTTCCTTCTTTATTCACTGTTCAGTATCATAATTCAAAATAACAGGACACCAAACAACTGGGGCTCAGGAACATATTTAAGTAGAAAGAATGTGCAAATCTAAGTTGAAGAGTGGAAAACGTTGGCTAAAACTGAAATGGTCACAAAACGCTATTTAATTATCACGAGTACTTAGGAATGAACTGACAGCAGACAGTTTCATTTTCCCTGAGAACATATACCCTCCATTCTACACATGCATCAACCACTTGCATTTTTCAGATCATCCACACCAGTCCTTGATGGAATAACAGCATAGTTCAGTTCTGTTTATGAAAATTCAATGGATGGCAGCACAAGAAGTTCACGCTGTAAATAATGGAAGAAAGAGAAAAAGAAAAAACTCTGCAGATAATAGACTTTCCTGGCCTGAGTCTGATGCATATTGCTGACCTAACAAGTAGTTTTATTTTATGCTTGTGAGGTTACTATCCAGTTACCAAAAGTATGCTTCTCTCTCAACTTCAGGCAGGTAAATGCCACGACACCCTCTTGATGTAGGACATATAAATGGTTAGTCTCTTGTGAATGACTTTAAGGAAGTAAAATACATTAGCTTGGTGCAAAAGTAAGTGTGGTTTTTTTGCCTAATACATATTTAACCTAATACATATTTAACAGCTTTCTTGGGCAGGTTAAGCCATCAAGAGAGCAAACAGATTCATCTAATAGTTACTGGACTTTAGCAAAGTGCTAGGTCCATCTGCTTGATGGTCAGACATGCCTGTCCTGAAGTGTAGAATAAAATGCCTTATGTCTAAATTAATATTATAAGATACTTTAATAGTTTGTACTATAAACTAATAATGAATCAACCTTTAATAACTTGTGCATCTCAAGTTATTAAGGTTATTAAGTTGCTATAAGAAACTTGAAAATTACCAGATCATCTTTTGTCACAAATTTTTGTTTTTAAAAAGCACAGAAAATTCCAATAAATTGTAAATTCTAAGAAGAGGAATAATATTTAGACTTACTGAGTTTCATTCACATTTGTTTCCATGTATGTAAGTCATATTTTTCTGGGAAGGGCAATGAAATAAGGAGAGATAATAAACTAACCAGTAGTTTCAAGACAGCATTTGTATATTTGAACTCCTATAAGGCTGTGACTGTTTCATTTTTATGCAAAGTATGTTATGTTAAAAAAAAAAATCCAAATGTACAGAACCGAATCATGGCTCAAAACTTGAAAGGACTACCACTCTAACACTAATAGCCCTATTATTACCAATGTAGATTTTTCAGTTATTACTATGTATAGGGAATGCAATGTTTTCTGTTTAAAAATGTATGCTTTTTAAATGAGCATTTAAAAGTCATGCTCTAAATATTACCAAGATTTTCTAATTCCAGAATCTTTAAGAAAGTCTTCTGGGTCAAAAGGGAGATTACGAAAAAGTTTCAAGGTGCTAGCAATGTTGGTAAGGGAAGAATTGAATGTGTAAACAAGCATGAAATGCAAACTGGAGCAGTAACTCCACGTATGAGGCAGAAAAGAAACTTAAAAAGCAAACAAAAAGGTGGTTTGTTTACAGGAAGAATAAAATAGAAAATTGTGCTACTCTAAATAGGAAGTCACTGTGGTTTTTCACGTGTAAAAATGTAGACATGTTACATGGTAAGGATGTTTTTCTTCTTGATGTGGATCAAAACAGAAGGGAAAGTATGAATGAAAAAGCATATGGAATAGGAGGCATATTTCTTTTGCACACTATCTAAAAGGACTGAAATAGATATAATAGAATATTTTCAATTTTCCCCTTGTCTCCTTTTGTTTTTAATTTTCTCTTTTTTTCTTGTTTTTATGTTTTGTTTTGTTTTGTTTATTTGCTACCTTCATACGCGTCCCCCTCCCCCCACCCCCACACACAGACACACACATTTTGCTTAACCAACAAACCACAGGGCTTGCAAGAGCCATTCTCGGTAAGTACTGTTATGACAGGGATGGGGATGGAATTGCACTAACAATACTGAGTGAGAGGCACAAAAAAATCCCAGAAAAAACCTCCAACTGCGAGTTTCACAGCAGTCAAAGATGAAAACTGCCATTTGAGCCAAAACTCTCCTCATCTTCTAAAACTCCAACCTGCCTCCTTTCAGAGAAGTACCTGTCTTCCGGGGCTGCCGGATGCTTATCAGCTGAATACAGCCTTTAACCTTTGTTTGGGTCATGCACGCTACTTTTTAAAGCAACTATTAATATCTACAGAGTAGTTTAGTTTATTTGTGTCACTCATGAATGTAATTCAATGAAAAAGTATAAAGACACTACCTGAAAGGAATTTGATCCTGGGACTGCTCTGAAGTAACAAAGAAAGGTGTAAGGATACACATGCTTTTAAAACTTTTGATAACACACTAAAAGATATAGGGGCTGTGATTTTTCTAAAGCACAGGGGCATAAGTTAAATAAATGAGCTCTCTAATTATCAAATAAGCACATCCTAATAATCATGTTTGTTTTAACATATTATTTAATCAGTATTAAATATATTATTATTTTATAATATTAATTATATTATATTATATTATATTAATATAAAATTTATAATATAAAATAATTATATTAAATATATAATTATTATTTAAACAGTATTAAATACATGTTTTTATTTTTGTAAAGGAAATCATTACTGACTGAAATAAAATGCAGTATTCTTTTCTTTTCTTTTTTTTTGAGACAGAGTTTCGTTCTTGTGGCCCAGGCTGGAGTGCAATGGTGTGATCTCGGCTCACCGCAACCTCTGCCTCCCGGGTTCAAGTGATTCTCTTGCCTCAGCCTCCCAAGTAGCTTGGATTACAGGCATGTGCCACCACTCCCGGTTTATTTTGTATTTTTTAGTAGAGATGGGGTTTCTCCATGTTGGTCAGGCTGGTCTCGAACTCCTGACCTCAGTTGATCCACCCGCCTCAGCCTCCCAAAGTGCTGGGATTACAGGCGTGAGCCACTGCGACATTCCTAGGGGAGCCTAACTGAACTAAAACAGTGCTGTTAACATCTACACATAACTCTGTTTAACAGAGGCAATAACCCTGGCAATACATAGAGGCCATGATGAAACCACACATACATTTTCTCCACTGTTGCTTGGATAGAAAATTTTCTAGATCTTTTCATTACCAAATTATTTTAAGTTTTAAAAAAATATGTAGTTGTCTAAAATCATAACACCATGATACTGGCACATTTGTGCTCTTGCAGACTTCACTTCCAGGGCTAGATGAAGCTCTAAAGAGATTGTGAAGAGGTTGGATACATTGAGGGTAAATATTTCGTTAGAAATAAATCCTCTACTCCTGAAAAGAAAATGTATCTGTATACTTTACGTACATAGATCTACCTCTAATCAGTTTAATTGAGATTATCTAGAAAAATAAAAAAGAAAACTACATGCAACACTGAGATATACATACTTAGGAATTCATTCAGAAAGTAGCTGTGATAATGAGGCTTTTCTCTGCATTCGGTTGTAAGTCAGCATTGATTAAGCAATTCCAAATGGCTACTTACAATTAATGATTCCAACTTGGCAATATTCTAAGAGGCCCTGAGGACTAAATAGGAAATGAAAGAACATCCAAAAGAAAATCAAAATGAAACTTTATTAAGGTATGGATTTTTTTCAATTTGCAGGTTTATACTTCATTTGTTTTCGAAAATTAAAGTTTTGATCAATGTAGGCAAGATAAGATAATGAACTACAGTGAACTAATAGAGGTATATTTGTGATTCACTATAGATTTTGGAAAATATTGGACTTTTTTACTCTAGGCACTTGTTCGACAATGGAAGGATTAAATATCTTGACATATGGATTCCAGATTTCTTTTTGTTTTAGTTAGCCAACATTTATGCATATAATTATAATAAGCATAATTGTAATTTCCCCCAAGTGAGAGTTATTTCTCATGTGAAACCTATAAGAGGTAGTTGAATTTTGAGGTGACCCCCCTCCCAGGGATGACTCAGTCAGCCTCCTTCTGTCTTACTGCTTTACTATCTTTAGCATTTGGCTTGCAAGGTGTTCCCTGGATGCTTCAAGATGGCAGAAGGGGAAGGAGCACAAGAGGTTTTTAGGTGCCAAGCTTAGAAGAAATGTACACAATTTCCTTTCACATTCTCCTGGCTAGAAATCACTTCATAGCAACATTTAACTGCAAGGGATCTAGAAAATGTCATCTAGCTGTGTTCCCAGGAATAAGAGAAAACAGTTTAATTGAACAGCAAGCGAGTCTCTGACATATCCTTAGATTTATCAAAGATAAATTTTCTACTTGACTTAAGATGAAGTATTATTACAGAAATGGTGCCATATATGGATATGAAATGTCAACAGAGACAAAGAATACTTGAGAGGGAAGAGAACACAATACTGGAATCAGAAAAACTGAGCTTTAGTTTTGGATCTGCAATATATGGGCTACAGCATCTCTCCAGATCTAAACTGTCAAATGGAAATAATAACACCTATGCTCTATATAGTTGTTGTAAAAAGAGAATATATATGAAGGAAACTGGTTAAAAAAAAACTCCCAAAACATTTACCTACTTTTTAAAACCTGTCCATAATCCACATTGACAATAGGAAATCTTTTCCTAAGAAATATTGATTATGTTACATGCTTAAAACTTTTCATTTTTTATATATATTATAGTCTATAGACTATAGATTCTACTGTCTATAATTCTATATAATTAATTCCAAATTCTTTAGCATAGTATATGAGGCTGTATAGCATCTTTAAATAAATGTGTTTATCTAAGGAAATTTTCTTCAGTTTGATATATTTATTTTCTCTATTTTTTTCTGTTTTTTCTTCTGGAATATTTATTAGTTGGATATTGGTGCAACATGTTCACTGTCTCTAATGTTCTTTTTCATACATATAATATTGTGTATTGAACTTTTCCCTCTAATTCTCCCGAATGTCTGACTTTTTCTAGCTAATCTAGTGTTTTCTAGCTCTTCTATTAACATTTGAATTTTAGCAATTGCATTTTTCTGAGACAGACCCTCCTCTGTTGCCCAGGCTGAAGTACGGTGGCAAGATCTCGGCTCACTGCAATCTCTGACTCCTGCATTCAAGTTATTCTCATGTATCAGCCCCCAAGTAGCTGGGATTACAGGCATGAGCCACCACGCCCGGCTAATTTTTGTATTTTTAGTAGAGACAGAGTTTCACCATGTTGATCAGGCTGGTCTCAAACTCCTGACCTCAAGTAATCTGCCTGCCTCAGCCTCCCAAAGTGCTGGGATTACAGGCATAAGCCACCACGCCCAGCCAGTAATTGTATTTTTTACTTTTATGTACTTTGTTATATCTCCACAGATTTCTCTGAGGATAATAATTAGAGGATTTAAGTTCTTTTGCCTTTCCTGTGTTACCTAAGGCTTGTTTCTTCTTTTTGTATATCTTGGTCTTCTGATTTATGACTCTGTTTTCCTCGTATGCCTGGTTATCCTTGGTTATCCTATTATACTTAAGAATTGTGGGCTAGGTCTATTTTTGGGGTAGCTATTTGGGGCTTTTCCCCCAGTTGTGTGGGTGGTATGGTTCCTTAATTTTGTCTTTCCCTTAAATGAGAAGCATCCTTGGGAGACTGTGTGTCTGGTTTTGTCGACCAGTTGATTTCACTTTGGGGTACTTGGAAAATGATTTAACTGTTGACTAGAATTAGAAGAGCTTTATGCTGAAGAGAATTGCATTAATACCAGAAGTCAACACCCACCCAGGCCCATTTACTTATTTGAGGTAAACACTTTGAGGACCAGCAGAATATTTACACATTTATTTTATAGCTAGATTTTCAATTTATTTTTGTTTTGAAACATTTGTGATATTAACAAAATCTGGCTATAGTAGCCATCTTAAGAACATCTTCAAATCTCTTCCTGAGAAATTGAAAACAGTAAAAAAAAATGAGTAAAGAAATAGAATACTGGAATAACATAACTAATGAGCTGTATCTAAAAACTTGCTGTTCCTTCATTCCAGAATGTTCTTCTCCAAGATTTCCACAGGCACCTTCTCTAATTGCCTTCAGGGCTCTTGTCAATATCTGGTGTGAAGGAAACTTTTCCTGGCTACCCTAGTAAGACTAGCACCACTGTTAGTCTCCATTTCCTCACACTGCCTTATTTTTCTTCATAGATATTATTACTAAAAATACGTTTTGTTTATTTATTTATTGGTAGTCTCCTCCATTAGAATGTCAATTATATTGAGGGCAGAGATATTAGCAGTTTTATTGATTATTCTTTCCTTACAGTCTAGGGCAGAGCTTAGCATATAATAGCACTAAATAAATGTCTACAGAATAAACAAATACAGAGAAACATAAACTCACCTCCAACCCCGGAAAAAGGAAACCTTTTAAATATACACAATCCTTTTAAGTGTCAGTTACAAAAATTAAGTATTAAGCCAAAAAGTGAATATTTATACTTCCAAAAGACATAAATTACTTAGTTTATAATTAGTAACACAAAATAATATAAATAAAAAATTAGTAAGATGGAAGTGGCCATAAAAATATAAACAATGACATCTTAAAAAGGAAATCTATTTAATAATTCTTAGGTTAAAAAGAAATTACTATTACTAAATTGCTATTTAAAATTAACTACGTATCAAAACCAGTGGTTGCAGCCAAAGCAGTTTTCAGAGAAAAAATCATACACATAAAACATTCACTAGGAAAAAAAAACAAAAAACACAAAACTGAGAATAATTCGATTTTACTTTAATTTTAGGAAACTTGAAAAAGAGCAGAAAATTCACCATATTCTTCTGAATAGAAGAGTAGGCATAATAAAGATAAAAGCAGAGGACTTTCAGGTAAGGTCATAAAAATTAAGTTATTCAAACAAATCTTAACACTGCTTACAATTAAAAAATGCTGAATACATTATTTTAACAATCTTCTTGAAAAGTATCAAGTACTTGACAACAAAGTAAGCAATTACCAGGACAGAGTGGAAGGAAAAACAAAGCAGGGATTCTAGAGAAAGAAGTAGAACTCAGCTGTCATTTAGCCTTAAGAACTTTTGACATTCCAGAAAGAGGAACTTTGTTTTCAGATCTGTGCAGGATAAGGAAGGTGAAACAAATGACAAAGCTGAAGGTTTGAACAAGATAAGGGGTGTAATGTACATGATAGTGGAGACTTTCTTCACCATAAATTGTTATACACACACACACAAACACACACACACACACACACGCACACAGCAACAGTAGCCAATGGTCACATTCTGTGGCGTATGGGAAACGTAAGCCGTGAACTTGGTTTGAGATTGTCTTGAGCTAGTAGCACCTTTGCGTCACATTGTAACACACATGTAAATCCTCTTTGTATAAAGTCTCCTTTTCCTAGACCTCAAATAATTTTTTCAAATAATTTCTCCAAATATTTTTTAAGTACAATGAGTAGCACAAAGTGAGGATATCTCAGCACCCCGGAGCACAAGACATCAGCAAGCAGCACTGGGGGAAAATAGAGAATGGAAAACATTTGTTGCATATAGAACTGACAACAGATTATATTCCAGAATATAAGTAATTATGAATCAATTTTCAAAGTTATTTTTAAAGGAAGAAAAATTTAAAAAGAGTACAAATGAGCCATTCACAACAAAGGATGCCAAACTGCCAAAATAAGCAGGTAAAAAATATGCAACGTCAAGAGTAATTATGAAAATTAAAACAATATATTTTTTCATTAGCTTGGGGAAAGTTTTAAAATATTGGTAATAGATTATTAAAAGTGTTGGAAAAATTTATCATTTTCATACACTGTTGGTGATTATGAATATTGGTGTGTTCTTTCTTTTTTTTTGAGACGGAGTGGCTCTGTTGCCCAGGCTGGAATACAGTGGCATGTGACCTCAGCTCATTGCAACCTCTGCCTGCTGGGTTCAAGCAATTATCCTGCCTCAGCCTCCCAAGTAGATGGAACTGCAGGCATGTGCCACATGTCAGGATAATTTTTTGTATTTTTAGTAGAGACGAGGTTTCACCATGCTGGCCAGGCTGGTCTCGAACTCCTGACATTGTGATTCACCCGCTTTGGCCTCCCAAAGTGTTGGGATTACAGGTGTGAGCCACTGTGCCTGGTCTGGTGTGTTCTTAAGTGCATTTGGTAACGCCTATTAAAATTTAAAATGGACATATGCATGTATCATATGACTCAGCAACTTATTGCAGGCACACGGCACTTGCCCAGCTAATTTTTGTATTTTTAGTAGAGACGGGGTTTCACCATGTTGGCTAGGCTGGTCTCCATCTCCTGGCCTCAAGTGATCTACATGCCTCAGCCTCTAAAAGTGCTAGAATTACTGGCGTGAGCCACTGCGACTGGCCTAGCAACTTCGTGTTTAAAACTTTATTCTCTATATATTTACACCAAAGCATGCAATTTAATTATATAAATGTTATTAACATTATTGTATATAAAATAGAAAACTAGAAAAATCCAGATGTTCATCATTAAGAGAATACTCAAATATATCTGTTCAATAGTATTCAGAGCAACCATTCAGAAAGAGTGAGGTATATCTAGATGTCTTGATATGCAAGGAAAACCAAGCTATTTTAATGTTGGAAAAAAATTGAGGCTCAAAATAGAGACTGGTTGTAATATGATATAAAAATTTGTCTATGATTTTAAGCTGTAGTACATGTATTTTTTGTCTGCATAAATACATGAAAGATGCTAACTGTAATCACCTTTGGAGAGAAGAACCAGGAGTCTGAGGGGGAGAGAAAACTTTCACCTATGGTTTTAAATTGCTCTGTTTGGTTTTCATTCTTTTAAAAATGTATATGTTGAGCATACACACACACACACCACACACACATATGTTTTATTTTATACTTTTTTAGAGAGACAAGGTCTTGCTGTGTCACCCAGGCTGGAGTTCAGTGGTGGAAGCATAGCTCATGCAGCCTCAGACTCCTGGGCTCTATTTATCCTCCTCCCTCAGACTCCCAAGTAGCTGGGATTGCAGGCCCACAAGGTACAGCTCAGGCCATTGCTTCAAAAGGTGCAAGCCCCAAGGCTTGGTGGCTTCCATGTGGTCTTGGGCCTGCTGGTGGGCAGAAGTCAAGAGTTGAGGTTTGGGAATCTCTGTATAGATTTCAGAGGATGTTTGGGAATGCCTGTATGTTCAAGCAGAAGTCTGCTGCAGGGGCAGAGCCCTCATGGAGAACCTCTGCTAGGGCAGTGCAGAAGGGAATGCGGGGTCAGTGTCCCCACACAGAGTCCCCACTGGGGCACTGTCTAGTGGAGCTATGAGAAGAGGGCCACTGTCCTCCAGACCTCAGAACCAACAGCTTGCACCATGCACCTGGAAAAGCTGCAGACACTCAATACCAGTCCATGAAAGCAGCCAGAAGTGGCTGTAAAGCCACAGCGGTGGAGCTGCCCAAGGCTGTGGGAGCCTACCTTTTGCATCAGCGTGACCTGGATGTGAGACATGGAGTCAAAGGAGATCATTTTGGAACTTTAAGGTTTAATGACTGCCCTATTGGATTTCAGACTTGCATGGGGCTTATAACCCCTTTGTTTTGGCCAATTTCTCCCATTTGGAATGGGTGTATTTACCCAATGCCTGTACCCGCATTCTATCTAGGAGGTAAAAAACTTGCTTTTGGTTTTACAGGCTCATAGGTGGAAGAAACTTGCCTTGTCTCAGATGACACTTTGGACTTGAATTTTTGAATTAGTGCTTGAATGAGTGAGTTAAGACTTTGGGTGACTGTTGAAAGAGTATGATTGTGTTTTGAAATGTGAGGACATAAGATTTGGGAGGGGCCAGAGGCAGAATGATATGGTTTGGTTGTGTCCCCACCCAAATCTCATCTTGAACTGTGGTTCCCATAATCCTCACATGTCCTGGGAGAGCCCAGGTGAGAAGTAATTTAACTATAGGGGTGGTTAACCTCAAGCTGATCTTGTGATAGTGAGTGAGTTCTCACGAGATCTAATGGTTTTATAAGTCTCTTTTTCCCCTTTTGATACTTCTCCTTGCTGCCGCCATGTGAAGAAGGATATGTTTGCTTCCCCTTCTGGCATGATTGTAAGTTTCCTGAGGCCACCCCAGCCATGTGGAACTGTGAGTCAATTAAACCCGTTTCCTTTATAAATTACCCAGTCTTGGGTATGTCTTTATTAGAAGCATGAGAACAGACTAATACGGTGTTCAAAAAATGAACAATTGTATAAACACAGCATTTCCTCCATAAGTTAAGTGTTTTTAGAAGGAGCTAAAACTCCTGGAATCCCCAGGGTGCCTCATTTTCAGAGGATCTTGTTTAAAATAGACCATCCATATTAGAGATGTAAATTTTGTGACAGTTATGATTGGCCACATCTTCCACTCTCTGCAGGTGGTACTTCTTTTTCTTTCCTTATTTACAATTGCATCAAGAAATGAGAATATTGCTTGTTTAAGTGAGAGGATGCACACAGGTGGGCCAGGGCCCATGGCCGTCAATTTAAGGGCACACTTTCATTTTCAATGTAATTAACTGTCTAATTGAGCATCCAAATTTAGCAGTGAATTTGCATGTGCAATTAATTATGATTTAAAAGCACTCTGCATTAATGGTTTCTTTCCCATTATCTACAAATGTAATTACTGAAGGATGGATTGAGTTTGAAAATCATTTGGGAAAATGTTTTTCTGCATCCCTGGAGCCCAATGCTATAAGAGGTAACAGTGAAATGAGAACATCACACCCAGAATTATAATGCTGAAAAGTGAGTTATTCTGGAGGGAGGGGCTGTAGGAGAGAGCTAGATTTGCTGATTTCAATATATAGTAATCTTTTTTTCTTGTTTACTGGAATTAATTTAAATTATAGTCACTATATGATTTCACTCAGAACAGATATACACCCTAGACTTACAGAAGGAGATTTTAGAGATAAAACTCACATTTTAAAAAAGAGTTCTAAAAGGAGACTGTATTCTTAGTAATTTTCCATAAATTGTAAAATTAATATCTAGTTTAGTCTAAGAGCATTTGCATGCTTTTCTTGATTAAAGAAAAGATCTTAAAAGAGAAGATAAAGATATGTCCTTAAAATCTGAGGCCAGGTGTGGTGGGCCAAGCCTGTAATCACAGCACTTTGATAGGCTGAGGTGGGCAGATTGTTTGAGCTCAGGAGTTTGAGACCAGCCTGGGCACAATGGCGAAACCCCTTATCTAACCCCATTTCTTTACAAAAAAATATAAAAAATAGCTGGGTGTGGTAGCACATGCCTGTGGTCCCAGCTACTTGGGAAGCTGAGGAGAGAGGATTGCTTGAACCCAGGAGGTCGAGGCTGTAGTGAACCATGATCAAACCACTGTACTCCAGCCTCCAGCCTGGGGAACAGAGTGAGACTCTGACTCAAACAAACAAACAAACAAACAAACAAACAGATATAAGTAGTAATCAGTAATAATTAACAAAGATTAGACTAAAAACTTAGTCACTGGAGGGAAAATGAAAATTTTGAATAGGCAGACTGTGTCCTTTCCACTGGCTGAATAATTGAAAAACTGTATTATTATTTTCTGAGGAAAAAACATTAAGCATTTTGCCAACCAGAGATTTCTATAAATATAATGCTCATAGTTTTGCTGTAGAAGAAGGAAGTTAACTGTCACTGACTCTAAGCTCTTCTACCCCTGTCCACAAGGAGTACAAAGATACCAAACAATGGCAGGACATCAGCTTGAGTTTATCTCCATAGGCCTGGTGAGTAGAAAGCCTGACTGAGAGGCATTTCAGAAAGGAAGTGAATAAAGCTTAGGAAGATGGTGTGAAAGAAAAATGATCACTTAATTATTATTTTATTAATGTAGTAATTGTTTAAAATAAATGGTTTTAAATAAAATACATTTATTTTAAAATGTTATTTAAAATTATGTATTAAACTATGTATTTCAAAATTAAACAAAAATAAATTGTTTAAAAATAAAACATGGCTTGACATAGTGGCTCATGCCTATAATCCCAGCACTTTGGCAGGCTAAGGTGAGAGGATTGCTAGGAGGTAGAGACCAGCCTGGGCAATATAGAGAGACCCTGTCTCTACAAAAAAACTTAAAATTTAAAAATCAGCTTGGCACAGTGGCAGCCCCTTTTAACCACAACCAGAGCTGAAGCAGCTTAAACTCAGGGTACCATGTACCCAGGGTGCATAGCAGGTAGGGTCCTAGGCCCAACCCAGGAAACCATTCTTTCCTCTTAGGCATCTGGGCCTGTGATAGGATGGGCTGCCAGGAAGCTCCCTGACATGCCCTGGAGACATTTTCTCCATTGTCTTGGTGGTTAACATTCAGCTCCTCATTACTTATGCAAATTTCTGCAATTGGCTTGAATTTTTCCCCAGAAAATGTGATTTTCTTTTCTATTTCATTATCGGGCTGCAATTTTTTCAAACTTTTATGCTCTGCTTCCTCTTGAATGCTTTGTCACTTAGAAATTTCTTCTGCCAGATACCCTAAATTATCTTTCTCAAGTTCAAAGTTCCACAGATCTCTAGGGAAGGAGCAAATGACACCAGTCTCTTTGCTAAAGCATAGCAAGAGTCACCTTTATTCCAGTTACCAACAAGTTCCTCATTTCCATCTGAGACCACCTCAGCCTGGACTTTATTGTCCATATCACTGTCAGCATTTTGGTCAAAGCCATTCAACAAATCTCTGGGAAGTTCCAAGTTTTCCCACATCTTCCTGTTTTCTGAGCCTACCAAGTCTCTAGGAAGTTCCAAAATTTCCCACATTTTCTGGTCTTCTGCTGAGCCCTCTAAACTGTTTCAACCTCTGCCTGTCACCCAGCTCCAAAGTCACTTCCACATTTTTGGGTATCCTTAAAACAGCATCCCACTCTTGGTACCAATTTACTGTATTAGTCTGTTCTCCTGCTGCTAATGAAGACATACCCAAGACTGTGTAATTTATAAAGGAAACAGGTTTAATTGACTCACAGTTCTGCATGGCTGGAGAGGCCTCAGGAAACTTACAGTCATAGCAGAAGGGAAAGCAAATATGTCCTTTTTCACTTGGCAGCAGCAAGGAGAAGTGCCCAACAAAACGGTGGGAAGCCTTTTATAAAGCCATCAGATCTCATGAGAACTCACTCACTCTCACGAGAACCACATGAGGGTAACTGCCCCCATGATTAAATTACCTCCCATTCTGTCCCGCCAGGGACATATGAAGATTATAAGAACTACAATTCGAGATGAGATTTGGGTGGGGACACAGCCAAACCATGTCAAAAACACAGGAAACATTTTTGTATGGGCCTTTAACTTCTAGAACATTTAATACCTTGAAGCTCTGACATAAGAAACTGGTAGTTAAATTGGGAACACTTTAATTTTTATTATCAAGATTATTACTAATAGATAAATTGCCTTATATTTATGTAGCAATGACAATATTTTAGTGTATATTTGCTTATGTCATCATTCCTATATAGAAATATAAAATTACCCTCATGTTAGGGGTGAGAAAGTATGATTCAGAAAGGTAATGTGATTTGCCCCAGAAAGGCAATAGCAGGAAAGAGAGTATAATCTCCATTTTAAAACTCAATCTGGTGGTCTTTCATCAAATCTGTGGTAAGTAATGAAAAAATACTCTTTGTGAAATGAGTGAGCCTAAAGTCTCTAGCACTCCAAGATAAATTTTCAAATTTTATGGTTATTTTGTAAATCACATAACAAGCCATCTCAAGAGCAAAAGTAGCATGTTAGGCAGAATAATGCCCCTCACCCTAAAGATGCCAATATTCAAATCCCAGAACCTGTAAATATATTAGGCTACATAGCACAAGGGAGTTAATGGTTGCAGATGGAATTAAGGTTGCTAATCAGATTACCTTGAAATAGGACCTGGATTGTATGGGTAAGCCCAGTGTAATTCCAAGAGTCCTTAAAAGTGGAAGAGGGAAGCAGAAGAGGAGGCCAGAGGAAAATGTAGCTACAGAAAAAAAGGCATAGATGAATGCAACGTTGCTGGCTTTGAAGATGGAGAGAGGAAGCTCTGATTGAAGAAGAGTAGGACCTCTAGGAGCTGGAAAAGGCAAGGAAATCATTCATCCCTAGAGCTACCCGAAAGAAACAACCCTGCAAAACACCTTGATTTTGAGCCAGTGAGATTTGTGTCAGAATCTTGATTTCTAGAAATTATAAGATAACACATTAGTGTTGTTTTAAGCCACTTAGCTTATAGTTAATTATGGCAGCAAATAGAAAACTATATTGTGTCTAAAATATTTGTAGCTGAACAGCAAACAACTGCTTGTAGAATAAATGAAAGAGGTCTCCTAAATGTTTGTGACTATGCTAGGGTGATATAACCACACATGATGTTTGCCACTCCACCCATCTCACTTCATTAAATCTCAGAACCCATTCCTGATCTTTTTCTGGGAGTTTACTCACTTTCCCTGAACTTGCTGGTCCAAGAAGATTCATAGGTCCTTGTTTTTCAAAGACAACTGTTTCTGTTTTACAGTTTACCCTAATAAGGCTTGTCAGCCTCTGTCAGTTGAGATCTACTGCATATTAATATAAGCTATGTGGATGCATGACTAACTCATTTTTGGACATCAGGCTTAGTATTTTGGATTGATTTCTCACTTATTCTTGAGTGATCCCAAACATAATTTGACATAAAAGTTGCTTGAGGCTGTAAGTAAGGTAAAAGAAGCCTGACTTGATTTTAGCTAGATTGATTCTCACCTTGAAATTTTACTAGAGTGTGTCCAGACAACCACTGTTGGAGTAAAACTTGGACAATGATAGAATTTCATTGATTCCAAGACAGTTAGATATTTTAACAAATTGGGAATCAGCATTTGTCATAGCACCAATGACATTT
This sequence comes from Homo sapiens, assembly GCF_000001405.40. Lineage (NCBI taxonomy): Eukaryota > Metazoa > Chordata > Mammalia > Primates > Hominidae > Homo > Homo sapiens. The sequence continues at coordinate 141,785,394 of NC_000004.12, forward strand.
TACAATCATTCCCAGCCAGCTGGGTGTCCACCATTTGGTCATAACTGTACTTATTTGTCATTGCTTCCATTAACTTACTGATATGTACATTGTACCTATTATGCAGGTAAAATCAAATTGGCCTTTGGGAGGCTATGACAGGTGGATTGCTTGAGCCCAGGAGTTCAAGAGAAGCCTGAGCAACATGGTGAAACACATCTTTACTAAAAATATAGAAATTAGCCCAGCGTGCTGGCAAGTGCTTGTAGTTCCAGTTACTTAGGAGGCTGAGGTGGGAGGATGGTTTGAGCCTGGAAGGTCAAGTCTGCATCAAGCCTGCAGTGAGTCATGGTCTCACCACTGCACTCCAGCCTGGGCAACAGAGTGAGACCCTACCTCAAAATAAAAACAAAAAACAGAGAAAAGAAAAGAAGAAGAAAGAAAAAAATCTAATTAGCTATTGAATGAAAAGTTGGTGTGTAAGCAAAAAGGAATAGAAACAGTAAAGCAGGGCATAAATTTGCTCTTAGCAAAGCAAGTATTTATTGCTGGAGGGATAATTAAAATTATTATTCTTCCTCCTCCTCCTCCTCCTCTCCCCCCTCCTCCTCCTCTTCCTGCTCCTCATCCTCGTCCTCCTTCTCCTCCTCCTCCTTTTTTTTTCAAAGCGAAGGCCAAAGGTTTAAGAAAGAAAATAGTGCCAAGTAAATAGTGAAGCTTGATTATGTTTTGTTACTGGGCTATGTGAAAAGGATTGCTTATTAGACTCAAAGCAATGTAACTGAAGGCAAGAGAAATTGACAAGTTCCTCACAGTAGGTAAAAGAAATTTCAAAGGAAGAAGAGGCTAGTGTGACTGATTCATAAATCATGTAGGACATTCATTAAAGCATTAACTCATAATTTAATAAGCAACATTATATCTTTCTTAATAATATAATCATTAACATCTCAAATTTGATAAAAAAAAAAAAAGGAGGGAAATGGAGAAGTAAGATGGGTGATTTAGTTTATCTATTGCTCCTAAGGCACAATACAATGGCAACTTAGTGTAATAGAATATGGATACATCTGAGATCATTACAAATTAGGTTTTATTCCTCAACTTTATTACAGAATAACTATAGCAGTGTAACATTTCTGAATCTCTTTATTATGATCTATAAAATGGGATAATAATATTTACTTGTAGTTTTGATGTAAGGATTAGATTAGACCTTGTCATCTGCTTCTCTTTCCCTATAGCGAAAAGTAATTTTCATGGGTCAGTTGTGAGAGGTCTTGCAAGGAATTTGGAATCAAAAGAAATTCATTTGTGGCTCTGCTACTCACATGTGATCTTATATCTGTTAGCCAAATTTCTAGTGCCTCTAGTAGACAGCCTCCAAGATAACCCTTAATGAGCCCCTGGGTCATCCCTTTCCTCACTGGACAAGGTTTCACCTTTGTGACCAATAGTGCATGGCAGAAATGATGTTATGACACTTGTGAGATGAGGTGATAAAGACAAGCTTCTGTTATAGGCATGTATTCCTTCTCTCTTATTCACTTTAGGGGAAGCCAGCTGCTTTGTCTTGAAGATACTCAGGCAACCCTGTGGAGAGGCCTATATGGCAAGAAACTGAGACTTTCAGACAACAATCAAGGAAATGAGGACTCCAGCCAATAGCCATTGGAGTGAGTCTTCTCAGAAGCAAAGAATAAAATTCCAATCAATGCTTTACATGATGATGCAGTCCCAGGTGATCAAAACCTTATGAGCAACCCTAAGCAAAAACCATCCAGCTATGCCACTCTGGGATTCCTGACACTCAGAAGTTGTAAAATACACAGTAAAAAATATTTCTTACACAGTAATAAATAATAAAATTTCTTGTACAGTGATAAATAATACAGGCTCATCTCTAAAAAATGAGAATGATTCATTCATAGAGTCTTGGAGGGCTCAAAAGAGAACAAGTCACAAACTATAAAGTATGAGTACAAATGCTAATTACTAAATTTATTTTGCAAGTCCATTTACCACCTTCATGTAACCTGGGTGCTCTCAGATTTCCCCTTAATTTCCCTTATTTCCCCTTAATAAATCACCAAGAGGTATTGTGTCAGTGGTCCACCAGGCCACCCTTAAGTTCAACGATTTTTGAGAAGGACTCACAGAATTCAGAAAAACTGTTATACTCACGGTTATGGCTTATTGAAATGAAAGGACACAGATTAAAATCAGCAAATGTGGAAGGTGCATAAGGCAGAGTCCAGGAGAGATCAGGCACACGCTTCTAGTTGTTCTTTGAGTGAAGTTGTTCAGACACCACTTAATCCTCTCAGCAATAATGTGTAATAAAACATACAGGATATTGCCAACTAGGGAAGCTCACCAGAGACTTGATGTCCAGAGTTTTAATTGGGGGTTGGTCACTTAAGCATGGAGCACCCACATGCTTGACTTAGTTACTGTCTGTAGCTCCTCTAGAGGTCAAACTGATATGGTGTGGCCCAAGACCCCACCATAATTCACATTGTTAGCATAAACTCTCTGGTGTGCACCAAGTCCCCAGTTATACAAAGACACTCTTGTCAGCAGCATCCGTCATGAAATTTGAGGTTATCTCCTAGGAGCCAGCAAAGGCCAATCCCTTCTTTGTAATATATAGGGATTGAACTTCCCAAGACTTCTGAGTTAACCCTTTATAACTCTTTATCTATAGAGTTAACCCTACATATTTATAGATTTGCATTTTTTCCTACATCTATAAAACATCCTGACTGTGCAATCAGGTCCACCTCTTATTTTCCATTATGACCGAAATATCTTGGAAGTAAGCTATGCTCATGCCCCTAGGGAACCTCAGGCTGGCTCTGGTGTGCAATGGATTGTTCTGCAGAGAATTCCATCTTACTCCAGAGATTCAGTGGAAAAAACCCTAGATGTGATAAATGACTCTGGGCCTCAGTAATACGGAGGATGCTGGGCCTGCTTCAGTAGCCCAGCAGATAGGAAAGAAGCATGTTCTAATGAGATAGCTATGGCATTCTGAGGCTACGTCAGAGCTAGGCATTCTTGATTTCTTTCTCCCCTGTCATTGTGCAACTTTCTTTGTCTTTCTCATGGTCCTCATTGATAATATAATATAATATAACTATATAATAATATATAATAAGAAGGTAATAATGCTTTCATGTGTACCATTGGCTTTCTTTGAAAATCACACATTTGTAAATTTTGAAAATAAACATCTGCTAAGAGTATACTGGGTTCAATGTGTTGTACCAGGCTCGAGGTGGAAGGAATGTGATGAATGCTTTAAATATTATTCTTGGAAACTGTAGAAATCATTGTAGATTTTTGAGCCAGTCACTGGTATAATTAAAGCCCATCTTTTAAATGGAGTACTGTACCCAGAGGTGAGAGAAGAAAATAAGTAGAATAGCTAGATCTGTGTGATCCTAGGTGACTCTGTGCCTGGAAGAAAGGAAGATTTTGAGTAAGAGTGGCTATTTTCACTGTGAAATCATGAGGTTAGACTTTGGATAGCTTTGGTTGAGAAAATCCCACACAGAATTCAGATGCTCCAACCATATTTACTCCTATGTCACACATTTTAGCTATCAGACATTTTTATTAAACACACACTGGTGAAGAGGAGCTTCTTTTCCCACCTCCACCCTTACCCCATGTCCTAAACTATTCATCCAAAATCAATCTTTTCATCTGATGTTGTTTTGCTTCCACTACCTTTCAATGTTGCTGCTTTTACTGTCTAATTTTATCCTCATCTTCCTCTTTGGACTTGATATATAAAATTTTTCCTGCCTTGCCTCTTTTCAACAATTATTCCTTTTTTTCCACAGTGTGTATATCCACTGCAAATCCCCTCAAATAAACTCCCTCTCAGCTCTTTCATTTCCAGGCCCTTCTACCTTGGTCTGCTGACAAATCCATATGTGGAAAGCATGGGAGATTCATATTATATACAAATGAATAAGAGTTCTGATTTATACCAAACTACAGAGGGACATAGACTTATATCTCGAGACAATGTTGTATTTGAAGTTGTTGATTTCTTCTGTCCCCATTGGGCCTCTTCTGCCTTTAGATGGGTCTCTATGAAGAAATTTATTAGAGTGAGGAAACGTTTATAGCAGGAGGTCCTAACTTGCCCTACACCAAACTTATTTGTAGAGGCAAATCCCTTCCAATCTTCTGAATTTCTGTTCCATAAACACAGTCTTTATACCACACATTTTAGTAACTAGCCACAAGAAAGTTCTTTTATCAACTACCCAAAAAGCACAAGGCTGCCTCCATAAACCAGGCTTATATGTGAATGTGGAAAATTCACATATTGATTGGTGAATCAATCAATTCACCAAATTGATTGGTGCAGCCCAAATTTAACCTGAATGAAAACCACAAGCAACTCTACAGCTTACAGGTCTGTGGGGTAGATGGGCTGCCTCTCCGAGGGAGAAATTCAATGTCTACAGTATCACGGATCAGCGGACCACCTCTGACCTCTTGTTCTAAGAGTGTCTCCTTGTCTGGTGAAGTATGAATTCCTTTTGGTTAAGAAAATTTAAAACATTTGTGGCCTTTCCTAGATGAGCAATCACAATATTAAGACAGGATCTTCAGATGGCTCAAAACTAAACTTATTATTATCTTCTGTTGCAAAGATGTGGTCATTTTGAGCTTCTAGAAATACCTTGGATATCCACCTTCAAGACGTCAGCTAATCTTCCCTGATCGCATGCTTCATCTGAAGTTGTCCCTTCAGGTACTATTTCAGACATAAGCGTGCTTACTTTATCTGATAATATGCCCCTTCTTTTACCCCTAAACTTATTGGTTAAACAACTCTTAAAATTCCAAGCGATTACATGTTTGATTTGGGTTGCACCAAGGAAGCAGGGTATTTGGATGAACACACTCTAGTATCCACCTCATCTTAGCAAGTGCAACTTCAAGAAATAAGTGGTAGTTGCTATAAAAAAGAAAGCTCTGGATACTTGAGAAAAAAATAAAATATTTAATGGAAATTGTTAAGGGACTTGACTAGAGTGAGCATATGTCCTGGTTTGCTTGAGACAGAACCTCTTGACAACTATTGCCATGGAATGATTATTAAAAGCACCTTTTTTCTCTCAAAGATATCCTTGGGTTGGATAACAAATTATATGGTAAACCTAAGTTTAACTAGCAGAAGGGCCATGTGGTCACCATTGAGAGTCAAAAACAGCAAAGGAGAGCTCCCAGGAAAAGCCACTGTGTATCCCAGAAGTTACTGAATGCCCCAGGAAGTGGGATGGGCAAGTACGCTCAATACTGTAGAAAGAATGAGAATCCTCACTGAGAAGATGATTAAAGGGAGTAATCAGGAGAGCAGTTTCTAAGTAATTTTGAGACAGAGGTTGCAATTTTAGTAAAAAGATAAATGAGTTAAAGGTTCTTCACTAACTACCTATGTTTTAGAAACATTTGATAGTTAAATGAAGAAAAGAAATAAAAAATAAGGGAAGTGTATGAATAGATTAATCTTTAAAAAAGAGAAAAGAAAATAAACAAGACTCTTAAACATATAAAAATATGCTTAATGTAAAAAGGTAATTGAAATTAGAGTTATGCTGCAGTATCATTCTTTAGCTGTCATATGGTGATGATGAGAGGAGAGAGGCACTCATATCACTGTTTAAGGGAATAAACTGTTACAGTCTCTATGGAATGTAGCTTGGAAATGTGTATGAGCATATAAAATGCATGTTCCATTTGACCTAGAAAATATCTACTTTCAGAAATTATCCTACAGATATTCTTGCATATGTGCAGAATGACTTTATATGAAAATATGAATTGCAAAATTATTTGTGACATGAAAACATTATAAATATATTTATAAATTCTAAATATATTTTAACAGAGAATAGGATAATGATAGAAAAATGTTGAGTACTTACTATGCATTAGACTCATTTTAACTATTTTGTGTGTATTGACTTATTTTACTTACTATGCATTAGACTCATTTTAAGTATTTTGTGTGTATTGACTAATTTATTTTCTTTTAATAAAGCTATGACATGGAAATGAATATTATCCTTCTTTTATAGATGAAGAAGTTGAGGCACAGAGAGGTTAAGCAATTTGCCTAGGGTAACATATCTAGTAAATGGTAGACCTGATATTGGAACCCAGGGCTTAATCTTATGATTTTTGGTATAGACATAACTTATATTGTTTTTAAAAATGCGTCTTTTATTGTTGGTCTTAAAAAGAATGAGGTAGACCTGTATGTACTTATATGGAATAATCTCCAAGACATAGTTCTAAGTGAAAAGAGGATGGTGCAAAACACTGCGTTAAATGTACTATCATTTCTGTAAACAAATATATGTGTGTGCGTATGCGTGTGTGTGTGTGTGTGTGTGTGTGTGTATGTATATATATATATATATATATATATCTTTGTCTATGCATAGACTCCACCTAGAAGACTATACAAGAAGTAGGAATTGTTGGCCAGGCGCAGTGGCTCACGCCTGTAATCCCAGCACTTTGGGAGACTGAGGCGGGCGGATCACAAGTTCAGGAGATCGAGACCATCCTGGCTACCACGGTGAAACCCCGTCTCTACTAAAAATACAAAAAAAAATTAGCCGGGCGCAGTGGCGGGCGCCTGTAGTCCCAGCTACTCGGGAGGCTGAGGCAGGAGAATGACATGAACCCGGGAGGCGGAGCTTGCAGTGAGCCGAGATCGCGCCACTGTACTCCAGCCTGGGCAACTGAGCGAGACTCCGTGTCAAAAAAAAAAAAAAAAGGAATTGTCTCTGAGAAGACAGCTGGTAACCAGAAGACATGGGGCAGAGGTGAGTGAAGACTGACTTTCCATTGTATACCCCTTTGTATCTTTTGGATTTTATACCACGTGTTTCTACTACTTCTTCAAATCAATTTTTTAAAGTAAAAAAATACAATAAATAATATGTAATAAATGGAACACTAAAATAAATGAAATAAATAATATGCAAAAATAATGATGCAATATAATAAAATATAGGCAACAATTGACAAAATCTGAGCTTAGAGAGGGTGAAATGATTTGGATGAATATGAGTAGGAAAAGGGGTTTAAAGAAGAGGACTACATTGGTACATGAGACTTAATAGAAATGTCTACCACCACATTTTTTTATTGGGGTAAAAACACATTATGTGAGATCTACCCTCTTAACAATTTTTTAAGGGTATAGTACAGTATTGCTAACTGTTTGCACATTTCTGTACAGCATAACTCTAATTTCTTTTTCGTTCTGCATGACTGAAACTTCATGTCCATTTGTATTAGTAAGCTTGGGCTGCCGCAACAAAATACATTTAAAAAGAGGGTTTAAACAACAACTATTTATTTTCTCACAGTCCTGGAGTCTAGAAGTCCAAGATCAGGGTACCAGAATTATCAATTTCTCAGGGTTCTTTCCCCGGCTTGTAGGAAGCCTCCATCTTGCCATGTGCTCACATGACCTCTTTTTGTGGACTCGAGGAAAAAGAGAGAGAGCAAGCACACTAGTGCCTCTTCTGATAAGGGTACTAATCACATCAGATCAGAGCTCTACCCTTATGTCTTTATTTAAATCACTCCTTATAGGTCCTGTCTGCAATACAACCAGTTGGGGTCATTAGGGTTTCAACTTATACATTTTATGGGGACACAATTTACTTAAGTCTATAGTAGCATCGAAGAACAACTCTACATTTATCCCTCCCCACAACTGCTGGCAACCACCATTCTACTCTCTGCTTCTATGAGTTTAACTATTTTATATACCTCATGTAAGTGGAATCATGAAGCAATGGTCCTTTGTGATTAGTTCATTTCACTTAGCATAATTTCCTCATGATTCGTCCATGTTTATCCAGGTTGTAGCATATGACAGGATTTCTTTCTTTTTAAAGGCTAAATAATATTCTGCTGTATGTGTATAGCAGATTTTTGTGTATCCATTCATCTTTTGATAGACATTCAGGTTGTTTCCAACTCTTGGCTATTGTGAATAAAGCTGCAATGAATATGGAAATGCAAACATCTCTTTGAGATCTTAATTAATTCTTTTAGATAAATACCAGAGGTGGGATTACTGAATCATGTGTAGTTCTATTTCTAATTTTTTGAGGAAACTCCATGCTGTTTTCATTACAGCTGCATCATTTCAGCTGTTTGTAGATGAAGCAGCTGAGGCTTCATAAAAGCTGCATCATTTTATATTTCCACCAACAGTATTCAAGAATCTCAATTTCTCCATGTCCTCACCAACACTTGCTATTTTCTGTTTTTTGGTGTAATGGTCATCCTTACAAGTATTGAGGCGATATCTCATCATGATTTTGATTTGCATTTCCGTGATGATTAGTGATGCTAAACATCTTTTTATATACCTGTTGGACATTTTCATATTTTCTTTGAGGAAATGTCTGTTCAAGTCCTTTGGCCATTTTTTAATCAGATTATTTGGAGGATTTTTAGCCATTTAGCCATAGGAGTTTTTTAATATATATTTTGGATATTAAACCTTTTTAGATACATGACTTGCAGTTATTTTCTTTCATTCTGAAGGTTGTCTTTTCAATCTGTTGATTGTTTCCTTTGCTGCACAGAAGCTTTTATTTGTTATAGTTCCACTTGTCTTATTTTTGCTTTTGTTATCTGTGCTTTTGGTGTCTTGTCTAAGAAACCATTGCTAAGACCAATGTTATAGAACTTTTCTCTGTGTTTTCTTCTAGAAATGTTATAGTTTCAGGTCTTATATTTTAGTCTTTAATCCATTTTGAGTTGATTATTGTGTATGATGAAAGATAAGAATATAATTTCATTCTTCTGCATGTGGGTAGACAGTTTTCTCAACACTGTATGTTGATGAGACTATCCTTTCCCCATTGTATAATCTTGACACTCTTGTCTAAGATTATTTAACCATATATGTGTGCGTTTATATCTGGTGTTTTTATTCTGTTCCATTGCCTATATATCTGTCTTATGCCAGTACAATACTGTTTTGATTACTGTACCTTTGTGATTTTTTTTTCCAATTGGGATTTTGCAAAAGAATTAAAGCCACAGAAAATCATTTGAGTGACTACTATTCCCAACTCTCCCAGGATGGTACCTAGCTATTACTCTTTGAGGGGCATAAGCGAGAAATTAGGTCATTAAATACAATGCAACAAATGCCTTGGGGCATAGTGCTTAATGTTCTTGCTGAATCTGACAGAGATTGCTTGGAGTCTCTTTCAGGTATGGGAACGAAGAGTGTGTAATGATGAATGTATGTGATGGATGTATGTAATTCAAGCACTTTGGCACAGATAAGACAGTGTGGATGAGGGATCAAGACACCTAGGCTCTAGTCACTAAACAGTTATGATGTTCTGGGTGACCTTAAACAAGTCACTTTCTTTCTTTGAGCCTCAATCTTCTCCATAAAATGGAAGGTTGGTCTAGGTGACATCTAAGGGCCTTCTTATTCTGAAATAAATAAGCCTATAGTGAGAAGGAAGCCTGTTGAAGGCCATTGAGAAAATGAGTTCCTGAAGAACTACTGTGGCAATGATAAGCAAAAACATTGTCAATATTCCAGAAAACAACTTTGTTAGGCTTATTTTTACCTCCCATATTTCAGCAATTCATATTTTACCATCATGAATTCTGTGATTTTGAGTAGCAGGTGTCCTGTTATTTACTAAATATATTTTTGACATTGACTCACTTTTAAAATTCAAATACATTTATTTTTGGAAAAAAGTATATATTACTACCCTTACTGCATTAAGAAAACCATGGTCATTTGCCAAAAATAGAATAAAAGCAGTGTCATTTGCCATAAAAACAAAACAGTAAATTCTACCTAGGTTTTATTGCCTACCAAAGTTCTGAGCCTGAGGCCTGATCTCTTCTTATTGAAAATGAAGAATAGCAAGTGCTAGGGAGATATTAATTGTATTCTAGCACCAAATAGGACTTTCTCCATCTATTTTAAAAGATTAAAAACAAATTGAAAAAGGACTAAGTCTTAACTAGTGTATGTTACTTAATGTATATTAAATCATTTTAAATAATTTTTTATTACAACTGAAGGTACGTCCACCTTCGACTTCTGCTAAAGGGACACCTTGCTGTAATAGAAAGAACATGGGTGTTGGAGTCAGTTGGCTCTGGGTGCCAGTTCTGACTCTGCCCTGAGCTAGCTGTGTTCTTCAGGCAATATGCTGAATCTTCAGGGCTTCAGAGTGCTCATATGTAACATAAGGATAAAATCCCTTGGCTGATTGTTGAGAGAATAGAAAAAATATATGCAAAATTATGTTTGGAAAGGAAAGGAGTGAGCCAAGAGGCACAACAACAGAACAAATGAGCATAACTTGGATTGGCTGGGTGGTGAGTGAGTCAAAGTAGTGGGGGCCATTATCAGCCAGGGGAGGAGAACAATGCCCCAAGTGTGTCTGAAGGACAGGAAGGGGTGATGAATTCAGATATGGTCATATTGAATTTGAAGTTTGGGTTGATGTTAAAATGGAAACTAAAGATGTTATAATGACTAGGAGATAAATAGATATGAGGTGACGTGCCTTAGGGTGGTCATAATGGTGGAAGCATTCTCTGAAGAGCAGTACCCCCCGGGGATTGATTTAAGACTCATTTTTTAGAGCAGTTTTAGTTGACAGCAAAATTGAGGGGAAGACACAGAGGTATCACATTTCCCCCATGTCCCCACACATGCATAGCCTTCCCCAATATCAACACCTGCCACCTGAGTGTTACAGTTGTCACAATTGATAAACCCACATTACACATCATTATCACTCAAAGTTGTTTACATTAAGGTTCACTCTTGGTGTCATACATCTATGGGTTTGGACAAATATTTAGCGACATGTATCCATCAATATGGATGATACAGGGTATTTTCACTTCCCTAAAGATCCTCTGTGTTCTGCCTATTCATCCCTCTCTCCCCACTAATCCCTGGAAACCAATGATTTTTTTATTGTCTTCAAAGTTTTACCTTTTCCAGAATGTCATATACTTGGACTCATACTGTATATAGCCATTTTGCATTGGCTTTTTTCATGTAATAATATGTATTTAAGTTTCTCTCATGTTTTTTCATGGCTTGATAGCTCATTTCTTTAGCACTAAATAATATTTCATTGTCTGGATTTATCACAGTTTACCTGTTCACCTACTGAACAATATCCTTGTCACTTTCAAATACTGGAAATCATGCATAAAGCTTCTATAAACATCTGTGTGCAGTTTTTCATGGACATAAATTTTCAACTGCTTTAGTAAACACCAAGAAACATGACTGCTGGATTATATCATAAGACCATGTTTCATTTTGTAAGAAAAAGCCAAGTTATCTTCTAAAGTGGGTTTACTATTAATATTTTGTATTCCCACAAGCAACGAATGACAGTTCCTGTTTCTGGACATCCTCATCAGCATTTAGTGTTGTCAGTATTCTCGATATTGGCCATTCTAATAAGTGTAGCGGTATCTTATTGTTTTAATTTGCATTTTTTGATTACTTGTGATGTGAAACGTTTTATATGCTTTTTTGACATCTGTATATCTTCTTTAGGGAGATGTCTGTTAAGGTCTTTATTTTTAAAATCTAATTATATATTTTTTGTTATTGAGTTTTAAGAGTTTTTTATATATTTCAGATATCAGTTCTTTATCATATATGTCTTTTACAAATATTTTCTCCTAGACAGTGGCTTGTCTTTTTATTCTTTTATCAGTAACTTCAGAGAGCATAAAATTTTAGTTTCAAAAAGTCTAGCTTATCAATTCATTCTTACATGGATCGTGACTTTGGTATCGTATTTAAAAAGTCATTGTCAAACCCAAGGTCATCTATATTTTCTCCGATATTATCTTCTAGGAATTTACAGTTTTGCATTTTCCATTTGGGTCTGTAATCCATTTTGAATTATTTTTTGTAAAGACTGTTAAGGTCTGTGACTAGATTCTTTTTTTTTCCCCATGTAGATGTCCAGTTGCTCCAGTACCATTTGTTGCAAAAATTATCTTTTCTCCATTGTATTGCCTTTGATTATCTGTCAGAGATCACTTAACTATATTTATGTAAGTATATTTTTGAAGTCTTTATTCTGTTCCATTGATCTATTTGTCTGTCCTTCAATCAATACCATACTGTCTTGGTTACTATAGCTTTATAATAAGGCGTGAAGTTGAGTATTGTCAGTCCTCCAACTTTGTTTTTCATCTTCAGTATTGTGTTGATTACTCTGAGTGTTTAGAATTAGTTTGTTAATATCTAGAAAATATGACTGGGGTTGCACTGAATCTATATATCAAGTCGGGAAGAGCTGACATCTTAACAATGTTAAGTGCTTCCATTCATGAGCATGGAATATTTCTTCGTTTATTTAGTTCTTTGATTTTTTTCATCAGAGTTTTATAGTTTCCCTTTTATAGATTTTGTACATATTTTATTAGATTTATAGCTAGGTATTTCACTTTGGAGGTATCAATGTTAAAGGTATTGTATTTTAAAATTTCAAATTACGCTTTTTCATTGCTGGTATACTTTAGTCCCCCCTCATCCACAGGGGATACCAAGATCCCTAGTAGATAACTATAACCATGGATAGTACCAAATCCTGTAGATGCTATTGTGCTTTCTTTTTAAATCTGATAACTAAGATAGCTACTAAGTGACTAATGGGTGGGTAGTATATACAGCACAAATAAGCTGAACAAAAAGATGATTCACATACTGGGTGGGAAAAAGCAGGACACAGCAAAATTTCATCATGCTACTCAGAATGGCATACAATTTAAAACTTATGAATTCTTCATGGAATATTTTATTTAATATTTTTGGAGCAGGGTTGATGGCAGGTAACTGAAACTGTGGAATGCCAAACCATAGATAAAGCGAGACTACTGTATTGGTAAGCAATTGACGGTTGCATATTAATCTTGTATCCTGCAATCTTACTATTATGGCTTATTAGTTCCAACAGTATTTTTGTCAATGCATCACGATTTTCTACATAATCATATCATCTGCAAATAAAGATTATTTTGTTTCTTCCTTCTCAATCTCTACACCTTTTACGTTTTTTTTCTTGTCTTATTATATTATCTAGGACTTCCAGAGCAATGTTGGAAAGCAGTGCCTCTAAGAGGGGACATCCTTGCCTCGTTCCTGACCTTAGTGAAAAACCATTGAGTTTATCATCATTAAGTATTATGTTACCCGCATGTTTTTTGTAAACATTATTTATCAAGCTGAGAAAATTATCTTTATTCCTAGGTTACTGAGGTTTCTTTTTAAGTCATGAATCCATGTAGAATTTTGTCAAATGTTTTTTTCTGCGTCTATTGATATAAATGTGTGATTTTTCTTTTTAAGACTAGTTGATGTAATGAATTACATTTATTGATTCTTGAAAGTTGATACAATCTTGCATACTTAGGATAAATTACACTTGGTCATCATATATAATTTTTAAAAATTCTTTTTTGGGCACTAATATTTTCTTGAGGATTTTTACATCCATATTCAGAGAAACATTGATCTGTAGTTTTTTTCTTGTAATTAATGTATTTGTCTAATTCTAGTCTTCTAGTATGAGTTAGGAAGTATTCCCTCTGCTTCTATCCTCTGAAAGAGGTTGTAGAGAATTGGTATAATCTGCTACTTAAATGTTCGATAGAATTCTTTGGCAAACCCACCTGGGACTGGTGTTTTCTGTTTTTGAAGGTTATTAATTATTGATTCAATTTTGTTAATATATAAAAGCTTATTTCAATTGTCTATTTCTTTTTGTGTGTGTTTTGGAAAATTGTGTCTTTCAAGGTATTGCTCCATTTCATCTAGGTTATCAAATTTGCCAGCATAGAGTTATTCATAGTATTACTTTATTATCTTTTTCTTTTGAGATGGTGACTCTCTCTGTCACCCAGACTGAAGTGCAGAGGTACAACCACACCTCACTGCAGCCTCAAACTCCTGGGCTCAAAAGATCCTCCCACCTCAGCCTCCCGAGTAGCTGGGACTACAGGTGTGCACCATCATGCCTAGCTAATTAAAAAAATTTTTTTTTGTAGGGATAGGGTCTCACCATGTTGCCCAGTCTAGTCCTGAACTCCTGGTCTTAAGCAATCCTTCCACCTTGGCCTCCCAAAACACTGGGATTACAGGAATAAGTCATTGTACCCAGACAAAAAAATGTTAAATAAATAAATACAAAAATATTGAAATGGGCTCACAGTTCTAGTACTAGGTTTCACACAAGTAGATTTCATAATAGTGAGAAGGATATTTTGGAGTTGAAGCGAGAATTTGCGGGTCAAAGGAAGCCACATAAATAACTGGGAATGGCAGATGGGAACAAGGGCTATCTTCCTTCTCTAAAGTGTTTTGAAACATAAGTATTAGGGGCATGAAGAATGTCCATTTGAAAAAGTTTTTTGAGGTTAAAGAGAAGTGATTTTCTGAAATATTTTTTAGGAAAACCTGTTCCAGTATTATAGGGATTCTAGAGAGATCAGGGTAGGTGACCATGAAATGTATTTAAGAGAGCAAGGGATAAATTGACACAGAAAAAGGAAATAATGATAGTTAAAAAATAAGATTACTAAAAGCAAAAATGACATGGAGAGTATTTTACTTGGGGCTAGTAATTGGGGATCATAAAATAATAGAGGTTAGAGGTTGGGAGGAGGCTGAACGTGTACAATTGCTGAGTAGGTTAAGATTATTTTAAATGTATGTGTAAAATGAACTAATCCCAAGGTACCCATGTGAAGTATTTACCACTTAAAGACTTATAATGCAGAATCAAGCTCCTTGGTACTTACGATTTCTTGGGCTTTTGGTAATGGTTATGACGTGGGCTAATAGAAACTTTAAAAACATTGTGTGTTTTTTTTTTCATCAGAAGTAGAAATAATACGAAAAAACTCTTCTGCTCTGGCCTGCCTTTTTCAAGATTGAAACTGGACCTCACCCTCAGCCTTCTCGGTTCATGTTACCTCCATCCCTCAGCCACCTTGATACTGAAGCTGCTCCACTCCAGTAATCTCCAAAGTTGTAAAGCCAGCTAAGAAAAGATAACTTTCTCTTTTCACCACCCCAGGCTTCCAGACCTCAAATAATGATGAGGTTCTTCGTACAATTTTGTTTATAAAAGGAATATAACCACATTGTAGAAACTCTGAAAAACCAAGGAAACAACATCTTGGAATTATCTATAATCCGTCACTTTAAGAGAATCAATTATATAATTTCAGTGTATTATTCTGCACATTCATATTCTTACATATCTTCAACCACATAGTAAATTTAGTTTTGCATATTATTTTTTATATTTTAACCTACAGTCATGATTTTTCATGATTGCATGAAATTTATTTTATTTACCAATCTATGAGCATTATCTAGTGTTGTTATACATTGTTTCCAATCTTTCACTTCTGTTACTATCACTACTGAGCATCTTTGTGCATATGGTCTTTTCTGTATGTGAAATTATCTCTTTGGAGTGGTATCTCAAATCTGGGTTATTATGCTTAGAAAGCCTAAAAAGAATGGTTATTTTTTATTCTTGTTAAACACTTTGATAAATACTTTATATGTAATTTTTAAAATATTACTACTTATCTCAGTTCATTTATGTTGCTAAAACAATACCATTGGCTGGGTAATTTATAAACAACAGAAATTTATTTCACACAGTTCTGTCTGGGAAGTCCAAGATGAAGGCACAGGCATCTAGTGTACGCCTTCTTGCTACATCCTGAAATGGCGGAAGGTGGAAGGACTAGAGAGAGTGAACTTACTCCAGCAAGCCCTTTCTAATAACAACATAAATTAATTCATGAGGACAGAGTCCTCATGACATAGACACCTCTCAAAAGGCCCCCCTTCCCACTATTGCATTGGGGATTAAGTTTGCATCACATGAATTTTACAGACACATTCAGACCATAGCACTGCCCCTTTATCTGCATTTGGCATTATAACCTCATTTATGGACAGGGCATCTTAAGCTTAGAGAGGTGAAGTAGATGACACAGCTAGCAAATAAATGAAGCTGGATATGAGCCCAAAGCAGGGAACTAGAAATGAGAAGTTAATACCCTGGATAAGTCACAGCCCAAAAAGAATGTGGGAAGGAAGAGTTTGCAGTTGAGGTTAGCAGCATCAATGCTTTATAAAGGAAACTTCGTCCTTTTGACTGCAGTGCCTGTCTGCTCCGTATAGTGAGCCTGACAGACTATCTCCCTAGAAACTACGGAGTAATATCAAATTACTATATACATTAAATTATTTATAAATTAAATAAAAATAAATAAATTACATATACATTAAATATACATTAAATTACTTTGTATTACTTTAATATAAATATTAAATGTTACTTTATACCTTTGAAGTAGGAAAAGTTTGCTCATAATGTTGAGTGCTGACATAGACACTTAAGGCATGAAGGTAGCTTTAATTATTGGTTTAGTGGATGACCATATATATCAAATCAAAAGCTTTAAGGACCCATATCTCAGACTTAAGTCACTGATTTTCTTTCTATGAATAGAAATCCTAGAGATACTTTTCCCTCTAGTATTAAACTTCTGCCAACAAATTTAACTAAATAATAACTATAGATTTGAACAATAGATCCCAACTTGCTTAACAGTTAAATTTCCATGGTCAAAAATTAAGTACAAATATCCAATGATGTGGCCTTTAAAATGATGTATTTATCTTTCCATTTGGGCCTCATCACAGGACTATGGATAAACAAGTGGAAATTCCAGAAGTGCATTGTGGATAACAAACAAAGTTTGTAGGATTTTATCTGTAGAAACTCTCATCTGTACTTTAGTTACAAAGCAAAGTCAACCCCTGCCCAAGAATCTGGTATCTTTTAGTCTCTAAATAGTATTCCTTACATTAGTGATGAGACAAAAAGATGATCTGAAACCAGATCTACAGACATTCATTTCTTTTTCTGATTCTCAGAGGGATTCGCCAAAAGAATGAAATTCAGTCCTATGAAAAGAATTTTAGAAGCATGTGCAGTGAACTGGAATAATATGGGAGGAATGAAAAAAATAAATACATCATTCACCACAAAGAATAGGCTTTTAAAATTCCAACAGGAAAATATCCTGCTGTTGCCTAAGAAATGAATCATTAAGCTCTGTCCCACTATAAGGTGAAGCTATTTATTCATTTGCCTATAACACATGTGCCTAAGTTAGACTTTATTTTTTTTCTTTAGAAGATCTGATGTAATTCTGTTCAAGTCTAGAAGAATCTAAGCTTTCTATCTCGATGCTGTTTGCAAGTTTCTTTCTTGGGCTTCCTCTCCTTCAGTTTCCTTACTTGTGATTTTAATAAGTATAAATTTAGGCTAGGTGCTGTGGCTCAAATCTGTAATCCCAGCACTTTGAGAGGCTGAGGCAGGGGGATCACTTGAGACCAAGAGTTCAACAGCTTGGGCAACATAGTGAGATGCCATCTCTCCATTTTTTTAAAAGAATATAAATGTAAACATCGAGGAACAAAGTTTAAAGAGATTCCACAATGCTCATGAATATGTATATAAAATATATATCACATATTAAATACAATGAAAATCATTTGCTATTTAAAGGAGATACATAGCAAATAGCAAATGTTTCTTTATAAAATAAATGTGTTCTGTAAAAGAGCTTTTCCAACATCATAAACTCATAGTTATCAGAACTGACTAAAGATTATGGGTTTGATTTTGTCATTTCACAGCCATGTTTATTCATGTAGAAATATAGCTGGTGGTGAAAAGAGAACAGATCATGTAGGTTTATATTACTGGAGGGAGGGAGTGACAAAGCCTGGAGTTTCCTGAAGGAATAGTGAGAATAGAGCTGAGTACAGGCCAATTCCAAGAAGGCATGCCACGATGGGAAAAATAATCCAACTGGTGAAGTCTCCCTTATCTTTAACCAACCCAACATATACAAAGCCAGGACTGGAGGCCACATGGTCATAGGAAATAAAGGGGGATATGACAGCTTCTGCGCCATCCACTGAGTTAATGTTAAAGTGATAATTTGGGGCTGATGAAACTTGTCGGTGCAATGCCTTCACTTTAAGTGATAAAATTATAAGAACTAGGTTCATATAATATACATCCTGGTATAAACTGCACTTTAAAAATGCAAGCTGCTTTATCATAATCAAAACTGAGGTCTTCTGAACCAACAGTAAGAGATACAGTAATCATTTCTGTCCTAGAAATGTAGGTCAAATTCAAGCTTAATGTCAGGAACAGAAGAGACACAAAGTATAGGTTTCCTTTTCTTTCCTTCTGCTCCATCGAATCTTCACTACTTTCAGGCTGGGTAAGATGTATACAAAATCCATGGTCCAGACACCCAAAGTAATTCTCCACAATTGGACCATTAGTGGTGGATACTGATGATGCATTATTGCTCAGGCACATAGCTTTGTTTCTATGAAAGTTTTATATAGTGGAGCATCTGTGTTAAGCTATGCATCAATTAATATAAATATTACTTAAACGTTATTGAAATAAGGGATAGAGGAAATAAATTTTATTTTGTTGAGGTACTCTGCCAAGTTTGAGGGTAACTTGATTCCCAAGTGTATCAATTCCTGTTCTCTGGGAATAAGACACTGTAGGCAATTAGAAGTACGAGATATTAATTGGGAAAACACTTGTGAAGAATGTAGAATGGAGAGGAGAGGAAGGAGAAGCAGGCAGCAAGAACCTTCAGATGACACTAAGGAATGACACTTATGAAAAGAGAAAAGAAGGGACAGAGGACTGAATAAGAAGAGTAAGGCAGTACATCTCCAAGAAAGTCTAAGCCCGGCGGATGACGAGCCTTGGGGGAAAGATTGTTCCTTAGAAGAGTCCCTCATCAAGTAAAAATCACCTGATCACTACTTTCACCATGCTCAGTCATTAGCTGGGAGCAGCCAAGTAGTTTATGGCCTTAAAGTGAATGCTTCTTTCTGTCTACCAGGTGTGTAAGATGGGTCACTCTTGAAGGCAGGTCATGTACCTCCATGATGGCTAAACCACATCCAGAATTTCTGCACAACATGACCACTCAGAAGCCCTCCATCAATTTTCCAAAACTTTATTAAGTCCAGAACAAAGATAAAAAATTATAGTAACTTTTTCTCTTGTGTGCCATGATAGACATCACTAATCAATCATTGTAATCTTTTTCTGCTGATCTCAGACATAAATACATAATTCTTTTCAACACAGCTCCCTGGAAAGCCACTATAATGGACTTGGCATGTGAGATAAAACCTAACTGCTATTTCTGGTTAGGTCTCTGACCTTTCTCTGTGGATAGAAACAGAGATATAGGTCAGCATGAAATGTTATGAAAGTGAAATTTGGGCTTCACATATGGATGTTTGGCTGGACATCGACACATTTTCAGTGACTCTACATACAGAATTCTCTCAAAAGATATACATACTATGCTGACTATATATATTATATATATATATTATAGATACACATATTTGTATGTATACAGTCATGTTCCATATAATGGCATTTAACAGACTGCATATACCACAGTGGTCCTAACCATTCAAACATCATAGTACAAGGCATTACTCACATATTTGTGGTGAGGCTGGTATAAACTACTGAACTGCCACTTATATAAAAATATAGCACATTTGATTATGTACAATACATAATATTTAATACTGATAAATTGTTATAGATTTATGTATTTACTATATTATACTTTTTATGGTTATATTCTAGTGTTCTATTTATTTTAAAAAGTTAACTGTAAAACAGCCTCAGTTTTACAGTTCTTTGATTTCTTTCATCAGAGTTTTATAGTTTCTGTTTTATAGGTCTTGTACCTATTTTATTAGACTTACAACTAAGTATTTCATTTTGGTGGTGCTAATGTTAATGGTATTATATTTTTAATTTCAAATTACCCTTGTTTGTTGCTGTTATTCCAGGAAGTATTATTCCAAGAGGTATTTTGGAAGAAGGCACTGTTACCATAGAAGATGACATCTCCATGCATACTATTGTCCCTGAAAACCTTCTAGTGGGACAAGATGTGGAGGTGGTAGTAGACAGTGATATTGATGATCCTGACCCTGTGTAGGCCTAGGCAAATGTGTGTGTTTGTGTCTTAGGTTTTTTTTTTTTTTCTAGAGATGGGGTCTTGCTATGTTGCCCAAGCCGGAGTTCAACAGCTATTCATAGGTACAATGATAGTGCACTACAACCTTGAACTGCTGGGATCAAGTGATCCTCCTGCCTCAGCCTCCCAAGTAACTGAGACTACAGGCCCCCTCCACAACACCCAGGTATGTCTTAGTTTTCAACAAAAAGACAAAAAGTTAAAAAAAATAGAAAAAAGCTTATCGAATAAGGACATAAAGAAAGAAAGTATTTTTGTACAGCTTTACAATGTGTTTGTGTTTTAATTAGTTATTATAAAAGAGTGAAAAACAAAACTATTTAAAAAATTTATAAAGTAAAAAGGTTATAGTAAGCTAAGCTAATTTATTATTAAATAAAAAGTGTTTTAATAAATTTAGTATAGCCTAAGTGTATAGTGTTTATAAAATCTACAGTAGTGTAAAATAAATGTTCTAGGCCTTCATATTCGCTCACCGCTCATTCACAGATTTACCCAGAGTAACTTCAAGTCCTATAAGCTCTATTCATGGTAAGTGCCCCACACAGGTGTACCATTTAAATATCTTTTATACTGTATTTTTACTGTACCTTTTCTATGTTTAGGTATGTTTAGGTGCATAAATACTCACAATTGTGCTACAATGACCTACAGTATTCAGTGGTGTGACATGCTATATAGGTTTGTAGTATAGGAGCAATGGGCTATATTATACATCCTAGGTGTGTAGCACGCTATACCATGTAGGTTTGTGTAAGTACATTCTATGATGTTCGCACAAGGATGAAATCGACTAATGATGCATTTATCAGAACATATGCCCTTCATTAAGTAATGCATGACTGTACCTATATACACACAAACATTTTTTTCAGTCAAGGAAGCCGCATTTGTGATCATTTCATACTTTCACTGTAAACATGTGATAGACCCTTCAAAGCTCTGAACTATATTTTTCATCCTATATAATTGGTTTCTTTATTTTGGGGGTAAGACTCAGCTTCCTCCTTCTTTAAACTGCCAGCCCCACATGCTTTGCTGACACTACATTTCTTGGCATATCTTTGTGTGTGTGTGTCGTTCCAAGTGCAATTGGAAGCAAGTCCGGGTTGACTGCCTCAAGGTTTGTATTATTTTATAGAGTACTTGGCATAATCTTTACATTATAGGTATTATTCTTTAATGCAAAAATGGAGTAATACCATTACAGTAGAGATCAAATTGGGTTTTGCCCATCCACTTCTTACATGTCTTTAAAATTTTTCATTTCTTCAAGTTCCCCTGGTTAAAGGAGAAAGAAATCCCTAGAGCAAAAGTTCTCTAAGGAATTATGCTTATGTATTAAATTCTTGCCACTGGGCAAATCTCCTGACCCAGAAAGATTTATTCTAAAACTTTTATAAATAATCCTATCCCTTTCATATACTTCTCCCTGCATTCTAATTACATTTTTTGAGAAATGCGAGAACAAATTTCATTGCAACTATTCTTATAAGAGATGAAGGTGGTTTAACTTGAGCTGCTGAGTAAAACCCCATCGCCCTTTTCAATATATTTTCCCCAAAATCTTTATCAATCTGTCAAGCAGAATTTATTCTTCCTGATGTGATTGGATTTTTGAAAGGAAGAGGAGTTGAACATACTGAATTACTCATTTATGACTCAGTGTGGGGTTATTCTGAAACTACACACTGGGGTACAGAGGCCGGCATGTGGGCTGAGCACCAATTTAAACTGGGTTGCCTCAGAAGTTAATGTGGTCCCTGGTCACCACAATTAGAGGCACTGAAAATTTGCATGTGAATGTGTGTGCTTAATTCTTAACAAATTAAGGCCTGACCAAGCAATTAGGCATAGAAGCCATAGAAAATGTAAATTGGTAGGAGGGAATGAAAACACTGGGGCTGAAGCACATCTCCTTGGCATAAGGACACAGAAAAACAGGCAATGCAATATTTGTTTTATTCATTGCATCCAAACTTATCGGACTGCTGGGTCTAAGAAGCAAGTTTGCTGTAAAGATGCTAAATATGTATTAAGTCTCCTTGTATGGCATATTTAGGGAGGTGCAAAGGGATGAGGGTGTTGGCTGATGAGTCAGACAGTGGCTTTCATTTTCCAATGTATCCCGCATTAGGTCTTCAGTGGCCCTGTTATATGGCTGACTATTGCCCATTTCCCTGTATGCCCACTTCCATTCTTGGATACATAGAAGGTAGAGAGGCTCCTATAATTGGAAAATAATCTGGATTTTGTTTTACATTTGGTTTTAAATATACAGACATATTGTAAGTGTTTGGTTGAGTGGCATACATATCCAATAACAAACAGGTCACAGAGGAACCTAGAGAGGACCCTGAAAAGGAGACCTCTGTAAGAGGAGAAGGAAATTTGGTATGCAGAATCAGATCCTACCATAGGTCCTCGGCTGGGGTAGAAAGATGATTGGTTCCAGCTACACATGTCTGATACTGTAACCTGGGCCAGCTTCATGGGTCTGCAACCTCTACAGTCACACAAGGACCCACACTCAGAAGAGTCCCAAGCTTTCTTTTTTTTTCTTTTTTTTTTTTAATTCTCTGCTGTCACTATCTCATACCTCTTAACAATTTTTGAACAAGGGAAACTGAATTTCCATTTTTCACTGAGCTCCACAAGTTATTTGGTCAGCTGTAACTGCAATCCTTCCTGTAGTCCTTCTTTCATTCCAGTTTGAAATAGTTCCTCACTTAACTAGGTTATACTCTTATGGAAATACTGTATGGTGGCAGTAGGATTCAGGGGTCAACCCTCACTGGTTTATTTCTTCCTAAAAATTAATCAAAGAAAGGATAATTGCTCAAGGGTCAGGAGAAGAAGTAATCTAATTACTACTGGAATACCTTCTTTATCGTTCTTAAGAAAAGTGATACAATGAAAACTTATAACTATTTTCTAGCCAGGATGTGTTGACTAGTCCCCCAAAAATTCACTTTTTTTTTTTTGAGATAGAGTTTTTCTTCTGTTGCCCAGGCTGGAGTACAATGGCACAATCTTGGCTCACTGCAACCTCCGCCTCCCGGCTTCAAGCAATTATCCTGCCTCAGCCTCCCGAGTAGCTGGGACTACAGGCATGCCCTACCACGCCCAGCTAATTTTGTATTTTTAGTAGAGACAGGGTTTCTCCATGTTGATCAGGCTGGTCTTGAACTCCCAACCTCAGGTGATCCATCTGCCACAGCTTCCCAAAGTGCTGGGATTACAGGCATGAGCCACCATGCCCGGCCCCAAAATTCACTTTTTGTTTTACATTAAAACATTTTTCTATACCATGTGACAACTTATCGGTATGTCTTCTTGATTTCCATTTCTGAGAGGAGAAAAATGTAATAATCTGCCAATACAGAATAAGGAAGTAGGTTTGAGAATTCCACAATGGTCTTACATTTGGACAAGGTATAAAATGCAATCTCATCCTTATATCTCCAGTGGGAAGCATGGCAGGTAAAATAATGTTAGGTAAATGTCTGGAGAGCTGGCACCTTGTAAGTATTTTCAACCTAAAGTTTTATAGATAGAATCTGATCCAGGCTTAAGTTCATGTCTGGTCAAAGTCTGTACATAATGCTTTAGTTTGTGCTGTCACCCAGCTGTCTCTCTTGGTTTTTCAATATCCTTTGTTTAGCTTCTCTAAGGCAAGGGCTGTCTAAGTTGCTTAGTTTTGTACACATGTTACCACAGCACAAATTAATATGAAGTGACCTGCATCTAGTTTCCACCACATTTCAAGCTTTACTTTATGAGTTTACAGCAAGAATTATGATAATAATAAATACAAATATTTAATCAAATTCAAAATCCTGTTTTATAATGTCTTCATAAAAATTTAGCCAAGTCCATCTTTTTTTTTTAAGTGGAAATGCTTTACATTTAAAATGTATTTAGGGCAGTCACCAGAAATGAAATATTCCTTTTGGAGGAAAGAGATCATGAAGAACACAGACATAAGTCTAAGGGATGGCATCAACAGAGGTGTCAGGCTCTGAAGGAAAACGGCTTGCAGCCTGAAATGAAAGGGACTCACATGAGGGTTTGTCAGGATGATGGTTCTTTCAGGAATTCCATCTTTAAAAATCACAAAATAATATAAACATAAAATCCCTCCAATGTTATTTAATGAACAATTTTAAAAAATATTTTAGATTTTTGATGAATACGTAGGAATATGAAAATCTGAAATTGTGGGAGAGCTCTATAAAAGATGGCTTTTATCTTTTTATTGCTTGTGATGAAAGACAAAGACAGTAGGATACTTCGAATATAAATCAGAATCTTATCTAAAACAGCAAGGGGAAAGTCTTTATAAAGCACTTGAGAGGCCATTTATGGATGCATGTTTTAATTTTTCCCCAAATTATCTTCATTTATTTTTTTTCAAAACCTATGAGGTAAGAATGGAGATTGTAGGAACAATTTGCAGAAACTCACCCTTAAATCTTTCTTCTGGTTTCCTCTGCTCCCTGGGGAGAAGTTCTTATGTTGGAGAGGGTATTTCAGAGAATTTAATTGTGTTCCTTAGCATAAAATCAGACCTGTCTAAAACACTTCAGAACAATTAGCAAATTGTCATCTATTTCTTTCTTCTTATACCCTGGTCCCCAGGGGAAAACGGAGAACTGTCACAGTGGTAATTGCAGGCATTCTTTTTCCTTTACTTTTTTCCTGCTGACTCTTAATCCAAGCCTTATGCAAATACAGTTTTAGGGTTTACAGAAAAGGAGCAAAATTTAGCCTCGAAAAGCCAAACTTATTTTCCAGTTCCATGATTTCCTCCTTCTTGGTATTCCACAAAGGAGCTCACTTCCATTTCATACCCCTTGAGAAGGAGCATTATCATATCATGAAGAACTAAATTAGTTCCTATTATCCCTGTGCCATAGTGTGAGGTCGGCCAATTGGAATTTACCCTTGCTGATCTTAGAGCTTGAGCTGCTGGGGAACAGTAAAACCAGGCGGTGAAGGTGCCTAGTGTTCCTCCTGAGGAATTTAAAAAAGGAAAAAAAAAAAAAAAAAAAAGAAAAGAAAAAAAGACTATCGCTCAGGTTTTGATAAGGAGAAGGGTAATTTCATGCCAAATGATGTCAGCACTGTGATTTGAATCTTTCATTATTAATTATTATTTCTGAGAGCAAATGCACTTGAGAAAGGTCAGTACCCCTCACTTTTAAGCTCTCATCATCAGGTACAGCATCACATGCCTTGTGAAATTGCAGTCTCTTAGTGGAGGCTTGAGCCTCTCCCTGGGGGAATAGCTCATTAATCCTCACAAGATGTTGCTTTAATGAGCCTGCTTTTCTTCTCATCTTTTTCCTTATGATTTTCAGTCTATCTGTCTAGGATCTGTTTGGGCAAGTGAATGAGCCACAAGGGCTAGAAGTGGTTTGACTTTCAAGCTAGCCAAGTATGCAAAAGGAGTTAACATAGTAGGCCTGAGACTGCAGTTCTTAGGACAGCGAGCATTAGACCTGTTCGCAAAGCTTGCCATTAGCAGATGTCTGGGACCTCGGATTTGGAGAAGGCTCCTACCATCCCCAGAACTGGTGAGTTACTCACTGTCTACAAAATGCTTATACAAATAATGTGGTTCAGGCCGAACAACTGCTTCCTTCTGGGAGTCTAGAATTTTGCTACATGCCAGGCAGAGAGTGCCTATGTGACTAGCCCCCGATAAAAGCTTTGGGCCCTCAGTCTCTAATGACCTTCCCTAGTAGATGACATTTCGTGTATTGCTGGAGAAATTAAGTGCATAGTACATTAGTTTACTGGGAAAGGACTCTTGGAAGCTTGTACCTGGTTTTCCCCACACTTGGCCCCATGTGGCTTTATCCTTTGCTGATTGTACCTTGTATCCTTTTGCTGTAATAAATCACAGTTATGAGTACAACTATAACTGCGTCCCGTGAGTCCTCCTAGTAGATCATCAGACCCAGGATGGTCTGGGGGACCCCTCAACACACAAGGTATAATAAAAAGGAAGCCCACTCCACTTTTCACTGTGACTTCTAAGATTAAAATCTGAAGTTATACTTTCATTTATTATTTGATATCACTTTAGCTAGCCTCTAAAATAAACATAGAATTATGAATTCTGAGAAAGCTTTATGTAAACTGTAATTTTGGAAATAAGGTACTATTGTTTATTCTATACTTAAATTAGTTATTTCTGTAATAGTGTATTATATTCTACTCAAATTGGGTGTTGTGGCAGCTTTTATTTTTAAAGAGTTATCTAGTGAAACAATTATTTTCTCAGTAATACCACTTGTTTATGGAGTGCTACACTATAAAGGCTTGGGGTTCCGACTGAATTATTTTCCCTGGAGAAGAACATTGAGTTGACTGTTCTGAGAAATAAATATATTGTATTTGAAAAATATATTAGAGACCAGAAGCTATAACACTGCCAGGATATTTTTTTGAGATGCCTAATATAAAGAACTATAGCTTTAGGTGATTATATTATACATTACATTAGAGTATGTCAAAATCCTTTAGAAATTCTTTAGATGGCCATGAATATTGCTTTTAATTTTAGTTTAACAGGATGGCTGAGGGAATATTGGATTAAGTTGATTACACAGCAGGTGAGGGACAAGAGTGGGAAAACAAAACTTCTCCTAAGAATAGTTCACTCTCCAATTCTTCTCAAATTGTGGACATCTTATATGCAGAGGCACATGAATATCAGTGGACCTCTGCTGACTCAGAGGCTCTTGTGTCTATAAATGCAACTGCTAGCTACAGGCTAACTAACTCCTAGTGCCAGAATCAAAGTCCTATTTTCTAAGACTTTGTCTTCCAGAGTCAGAATGGATTGCTTCTAATATGTGTAAATAATGCTATGCTTCAACTTTCTTCTAAACAGAGCTCTATCTAGTTTATTAACTAGAATCCATGTGCTATAGGTGTGGGGTTTCGAGCAAGATACCAAATCTGCTTGTGAACCCTCTGATGTGACTTAGGCTACAATGTTTATTTTTTGAGTCTTGTCGTGTAAATTATAAAATGGCAATGATATAACCTAATGCACAGGTCTGTAGGAATAGCTAGAGGAAAAAGCCACTATGTAAGTACAGGGCCTACAGACTATGCCTGAAACATCCTGGTAGATGTTAAATAAATAATAGAAATTCTAGCCAATCTTTTGTCCATTGGGAGAATCATAGCCTTTGACAGACAGATGGTCAAGGAAGCGTACATAAGTAAGTAAAATGCATTTGTATTCAACTCACTTTGGAGCAATTAATTGGAGTTTCCCATGTGAGAAATAGTTTAATTGAAAAATCACTGTTTGGAATTCAAAGCATTTTCTCTCAAGATTTGTGACTTGAAGCTCTGTTTGTTTTCTCTGTGTACTTTGTTTTAACAACATGGCATGTTTCTCCTTACTAAACCAGATGGGCTTCTCATTAAACCTTATTTCAGTGATTAAAAAAAAGAAAGTCTACTTCTTTGTCACTCCTCCCCCTATCCCGTGATTGATACTTGACATCTAGTATTTTACATTTTAGATCAGGGCAAATTTGATGAAAACCCATTTAGTCATTTTTTGGGAATATAGTAATAGATAAGCAAGTAGATGTAAACTTTATTTCCTTTATATTTGGAGATGATAATTTCAGACATTGACACTTGCTCCTCTCCCTAACTTCAACTAATATATTGACAATGCTAATTTGTTCCTGATAATGTGGTTCCAGTGTATGAATTTTAAAATCTCCTTTGTAACTTCATATATTATCTAAAGATGCTTGGGAACAAACAATTACAAAACAAAGCAAGCCTTAGATGACAGGATCAGAGCAAGTAAGGGTTAAGAAGCAAAAATTTAAAAATGTGTTGGGCAAGCTAGAGAATTAATTGATAGAGAACACATTTCATAGCACTAGCATGGGAATTAAAAAAAAAAAACTAGAGAGAGTTGAAGACAAAGAGAAGAGAAAGATTTGCTTTTAAGTATAATGCCAAGAAACTCATCCTACATGAGTAACCTAGACTTATCCACTGCCACAGTCCTAGTCCCCTGTACTCTCGTCATACATTGTGATGGGTGATGACCTTGATGTACCACGTGGACACTGCCAAGCTATCAATCATGTTTCACCCTGAACCCAGAATGACCTTTATCTATTAGCCTGCTTACAAACATGTGTTCAACATGTAAGACTCATGTGTTACTCTCTCTGTAAAGACTTTTTGACACCAACCCAGGTAAAACTGATCAGTACCTTCTTTGGAACTTCTCTGTATTCAGTAATTACTTAGACCAGAGTACCCATAACTTAATATTATTGTATTTGTTTCTTTATGTGACTTTTTTCTTTAGATTATAATTTTCTTATGGGCTAAAAACCTAATTCATCTTTATATGTAGGTGGCACAAAAATTTATTTAGATTCATGGACAATTGTATAAGTGAAGACAACAACAACAACAAAAAAAACAAAGAATAAAAGCAGAAATGAAAAGGATCTCATAAATTTAATAAAATGGTATGGGAAAAAGCACAGTGTTTTTCTCACCTAGGTTGAAGTTATGGGGAACAAAAGTTTCTTCTTTCACATCAGTGTTCAAATATGACTGATTACAAAATGATTCAAAAAAAAACAAAAACAAAAGAAAATATAAAAATTTTTTATCACTAAATTATTCATTTTTAATGGATGAGCTATAATCTTGGGGTCTGAGTAATACCATGAATGTAAATACAAGACAAAAGAAGAATAAACCCCAAATCCTGGCCTTCACATTTTTTTCTTCGACAGTAGAAAATTTCAAACTTAAGATAGCTCTCAGACATTTCAGTTGAAAAGTCCAAAAATAAGGTGGACGCAAGCACTGATGTTTGGCAGGAGGCTAGAAGACACTTTGATCTCCTCAAAGTCACAGTTTGGCCCTGGAGTACTACCTTACTGTGGTCTACTTCATTTACCTCTTTATTTTTCCACTTTTAAGCTACATTTCAGGCATCAGTGATTTTCCAAGATGTATGGGCCTTGGCAGTAGCAGTTCCTAAGGCCATCAGAGCTCTGCATTCCAACATCAATCACATGAGAAGTTTATTGGCATGAAGACACTTTCTCATTATGAAACACCAAGAGAAAATATTTCTTAATACATTTGATTCATAACTGGCAGTGCTAGTCTTGAAGTAAACAATAAACTTTGAGCAACCTTAGTATATGTAATTATCAATTGAAGCTATGATATTAAGACCTACCATTAGGCATACAATGTCTACATGAATTTGCTAGCTGCTACGACCCTGGAGGTTTTGATACCCAGCCATCACCTGCTCTTTTTAGATGGTCCTCATGATCAGGACTTGTTATTTAATTCTTTGTGAAGCTGTCAAACTCTGGTTTTCTTAGGTGAAACTAGAACAAATATTTCACTTTTAGAGCCTCTTTCTTTCTTTATTATACTAAATGTACATTCTATATAGCTGAGACAAAAAAGAGGGTAAAATGTATATTTGTTTACTTGAAATGTACCCATATTAAATAACTATTAAGTGCTATGAAGTGTACTGAGAACTTAATATAAGGATGAATATTCCTTTGTCTCTGTTCTTAAGAGCTTGCAAACAGTGGCTGAGGAAGGTAAAGATAAAGTGAAATATGTAACTAAAACAAGAAATAAAATGACAACTTCAGACTTACAATTATTTTTATAGAGGTTCAGAGAAATAGGATTCTCTTCAATCTGAGGATAAAAGTAAAAGGATAAAAAGTAAAGAAATAGTTCATTTAAAATGTGATACAGAGGGGCGGGGCTAATATGGCCAACTAGAAGCAGTGGTGATCAGAGGCTCCCATTGAAAAGAACCATAATAGTGTGTGAAACCTGCACCAGCAACCAAGGTATCCAGGTTCTCTCATCAGAACTGACTAGGTGGCTGGTGTGATCCACAGAGAGGAAGGAAGAGCAGTGTGGTGTGGGGGCCCACCTGAGAGCCACACAGGGCAGGGGAGCCCCTACCCCTAGCGAAGGGAAGCAGTGAGTGAACATGGTACCCAACCTGGGAACTGTGCAACCCACGGATCAGAAGATCCCATTCATGAACCCACGCCACTGGGACCTAGGGTCCCAACCCTGGAGCCACACAGGTTCTCAACAGCCTCTCAGCTAGAATCTGCTTAAGCCTGCTGAGTTCCCAGGGGAGAAGCAACCAGCACCACAGCTGCAGCTGCCTGCATCTAAGCCTTTTGAGCTCCTTGGGGGTGAGGGAGCAGTCAGCACTGGGACTGATAACTACCTAACACGCTAAGCTCCCTGGACATGGGAAGGGCAGCAGCCATCTCTATACCTCCAGGCTGTACTTTTTTCCTGCTGGAGCCAGGGGGTCTGGACAGCTTAGTCCCAAGAGGTGTCCCCCACAGCCCAACACACCAGCTATGGCAGTCTGTAACTGGAGTTCCTCTTCAGGTCTGATCCTGACTGTTCCCTTTCTCACTGGGCAGGGCCTCCCTACAAGAACTCCAACAACTCCACCCAGGGGTGCAGAGACAGAACCCTGATCTCCCTGGTCCTGAGCCTCTAGAGGGAGGGGTAGCCAGAGTCTCTGCAGACCAGCAGATGTTCTGAGGTATCCAGGCAGCCCAGACGAGTGGGTTTTCCCCCAGAGAAGCACACCACCTCCACAAAGGGACAGTGAAAGTTCTTCATTAAACAGGTCCTGTTTTCCATGCCACCCAACTGAGTGAGACACTCCAACAGGGGTTGCCAGACACCCTATACAGCAGCGATCATACTAGCGTCAGGTTGGTGCCCCTTGAGGTCAGAGATCCCAAAAGAAGGAGCAGGCACCCATCTTTGCTATTCTCCAGCCTCCTTGAGTGACCAGGCATGGCAGTGAACCAGGTGAATAGGGCCTGAAGTGAACTCCCAACAAACCACAGCAGCCCTACAGAAGAGGAATCTGACCATTGAAAGAAAAACAAACAGAAAGCAACAACAACAGCATCAACAACAAAAAAGTCCCCACAATACTGACCCCACCATTCAAGGGTCAGTAGCCTCAAAGATGGAAACTAGACAAACTCATGAAGATGAGAAAGTATCAATTAAAAAACACTGAAAATCCAAAAGGCCAGAGTGCCTCTCCTCCAAATAATCACAATGCCTCTCCAGCAAGAGTGCAGAACTGGACAGAGGATGAGATGGACAAATTGACAGAAGTAGGCTTCAGAAGATGGGTAATAAAAAACTCTGCTGAGCTAAATGAGCATGTTGTATGTTGTAACCAAATGCAAAGAAGCTAAGAACCATGATAAAAGGTTAGAGGAGATGCTAACTAGAATAACCAGTTTAGATAGAAATATAAATGACCTGATGGTGCTGAAAAACATATTAGGTGAACCTCATGAAGCATGCACAAGTATCAATAGCTGAATCAACCAAGTGGAAGAAAGAAATATCAGAGTTTGAAGACCACCTTGCTGAAATAAATCACGCAGACAAGAAAATGAAAAGAAACAAAATGAAAAGAAAATGAAATGAGAAAACAAAGTGAAAAGAAATGAACAAAACCTCCAAAAAATATGAAACTACATAAAAAGATAGAACCTATGGTTGATTGGAGTACCTGAAGGAGATGAGGAGAATGGAAACAAGCTGGAAAACACACTTCAGGATATTATCTGGGAGAACTTCCTTAACCTAGAAAGACAGGCCAACATGCAAATTCAGGAAATACAGAGAATACCACTAAGATACTCCACAAGAAGATCAACCCCAAGACATAATCATCAGATTCTCCAAAGTTGAAATGAAGGAAAAAATGTGAAGGGCAGCCAGAGAGAAGGGGCAGGTCACCTACAAAGCATCATCCATCAGAACAACAGCAGACCTCTCAGCAGAAACCCTGTAAGCCAGAAGAGACTGGAGGCCAATATTCAACATTCTTAAAGAAAAGAATTTTCAACCCAGAATTTCATATCCAGCCAAACTAAGCTTCATAAGTGAAGGAGAAATAAAATCCTTTCCAGACAAGCAAATGCTGAGGGATTTTGTCAACTTGAGGCCTGCCTTGCAAGAGCTCCTAAAGGAAGCACTAAATATGAAAAGGAAAAGCTGGTACCAGCCACTACAAAGCACACCAAAATATAAAGACCAGTGACACTATGAAGAAATGGTATCAAGTAGTGTGCAAAATGACCAGATAGCATCATGATGACACATAACAACACTAACCTTAAATGTAAATGGGCTAAATGCTCCAATTAAAAGACACAGACTGGCAATTTGGATAACAAGTCAAGACCCATTGGTGTGCTGTATTCAGGAGACCCATCCCACATGCAAAGACACACAGAGGCTCAAAATAAAAGGATGGAAGAAAATTTACCAAGCAAATGGAAAGCAAAAAACAGCAGGAGTTGCACTCCTAGGCTCTAATAAAACAGACTTTAAACATACAAAGATCAAAAAAGACAAAGAAGGGCATTACATAATGGTAAAGGGATCAATTCAACAAGAAGAGCTAACTATCCTAAATATATATGCACCCAATATAGGAGGACCCAAATTCATAAGACAAGTTCTAAGATACCTATGAAAAGACCTAGACTCCCACACAATAATAGTGTGAGACTTTAACACCCCATTGTCAATATAGACAGATCAACAAGACAGAAAATTAACAAGGATATTTAGGACTTCAACTCAGCTCTGGATCAAGTGAACTTAATAGACATCTACAGAACCCTCCACTCCAAATCAACAGAATACACATTCTTCTCAGTGCCACATGGCGCTTTTTCTAAAATCAACCACATAGTTGGACGTAAAACACTCCTTAGCAAATGCAAAAGAAGTAAAATCATAACACAGTCTCTCAGACCACAGTGCAATCAAATTAGAACTATTTAAGAAGCTCACTCAAAACCACACAATTACATGGAAATCGAACAACCCGCTCCTGAATGACTCCTGGATAAATAATGAAATTAAGGCACAAATCAAGACTTTTTTGAAACCAACAATAACAAAGAGACAATGTATCAGAATCCCTAGGACACAGCTAAAACAGTGTCAGGACGGAAATTTAGAGCACCAATTGCCCACACTAGAAAGCTAGAAAGATCTCAAATCAACACCCTAACATCACAATTAAAAGAGCTAGAGATGCAAGAGCAAACTAATCCAAAAGCTATCAGAAGACAAGAAATAACTAAGATAAGAGCAGAATTGAAGGAGATGGAGACACAAAAAAACCCTCCAAAAAAATCAGTAAACCCAAGAGCTGGTTTTTTGAAAAAATTAACAAAATAGATAGACTGCTACCTAGACTAACAAAGAATAAAAGAGAGAAGAATCAAATAGACACAATAAAAAAAGAAAAAGGGGATATCACCATTGACCCCATAGAAATACAAACTACCATCAGAGAATATTATAAATGCCTCACACAAATAAGCAAGAAAATCTAGAAGAAATGGATAAATTCCTGGATACATGCACTCTCCCAAGACTGAACAAAGAAGAAGTCAAATCCCTGAAAAGATCAATAAACAGTTCTAAAATCGAGGCAGTAATTAACAGCCTACCAACCAAAAAAAGCCCAGGACCAGATGAACTCACAGCTGAATTCCACCAGAGGTACAAAGAGGAGCTGGTACCATTCCTTTTGAAACTATTCCAAACAATTGCAAAGGAGGGAATCCTCTCTAACTCATTTTATGAAGTCAGCGTCATCCTGATAACAAAACCTTGCAGAGACACAACAAAAAAAGAAAATTTCAGGCCAATATCCCTGATGAACATCTATGCAAAAATCCTCAATAAAATACTAACAAACTGAATCCAGGAGCACATCAAAAAACTTATCCATCTCAATCAAGTCAACTTCATCCCTGGGATGCAAGGCTGGCTCAAAATATACACATCAATAAACGTAATCTGTCACATACAAGAACCAATGACAAAAAAACACATGATTATCTCAATAGATGCAGAAAAAGCCTTTGATAAAATTAAACATCACTTCATGTTAAAAACTCTCATTAAAGTAGGGTTGATGGGACATATCTCAAAATAATAAGAGCTATTTATGACAAAACCACAGCCAATATCATACTGAATGGGCAAAAGCTGGAAGCATTCCCTTTGAAAACCAATACAAGACAAGGATGCCCTCTCTCACCACTCCTATTCAACATAGTATTGGAAGTTCTGGCCGGGGCAATCAGGCAAGAGAAAGAAATAAAGGGTATTCAAATAGGAAGACTGGAAGTCAAATTGTCTCTGTTTGCAGACAACATGATGCTATATTTAGAAAACCCCATCATCTCAGCCCCAAAACTCCTTAAGTTGATAAGCAACTTCAGCAAAGTCTCAGGCTACAGAATCAATGTGCAAAAGTCACAAACATTCCCATACACCAGCAATAGACAGGCAGAGCACCAAATCTGAATGAACTCCTATTCACAATTGCTATGAAGAGAATAAAACACCGAGGAATACAGCTAACAAGGGACATGAAGGATCTCTTCAAGGAGAACTACAAACCACTGCTCAAGGAAATAAGAGAGGACACAAACAAATGGAAAAACATTCCATCCTCATGGATAGGAAAAATCAATATTGTGAAAATGGCCATACTGCCCAGTGTAATTTATAGATTCAGTGCTATTCCCATCAAACTACCCTTGACATTCTTCACAGAATTAGAAAAATCTACTTTAATTTTCATATGGAATCAAATAAGTCCCCATATAGCAAGACAGTGCTAAGCAAAAACAACAAAGCTGGAGGAATCACGGTACCTGACTTCAAATTATACTGCAAGTCTACAGTAACCAAAACAGCATGATACTTGTATCAAAACAGACATATAGAAAAATGGAACAGAACAGAGACCTCAGAAATAACACCACACATCTACAACCATCTGATCTTTGACAAACCTAACAAAAACAAGCAATGGGGAAAGGATTTCCTATTCCATAAATGGTCCTGGGAAAACTGGCTAGTCATATACAGAAAACTGAAACTGGACCCCTTCCTTCCACTTATACAAAAATTAACTCAAGAACGTTAAAG
The DNA here is from genome assembly GCF_000001405.40 of Homo sapiens. NCBI lineage: Eukaryota > Metazoa > Chordata > Mammalia > Primates > Hominidae > Homo > Homo sapiens. Next base: position 141,820,695 of record NC_000004.12, read on the forward strand.
ACTTAAATGTGAAACCTAAAACCATAAAAACCCTAGAAGATAATCTAGGCAATTTCAGGACATAGGCGTGGACAAGGGCTTCATGACAAAAATGGCAAAAACAATCAAAACAAAATCCAAAATTGACAAATGGGATCGAATTAAACCAAAGAGCTTCTGCACAGCAAAAGTAACTATCATCAGAGTGAACAGGCAACCTACAGAATGGGAGAAAAGTTTTGCAATCTGCCCATCTAATAAGGTCTAATATCTAGAATTTATGAGGAACTTAAACATATTTACAAGAAAATAAAAACAACCCCATCAAAAAGTGGGCGAAGGATATGAACAGACACTTCTCAAAAGAAGACATTTACATGGCCAACAAGCATATGATAAAAGCTCAGCATTACTGATCATCAGAGAAATGCAAATCCAAACCACAATGAGATATCTCACACCAGTCAGAATGGCAATTATTAAAATGTCAGGATACAATAGATGGTGGCAAGGCTGTATAGGAACACTTTTACACTGTTTGTGGGAATGTAAATTAGTTCAACCATTATGGAAGACAGTGTGGCGATTCATCAAGGATCTAGAACAAGAAATACCATTTAACCCAGCAATTCAATTACTGGGTATAAATCCGAAGGAATATAAATTATTCTACTATAAAGACACATGCACATGTATGCTTATTGCAGCACTATTTACAATAGTAAACACATGGAACCAACCTAAATGCCCATCGATGATAGACTGGATAAAGAAATTGTGGTACATATACAGCATGGAATACTATGCAATATTGGTTAAATACTGCATACGAAGGAATGAGATAATGTCCTTCACAGGGACATTGATGAAGCTGGAAGAAATCATCCTCAGCAAACTAACACATGAACAGAAAACCAAACACTGCATGTTCTCACTCATAGTTGGGAGTTGAACAATGAGAACACATGGACACAGGGAGGGGAACAACACACACCAGGGCCTGTTGGCGGGTGGTGGGGGAGTGTTGAAAACTTATATAATGGGTCAATAGGTGCAGCAAATCACCATGGCACACATATACCTATGTAACAAACCTGCACTTTCTGCACATGTGTCCCGGAACTTAAAGTAAAATTTAAAAAACATAATAATAAAATGTGATATGAATGTTGAGAAAGAAAAAAGATTCAAAAAACCAAAATCATCCTTGAAAAATAGAACAAAACGAACACACAGGCTGGGAATTAGGGCAGAATCTACAGCAGTTCACTTTGGATGAACTGTGGGAATGTGAACACTGAAAGAAGGAACGACTAGAAAGATGGGGTTAATCACATTGTGAAGGACGCCAAGTTCCACAGGAAGCCACATTTACTCTCGTATCCAACAGGGACTTATTGGTGGATTTTAAAATAGCTAATAACATGTAATAATATGATCAGAGTGGCAATTTGAAAAATAAATCTATTCATTGTTTGAAGAGAAAAATGGGGGATCACCAGACAATGAGAAGGTAATTGTAAAAGCCAAGGTAAAACCTAATGATAGCCTGAACTTGAGCTTGCAAGTAAAATTGGGAAGGAGGAAATAACCATAACAATAAAGAAATCTAATAAATTATTTAGTAGATTTTGAGGTTAAGAAATAAATCAAAGATCAATTTAAGATCTTTTTTCTTGCTTAATGATGGTCACATTAACAGAAGTAGAACAAGGGAAATTGGGGATGGAAGTGTGATGGAAGTGACATGAGATTATATTTTGGATATGTTCATTTTAGATAATGCTGGACCATTTATGTTAGAGTCTATAAAAGTTTATAAGATATGTGGATATGGATTTTTAAAAAATAGGGCTACAAATAAAAATCTGGGTTCATCGGCTTTCTTGTGACAAAACCATAAGAGTTGGTAAGTTCACCAAGGGAAAGAGAGTAATGAAGAAAGAGAAGCCCAAAAAGGGAACTTTGAAAAAGTAGACAACATCAAAGAACAGATAGGTAATATAAGCAGAGAAGTGGAAACTAAGAAAAATAAAAAAGAAATGCTAGAAATCAAAAACACTGGAACAGAAGTGAAGAATAACTTTGATGAGTTCATGATTATATTGGAAATAGCCAGGGAAAGAATCAGTGAGCTTGAAGATAGGCAAATAGAAACTTTCCAAAATCAAGTGCAAAGAGATGCAAAAGAAATGATAATAATAATACCACAACAAAATGGCCAAGAAATGTGGGACAACCTCAAAAATTATCAAACATGCATAGTTGGTCTACAACATGAAAAAAAAGAGGGAACAGAGAAAAAGAAATATTTGAAGTAATAATAGCCAGGAGTTTACCAAAACTAATGAGAGATAACAAACCACCAGATCCAGCAAGCTCAGAAAACACCAAATGGAATAAATACCCAAAAATCTACACCTAAGCATATCATATTCAAATAGCAGAATGCTAAAAACAAAGGAGCCAGAAGAGAGAGAGAAAAAAGGAACTTATCCATAGAGAAATAAGGATTAGAAGTGCAGTGAACATCTCTTCCGAAATTATGCAAGTAAGAAGACAGGGGAGTGAAATTTTGAAGTGTTGAAAAATTAGTCACTAACCTAGAATTTTATATTAAGCCAAATTATTTGTTTAAACTGAAGGAGAAATACTTTCTGAAATATACAAACACTGAGAGAATTTATTGCCATTACACTTGCCCTGCAGGAAATCTTAAAATAAGTTCTTTTTTTTTTTTAAACCAGGAAGAAGTTGAATCTCTGAATAGACCAATAACAGGATCTGAAATTGTGGCAATAATCAATAGCTTACCAACCAAAAGGAGTCCAGGACCAGATGGATTCACAGCCGAATTCTACCAGAGGTACAAGGAGGAACTGGTACCATTCCTTCTGAAACTATTCCAATCAACAGAAAAAGAAGGAATCCTCCCTAACTCATTTTAGGAGGCCAGCATCATTCTGATACCAAAGCCGGGCAGAGACACAACCAAAAAAGAGAATTTTAGACCAATATCCTAGATGAACATTGATGCAAAAATCCTCAATAAAAAACTGGCAAACTGAATCCAGCAGCACATCAAAAAGCTTATCCACCATGATCAAGTGGGCTTCATCCCTGGGATGCAAGGCTGGTTCAATATACGCAAATCAATAAATGTAATCCAGCATATAAACAGAACCAAAGACAAAAACCACATGATTATCTCAATAGATGCAGAAAAGGCCTTTGACAAAATTCAACAACTCTTCATGCTAAAAACTCTCAATAAATTAGGTATTGATGGGACATATCTCAAAATAATAAGAGCTATCTATGACAAACCCACAGCCAATATCATACTGAATGGGCAAAAACTGGAAGCATTCCCTTTGAAAACTGGCACAAGACAGGGATGCCGTCTCTCACCACTCCTATTCAACATAGTGTTGGAAGTTCTGGCCAGGGCACTTAGGCAGGAGAATGAAATAAAGGGTATTCAATTAGGAAAAGAGGAAGTCAAATTGTCCCTGTTTGCAGACGACATGATTGTATATCTAAAATAAATTCTTTAGGGAGAAGGAAAGAGATATAGATCAGAAATTTGGATGTACATCGAGAAAGAGAGAACATCATAGAAAGAATAAAGAAAGGTAAACTAAAATCTTCTATTTTTCTTATTCATAATTGATCTAAAAGATGACTGTTGGTTGAAAGCAAAAAATAATAACAATGTAATGGGTGATTATAGGAGATGGATGACTAAAATAAATGGGAGCAATGACTTAAGGGAAAGGATTGAGGAAGTGGAAATTTGCTGTTACAAGATAGTTGCATTATGTGCGAAATGGTATAGCATAATTTGGGGGTAGACATAGATTACTAAAAAATGTATATTGTGAACTCTAGACAACCACTAAAAATTTGTTGTAAAAATGTGAAGTTGATAGGATAAGATGGGATTTAAAATAAAATAATAAACATATGCTTAATTAAAACCATAAAGCAGACAAGAGGGAAAAAGAAATAAGGAACAAATGCAATGAATAAGAAATGGTTACAAACAATCCAAATATATCAATAATCACTTTAAATGTGAATAGTCTAAATTCACCAATTAAAAGATGGAAATTGTCAGAATGGATTAAAAAAAGAACACCTAAAAACAGCTGTCTAGAAGAGACCTATGTTAAATATAAAGATTCGGGTTAATAGTGAAAGTGTGTAGCACCACTATTCACCTTAGCCAAAAGGTAGAAACAACTTTATTGTCCATCAATGAATGAATGGATAAACAAATTGTAAGTATATAGATATAATGAAATATTATTTAGCTATCCAAATAATAAAGTACAAATATACATTAGAACAAGGGTGAACCTCAAAAACATTATGCTAAATGAAATAAGCCAGACATAAGAGGCCACATATTATGATTCCATTTATATGAAATGTCCAGACTAGGAAAATCCATAGAGACAGAAAGCGTATTCATGGTTACCAGAGGCTGTAGGGAAACATGATTGAGGAATAACTGCATATTAGGTATGGCGTTTCCTTCTAGGTTATGAAAATGTTTAGGGATGAGACAAAGGTGTTGGTTGCACAACATTGTTGATAGACTAAATGCCACTAAATTGCTTTAAATAACTTTAAAATTGCTAATTTTATGCTATGTAAATTTTATCTCAAAAAAAAACATGAAGGGTGGAGAAAGATATGTTATGCTAAAACTAATCAAAAGAGAGCTGGAACAACCATGTTAATTTCAGACAAAGTGGCTTCAAAACAAGAAAAAATGCTCATGGATAAAGAGGCGCACTACATAAAAGAGTGGGTTCTCCAAGTAGCCATAACAATTATAAATGTTTTTGCACCTAACAACAGCGAATAAAAATATGTGAGGCAAAAACTAATACAACTGCGAAGGAAAACAATTTTTGCTATTATAAGTGAAGACATAAACATCCCCTCTTTCAGTAATGATAGATCAAGAAGGCCGAAAATGAGGTTACAGTTAACCTGAAAAGCACCATCAATCAACTTGATATGATTGGCATCCTTAACTTGACAAATATTGCCTACAAATTATTTGCAACTGATATAATACTTAATGGTGAGAAACTTGACATTTTCCTCCTAAGATTAGGAATGAAGTAAGAATGTCCATAACCATTTTTAGACATCATTATACTGGAATTCCTAGCTAGGTCATTAAGACAAAGAAAGGAAATAAAAGGCATATAGATTGGGAAAGAATAAATAAAACTTTCTTTACAGATAACATGACTGTTGATGTAGAAGTCCTCAAAGAATGAACAAAAACAAAAACAAATTTCCTGAAACTATTAACCAAGTATAGACTAAGGAGACATAATAATTAAATGCAATGTGATATCATAGATGGAATGCTGGAACATAAACGGAACATTAGGTAACAAAGAAGCTGGAATAAAGTGTAGACTTTAGTAATGACATATCAGTATCAGTTCATTAACTGTATCAAATGTACTATACTAGTATTAATATGTAAATAATAGGAGAAACTGGGTGTAGTGTATGTAGAAACTCACTGTATAATCCTTGCAATTTTTCTACAAATCTAAAATTGTTTTAGATAAAGTTTATTTTAAAAAGAAATTAATTTTAGGCAAATATCTGTCTGCTTAGAGAGAGAAGAGACTAGCTGAAGTCTCTGGTCCATAGAATAACTGCTGTTTGATTACAAAATGGGTACTTAACAACGGAAAAAAAAAAAGAAATAAATAGCCAGTGAATCAAACCAATGATATCACTGTTACAGAATTTCTCAGAAGAGATATGCTATCTGCTTACATTAGAAAAATGTTGCAGAAAAAAATGTCTATGTAAGCTAGCATTTGAATCACTTAATCTAAACAAGCTCCTAACCTTCCTGTGCTTAAGTTTCCTTCTCTGTAAAATGGTAATAAATGTATCATTTATCTGATACAAGTGTTAGGAGCACAAATGGGTTAATAATGGAAAGTACTTGGGATGGTGTCTGGCAGAAAGTAAGCACTCAGTTCATCATCATCATCATCATCAAGTAAGTTATAAAATGCAAGCTAGAAATGCATGTGGAATCTTCCCTGATGTCTTTAAAATTGAAATGGTTTCTCTCATTTCTCAAGCTTTTTTAGGCACCTTTCAAGGCAATATTTGTAAAAGCCCATGAGGCATGAGCAAAAATGTGTGTGCTATGATCTTCTATGTTCTCTGCAGTTCCCACCTTGGTTTTCTTCTGCTGTTGCTTTGAGACCTGTTATTTCAAAGAGGAAAAAGAAAAGCAAATTCCATACAAATACTCTGAGTTTCAAGTAGGGTTAAAGCATCGATGGATAAAGGTATCCTTCTGACAGTAACACAAGCTAATGTGAATTTTTGTTTGAATTTTTTCTCTCTGCTCTTGGACAGGGACAAACATTAAAAGGATTATCCAGGGCATGATAGCTCTTCTCCAAAAATAAGCTATTTGTGTGACATTCCTTTCTGGTTGTCACTTTTCTTTGTGTCAGCTTGGAAAAAACTGACAGAATCACTTTGTCCATGTAATTCAAACAATAAAACATTGAGTTGTGTAATTTTAAGGTGCCTTCCAGTTCCAAGATTCTATGATTTCAGCCATTGAAGGTAATGTTGGAAAAGAGTCTTTTAAATGTTATGTTCTTATAATAGTTTCTGTGTCATTTTTCAGTCAATGATAATTAGTGTCACAATTAGGAAAATAGATCCTAATGTTCATTAATGATGAAGTCTAATATTCTAAGGTGTTGTGATATTGTAAAATAATGTATTTGGTCTGTCCCCATTATGCAACTCTTAAAATCTTTGGAATCTCCAAAGTGATGTCTTTTTGTGTGCCAGTGAGTTAACTGATGGGTGGCAGCCCCTAGGTAGCTGCAGGATGGGAGTTAGTCACAGGAAAGACCAAGACATAATTAGAGGGTTGAAACTTTCTGCTCCATCCCTGAATCTCTAGGGAGAGAAGAGGGCCTCAAGATTGAGCTAATTATCAATAGCTAAGTATTTAATCAATCATGTCCACATAATGAGACTTTCATAAAAATCTAAAAGGACTGAGTTCAGAGAGCTTCCAGATAGCTGAACACGTGGAGGTTCCTGTGGGTGGTTCGCCCAGAGAAGGCATGGATGCTACATGCCTCTTCTCACATGCCTTGCCCTATATTTTCCTTCATCTGTATCCTTTGTAACATCCTTTGTAATAAACCAGTAAACATAAGTGTTTCCCTGAGTTCTATGTGTCACTCTACCAAATTAATAATCCCAAGGAGGGGATCATGGGAATCACGATCTATTGCTGGCCAGTCAGAAGTATAGGTAAAACAACCTGGGGCCTGCATTGGGCCTAGGAAATGGATGGGGGCAGTCTTGTGGGACCGAACTCTCAAACTGCAGGATCTGATACTGTCTCCAGGTAGATCATGTCAAAACTGTATTTAATTAGAAGACACCCAGCTGATGTCCACTGCAGAATTGAGTGCTTGTTTGCTATTGGGGAGAAATTCCCATGAATCTGGTGTCAGAAGAGTGTTTTGAGAGTATAATGGGAGAAACTGAGTTTGTTTATTCCTCCCTACACAGGTTTCATTTAGTATTATCTTTTCTTTGTCATTTCCTTTTCTAAATGTAAGAGCAATGTTTGATGGTTATAGGGGGAAGATTTTTGAAGGCAGTTGATAATATTGAAGGTTTGAATAACAAATACAAATATATATGCATATATGTATGCATATATATATATATGTAAGATTTAAGCAGAATAACCGTGCATTTATTACTAGTCAGTCATTTACTATCTTAAGATGAGATTGATGATTAGTTGTTCTTTCTTAATGTGCTGGGACAAGAGGAAATAACTATTAACAAACCACTAGAGATTTCAATTTGGTGTCTGGAAAACATTTTCTGGAAGGCTAACAACTTTGAAATGAATACTAATGCAAAGAAAATTTTCTGTAAAGGTAATTTGAAATTGGAATAGATGTTCTGATAGGATGTTTCTTGGGGAATCATGATGAAAGTGTAAAGGAAGGCCCCTTTTGGGATCTGAACTTCCTGGTGTGATTGAAGTTGGACATTATTTCAGCTATACACACTTCCTCAACAGTGTTGGAATTGAAGCTGTATTGCTAAGCAGAAGTGTTTCATTTGTTATTCTCTAGAGATTCTACTGATCAAGATTTGTGACTTTCATCTTAACTTCACTTTCTCTAAGGTTAAAGTTTCATTTTGAATTACTTGTTGATGTTTCTATAACTTTTTCTCTCATTCAAAATTTTAATCAAGGAGAAATCAGTTTCTCTTTGAAAAAAGGAAATGAGTCTTTGTGGGTTAAGCATAGTTTGTAAATCTTTAAAACTGGCCAAATTCTGGAGCCGAATTCAATTGACAAGTCTAAACTTTCTTCCTGAGTGACCAAAATTATAAAAGACTCTCTGTGAGGTCAAAATAAGTCCTAAATATAAGAGCCACTGTTCCTCCAGCTGAGAGGCATCTTAGGTGACAAACATCTTATGGGAGTGTTGGAAGTTATCACTATCACTCATGACATGAAATATTCTTACTGGAAATCCCTTGAGAAGAACATACAGGAAAGCTTGCATAATCTGGTGGGCATGCATAAAGGCTGATCACCTAGTGCCTTAAGCACCCAAGTTACTTAGGACCACTAAGATTCATAAAAAGGAAGAACCAACTCAAGAGTGACACCTTGAGAAACTATTCCCACAGTCAGCAGACTTGGTACAAAAAGCTTCCATGAAGTCTTTTGATCTTCAAGAGGAAAATAGAAATTATGGGTAATCATGCATCTAAAACTAAGTCTTCCTCCTTTACCAGATCTAGAAACATCAGCTGAATTCATGTTTAATAATTACGGCACCTCTTCATGCAAATGTTTAGAAAATTGGTCACACATAACTTGCAATGACTCCAAATTACAGTGGCCAGAATGGTGTACCTTTGAAATACATAAACTAGTTTATCTGCATGCTCAATTAGAAAAAGTTCGCTCTAAAATAACAAAACAAAACACAAGTGGTAGAGCTATTTTCAGTGGTACTTAGAAACCTCTAAAAGAGGTTCTGATAAAGTCATTCCTTTGTAAGAGAAACAAAAAATTGTCTAAAATAATTTCTGAATTGAACACAGACTCCTGAAATTTCTTTTCCTTTGTCTGCTCATCCTTCTCTTTATCCCCCATTTTCAGAACATCCTTGCTTAGACTTTCCTCTCCTTCCTCTTCCTCCTTCTGCTATTCTGGCTCAATTTCAGAAATATTCTATGTCCAACCATGGTCAAAGGTATAATTCAAGGGCATGATTAAAGAATTCCCTGATCCTCTTCAGGACCCTGTTGGATTTTCTAGAGAATTTGAATTAAACATCCAAGCTTATGATCCCAGATTCTCTGATCTGTATCAACTGATTCACATATTGCTGTCAGAAAGTAAAGACAAAGATTGGATAGCAAACATGAATTGAAGAAATCCTTTAGAGAACTTGCACACATTTTCAGAAGCAGATCCCCAATAAGCCTACACTACTGCTAAAGCTTTACTTGATACTCTCCCCTTAGTTTTCTAAAAAGTGGTTGACTGGAACAAAATATAACCATGCCAACAAGATATTGATGACCCTGTAATGTCATACTATGAAAGATTTGAAAAAATCTTTAAACAATGTTCAGACCTATCAAAAGAAAGTTAGGCTAGCCAACAAAATAATACTCTTCTTAACTCAAACTTTATAAACAAATTAGATTAAAAATTGGCAATTATAATAAAGATACAATAGCCCCATTTGGGCTACCTGTCAAACTCATGATATGCTTAATTTTGACTATCAATGTCCCATGTTCCAACCAAAGAAAATAAAAAGGAAAGCTAAACAAAAAGGTACAGCAAATAGGGTTATGAGTTTACAATTAAAATAATTGTCCAACCAACTCATAGCCCCTCAATGGCCTATTAAATTTCAAAAGTAATCTTTTCCCCCACTTTGCAATTACTGCAAAATGCTTCAGAAAGGATTGTGGAAAATTAAAATGGAAAAAAAGCAGCAATAGGCCAAAGAAAGAGAAGAATAAGGATGTTCCAAGATCATCAAAGGGACCTTCTTTTTTCTCTGTAGGAATAGCTTCAGGGAAATTGGAATTATTTTAAATACGGAATAAACACAACTCTTATTGACACTTGAACTATGTTAGAGTGATAATCTCATCTTATTTCAAAGTCCTATTCCTTGTAGAAAAAATAATTACAGATGGTGAGTGTAACAAATACTCCTATATAAACTCATAAATCAGAACCTATAGTTTTTCAATTAGATTAGGAACACAAGTTTTCTACTTGGTTTCCTAAGCGTCCACCCACATATCCTCTCAAACGGGGAACTGTATTTACAATTAGAAGATAAAATAGAGTTATTAGATACAAATAGTTTTTGAAATCTAATCATCTCAATTTAGGAATTGCAGTTCATATTGCCATGGATGAGGCAAAATTATTAAATAATGAAGAATTACAAGAGCTATTAATAATAGTACCCAATCAATTGTGGTCAGAATCTTCCACTGGTATTAGGAAAATTATCTTGGCTGCCCCAATCAAAATTCAAATTGATCCATCAAAACCTCTTCTGAACCTTAACCAATACCCTCTAAGATCAGAGGCCATGGAGAAAATGAGACCTATAGTCTTAGATTACATAAGAAGAGGCTTGATTGCCCCTTGTACAGTCCCATGTAATACTCCAATCCTCCCTGTAAGAAAATCAAATGGTAGAGGATGGAGATTTCTACAGGATCTGAAAGCAATTAATAACATAATCATCTCTTCACATCCACTAGTATCAAACCCATATACATTGTTGACTGTCATCCCAACTAAAGGTGAAGTATTTACTGTAATAGACCTGTGTAGTGAATTCTTTAGCATTCCTACTGATAAAGACAGTCAATTTCTCTTCACTTTCAGTTGGGAAGACAGAAAATGCACATGAACAGTCACGACTCAGGGATATGCTAAGATCCCAACTTATTTTTCACAAATATTAAGAACAGACTTTTAGAATTTTGACTTCCCTAAGAAATTTGTTTTGATACACTACATAGTTAACATCTGGACCCTTTGGGTAATGGAATGCCACCTTGCATGAGAGCAATAACTGCTACCATCCTGTTAATACCAGCAACTGAAGAAATAGTGATGGAATCTCCCTCACTGTCTTTGTTCCACCTTCTGTAGAAGTGCTTCTAAACTTGCATCACACCCAACACTATTCAGTTAGTTGACTGCCTTCTTAGGAAATTCTTCTTTCTGCTCATCATATTCCAATCTCCAGATGTAATAGCAATTTTGATGCTGCTGCTCTTCTGCCCCTGCCTTGAGAGGAAATGCCACATGATTGAAATGATCTTGACTAACTAGCTTCTCTCTCATTTTTCTGCAAGAAACTCCCCTTACTAACACTGATGTTGTTTGGTTTACAGATGGATCTTACTTAAAGGATGAATTTGGAACATATGTGACGGGTTATACTATGGTATCTTTAATTGAGCAATAGAAAGTGCTTAGCTACTAGAAACAATCTCAGCTCAACAAGCAGAGTTAATCATATTAATTAGAGCTTGTCAATTGGCAAAAATAATAAATATTTGTATAGACAGTAGATACGTTTTTGGGATAATTCATGACTTTAGAATTCCATGTGAACAGAGGATTTTTAACCTCTTCCAGTCAGTCCATAAAAAAAGAATAACTGGCTTCAGAATTATTAGAAGCCATACTATTGCCACAATCATTAGCCATTATCAAGATTCCAGGCCCTTCAAAGTCAGACATTACAGAAAGCAAAAGAAATAAATTAGCAGATAAAAATTAGCAAAAAGGCCTACCCTAAATGTATCTGAACAAAAAAAAGCAACCCTTTTTAATATTTACAGAAACATTTGATTTTGATATAAAATTTTCTCAATCCAAAGCTCCAAAAACAGAACAAGAAAATTTGGAAACAAAAAGAGAAGCATACATTCCTGACACCAGGTTATGATATAAACCAAATGGCCTAACCATACTTGTAACAAAATTACAGTCATCCATCTTAACTTATGTGCATGATTTAACTCATTGGAGCCCTGATGAATTGATTACTTGGGAAAAAAACAACAACATTATTAAAAGCCGTCTTCAATGGTTGCTCTTAAGGTGTACAATTGCTGCCATATCTGCTCAAAGTACAATCCAGGAAAAGCTTTATATAGTTATCAAGGTCATTTTCCTTTACCAGAGGCCTTTTCTAGGTATGGCAAGTAGATTTTATTCAGCTACACCATGACAAGGATGCAATACATTGTAGTGATGATGTGTATGTGTTCTTATTGGGTAGCAACATGTCTATGTAGAAAAGCAACAGCCTTCGTGGTAAGTAAAATTCTCTCAGAGAAAATTATTGCTGCTTGGAGACTTCCTCTAGAAATTCATAGCAATGGAGGTACTCATTTCACTAGACAAATAGTTCAGTCAATATGTAAAATCTGGTCGATTCTTCAACATTTCCGTTGTGCGTGTCAACCCGTCACCTGTGATAGTGAAATGCACAAACAGAATAATCAAAACTCATTTGGCAAAATTAACTGAAGCTTTTAAATTCCTTGGCCAAAGGTCTTCTGTTAGCTTTGCTTAGCCTAAGATTGACCACCTTTGGTAAACACCAGCTGTTTATAACCTATGAAATTGTCTCCAGGAAATTGTGAATCTATGATGTTAAAAGACAATATGTTATATTATTGCAGCAGCCTTATAAAACATCTAAGTAAAAACAATAATTTAATAAAAGCTTCCTTCCATAGTGATTGCCTGAGAGAGGAAGAACTCAAGAATCACAGACTTCAACTAGGAGACTTTGTCTATTAGAAATGACTTCTTGGGGAGGAGCCAAGATGGCCAAATAGGAATAGCTGCAGTCTACAGCTCCCAGTGTGAGTGACACAGAAGTTGGGTGATTTCTGCATTTCCAACTGAGGTACTGGGTTCATCTCACTGTGGATTGTCAGACAGTGGGTGCAGGACAGTGGGTGCAGCACACTGAGCATGAGCCAAAGCAGGGCAAGGCATCGTCTCACCCAGGAAGCAAAAGGGGTCAGGGAATTCCCTTTCCTAGTCAAAGAAAGGGGTGACAGATGGCACCTGGAAAATCGGGTCACTCCCACCCTAATACTGCGCTTCTCCAATGGTCTTAGCAAATGGTACACCAGGAGATTATATCCCGCGCATGGCTCAGAGGGTCCTACGCCCATGGAGCCTCGTTCATTGCTAGCACAGCAGTCTGAGATCAAACTGCAAGGCAGCAGCGAGGCTGAGGGAGGGGTGCCTGCCATTGCTGAGGCTTGAGTAGGTAAACAAAGCGGCGGGAAGCTTGAACTGGGTGGAACCCACCGCAGCTCAAGGAGGCCTGACTGCCTCTGTAGACTCCACCTCTGGGGGCAGGGCATAGCCAAACAAAAGGCAGCAGAAACCTCTGCAGACTTAAACGTCCCTGTCTGACAGCTTTGAAGAGAGTAGTGGTTCTCCCAGCACGCAGCTGGAGATCTGAGAATGGACAGACTGCCTCCTCAAGTGGGTCCCTGACCCCCGAGTAGCCTAACTGGGAAGCACCCCCCAGTAGGGGCAGACTGACATGTCACATGGCCGGGTACTCCTCTGAGACAAAACTTCCAGAAGAACGATCAGGCAGCAACATTTGCTGTTCACCAATATCCACTGTTCTGCAGTCTCCACTGCTGATACCCAGGCAAACAGGGTCTGGAGTGGACCTCCCGTAAACTCCAACAGAACTGCAGCTGAGGGTCCTGACTGTTAGAAGGAAAACTAAAAAACAGAAAGGAAATCCACACCAAAACCCCATCTGTACGTCACCATCATCAAAGACCAAAGGTAGATAAAACCACAAAGATGGGGAAAAAACGGAGCAGAAAAACTGGAAACTAAAAATCAGAGCACCCCTCCTCCTCCAAAGGAACAAATCTCCTCACCAGCAATGCAACAAAGCTGGATGGAGAATGACTTTGACGAGTTGAGAGAAGAAGGCTTCAGACGATCAAACTACTCCAAGCTAAAGGAGGAAGTTCGAACCCATGGCAAAGAAGTTAAAAACTTTGAAAATAAATTAGACGAATGGCTAACTAGAATAACCAATGCAAAGAAGTCCTTAAAGGACCTGACGGAGCTGAAAACCAAGGCACGAGAACTATGTGATGAATGCACAAGCCTCAGTAGCTGATTTGATCAACTGGAAGAAAGGGTATCAGTGATGGAAGATCAAATCAATAAAATGAAGTGAGAAGAGAAGTTTAGAGAAAAAAGAATAAAAAGAAATGAACAAAGCCTCCAAGAAATATGGGATGATGTGAAAAGACCAAATCTACATCTGATCGGTGTACCTGAAAGTGACTGGGAGAATGGAACTAAGCTGGAAAACACTCTGCAGGATATTATCCAGGAGAACTTCCCCAATCTAGCAAGGCAGGCCAACATTCAGATTCAGCAAATACAGAGAATGCCACAAAGATACTCCTCGAGAAGAACAACTCCAAGACACATAATTGTCAGATTCACCAAAGATGAAATGAAGGAAAAAATGTTAAGGGCAGCCAGAGAGAAAGGTCGGGTTACCCACAAAGGGAAGCCCATCAGACTAACAGCAGATCTCTCGGCAGAAACTCTACAAGCCAGAAGAGAGTGGGGGCCAATATTCAACATTCTTAAAGAAAAGAATTTTGAACCCAGAATTTCATATCCAGCCAAACTAAGCTTCATAAGTGAAGGAGAAATAAAGTCCTTTATAGACAAGCAAATGCTGAGAGATTTTGTCACCACCAGGCCTGCCCTAAAAGAGCTCCTGAAGGAAGCACTAAACATAGAAAGGAACAACCAGTACCATCCACTGCAAAAACATGGCAAATTGTAAAGACCATTGAGGCTAGGGAGAAACTGCATCAACTAATAAGCAAAATCACCAGCTAACATCATAATGACAGGATCAAATTCACATGTAACAATATTAACCTTAAATGTAAATGGGCTAAATGCTCCAATTAAAAGACACAGACTGGCAAATTGGATAAAGAGTCAAGACCCATCAGTGTGCTGTATTCAGGAAACCCATCTCACGTGCAGAGACACACATAGACTCAAAATAAAGGGATGGAGGAAGATCTACCAAGCAAATGGAAAACAAAAAAAGGAAGGGGTTGCAATCCTAGTCTCTGAAAAAACAGACTTTAAGCCAACAAAGATCAAAAGAGACAAAGAAGGCCATTACATATTGGTAAAGGGATCAATTCAACAAGAAGATCTAACTATCCTAAATATATATGCACCCAGTACAGGAGCAACCAGATTCATAAAGCAAGTCCTTAGAGAATTACAAAGAGATTTAGACTCCCACACAATAATAATGGGAGACTTTAACACCCCACTGTCAACATTAGACAGATCAAGGAGACAGAAAGTTAACAAGGATATCCAGGAATTGAACTCAGCTCTGTACCAAGCAGACCTAATAGACATCTACAGAACTCTCCACCCCAAATCAACAGAATATACATTCCTTTCAGCACAACATCCTATTGTGGTCAATTTCCTATTCCAAAATTGACCACAGAGTTGGAAGTAAAGCACTCCTCAGCAAATGTAAAAGAACAGAAATTATAACTAACTATCTCTCAGACCACAGTGCAATCAAACTAGAACTCAGGATTAAGAAACTCACTCAAAACCACTCAACTACATGGAAACTGAACAACCTGCTCCTGAATGACTACTGGGTACATAACGAAATGAAGGCAAAAATAAAGATGTTCTTTGAAACCAATGAGAACAAAGACACAACATACCAGAATCTCTGGGACACATTCAAAGCAGTGTGTAGAGGGAAATTTATAGCACTAAATGCCCACAAGAGAAAGCAGGAAAGATCTAAAATTGACACCCTAACATCACACTTAAAAGAACTAGAGAAGCAAGAGCAATCACATTCAAAAGCTAGCAGAAGGCAAGAAATAACTAAGATCAGAGCAGAACTGAGGGAGATAGAGACATAAAAAACCCTTCAAAAAAATCAATGATTCCAGGAGCTGGTTTTTTTTGAAAAGATCAACACAATTGATAGACTGCTAGCAAGACTAATAAAGAAGAAAAGAGAGAAGAATCAAATAGATGCAATAAAAAATGACAAAGGGGATATCACCACTGATCCCACAGAAATACAAATTACCATCAGAGAATACTATAAACACCTCTATGCAAATAAACTAGAAAATCTAGAAGAAAGGGATAAATTCCTCGACACATACACCCTCCCAAGACTAAACCAGGAAGAAGTTGAATCTCTGAATAGACCAATAACAGGCTCTGAAATTGAGGCAATAATTAATAGCTTACCAACCAAAAAAAGTCCAGGACCAGATGGATTCACAGCTGAATTCTATCAGAGGTACAAGGAGGAACTGGTACCATTCCTTCTGAAACTATTCCAATCAATAGAAAAAGAGGGAATCCTCCCTAACTCATTTTATGAGGCCAGCATCATCCTGATACCAAAGCCTGGCAGAGACACAACAAAAAAAGGGAATTTTAAACAAATATCCCTGATGAACATCGATGCAAAAATCCTCAGTAAAATACTGGCAAAGCGAATCCAGCAGCACATCAAAAAGCTTATCCACCATGATCAAGTGGGCTTCACCCCTGGGATGCAAGGCTGGTTCAATATACGCAAATCAATAAACATAATCCAGCATATAAACAGAACCAACGACAAAAACCACATGATATCTCACTAGATGCAGAAAAGGCCTTTGACAAAATTCAACAATGCTTCATGCTAAAAACTCTCAATAAGTTAGGTATTGATGGGACATATCTCAAAATAATAAGAGCTATCTATGACAAACCCACAGCCAATATCATACTGAATGGGCAAAAACTGGAAGCGTTCCCTTTGACAACTGATAGAAGACAGGGATGCCCTCTCTCACTACTCCTATTCAACATAGTGTTGGAAGTTCTGGCCAGGGCAATGAGGCAGGAGAAGGAAATAAAGGGCATTAAATTAGGAAAAGAGGAAGTTAAATTGTCCCTGTTTGCAGATGACATGATTATATATCTAGAAAACCACATCATCTCAGCCCAAAATCTCCTTAAGCTGATAGGCAACTTCAGCAAAGTCTCAGGATACAAAATCAATGTACAAAAATCACAAGCATTCTTATACACCAATAACAGACTAACAGAGAGCCAACTCATGAGTGAACTCCCATTCACAATTACTTCAAAGAGAATAAAATACCTAGGAATCCAACTTACAAGGGACGTGAAGGACCTCTTCAAGGAGAACTACAAACCACTGCTCAATGAAATAAAAGAGGATACAAACAAATGGAAGAACATTCCATGCTCATGGGTAGGAAGAATCAATATGGTGAAAATGGCCATACTGCCCAAGATAATTTATAGATTCAATGCCATCCCCATCAAGCTACCAATAACTTTCTTCACAGAATTGGAAAAAACTACTTTAAAGTTCATATGGAACCAAAAAAGAGCCCACATTGCCAAGTCAATCCTAAGCCAAAAGAACAAAGCTGGAGGCATCACGCTACCTGACATCAAACTATACTACAAGGCTACAGTAACCAAAACAGCATGGTACTGGTACCAAAACAGAGATATAGACGAATGGAACAGAGCAGAGCCCTCAGAAATAATGCCGCGTATCTACAACCATCTGATCTTTGACAAACCTGAGAAAAACAAGCAATGGGGAAAGGATTCCCTATTTAATAAATGGTGCTGGGAAAACTGGCTAGCCATATGTAGATAGCTGAAACTGGATCCCTTCCTTACACTTTATACATAAATTAATTCAAGATGGATTAAAGTCTTACATGTTAGACCTAAAACCATTAAAACCCTAGAAGAAAACCTAGGCAATACCATTTAGGACATAGGCATGGGCAAGGACTTCATGTCTAAAACACCAAAAGCAATGGCAACAAAAGCCAAAATTGACAAATGGGATCTAATTAAACTCAAGAGCTTCTGCAC
This sequence comes from Homo sapiens, assembly GCF_000001405.40. NCBI lineage: Eukaryota > Metazoa > Chordata > Mammalia > Primates > Hominidae > Homo > Homo sapiens. The sequence goes on from NC_000004.12 coordinate 141,838,804, forward strand.
AGCAAAAGAAACTACCATCAGAGTGAACAGGCAACCTACAGAATGGAAGAAAATTTTTGCAATCTACTCATCTGACAAAGGGCTAATATCCAGAATCTACAATGAACTCAAACAAATTTACAGGAAAAAAACAAACAACCCCATCCACAAGTGGGCGAAGGATATGAACAGACACTTCTCAAAAGAAGACATTTATGCAGCCAGAAGACACATGAAAAAATGCTCATCATCACTGGCCATCAGAGAAATGCAAATCAAAACCACAATGAGATACCATCTCACACCGGTTAGAATGGCAATCATTAAAAAGTCAGGAAACCAACAGGTGCTGGAGAGGATGTGGAGAAATAGGAACAGTTTTACACTGTTGGTGGGACTGTAAACTAGTTCAACCATTGTGGAAGTCAGTGTGGCGATTCCTCAGGGATCTAGAACTAGAAATACCATTTGACCCAGCCATCCCATTACTGGGTATATACCCAAAGGATTATAAGTCGTGCTGCTATAAAAACACATGCACACATATGTTTATTGTGGCACTATTCACAATAGCAAAGACTTGGAACCAACCCAAATGTCCAACGATGATAGACTGGATTAAGAAAATGTGGCACATTTACACCATGCAATACTATGCAGCCATAAAAAATGATGAGTTCATGTCCTTTGTAGGGACATGGATGAAGCTAGAAACCATCATTCTCAGCAAACTATCGCAAGGACAAAAAACCAAACACTGCATGTTCTCACTCATAGGTGTGGATTGAACAATGAGAACACATGGACACCGGAAGGGGACCATCACACACCGGGGCCTGTTGTGGGGCGGGGGGAGGGGGGAGGGATAGCATTAGGAGATATACCTAATGTTAAATGACGAGTTAATGGGTGCAGCACACCAACATGGCACATGTATACATATGTAACAAACCTGCACATTGTGCACATGTACCCTAAAACTTAAAGTATAATTTTAAAAAAAATGACTTATTTTAAAGGACTCTCCAACCAAGATGGAGAGGTTCTTATCAGGTACTTCTTACTAACCCCTGTGCTGCAAAATTAGAAGGTGTAGTTTCATGGACTTATAGTTCTCATTTAAAGAAGACTGAATCTCCTGAGTGGAATGTTTCACTGGAAAATGACCTCCAACTTAAATTGAGTCAACACAAGGATAAGAAGATGGCACCTGAGGAAGACAGCGAAATCTCAAGACCCCAGGCCTGGTTTGCTGGAAGTCTATGTCACACCTTGCTGAAGTTTTTGAACTGTTGTTACTTTTTGAGAAATAATTGTTATTTAGGACTTTGCAGAGCTGTTGGGTTAAGAGTCTGATTTTTTAAAAAATGAACCCCTTTTTTTCCTTATGGTTGTTCCTTTGTCTCAATGCCTAGAATGACATGGTAACACTTTGGTTAAACTATCCCACAGTGTTGCCACTGGAAGAAACCTATCTGATTGTTGGATCTGCCATATAATTCCTAGATCTATTCACGACTAATATATGTCATTAGTAATGTTTGTCATTGACTTTTAAGATCTCCTTAATGTCACCACTCATTTGGAGCAACTCCCCTCTGGATTAATTTCCTAGGTCTGACTTCTTCCTATCCTGAAACACTGTTTTAATTTGTCTCTTGTTGTTAGCGGTTGGCCCAAACTTTAACCTAGATTATATCCATGGACCTCCTCGATCCCTGTACTACAGGCTAAACAGTGCCAACAATAAATCAATAAGCCACCATGCAAACGTATTCTGTAATCCTTGCTGAGAAAGAAACTGATGTTTTAATTTGGTATTTTCAGCACTCCCCATGAGTGAGTCTATTAACAATAATTTCTTAGTAGAATCACCTGTGCTCCCCCAGGCCATGTTTTTATTTTATTTTATTTATTTATTTATTTATTTATTTATTTATTTATGAATGACAGAGTTTCACTCTTGTTGCCCAGGCTGGAGCGTAATGGCACAATCTCTACTCCCACAACCTCCGCCTCCGGGGTTCAAGCGATTTTCTTGCCTCAGCCTCCCAAGTAGCTGGGATTACAGGCATGCACCACCAAACCTGGCTAATTTTGTATTTTTAGTAGGGACAGGGTTTCTCCATGTTGGTCAGGCTGGTCTCTAATTCCCAACCTTAGGTGATCTGCCCGTCTCGGCCTCCCAAAGTGCTGGGATTACAGGCATGAGCGACCACACCCAGCCTCCCCAGGCTATGTTTTTGTATGTGGCATCGGAACTGATTTGCCCATACAAGGATGGGCACATTATTTCCTTAGTAGCTGGCAGGTAGAGGGCTTATGCTTTTTGGGACATTTTGTGCCTGTCTTGTCCCTGCATGAAAATATGAAAGAACTCTCTCCTTTTCTCTCCATTACAGAGTGAAGACAACTATATTAGCAAAGTATGATGGTAATATACGTGAAAGCATTTTGAGAATACTAATTCCAAGTGCTTGGAGTCCATATCAATAGATACATGATTCAAAACCTATCAACCACCATTAGTCAGTGATATGGTTTGGCTCTGTATCCCCACCCAAATCTCATCTCAAATTATAATCCCCACCTGTCAAAGGAAGAACCTGGTAGGAGGTGATTAGATCATCTGGGCGGTTTCCCTCATGCTGTTCTCGTGATAGTGGGTGAGTTCTCATGGGATTTGCTGGTTTTATAAGTGGTGGTTTTCCCTGCTCTTCTCTCTCCTGCCACCTTGTGAAGAAGGTGACTGTTTGCCCTTCTGCCGTGATTGTAAGTTTCCTGAGGCCTCCCCAGCCATGCAGAACTGTGAGTCCATTAAACCTCTTTCCTTCATAAATTACCCCTTCTCAGGGAAGTTCTTTATAGCAGTTTGAAAACTGCTACTACTCTTCTAGCAAAAGGAGAGCTGTAGCTCAACAAAGATCTTTAAATTCCTTAACCCAGGTAGTACCAGATAATAAAATTCCCCTGGATTATTTATTGGCTGAAAAAGAAGATGTCTGTGTGGTAATTCATACCACTTGTTGTACTTATGTTAACACCTCTGGAGAAATGGAAACTCAGCTAGAGAGAATAATGCAAAATCTAAATCATTACAAGACATAAGAAACACTGATCCTCTAAATGACTTGCTTATTTGATTACCCTTAGGACTAAGTTATCTATTTCATTCTAGTCTTCAAGTTGTTATTATTATAATTATAAGGATACTTGTCATTTTTCTGGTTATTAAGTTACTCATGATTTGTATTTCTGCTTGCTTAAGATCAGTGGCTGAGGCCAAGAGAACATTACTCAATCAAATAATTACATTGATCAAAGATATGACTGTGTAGCCTGACTTGTGTTATAAATTTGGCCTATACATCATCAGCTTTAAAGCCTAATAGACTCACCTCACCATGGTACATGACTCTAGCAATGAGCCTTCCTAGTGACATGGGACGAAGCTCCTGAACATAAAAGGAGCCAAAACCATTTATGAGTTTTTGACGTTTTCTTTGAAAAATCTTGATGATCAGGGAAAAATGTGAAATTAAGTAATTCAAACTTAAAGCTGTTTGAACTTTAAATTATTTTGAGCCTTGAGTCGAATATAGCTATGTGGCCTGAGTCACGTAGCTTGTAGCTGGAACTTCTGCCTCTCTGATTACAGATTAAATCCCTTCCTCAGTCCTGTCCTGTAAATGATTAGAAAAGACCAAATAGTGCCAGAGAGAAGACCCCTTAAGACCATTGTTTCTCCTAATGTAATGTTAAAGCAATCTTCCTTGGAATGTAGCAAATTGATAATCACTATAAGGTATTTACCCACCTTGTAAGGAAAATGTTGCAACCCTGTTAACTGCCTACATAAGTAAAACCTTAACTTCCCCACTTTAAAAGGCTGGCCCATTCTTTTGGAGTCTATGTTTCCCAGGTGGCTATCCCCAAGTGTTGCACTTGAATAAACGCTATACTTAATCTTATGTTCCAAATTTCATAATTCAAGGTTGACAGGCTGAGTGTCCCATCACAGTTTTCAAATAACTGTCAACATCCAAATAGAAACAACTGTTACAAATCCTTTGTAAATTGAAGGATATATAAATTAATTATATTCTGGATTAAACGTGACGCTATATTCAAATACTATAATATGCTTTAATTTTAATGGCATCTAATTTTCAACTGTCAGATGAAAAATACAGCTGTATTAATTTCAGAGCTTATTGTAGTCTGATCCTATGTTTTTAAAAAAATTAATTAAGTAATTCCATAAATATTTACTGATCCCCTCTATATGGTACTTCTCTTGACACTGGAAATATAGCAGTGAAGAAATCCTTCAAATATGCCTGCCTTTATGGAACTGACATTATAATGAGAGGATGAGGCTAACAGTTCATTTGTTTTTTATTTTTTAGTGAAATACATAGTTATGTTAGAAAATGAAAAGGCTTATGGAAGGAGAAAAGCAGTTGGTATGTGTTGGTAGGGGTGGTATTACAATTATAAGCAAGGTGGTGAAGGAATGACTTATGAAGAATGTGATTAAAACCTGGAAAAAGAGGAAGTAAGTTACGGATGTTAAAAAAAAAAAAAAAGTGTTTTAGCCAGAGAGACTAGTAAGTATAAATGTCCTGAGGTGGGGGTTTTTAAACGAGTGACATGATCTGACTTTTTTAAAAGGAATACCCTAAGTGCTGTGTAAGAATAAACAAAAAGGTGGTGATGGGGAGTCAGAAGCAGAAGGAACACTTAGGAGTTACTTCAATAGTTACAATAATGATCCTTGATTGGACCAGAATGATAGCAGCAAATGTGGTGAAATATGGTCAGAAAATATTCTGAAATAGAACTGCTGATGAATTGGATGTAAGTATGAGAGGAAAATAAATCATGCAACTGGAAGGATGACATTGACAAACACTGGGATGGGGAAGACTATGAGGAGAATGCACTTAGAAGGAAAATTTCAAGTTCATTTTGGGAAATTTTAAATTGAAGATACTTAAAATATATTCAAGTGGATGAAAGGTGTGCATGAGAGAAACAGAATTTTTGGCCCATAATGACATATAAAACCATGGTACTGAATGAGATTAGATTAAATTACCTAAACTATGAGTAGGAGAACATAGCCAAGTCCCTGGGACATCAAAACATTAAAAGATTTAAAAAATGGGAAAGAATCATCAGGGTAGACAGAGGGAGAGCTCATGAGATAGAGAGAAAAAAACAAGTACAGTACCCTGAAAGTGAAGAAAGCGTAGAAGTGGAGGAAGTGATTACCTGTGGCCTGTGCTGCTTGCTGGTCAAGTACAGCAAGGATGACAAATTAACCACTGGATTCAGCACAGCATAAAAAACTGGTGACTTTGCTAAAATCAACTTTGGTAAAGTAGTAAAGATGAAAGACTAATAAGAAAAAAACTTAAAAGAGATTTGAAATTCTAAATGCCATATCTGGTAACTATTTATTAAGTCAAAATCTTATTTAAAACAACAGAAGGCAGGCTGCACAGTACTTTAAATGAGAAAATAAAGAATCAATAAACAATAATTATAAGTGATGCGTATTAATTAATATCCATTACCTGCTAGAAATTTGATTTGAAAGGAGTTGGCGTGGACATACAATTGTTGACCAGAAAAACAAAACAAGACAGTAATTACTGAAATTTGTATTATTGCTATCTATTGACCCCAAATTTCTGCTTATATTTTATGGAATGAAGTAGAGTCTAATGTACACAGGAAAAAGAAATTGTCTACTAAGCTTAGCTTGAAGCAACAGTTTCAAATTTTCCCAGATTGAGTATAGAAGGGAAGTCACAGCTGGCAAAGAACAATACTGGCATACTGGCATACTTCTAGAAAACATGAGAAAACTGACCTTATATTCTGAACTAGGTGAATGTCCCATAAAACAAAGAAAACAAAATATTTGTTTAAAATCCTGACATTTATGAGAATTTTAGAAAGTTGTCCTCTACTCAAATATGAACAAAAATTAAAGTTAGCAATATGTAAGAGTCAAAATCAAATCAACAAAATATTTATGGAGTATCTACTGTAATGTAAGACAATATGGTAATGCCTTGTGGAATACAAATAGCAAGCAGGATGTCACAGATTCTGCCTTCAATGTGCTTGAAGTTCATTTGAAGAAAAAAGAAAAAAAAAGACTAAATGCTTACCATATGCAATTTAAAATACAGTTAAGGAGAAAAATCCAACAGCTATCATAAGTAGTACATGTTTAATAATATAATCAGTGAGGCTGTCAATATTATAAGATGCTTGAGAAGGGAAAGGATTGATTCAATTTAGTAGGCTTTGTGGAACAGGTCAAATTTTATTTAGTCATTAGACAAAGTTACTGTCCTCCTGATTCTCAACATCAAATGGGAAAAACATACAAATAAATAATTGCAATATAAATGCTAACCAATAAAATAGAGACATATGATTGGAACTATAGAAGCAAATAACTTTATTAAAAGGGCTAAGGAAAAGTTTCATAAATCCAGGGCTGTCAATTGAGTTTTGAAGAATAGATAAAATCTGGAAAGGTAAACAACAGAACAGAAGCAATAATGGCACCAAGGCTTTTCACATGACAGTGAATAAATAGTCCATGCAAAAGCAAGTATTTGTGAAGAATAATTTCTCATTGGAGGTATATGATAAAATAAACGTAGAATTAATTATTTGACAATGATGTTATTAGCAATAAACCAAAGAGAAGAGAGACTTGTAACAGGGACATAGAATAATTCTTAGTAGGTATTTGTCTTTAACTAAATCTTAACTATATTTGTGAATGCTATGTTTGGCTACTTTAATAAAGATGTATGTCTATGTATTTACAAACATGCAAATATAAAATAATCAAGTGCTACCTTTCCCAATGCTAGATGGCACCTTCCTTACTTAAATAGCAAATATAGTATTTAGGAACTAATAGCTGTATCTGAATTGTTAGCTTTGCAAACTACTATGCCACTGAATTATAATTTTAAGAAACTTAAAGTCATGAAACACATAAATAGTGTGGTGAGAACCCATCAAAAATATATTTAACTCATTAATGAAGGAACTAACAGAATGGTTAAACTACTTCAAAAAGCATCAAAGAGATTTATATAGTCAATTTAGAAAGGCATACTGAAACAAGTTTAAGTCAGAAACAAAAGTGATTAATGTCCTACAATAGAATAGCAACCTTTTTCTATTAGACAGCAATTATTTGCATCTCTAACAAATAAGTTTTGTTAATCATATAATTGCACCCAGTTTAAACCCAATCATGAGTAAATAGTGAGTCAACCTAAAGCACATTGTATAGAGAAATAATCTTTGGCTGAGTATGTTAGACAACATTTCAGTATGACATTGAAAAGGCAAGCATCAACCAGCTTACTTGTTTACAAATTTGGGTGTTATCTTATCAGACCTTCCTTGTGATTATAAAGTGTTGTCAGAGAATTAAATTATATGTGGGATTTCATCAAGAATGTAGGATTGAACTTTTAAAAGCCTCTATTTGCTCTTCTTTCTCAAGTATAGGAACCAAGCAAGGGGTTCATCTCCACCAAACTTTGCTTGCAGCATATGTAATGTTAGTGAAATTCTCTCATTGAGGTCTTCAAAATCTGCTGGGTTCCTGAACTGTCAGAAAACAAACTTCCTTAATATCTGTAAGGCAGGAACCCTGTTATCATACCAGTATTCTGGAAAGGATTTATAGACATTGCTTCCATACATGAAATACAATCCCTTTTCCTTAATTGTGGGCTTTTCTTATGTGAATAAGTGAGTTTTATTCTCACTGTGTCTTTGATTCACAATGGATTTGTCTAATTACATACTGGTAAAAAAGGAGGTCAGAATCTTAGTGCATCTACGCAAATAAGTACATTGCCATGAAAAGTAGAGACTCAGTATTTGTTCCTGTTCCTGGAGATGTCAGTGAGAAAAAGATACCACTTTTTAAAGTATCATTTTAGTTTGCAAATGTATATTCTACAAAGAAATAGCAACAGATTTCCATCAGAAAATAGTACACTAAAAAATGTAACCAATAATATTTCAAAATGAAAAATCACATTTAGACTTTCCTCACCAGCTCATTCAGTCCTACTTCATCAATGTGTAAACCAAAAATAAAATTCTAAGACACCCAACTGACAGAATGAACCCCTCTTCTTGGCCAAGGGGATTCCAAAGTAAACCTGAAAAACTGGTTCAGGCCATGATGGAAAAAATGGGTCAGACATGCCTCAATATAATCTCCTCCCTTTAGAATTCAGGCACAACTGAACAGAATTAACATTAAAACGGAGATCTTAAGACTTTTTGTAGCAAGAAGATACCAAACTTCAAACTGGCTGTAGTCTAGCATCACATGACAGATAGCGGGCCCTGAAAGAAATTTAAGTATTTTACCTCAAAGTAGATTTATTTGACATATTTTAAAATGGCCCCTCAAAGCTATCACTTGCGAGAAAAATCTACATTCTGTAGAGAATCTCTTTCCCTTTCCATGTTTTTCCTGATCCAGGAGAGATTTAGCTAAGAGTCTGGCACCTTTTAAAGTCTGATAAGAGACATTTACCATCTATTCTCTATGAAGCCTGCTACTTGGAGGCTTCATCTACATAATAAGAACTTTGGTCTCCACAATTCTTTATCTTAACCCAGACACTTCTTTCTATTGATTCCAGGTCTTTAGATAATAACTTTTCTACTCTTTCAACTAATTGCCAATCAGAAAATCTTTGAGTCCACATATGACCTGGAAGATGCCCCCCATCCTCTGCCACCCCACAGCTTTGAGCTGTTTCACTTTTCCAGAGCAAATCAATGTACACCTTACACGTATTGATTGATGTTTGCCTATAACTTCTGTTCTCTAAAATGTATAAAATCAAGCTGTAACCCAACTACCTTGGGCACATGTTCTCAGGACCTCCTGTGGCTGTGCTGTGGGCCTTGGTTACTCATATTTTTCTGAGAATAAACCTTTTAAAATATTTTACAGAGTTTGACTCTTTTGGTCAAACAAGAATTTGTTCTATTAGATCTTGGTTCACCAATCTGACCCAAGCCTTCATAACATTGCCTGTTTCTTGACTAAAAAAAAATTTGGAAATCTTCAGTCAGTCCCCTGGTATCCAAAAGTCTATGCCTTGAATTAGCTGGTAGTCTTTTCTATGATGTTCTGAGAACATGATTCTTTTCTGAGGACCAAATTCCTAAACTGTAGCTTATAATGAGTCCTCAGGTAAACATGAGAGTATAAATCATCTGTTGGTGATTAATTTATTACATTAAGCAACATTGTAAGATTCAATGGGAGTAAAATTCTCTGTTGGGTTATAATAGATAGTGATATCATAAAGATTTGATCCATGTTTCCTCTAAAGGTAAAACATATTATGAACTGTGAGAGCATTGCCTAAATCCTGGAGCCTTCCAATTCTTTCTATAATGGGGATGTAAGTAAGAATTAAAAAATCTCCAGACCCCAAGCCGTCTTGTGCAAAAGAGAAGATAATTGCAGCATCCTTTTCCAAGTGAATATCTGCTCCTAACATGCCTCAGCCAGATTCCCATGGAAAGGCAAAAGGTCTGAGGCATCTGCTGAAGGACAGCCTCTACAGATCATTCATAAGTAAATTCTTCGCTGGCCTCTCATAAATGAGGATATGCCAATTGTAACTTTAAGTCTACAATCTAAGTCTAGCTCCTATTATAAAACTAGAGTCTCTTCAATTCCACACTGTTAATATCTATTATAATCTTATCATCCCAGGTGCAGAATGAAGACAAAGACTGCATAATTGAGTCTTCTTTTATTCACTTTTTCTCTTTAAATATTTACCTTATTTTATGTAAAATGTAGGTTTACTAGGCATTAAGTAAATCTTGTAACCATTTGCCTTACAGCCTACCTTCTCCTCTTCCTAGGTGCCTTCTCCCTGTGCCCTTTAAGGAAATGTATAAATACTAAACCTCCTGAAAACCTCTCTGGAAAATCAGCCACTTATGTGTCTGTGGCTGTTTTTCCCAGATGCACCCTAAAGCTGGCTTAATAAACCTCAATTGAGACTTATGCCTCAGTCACTCATTTTGATTGTTTGGGATACTCACTGAAATGTATTTGTATTAGTATATTTCCCCATACAAAACTAATTTAGAAAAAGTTCCGTGTCTCTTGATTTCACAGCTCTTCCTATGCAGCTCTTACAATAGGGTAGAACTAATTAAGAAATACCAAGTACATCCAATAAGAACTAATTAAGAAATATCAAGTATATCAAACAACCTAATTATTACTAGTATTTCTCCCTTAATAAGGTGAAAGAAGGACCTCTATAGTTATCCAGAGACTTTTGGAATACCCCAAACATTATTTATGTATAAAAGATATCTTGATATTAATCTCTTTGAATGTACAATCTCTTTTTAAGGAGGACTAAATCAAAAGAATTATCAGAGGAGATTAGACACTTGATTAAGAGAGAAACATGGGTGACTAAGAAAAATAAATGGGTGTAGCCTGGCTACCTATTAATCATAATGTCAAAAGAATATTTTAAAATAGATATAGCAAAAGGTAACCTAATTCTAAGAGACCTTAGCTCTTTCAGAAATAACTTTTTAAAAAATGATGAAGGGTAGATAATCAAAGCAAGGAAAATGCACAAAAAAAAGTTATTCTGATGAGGTGCAACATTTCTGTTGTATGGAAAATTACACAAAAGTTAAAAATTAACCTTTTATCATTTCTTGTTCAGAGGAACTGAGTACTACAAGGCCTTGGTAGTAAAGAATTCACAATTTTTTTTTCCTTGATAAGAAAACTCATCAAAAGTGTACCAACACATTCCATTGCTTCTTTTCAGACTCATACTTTTTGGGGATATAACCCCAGACCAAAAAAAAGTTTATTTTCCTAAAACCTTACACAACGTTCTATATCTACTTATCTTGACACATTATTTTAGAATAAAACTATTATCTTTTTCCTTTAAAAAAACAAGAACACATTTCATTACCTTGAATACAATGGTTATATTTATTTGCCATAATTTTTCCATTTAGAGTCATGCTCATCTATGGCAATTAAAACTTTCAACCAAAGTACAAAGTTCTACTTCACAACAAAAAGTGGGAGGCAGGATTGAGAACTCTCTGTCTTACACAAGTATTTTGGCAGACCAGAGAAACTCATGAGTACACATTACACAACCTCTAAAATCACACGTTCCTTTGACACTCTTAAAGTGGCAAAAATAAAAATGTTCTTGAACATATCTCAAAGGTATAGTCACTCTGTAACATTTTAAATAAAAACTATGCTTGGTAACCAAATTTTCAGTATTCTGTGTTGCTTAGAAATTATCCATGCCTCCAAAGATTATGTATTAATTATGGTATTAATCAAGATTTTAAATTTAACTCAGAATCCTGGTTGGTTTAGATTGACAAATGGAAAAATAACACAATCACTATTGATATCTAAAAGTTTGCTGGAATTATAATTTGGTTAACTGAATACATAATTTGATGTGTTTTATAATCTTAATGTTTATATGGAAGAGTATTCATTAATCTGAACAATAAACCAATATAGAATTTTAGGACATTCATATTAACAGTCTTTTTGTGAGAAAACAAACCCAAATCTTATAAAAAAAGGTTTATTCTATACTTTACACTGAAAAAAGTCAGGAAAAAGATATATAACTGTTTTTAAAACTCATTGAGCCAATCTCATTTTTTCCGTGGATGCATTTTGAACATATGAATGTGAATTGCTACATAAATAAATTACTGAGCTATTGCTGAGAGAAGTTTTTCTTTCTTAACCCTAAAAGCTTAGATAGTTTCTCTAGAGTGGAATTCCTCACTGAACCACAGAACAGAGAAAATAATTTGAGTGACTATTTTTTCAATTCTCCCAAGGATAGTACATACCTAATAGTAATGTAGATGCATCAGAGAAAAGTTAATTATATACAAAGGATGCCTTAGGAAATTAGGGCTTTATTCTCTGGTGGAGGGGGAGAAACCAATAATAGTATATACCAAGCAATAGAAATTTTTTCCTGGGAACTCTTTGTTTTCTTGTGTTATGTACACTGTATGTTTGGTAATATCCTTTTCATGGCCGGAACCAGCACACTGACACTCAGATAGATGAAAGGCAGGACTCTTTGTTACTTACACTTCCCAACAAGAGAAGCCTGCTGATAGAGACAAGAGGCAGCCAAGGGTACCCAGCAAAACCCCGCCTTCAAGCCTGAAACAGCCTGAAGGCTGAAAACCCAGACTGCTGGTCTCAGATGAAGCCTGCCCTTTCCCAACTGATTCTCTCTGAACATTGCCCACCTGTGCACTGGGAGGACGGAGTGGAGCCTCGGGAAGTTCAAGCCATTTGCAGCAGGGAGGAGACTGGTGTTTTCATTTCCTGGGTGGGAACCTGGGATTCAATCAGTGAGGTGGGAAACCTGCTAGCAGGATTCTCTCTCACTTTGCTGAGAGTTATTTTTCCTTTTTCCTTTTCTCCAAATAAATTCTGCTCCTCACCCTTCTATGTGTCCGCAAGCCTAATATTTCCTGGTCACATGACAAGAACCCAGTTTTAGCTGAACTAAGGAGAAAGGTCTGCAACACTGCCAGGCATGGCCACACGAGGTGGTGCCCTGTGACAGGTGGCAACAAGCTGTGGCTGTAAGGGGCAGCTCAGGTCTTGCAGTTCTGGTGGGATTAGCTGGGTTTCACAGGCTCCCTGGATAGGATAATTTGAATGATTTTGGTGGGTTCTGGGGCTTAAGGTGTGTCCCTAGTTGTCTGGTACCTGGCCTCAGGGAAATTAGGGAGGATGTATGATGGCCTAATGTGGAAAGTGGTTAAGCAACTTACTCAACTGCTTAAGATGGAGAACAGACTGGCCTCTAGCCAGAGCCTTAAAACTGAGTCATGACAGCATTTAAAAATATATATATTATACTTTTATTAGTCTCTATAAGCTACTTAGAAACAGAGATCTTTCATTTAATAGAATTTATAATTCTGCTTATTCACATACTTTGAAAATAGGAAAATATTTTAAGCTCAGACAATAAGAAGCAAAAGTTTTGCTTAATTATTGGCACATAGACACACAGACTGTGTTTAGTCAGTTTGGACTGCCATCACAAAATACTCTAGATGGGGTGGCTTACATACGTAAACAATAAAAGTTCATTTTCTCACAATCCTGGAGGCTGGAAGTCTGATATTAGGGTGCCAGAATGGTAGGCTTCTATTAAGGGCCTGCTTTCTGGCTTACAGATGGCCAGCCACCTCCTCACTGTTTTCTCACATGGTGGAGAGAAAGTAAGCTCTCTGGTGTGTCCTCTCATAAGGGCACTGATCTCATCAAGAGGGTCCTACCCTCATGACCTCATCTAAACCTAATTACCTCCCAAAGACCCCATCTCCAAATACCATTACATTGAGGGATAGGAATTCAACATATGAATTTGGTGGGCGACAAACTTCAGTCCATGGCAGACAGCATGCAGCTTCAGACAAGCAACTTCAGCTATGGACCAAAAGTAAATGCAGTCAAATGCTTTGTTGCTAAATCCAATAGTCAATTCTTTTTTTTTTTTTTTTTTTTTTTTTTTGAGACGGAGTCTTGCTCTGTCTCCTAGGCTGGAGTGTAGTGGCGCAGTCTCGGCTCACTGCAAGCTCCACTTCCCAGGTTCATGCCATTCTCCTGCCTCAGCTTCCTGAGTAGCTGGGACTATAGGCGCCTGCCACCACGCCCGGCTAATTTTTTTTTTTTTTTTTTTTTTTTTTTTTTTTTTGTATTTTTAGTAGAGAAGGGGTTTCACTGTGTTCTCCAGGATGGTCTCGATCTCCTGACCTCGTGATCTGCCCGCCTCGGTCTCCCAAAGTGCTGGGATTACAGGCGTGAGCCACCACACCCAGCCTAGTCAATTCTTAATCCTCATCTCAATCTACTACGAGCCTTTGGCCCAGGTTTGTCTTTTTCAACATACTTTAATACTTTTTTTTTCTTCACCTGAGACAGAATTTTTCCTCTCAGCTTACCTGAAGGAAAGTCCGAAGTGCAGATGAAAACATCTGTAAAGCAATAATAATAATAATAATAAAGTAAATGCAGGACAAACAATCTCACTGGTTAAGATCCCAAAGTACAGATCTCAAAAAACATATCTGGTAACCATCACATACTTTCTTTTTCTTTTTTTTTTTTTTTGAGATAGAGACTCACTCTATCACCCAGGCTGGAGTGCAGTGGCACGATCTCAGCTCACTGCAACCTCCACCCCCTGGGTTCAAGCTATTCTTCTGCTTCAGCCTCCTGAATAGCTGGGATTACAGGCACCTGCCACCGTGCCCGGCTAATTTTTGTATTTTTAGTAGAGACTGGGTTTCACCATCTTGGTCAGGCTGGTCTTAAACTCCTGACCTCGTGATCCACCCACCTCAGCCTCCCAAAGTGCTGGGATTATGGCGTGAGTCCAAATGTACATAATAGTAAACATGCTATGCGAGAAAATGTTAACGCAGCAAGCTTGATGTTTCCTAATTCTCACATTTCTGTAGAAGGGCTTGCTTGTGCGGCTGACCTTGACTGGCATCTAAAAATTTGGCTTTTGAAATGTTTCCCACATGACTAATTTATAAAGCTGTTTTGCATGCCTGGGGGCACTGAACTCTAATGTACCAGCCTGTCTACAGTGTTTGTGCAAACAATGTGATTTATGATGAACACCTGCTTTCCTTCTGGGAGTCTGGGCTTTTGGTAATCGCGGCTGGTAGCACAGGTAGAGAGTACCTGCATGACCAACCTCCAATAAAAACTTTCCGCTCTGTCTAAAGCAGGCTTTCCCAGACAGAAACACTTTGTGCATGTTACCACAGTTCATTGCTGGAGGAAGGGGCGTGTATTGCACACCCTCCTGAGGGAGAACTTTGGAAGTTGTGCCTAGATCTCTCCAGATCCCTCCTGATGAGGCTTTTTGTCCTTGCTAATTCTGCTTTATGTCTTAGCTGTAGTAAACTATAGCCATGAGTACAATTAAGGTGCCTGGAGTCCTGTGAGACCTTCTAATGAATCACTGAACATGTATATGAATGACCAGAGGACACTGGAAACATGTACAAACAAAATAACTACAAACCAGATTTCCTATAGTCTCACATTCTTAGATAATAAATGCTCAATGTCCCTAATAGATAACTATGTATTGGCTTTGTGCAAACCAAAACCAGAACCAAAGTTGAACATGAACCAGAAACAAAACAAAAAATCAGAGTAAGGGGAAAAATAAGTTAGCAAAGGTAAATTCTATTGCCACTTTTGATTCATTCAAAAAGAGCAAACCAAAATACAGATGAAGTTGCTGCAAGGAGTACTTGAAGAACAGAGATTTGAATAAGCAATCGAGAAATAAAGTGTGAAATAAGTTTTCTAGGTGAGAAAAAAACTGGTTAATATCTTATAGGGCAATAAAACCATAACTTACGGACTTATCTTTTTAACTGCCAGAAATCATTTGTATCTCTTTCTGAAAAAAATTAACATGTAACTTCACAGAATCTGAGATTTAATCAGTGTTACTTAGAAACTCAAACAAAGATATATCATAGAGAATTCTTAGGTGGATCTGTTAGGCAATGGCCCAGAATAACATTAAGAAGACACACAGTCATCCTTTTGCTCTATTTTGAAGTTTTGGATAATTTTTCTTAACAATGTGATAACGAATATACAATAATAAACAATTTCATATTCATAGTATACTGAACAGTATATATGGAAATAATTAAAAAAGAAATTTGTATCAGAAAGTTTATTTATACAACCATAATTCTAACCTTGATAACTTATGACAAAAGATCATTTGGTTAATTGTCATAAATAAATTATATTACCAAATTGTGCTATAAATCATATTATTAAAACATACTATACTAACACTGGAACAAAATAATGAGTAATATATTTTTCAGGGGGACATATCACACTGTATTCTTTGTTATCAAAGTCAATGGAAGATTTAAGTGCTACTTTGAGGTAATGAAGTATAATGGAAAAGGATTCTTCCATAGGATAAGAATTATAATTGCATAAAACCTAACTTTCTGTGAAATAATGTTGTAATGAACTGAATGTGTGTGTGTCCTCAAAATTTATATGCTGAAATCTAATTCTCATGGTGGGTTGTTGCGGGAAGTCAGGGACCCTGAATGGAGAGACTGGCTGAAGCCACCACAGAAGAACATAAATTGTGAAGATTTCATGGACATTTATCAGTTCCCAATATTAATACTTTTATAATTTCTTATGCCTTTCTTTACTGCAATCTCTGAACATAAATTGTGAAGATTTCATGGACATTTATCACTTCCCCAATCAATACTCTTATAATTTCTTATGCCTGTCTTTACTTTAATCTCTTAATCCCATCATCTTCATAAGCTGAGTATGTATGTCACCTCAGGACGCTGTGATGATTGCATTAACTGTACAAATCGTTTGTAAAACATGTGTATTTAACAACATGAAATCAGTGCACTCTGAAAAAGAACAGAATAATGCGATTTTCAGGAAACAAAGGAGATAACCATAAGGTCTGACTGCTGTGGGATTGGGCAGAATAGAGCCATATTTTTCTTCTCGTAGAAAACCTATAGACAGATGTGCGAGTAGGAGAAATATCGCTGAATTCTTTTCCTAGCAAGGAATATTAATAATTGATAGACCTGGGGAAGGAATGCATTCCTGGGGGGAGGTCTATGAATGGCTGCTCTGGGAGTGTCTGTCTTATGTGGTTGAGATAAGGACTGAAATACACCCTGGTCTCCTGCAGTGCCTTCAGGCTTGCTAGGATTGGGAAATTCCAACCTGGTGAATTCTAGTCAGACTGGTTGTCTGCTCTCGAACCCTGTTTCCTGTTAAGATGTTTATCAAGACAATGCATGCACAGCAGGACATGGACCCTCATCAGTAATTCTAATTTTGCCCTTGCCTTGTGATCTTTTATTGCCCTTTGAAGCATGTGATCCTTGTGACATACTCCCTGTTCGTACATCCCTTCCCCTTCTAAAATCCCTAATAAAAACTTACTGGTTTTGTGGCTCAGGGTCGCCATCATTGTCCTACCAATATGTGATGGCATCCCCAGAGGCCCAGCTATAAAATTTCTCTCTTTGTACACTTTCTCTTTATTTCTCAGACTGACCGACACTTAGGGAAAATAGAAAGAACGTATGCTGAAATATTGGGGGCTGGTTCCCCCGATAGTGGGTCCTTTGGGAAGTAATTAGGCTATAAGAATGGAAGGGATTACAGCCCTTATAAAAAGAACTCAGAGAGCTAGCTTGTCCTCTTCCCATCATGTGAGGATGCAATGAGAAGTTAGCAGTCTGCAACCCAGAAGCCCTCACCAAAGCCCTACCATCAGAGTGCCCTAACCTGGCACTCTGATCTCCTACTTCTAGCCTCTTGAACTCTGAAAAATAAATTTCTGTTGTTTATGAGCCACCCAATCTATAGTACTTTGTTAAAGCAGCCCAAACTGACCAAGACAAATGGAGGCAGTTACTACATAGTATTCACAATTGACATGTAATCTGCAACACCTATATCACGTTGCCATAGGATTTCTCAATAATAAAAACAGCTTTCAGTTAATGCATATAGAATAAGATCAAGTTGGATGTCAGAGAAGGAAGGAGGAGAGGTTAATCTATTGCCTTGTTTTGAACAACAACAACAAAAAAAAGCAGGGGAGGGATGTAATAATATATTGTAGGAAAACACTTTATAAAATGAGTAGCTTATCTAGCATTTAGACATTGGCTATTTCATTAAATCTCTAGGAACTGAATTGAAGTTTAATAAACTAATGAGAGGACCTTTGATTTTCCTTGCACCAGAAAACAGAGAATGATGCCTGTGAAATGAAAGGTTTATCATATGTGAGATAGCTTCATCCTGCAAGGAAATTGATATTATGCTTGTTACTTTCTACATGTATTCAAGGACTAGTATCACCATCCACATTTCACAGGTGATCACTGAATATTTTTCAGGAATTTCTTACATTGCTAATGATTAGAAGTTGCTTTTCTCATCATTCCAGTGTATAATCAGGCCAGCATATTTCAGAGAGAAGCGCAATCACAAATCCAGGTTCTGATTAATAGAAAGCTAACAGGTAAGAAATATTTAGCAGAAATTCAAAAATCAAGGGAATAGTAGAAAACTAAAACTGAGACAAATACTGTCATTGTTTGTTTTTAAGATGCCACTGCATATAAATACATGTATCTCTTGATTTTCACACTCCATTTGGAAACCTGCACCCCCTTCTCTCTCCCCAGGGCAATGCAGAGAGGTGCAGTGGACTCAGCTAGGCTGGGAGAGTCAGACACAGCATGGCCTGAGAGGCCCCTCAGCCACTGGAGCCCTATCTTTGCCCCAACCTGCCTGTCTCTGTGCCAGGCTGGATAAGGCACAGGAGAACTTAATTGAGAATAAGCTTCACTCTGTGCTGGGGCTGGTGGGGGTGTTGAAGGAAGAGGAAAAGCTTGAATCTTTAAAAATAGTTGGCCATTTGCAATTACAATTCTTTTCACTCTTAAATATTCAATAGGGAAAAGGACAGGCATGACCTTTGAAAGGGGCTGGTAGTTTTCTGGAAGCTGCTATGGCTGGTTAATAGAAATGAGATACGGTCCAAGTTGCAAAGATGCTAAAATATTTTATAAAGAAAAGGAGATATAACTTGAAAACTGTCACTTTCTTTAGACTTTAGGGGACTGCTGCTTTTCACCCTTCCCATATAACAGAATGCAATGCAGAGAACACAACTTCTTCTTCCCATAGTCCTTTTCATCTGGGTCCTTCTTCTGGCTTCCCTGGTGATCAGCACTGAATGTCAGAGCTGCGACTCTAGCAGTTGTCCTTTGTCAGCAAAGCTTTACCCCATCGGGGGAGTAACTCAGACCTTTAATTTCCTCAAACATCACTCACGGCTCAAGTATTTAAGAAAACCTCATTGAAGACTCAATGGTAACAACCAAACAACAACAACAACAAAACAGGAGAGCTCATTACATGAGAAACTTAAAACTTGATATAAACTCTGATATTTCCCTGATTTTACCCCAACACCTGTTCTTAGAGGGTGATATTATGTAGATCTCTTTTCTCAATCTGAAGTTGCTGGTGTGGTCTATGTCCTACTCATCCTTACTAAAAAGCAGAAAAAAGAAAGAAGAAGAAAGGAAGGAAGGGAAGGGAAGGGAAGGGAAGGAAAGAGAAGGGAAGGGAAGGGAGGCATGCAGGCAGGCAGGCCTCTTTTTTAACAGCTTTTAGTCCACAGCCCCAAATACCTTTATCTGAACCCAGGCCAAAATATTAAAAGTACCCTTATTATAATCTGTTCAGACAACTCAGTTTTAGTTGTTGTCATGGTATTCGTGTTGTTTTGCTGGACTCATGACTTAAAAAATCTTGATCTAAAGCTCAGTCTTTTCATTACTTTTCTAGTAAAGAGTTTTCCCAAGAAAACATCTTATCAGTGCAGTTCCTTCCAATTTAAACAAGAGGCCTCCTCAAGGCTAATTTTCATTTCATTGTATTTTATTGTGTTAAGAACACAACATGAGATCTACTCCCTTCTTAAGAAATTGTTAAGTGTATAGTACATTATTGTTGGTACAATGTTGCACAGTAGATCTCTAGAGCTTATTATTTTGCCTGACTTAAACTTTATGCCTGTTGATTAGCAACCCCATTCTCTCTACCCTCAGGCCCTGGCAACCGCCCTTTCATTGAGTTCATAAATTTGACTATTTTGGACACATCATATATGTGGAATCATACAATGTTTGTCTTTCTGTGACTAGTTTATTTCACTTAGCATACTATTTTCAAGGTTCATCTGCATTGTTGCAAATCACAGAACTCAAAGTGGATTTAAGACTTACATGTAAGGTCCCAAACTGTAAAAGTTCTAGAGGAAACACAGGGGAAAAAAACTTCACGGCAATGTTCTTGGGGATGATTTTATGCATATGACACCAAAAGCATAGGCAACAAAAACAAAAACAGACAAGTGAAATGACATCAAACTAAAAATCTTCTATACAGCAAGATAAACAATCAATAGAGTGAAAGGGCAACTAATAGAATGGGAAAAATATTTGCAAACCATATGTCTGATAAGAGGTTATAATCCAAAGTACATAAGGAAATTCTACAACTCAATAGTAAAATAAATAAATAAATAAATAAATAAATAAATAAACAAACAAACACCTCTTTAAAATGGGCTAAGGAGAATGGACATTTCTCAACAGAAAACATAAAAATGGCCAACAAGTGTGTGAAAAGTTGCTCAACATCACTAATCATTAGGGAAATGTAAATCAAAACCATAATGAGATATCACCTCATACATGCTACAATGGCCATTATAAATAAAACCAAAGCAAAACAAGACAAAAAAATGAGTAAATAATATGTGTACACAAGGATATGGAGAAATTGGGACCCTTATACACTGTTGGTGAGAATGCAAAATGGTACAGCCACTAGGGAAAACAGCATGGAGATTCCTCAAAAAATTAAAAATAGAACTACCATATGATCCAGCAATTCTACTTCTGGTTCAATTCACTAGAATTGAAATCAGGTTTTTGAAGAGATATTAGCACTCTTATGTTCATTGCAGCATTATTCATAATAGCCAAGATGTGAAAATAACCAAAATATTAAAACTTAAACTGTCACATTAATCATTTTAAAAGTTTATTTGAGCAAACAGCAATTTATGAATTGGACAGCACTCAATTGTGGTGCTAGTTGGTCGGGGAGGAAAGGTTTCAAAGACAGGGTTTTATAAGGTGAGTGGGAAAGCAAAGCAAAGAAAATAATTGTTTACAGTTATGTAGTTGCCTTATTTGGATTACCCAGTGGAAATTTCTAGTTATGCAGTTTGAAGTTAGTGGTTTCTGATTGATTAAGTTTAAATTTTATCTCTCTCTAAGTTAGTTACAAGGAAGGCATTCAAGTTAGATTTAGGTTGCTTATATTGGATCTCAGGGCACTGAAGCTGCCTCAGGTGAATTGCCTCCTATTTAGTTATTTTAGCAATGTTTATTGACAGATAAATGAATAAACAAAGTGTGATATGTCCACACAGTGGAATATTATTCAGCCTTTTAAATAAACAAGGGCAAATTTTTATTTCTTCATTGAAATGTTAAAATTATGATGCCAAAATGAAAACCTCTGTAGTTTTGATAATGTTAATATTAAAAAACACCTCCAAAAATCAATGGAAGATCTTTTGTGTAAGGAGGTGTTAAGCCTTTATGACGAAAAAGGGAAAAGAGCTGCACTCAAATGTTTAGTGGCCAGATTAGCAAATGACTAATACTTAACTTTTTTGTATGTAAAATTTGTAGCTAAACTTCTTGGTAAATTGAGGTTTTAAAATCAGGGAGAAGGACTTCTGCTTCTGGAAAGATGGAGTAGACATCTTTTTTTTCCTATTTCTTCTACTAAGTTCAACTAAAAACTCTGGACATTACATATAAAACAAACATAAGAAGACATTGAAGGTAGAAAAAGAAGACAGACTAGCTAGCAAACTCTGGATTCAAGGAACAACATTCTGGTAAGTTACTTGGGTTTTTTCTTTGCCTCATATATCTCAGTTGAAGAAGCTGGCAATCGGCAAACACCAACAGATACAGAAAATAAGAGACCCATAAAAGGCCATTTTTTCTAGCCAAAGTACCAGGAAAGGAACAACCTAGCAAGACAAAAATCTTTTATACGGTAAATGCTTTATTCTAGCCATCTACCACAGAAAAGAACTGTGGCTCCACACTTACCAGTAAGGGTGGGGAAAGTAGACTTCCACATTTTCTAGGCACCTAATTCCTCCCTTGTGGTGTCAGAGAAGGCCAATTAGAAAGCCAGGACTTTCATCCTTATTGGGTAGATAATAAGCCATCTCCCTCCCCTTGATGTCAGTGGTGACTACTTGTGGATGTAGAATTTCTATCCATCATAAGGTGACCTCCACCCACTCCTGACTGGAGTGATATCAGAGGAAGTTAAATAGAGAATCAGGATTGCCATCAACGCCAGTGCTAATAAGACCCCTCCATTCTGGTGTAAGCAGAGGCTCTGTGGGAAGCAGTTAAAAGGCACTCCTATCCCTTCCAGACAAGGCGATGTTCAGTGGAGGCCTACTGGAGAGCTACAACTCCATCCTTTTCCTGCAGCAATGAGGAATCTTCCTACCCTCAGGTGTCAATGCATGTAATTGTGGAACCTGTGCTTCTATCCTCACCTGGCAGTAGGTGGTGCTCACATCTTTCCATGCTAGAATGGTGTCAAAATAAGACAGCTAAACAGAAAGATTAAATAAGAACAAGAGTTCCATAAAACACCCAAAATATCCAGGTTTCAATTGAAAAACACTCATTATGGCAAGGATCAGAAAGATCTCAAAAATGAAAAAAAGGCAATCAACAGATGCCAAAACAGAGATGACAACAATGTTAGAAATATCTGACAAGATTTTAAAAGTCATCATAAAAATTTTTCATGAGCAATTTATAAACATATTAGAGAAAAAATCAGAATGTCTCAGAAAAAAGAAAAATCTCAACAGTAATATAGAAGATATAAATAAGAACCAAATGGAAATTTTAGAACTAAAAAATACCATAATTATAAAAAAACTCAATGAATGGGCTCAAAAAATTGAATAGAATGGAAAGAAGAGTCAGTGGACTTCAAGATAGAAAAAAGAAATTACTTAATCTGTAAAACAAATCAGACAGAAAAAAATAGAGCTTTAGGAACCTGTATGTGGAGGCTAAAGCAACTTCATCTTGGAGGCTAATCCACCATGTTGACATCTGATTAACCCCTATTCTAGGAAGGCCTCTAAGATTTCCAGTATGTCTTTTGTTTCTTGGCAAAGAGCACTTACTTACTGTAAATCCTGCTCTTAGGTCAAAACAACCTTGATGTTATTGTACTTCAATTGTCCTACACATCCCTTCGGAATGTAGGAGGTTCCAACACCTGGTCTCGCCACAGCCCAAAACACAGACATGGCTTCTATCTGTAGGCCCTTATTAAACATGTATTTCTGAGAAACTGGATATGCCAGCCTCTTTCTTTGGCCTCTCAACTTCCTTGGACTTTGAGGATAGGCTTGTATAGGATAGGCCCACCATGGAACACTGTGAAACTATAATAAAGTTCTGACTCTCATGCCATCTACATCTGGAAGAAAGATAAAAAAGGGAGAGAATAAAAAGGTACTCAAAGAAATAATGACTGAAAACTTCCCAAATTTGGCATAAGGCACAATCCTATAGATTCAAGAAGCTGAGTGAACTCCCAAAAGAAAAAAACAAAGGACATGCCAAGAAACATGTGGTCAAACTTCTGAAAACTAAAGATAAAGAAAAATTATTAAAAACAGCAAGCACTGAAAAAAAAGAACAGTCAATTTAGAATCTTATTTCTAGCATAAATAGTCTCATAATGAAAAAGCTGTCTAAAGAGACATCCTTAAAAATATTACAGATAAATCAAAATTGAATTATAAAAAATGTTTAAGATAGCTCCAGGAAAAAGTAAGCAGAGAAATAAAAAGCAAAGATGATAAACAAAACACCAAAAATAAAATGGCTGGCTTGAGCCCTAAAATATCAATAATTACATTAAAACTAAATGGATTAAATACTCCAATTAGACTTTTATAACTTACATACTTTGCAGATAACATGATTGTCTACAGAGACTTTCAAGGGCTGTACACAATAAAACCCCTAGAACTAGTAAGTGCTTTCAGTGAGGTTTCATAAACATAAAAAGCTACATTATCAGGTTGGTGCAAACATAATTGCAGTTGTTGCATTGTTGAAATTTGCTGTTTGATATTGGAATACATTCTTAAATAAATGTGGTTATGTTGTACATCATTTTAACGCACATTTCTCGCTTTTTTTGCGAATGACTTATTACTTGCTCTTTATTTTATATTTATTTTAGACTCTGGAAATGATATTAGATAAAAAGCAAATTTGAGCGATTTTCTTATTGAGTTCAAAATGGATCATAAAGCAGCAGAGACAAATTGCAACATCAACAATGCATTTAGCCCAGAAATTGCTGACAAAGGTACAGTGCAGTGGTGGTTCAAGAAGTTTTGCAAAGGAGACAAGAGCCTTGAAGATGAGGAGCATAGTGACCGGCCATGTGAAGCTGATGACCAATTGAGAGCAATCATTGAAGCTGATCCTCCTACAACTACACGAGAAGTTGCTGAATAACTCAATGTCGACCATTCTATGGTTGTTTGGCATTTGAAGCAAATTGGAAAAGTGAAAAAGCGATAAGTGGGTGCTTCATGAGCTGAGTGAAAATTTTAAAAAACTGTCATTTTGAAGTGTTGTCATCTCTTATTCTATGCAACAACAATGAACCATTTCTCAATCGGATTGTGATGTGTGATGAAAAGTGGATTTTGTATGACAACCAGCTCCGTGGTTGGACGGAGAAAAAGCTCCAAAGCTCTTCCCAAAGCCAAACTTACACCAAAAAAAAAGTCTTTGTCACTGTTTGGTGGTCTACTGCCGGTATGATCCAAAATAGCTTTCTGAATCTTGGCGAAATCATTACATCTAAGAAGTATGCTCAGCCAATCGATGAGATAAATTGAAAACTGCAATGCCTGCAGCAGGCATTGGTCAACAGAAATGGCCCAATTCTTCTCCGTGACAGCGGCTGACCCCATGTCACACAAACAATGCTTCAAAAGTCAAATGAATTGGGCTACAAAGTTTTGCCTCATCTGTTATATTCACGTGACCCCTCGCCAACTGACTACCACTTCTTCAAGGATCTCAACAACTTTTTGCAGGGAAAACACTTCCACAACCAGTAGGGTGCAGAAAATGCTTTCCAAGATTGCATCAAATTCTGAAGCACAGATTTTTACACTACAAGAATAAGCAAACATTTCTTATTGGCAAAAATGCGTTGATTGTAATGGTTCCTATTTTGATTGATAAAGATATGTTTGAGACTAGTTATAATGATTTAAAATTCACAGTCCAAAATGGAAATTACTCTTACAACAACCTAATATATTTCTAAATAGTAGCAAAGAATGCAAGGTAGTAATATTAAAAATACAATACCACTAAAATCAGGAAAAAAAGAGACACTTAGGTATAAATCTAACAAGACATGTAGAGGACTGTATGAGGTATCAAGAGTATTCTAGAAACTACAAAGTGCTGAGAAATCAAATAGATAAGAAGCCTCAACATGATAGAACTGTTCATTCTGCCCAAATTGATATAGAGATTTAATGTAACTTTTATTGAATTACACAAGATTTTTTCTCTATACAGACAAGATTATTCTAAAATGTGTATGAAAAAAACAAAGAAAGTAAAATAGCTAAAATGATTTATTTAATTAATAATAAGGTAGAATTTTAATGAGTCTAAATGATTTCAAGACTAACTGTATAGGTATTCAAGACTGCATAGTATTGGTAGAAGAGTAGCTCAATGGAACAGAATAAAAATTGCAGAAGTCGAACCATAAAATATGCCCAACTATTTTTTATTATTAGACTTATTTCAAAAAAAGAAATTCTAGGTTTATAAAAAATTGAGTGGAAAGTACAGAAAATTCCTATATAGCCTCTCATCCTACCCAGTTTCCCTTATAACATATTGTTTAGTGTGGTATATACGTTACAATTCATCAGAGATATTGGTCTGTATATTCTTTTCTTTTTTTCTTTTCTTTTTTTTTTTTTTTTTGAGATGGAATCTTGTTCTTTTGTCCAGGCTGAGTGCAGTGGTGCAATCTCGGCTCATTGCAACCTCTGCCTCCAGGGTTCAAGCAATTCTCCTGCCTCAGCCTCCCGAGCAGCTGGGATTACAGGCGCACATCACCATGCCCGGCTAAAATTTGTATTTTTTTAGTGGAGACGGGGTTTCACCAAGTTGTCCAGGCTGGTCTTGAACTCCTGACCTTGTGATCTGCCCGCCTCAGCCTCCCAAAGTGCTGGGATTACAGGCGTGAGCCACCATGCCCTGCCGGTCTGTGTATTTTTTTCATGTTGTACACTTAATTAGCTTTGCTTTCAGGGTGATGCTGGCTTTGTAGAATGTGTTAGGGAGTATTCCCTCATCCTTGATTTTTTAGAACAGTTTCAGTAAGATTAGTTTCAGTTCTCCCATGCCTGTTTGAAATAAACTGGCTGGGATCCAGCTGTCTGGTCCTGGGCTTTCCCCCACCACCCCCAGGCAGATGTTTAATAACTGATTCAATTTCACTGTTCATTATTGACCTGTTCAGGATTTCTATTTCTTCCTGGTTCAATCTTAAGAGGCTGTATGTTTTCAGTAATTTACCCATTTCTTCTAGATTTTCTACTTTGTGTGCATAGAGATGCTCATAGTAGCCTCTGATGAGCTTTTCTGTTTCTCTCCTGTTAGTTGCAATGACATCTTTATCATTTTTTATTGTGCCTATTTTAATCTTCTCTATTTTCTTTTTTAATCTAGCTAGTATTCTATCAATTTTATCATTTTCAAAGAAGCAACTTTCTGTTTCATTGATCATTTGTATTGTGTTTTTTAAACCTCAATTTATATAGTTCTGTTAATTTTTGTTATTTATTATCTTCTGCTAGCTTTAGGTATGGTTTGTTCTTGTTTTTCTAGTTGTTTTAGGTGCAGTGTTAGGTTGTTTACATGAGATCTTCTTATCTATTTGATGCAGACATCAACATTATAAACTTTACTCTTAGCACTGCTTTTGCTGTATCCCAGAGGTTTTGGTATGTTCTGATTCTATTTTCATTCTTTCCAAAAATTTTTTGATTTTTGCCTGAATTTCATTTTGACCTAACAATTATTCAAAAGCAGATTATTTAGTATTTGTGTAGTTTTAAGGGATCCTCTGGGTGTCAATTTATAGTCTTATTCCCCTGTGGTTCGAATAAGGTACTTAATATTATTTCAAGTTTTAAAAATTTATTAAGACTTTCCTTGTGGCCTAGCACATGGTCAATTTTTGAGACTATCCCTTGTGCAGGCAAGAAGAATGTATATCCTATTGTTCTAGGGTAGAAAATTCTGTAAATGTCTGTTAAGTCTAGCATCCAATTTAACCAGAATTTCTTTTTTGATCTTCTGCATCAATGACCTGTCTAGTGCTGTCAGTGGGGTATTGACATTCACTATAATTTTATTGGGATCTGTATTTTTTTCTTAGGCCTTAGACAAATACTTTGTAGTATTTGTCGTATCAGTCTGGGTGCTCTCGTGTTGAATTCATCTCCTTATCTTATATAATGATGTTCTTTGTCTTTTTAAACTGTTGTTGATTTGAAGTGTTTTATCTGATATATGCATAGCTATTCCTGCTCACTTTTGGTTTTTGTCTGCATGAAGTCTCTTTTTACTCACCTTTATTTGGAGTCTGTAAATGTCTTTACCATTTAGGTAGGTTTCTTCTATGCAGCATGTAGTTGGATCTTGTTTTGTTATCCATTCTGCCAGCCTATATTTTTTAAGTGGAGCATTTAGTCCATTTATATTTATGGTTAGTTTTGGTACATGAAGTTTTGTCCCTGCCATAATGTTAGTTATTACTTGGTTGCTTTGCAGTCTCAGTTGTGTAATTGTTTCATATAACCTGTGAGTTTTACATTTTCATGTGTTTTTGTGATGATGAGAATCATCCTTTCATTTCCACGTTTAGAACTTCTTTGAGCATTTCTTACAGGACGAGTCTAGTGTTGATGAATTCTTAGTGTTTGCTTACCTTAAAAAGACTTTATTTCTCTTTAATTAGTGAAGATTAGTTTAGCAGAATACAACATTCTTGGCTGGCATTTGTTTTCTTTAAGAAGACTGAAAACAGGACCCCGGTCTCTTCTGGCATATAATGTTTCAGCTGAGAAGTCCACTGTTAGTATGATGAGATTTCCTTCATAGGTGATTAGATGCTTCTCTCTTGCCACTGTTAGCACTTTTTGGTTCATGTTTACTTTGGATACTCTGATGACTATATTCCTTGGTGAGATTCTTGCAATGTATCCTTCAGGAGTTCTCTGAGTTTATTGTATCTGAATGTCTAGATCTCTAGCAAGACCAGGGAAGTTTTCCTGAATTATTGCCTTACCTGGTTTTTCATACTTTTTACTTTTTCTTCTTCTCCCTTAAGAATACCTGCAAATCATATGTTTGGATGCTTTACATAGTCCCGTATTTCTCAAAGTCTTTGTAAATTCTTTTTGCTTTATTTTTATCTGACTGTGTTATTCTAAAAGACCTGTCTACCACCTATAAAATAATTTTTCTGCTTGGACAAGTCTATTGTTGAAGATTTCAACTCTATTTTGTAAATCCTTCAGTGAATTTTTAATTTCCAAAAGTTCTGTTTTTGTTTTTTTTTAAAATAATGTCTGTCTCTTTTTATATCCCGAATTGTTTTTCTGAATTCTTTGTGTTGCTTTTCAACTTTCTCTTAGATATCATGGGCCTTCTTTAAAAGACAATATTTTGAGTTCTTTATCTGATATTTCAAAAAGTACATTTTGGTTAATACACATTGCTAGAGAGTTAATGTGGTCCTTTGGGGGTGTTGAAATATTCTGGGTTTTTTTATACTTTCAGAATTGTTTCTCTGATTTCTTCTCATCTGGATAAGCTATCTCTCCATATTTTTAAATTTTCTGCATTTTGATGGGATTTTTCTTCCCTTGAGGATGTGACTATAATGTGTGTTGTGCAGAATATTTGGCTTTGGTTCTGGGTTCTTTCAGTGGCAAAGACTCTGTATAAGTTCCTTGATTATAGATGGCCTTTGTATGGTGACTTTCTCAGATGCTGGGTGTAGTAACAATGTACTGGGTATGAAAGCAGGCTCACTGTGTCCTGTGAGGCCGGCATGCAGCGGTATCAGGAAGCTTATCTCATTTACCAGTGTTGTGCACTTGGGTCAGCAGATTTTCTTTTAGGTTGTGCAGATCATTCTCCAAGGATTGAAAAGACAATCCTTTCTCCATCGAACTTCCTTTTACCATTTGTTAAAGATCAGTTGACTATATTTGTATGAGTCTATTTCTGTGCTCTCTACTCTGTTCCACTGATCTATGTGTTCATTCTTTATCAATATCACACTGTAATTTTACTGTAATCAGTAGTAACACAAATTATTTTGACAAAGGTGCAAAAGTAATTCAACAAATTAGCAAGTGGTGCTGGGGCAATTGGACTTACATGGGCAAAAATATATTCATTCATCTAAGTTTCATACCTTGTACAGATATTAAGTTGATAAAAGATTTAAATGTAAAAATAAAACTTTTTTAAAAATATGGGGGGATTGGGATCTAGTCTGTGGCAAAGAGTTTTTAGACATCAAAAGTAAGATATGTAAAATGAAAAGGTGATAAATTAAACTTATCAAAATTAGAAAACTTTGCTCTGTGAAAAATTTTTTTAAAGAGATAAAAATATAAGCCATAAGCTCAGTGAAAATATCTGGAAATTACATATCTGACAAAGGATTAGTATCTAGATACTATATACCTATGTATACACATATCATAATTCAACTGTGAAAAATCAAATAATTAAGTTAAAAATGGGCAAAAATCATGAGACATTTCACCAAAGAAAAACAGATGGGAACTTAGCTCATGAAAAGTTGCTTAAGTTCATTAGCCACCAGTAAAATGCAAATTCAGACCAATGATATCTCATTAAAAACAATGAGATATCACTAAACACTTAACAGAATGACTTAAATAGCAAGCGGTGACAATACCAAGTGCTTGTGACAACATGGAGAACCTGGATCACTCACACATTGTAGAATGTAAAATGAAACAGTAATGCTGAGGAACTATTTGGTGCAAGAGGCTTAGCTTTTACTCTATCTGGGCTCTCAACATGCCTTCCTCACTAAGCTTAATCATTTCTAGCTAACTTAAAATGAGAGAAATGATACTTTTTCTTTCACTTGAACATAGTGGTCATTGCAGTGTTATTTGTTGGCTTAGTTTCAATATTGTTGTGTCTCAGGGAATAGGGAAGTCCAAGGAGAGGGAGAGAGATGAGGGAATTGGCTGATTGATGGGGAGGTCAGGACACACACATTTATTGATTAAGTTTGCTCTCTTATATGGATGCGGTTTATGGCACCTAAAACAATTACAATAGTAACGTCAAAAATCACTGATTATAGATCACCATAACAGATATAATAAGAATGAAAAAGTTTGAAATATTGCAAGAATTACTAAAATATGACAGAGGCAAGAAGTGAGCACTTGCTGTTAGAAAATTGGTGCTTATAGAATTGCTTGATGCAGGGTTGCCATAAACCTTCAATTTGTAAAAAAAAAAAGAAATGCAGTATCTGCAAAGCGAAGTAAAGCACAATACAT
The DNA here is from genome assembly GCF_000001405.40 of Homo sapiens. Taxonomy (NCBI): domain Eukaryota; kingdom Metazoa; phylum Chordata; class Mammalia; order Primates; family Hominidae; genus Homo; species Homo sapiens. Next base: position 141,869,331 of record NC_000004.12, read on the forward strand.
AAGATCTATCTGTATAAAAAATAAACAGTTTAATTTAAAAAATCTTGGGGCAATATTCCATATTAAGATGTGCAAAGGAAAATTAAACAGTCTCAGGATCCCCCAAACTTCTTATGCAAAAGGAAAAAAGGCTGAGTCTTGCAGTACTCTTTTCCAAACGAATATCTGTTACTAATACTATGTCTCAGCCAGATCCCTATGGATAGGTAAAAGGCCTCCAGCATCTGCTGAAGGACTGCCTCCACAGGTCTTTCAGAAATAAATCTTTTGCTGGCTTTCCATAAACAATCACATGCCAATTATAACCTTTAGGAGCTATCTAATTTTAGCTCCTAAAACTCCACACTGATACTGTCATTACAAGCTCATTTTCTCAGGTGGAGAATAAAGGCCAGATTCATTTCCCCCACCTACCCAGAGATATCTGCATAATTGGTTTTTCCTTTACTCCGCTTTTCTTTTCAAACATTCACCTTGTCTTATGTAAAATGTAGTTTTACTGGGCACTAACTAAAGTCTCACAGAAATGTAACTATTTGCCTAACCTCCTTCCCTACATACCTTCCGCCTCCAACTCTAAGGGAAGATATAAATACTAAATTTCCTGAAAACCTCTTTGGAGAAACAGCCATACATGTGTCTGTGGCTTGTCTTTTTCCTGGATGCACCATAAGCAGGCTTAATAAACCTCAGTGATTAAGAGTTATGCCTCAGTCACTCATTTTAGTTGTCAGATGCCCTCATAGGTCAAGGTTCCTACAAAAAAAAGTCAAACCAGAGAGACAGCTGGCTTTCTTTCCCAAGCTCAATACTTGAACACTTAAAGTGGAGAAACAAAACAACAACAACAAAGAAATGTAGAAAATAATTTAAAAATTCTTGGCATGAGAGGCATTATTTTGAACCCTTGTGCAGGGATGCAGCTTTTCCCTGAAGAAGGAAATAGCCAGGTGAGGCTGTGGGAAGACAACAAATAAAGGAACTGTTTAAAGTTCTGCTTTTGCTTCTCCCCTGACATTGCCTCAGGACAAACAGTTCCTGATCTTTGCACTGGCTGCTACTCAAAGCTCTAGTCCAGTTACCGTCAGAAGTAAATTCATGCCTGATAAGAAGTCTTATAGCTATGAAGATGAGATTTAAAAAAAAAATACTTTCAAGCAGTTATTTCCAATACCTCCCTATTCAAATTCTCCAAGGGCTAGTAAATTATAATTTAAAGAGGTTCTCCTAATAAACTTCTCCCATATTTGCGGGAATTAGGAGTGTTTTTATTGTTCTGTTTATCTTTTGGTCTCTGGGGCTCTCTCCCCAAGAGCTCATCCAGCTCCTTCATCCCAGGAGGTGACTGGAGCTCACTAGACTGGAGACTGCTTTTCTTCTGCATGTACTGCCTGACAGTGTAGCCAGTATTCTCATGGGATATAAGCTCACAAACTAAAATAATAAGTCTTTGAAGAGTTCAAATATTTCAAAAGAAATTAAACATGCTTTATTAAAGATTCTAATAGAGCACAAGTACTAGAACAAAAGGACCAAGAATATAAAATTATCCAAATTAACATATGAAAAGAGACAAGGGAAAATATTAGGAATAATTAAGGTATGAAAGTTTTTAAAAATCAAGCTATATTAGTTATGAAAAATAAAATAATTGAAATAGGTAAACTTTAAATAATTTTTAAAATATGAAAGGTCTCAGACTGAACAACCCATAATAGGTCAAAGAGGAGCATTAAGGAAAAGCACATACCTATTTGCTATCTGTGGTGAATCTGCACACATCTACAGCAATCTCAATTATTTCCTCTGCAGAAGGAAAAAATTCAACCAAGGGACATAAGGCAGAATGAAAGAGTGAGGTAAAGTTTAGAATAGGAGTGAAAGTTGATTAAAAGGCTTTAGAGTAGGAATGAAAGGAAGTGAAGTACACTTGGAAGAGGGCCAAGCAGGCAACTTGAGAAATCAACTGTGTGGTTTGAACTGGAGTTTTATACACTGGCGTGTGTATTACTCCATTTTCACAATGCTATAAAAAAACTACCTGAGACTGGGTAATTTATAAAGAAAAAAGACTTAATTGATTTGCAGTTCCACATGGCTTGGAGGCCTCAGGAACCTGACAATCAGGGCAGAAGATGAAGAGGAAGCAAGGCATGTCTTACACGGCTACCGGAGAAAGAGTGAGGCAGAAAGTGCCACATGCTTTCAAACAAGATCTTGTGAGATCTTTACTCACTGTCACTAGCACAGAAAGGGGGAAGTCCATCCCCGTGATTTAATCATTTCCTATGACACCCCTTCACTGACACATGGGGATTACAATTCAAGATGAGATGTGGGTGGGGACACAGAGCCAAACCATATCATTCCACCTCTGGACCATTCCAAATCTCATGTCCTTCTCACATTTCAAAACACAATCACACCTTCCCAACAGTCCCTCAAAGTCTTAACTCATTCCAACATTAACCCAAAAGTCTAAGTCCAAAGTCTCATCTGAGACAAGGCAAATCCCTTCCACCTATGAGCCTATAAAATTAAAAGCAAGTTCATTATTTCCAAGATAAAATGGGGGTGCAGGCATTGGGTAAATGTTCCCATTCCAAATGGAAGAAATTGGCCAAAACAAAGGGGCCACAGGTCCCATGCAAGTCTGAAACCCAGTGGGGCACTCATTAAATCTTAAAGCTCTAAAATGATCTCCTTTGACTCCATGTCTCACATCCTTGTCAAGATGATACAAGGGATAGATCCCAAGGTCTTGGACACCTCTGCCCCTGTGGCTCTGCAGGGTATACCCTCACAGCTGCTTTCACAAGCTGTCATTGAGTACCTGCTGCTTTTCCAGGCCCATGGTGTAAGCTGTCAGTGGATCTACCATTCTGTGGTCTGGAGTATGGTGGCCCTCTTCTCACAGCTCCACCAGGCAGTGTCCCGGGGGACCTCTGTGTGGGGGCTCCAACCCCACACTTCCCCACTGCACTGCCCTAGTGGAGATTCTCCATGAGGGCTCTGCCCCTGCATCAGACTTCTGCTGAGACATACAGGCATTTTCATACATCCTCTGAAATCTAGGCAGAGCCTCCCAAACTCTTACCTTCTGTGCACCTGCAGGCCCAACAACACGTGGAAGATGCCAAGGCTTGGGGCTTGCACCCTCTGAAGCAGTGGCCTGAGCTGTACCTTGACCCCTTTTAGCCATGGCTGGAGCTGGAGCTGGAATGGCTGGGACACAAGACACCATGTCCTAAGGCTGCACAGAACAGCGAGCCCCTGTGTCCAGTCTACAAAACCATTTTTCCCTCCTAGGCCTCCAGGTCTTTGATGGGAGGAGTTGCCATGAAGATCTCTGAAATGCCTTGGAGACATTTTCCTCACTGTCTTAAGGATTAACATTCAGTTCCCCTTTACTTATGCAAATTTCTGAAAACACTGGTTTGAATTCCTCCCCAGTAAATGGGTTTTTCTTTTCTACCACATGGTCCCAGCAAATTTTCCAAACTTACATGCTCTGCTTTCCTTTTAAACATAAGTTCCAATTTCAGATCATCTCTTTGTGAACACAGATGACTATACGTAGTTAGGAGCAACCAGGCCACTTTTTAACAATGCTCCTTAGAAATTTCTTCCACCAGATACCCTAAATCCTCTCTTTGAAGTTCAAAGTTCCACAGATCTCTAGGACAGGGAGAAAATGCCACCAGTCTCTTTGCTAAAGCGTAGCAAATGTTACCCTACTCTAGTTCCCAATATTTGTGTTGTCTCCATCTGAGACCACCTCAGCTTGGATTTCATTGTCCATATCACTATTAGCATTTTGATCAAAACCAGTTAACAAGTCTCCACGAAGTTCCAAACTTTCCCACATCTTACTGTCCTCTTCTGAGCCTTCTAAACTGTTCCAACTTCTGCATGTTATCCAGTTCCAAAGTCGCTTCCACAGTTTTAGATATCTTTATAGCAGTGCCCCATGCCTGGTACCAGTTTTCTGTATTCTTCTGTTTTCAAACTACTATAAAAAACTACCCAAGACTGGGTAATTTATAAAGAAAAGGGGTTTAATTGACTCACAGCTCTGCATGGCTGGAGAGAAAGGAAACTTAGAATCATGGAGGAAGGCAAAGAGAAAGCAAGGCCTGTCTTACATGGCAGCAGAAGAGAGAGAGAGAGAGCAAAGAAAGCCACACACATTTAAACCATCAGATCTCATGAGAACTCACTCACTATCATGAGAACAGCAAAGCAGAAGTCTGCCCCCCATGGTTCAATCACCTCCTATCAGGCCCCTCCCCAGACACATTGGGATTACAATTCAAGATGAGATTTGAATAGGGACACAAAGCCAAACCATATCAGCATGCTTCTGGGGTCTTATATTCCTTATCCCCTGATTCTTTCCTTAGGGTGGGCTGTCTGTATGTACAGTGGCCTGCTAGCTCTTGGGAGGGGAGCATGCACAGTGTTTTTACTGGAATTGTATGCATTCTCACATGAGGTATTTTTCCCTTACCAGTCAAATGTCCCTAGAAGGTCATATGCCAGTTAAACTCCACCATTTTTGTCTCTTAATGCACATGCTTGAGGACATTTGCCCAACTCCCAACTTCTGAGATCTTATTGGAAAGCTGCTGATCACCAGTTTCAGGTGTTTCTGTTTATTGGAAGACTGCTTTTCCCTGGCACTGGTTGTGACCGATTATTATATTAGAGAGAAAGTTAACAACTGCCTGACCATCACCTAATGGTTGCCTGATATCCTTGGGTGAGGGTAGGGGGAGTGGGTGGAGGGGGATAGGGGAATCCCTCTCCTGCTCTGCTCATGTCCTACTAGCTACCTGCTGTAATATATCCATGCTAAAATGGTATGTTTGAATATTAAAACAAAGGGAAATTTTTTGAAAGCTTACAGAAACACATGATTACATATAAAAGATCAAGAATTGGATTGATGGCGTTTTTTAAATATAAAAATGGGAATGATACGATAACAAAATACTCTCAAAGTATTGATGAAGAGTAAAGACCAGAATGTTATAAATAGACAAACTCTTGGTAAGTCTTTAATATCAATAGTCATTTACTTTTATCCAGAAATCAAACATGAGGTTTCTGGAGTGGTGATCAAAGTTATTATTTAAAGCAATAACTGTACTTGTTTCCCTGTGCTTCATACTCCACAAATTATGTGATGAGAGCCAGATATTATGCCATACGTGTGGGGATTTATACTTCAGGAGAGGAAAACTGAAATTCTAAATTTGGAAATTTGTTTGGATTAGCTAATCAACGGGCACCTTCTCTTCTAAGAGAAGGAGATAAGTCTAATCTCCACAATGTAAACAACTTCTTGAGAAGAGAAATGAAAACTCCCTGGGTTCCTAATCTTTTGACTGTAAGTAAGTATCTCTAGGAAGAAGATAAGACATCATTTCAATTTATAATTCTGAAAATTTATCTATGGTTCTGGGCTTTATCTCCCTTTAAAATTTAAACACTTATCTTCAAGCAGGTAAATCTACCCAGAGTTCTTTCACAATCTATTCAATCATCATTTAGCTTTCAAGATTTCTCCTTTAACCTAGATTTCTGTTTTCTTCACTCAAAAAGCCCTAAGTATACACACAAAAATGTAAATATTCACTTCCTGAAGATTGTCACTCAAATATAGGGATGTGATTAAAATATTCTCAGACTTTCAATGCCACAGATATTTGCCACACTAAAACCTATTCTGAAAACAGTTCTAGAAAAAGTACACAGGTTAAAAAAATCCAGGAAATATTATAAGATATATATGAAGAAACAAGGATCAAAAGCTTGTTAAAACTATGTCACTTAAAAATTTTTCTAACAAAAAAAGAGGAAATATAATAATAATAACCAAAAAATAAAAGTCTGGAGAATCTCAGCCTGATGAAGAAGGGTGGAAGGTGATGCATATGAACCGAAAGATGTGAGAACTAGCTAAAATTCTTGCCATTTAAAACAAGAACAAGTATAAGTTAAAAAAAATAAACTTAGAAACAGTAGAAAAAACTAAAACAAGAAATTAAAGTGACAGAAACAGATACAAATTCATCACTAACCACAATAAATGTAAATGGATTAAACAATACATTTACAGAATGGATAAAGACATGAAATAATAAAGACAATGCAGCAGAACATCCAAAGTATGAGATTGAAGGTAAGTAAAAAGACATAGGCAAATGCCAAAAGAAAGTATATAGGACTAATTTAATATCTGATAAAATGGGTGTGGATGTATAAAGTACAGAAACCACCTTTGTAAAATTATGATAATAAGAGAAATCTGACATAGTTGACTCCATCTTGCTTGTAACCTCCAAGCTTGATCATTCCTGACCATAGGACAAACTAATCTTGGGAAGAACTTATAGTTTAACCTTAAAGCAAGGATGATGATAGTCCTTTCTGCAACTAAACTGCCTTTGGAAAACTAATGAAAAGCTACAGGATTAGAATTATGAGAGAGGCCTGAATGCTGCTAAAATGTAAGCATAGTTAAATGATAACCAGCCATTTTCCTGGAGGTTGCAAAATTTGTAACTTCCCCAGATGGTTCTATAGATACTATCACTATTGTAGAATCTAAGATTGGTTGTTTGAGAAGTTTTTGCAGACTTTTATATTCTGAGAACCCCACGTGGACCCATGACTCATGATTTAACCAGCCCTGTGGTCCCCAACCCAGAGATAGATTCAGCACATGAGCATCATTTTCCACACCCTTATAATGACATCCCCAATCAGTAGGCAGCACCCAACCCCTAGTCCCTTTCCCACCAAACTGTTCTTGAAAAATCCTAATCACTGACTCTTTGGGGAGACTGATTTGAGTGATAACTACATTATTCATGTAGCCGGCCTTGTGTCAATTAAAGCCTTTCTTTACTGCAACGCCATGGTCTCAGTGAAGTGTTTTTTTGTCTTTCTGTTCAGCAGGCAGGAAGAATCCATTGAGCAGTTATAGTACTTATTAAAGATGAACTATCATTATCTCCTGAAAAATGTTTCAACAAACTAAGATATAGCAATTTTAAACATGTATGCACCTAATTTTAAAATGCACTTAATATTTATTTATTTGTTTATTTATTTATTTATTTATTTATTTATTGTCTGAGACAGAGTCTCATTCTGTTGCCCAGGCTGGAGTGCAGTGGCACGATCTCAGCTCACTGCAACCTCTGCCTACCAGGTTCAAGCTATTCTCCTGCCTCAGCCTCCTGAGTGGCTGGGATTACAGGTGCGCACCACCATGCCCAGGTAATTTTTGAATTTTTAGTAGAGACAGGGTTTAGCTATGTTGGCCAGGCTGGTCTCAAACTCCTGACCTCAAGTGATCTGCCCACCTTGGCCTCCAAAGTTATAGGATTACAGGCGTGAGCCACTGTGCCCAGCCTAAGATACACTTAATTTAGAATTAAGGGAGAAACTGATAAATCCACTGTCATGGATTTCAACATATCTCAATTGATAGGTTAAGTACACAAAATAATAGAAAAAAATACTGATCTGAACACAATTAACAAATTTAAACTAGTGCACATAGATGTAGAGTTTTACAGCCATTAATCAAAGAATGTATATTTTTTCTCAAGCATATATGGAAGATAAATTATGATATTGTATCATAAAGGAAATAAAGACAACACATTTCAAAAGTACCATAGATACTATACAGATCTTGATATCTAATGACAATACAACTGAAGTAATTTTTTTCAAGATTTAAAAATTTTTCTTTATATTTGCAAATTTTAAACAAAACCCTGTTGAAGAATTCATGATGAATAATGAAGGAGCAAGATAAATAAATAATTTCTAGATTTATAAGACAATAAAGGATAATGAAAAGCTTACAGAGTAACACCTAAGAGATGTGGTCAACATGGGCTCAAGTGGTCCTTTGAGAGAGATTTATAGCCTTAAATATCTGTATTAGAAAAGAAAAATCTTTAAAATCAATTGTGCTAATAAATATTTTTTTTCTTTTTTTTTTTTATTATACTTTAAGTTTTAGGGTACATGTGCACATTGTGCAGGTTAGTTACATATGTATACATGTGCCGTGCTGGTGCGCTGCACCCACTAACTCGTCATCTAGCATTAGTTATATCTCCCAATGCTATCCCTCCCCCCTCCCACCACCCCACAACAGTCCCCAGAGTGTGATATTCCCCTTCCTGTGTCCATGTGATCTCATTGTTCAATTCCCACCTATGAGTGAGAATATGCGGTGTTTGGTTTTTTGTTCTTGTGATAGTTTACTGAGAATGATGATTTCCAATTTCATCCATGTCCCTACAAAGGACGTGAACTCATCCTTTTTTATGGCTGCATAGTATTCCATGGTGTATATGTGCCACATTTTCTTAATCCAGTCTATCATTGTTGGACATTTGGGTTGGTTCCAAGTCTTTGCTATTGTGAATAATGCCGCAATAAACATACGTGTGCATGTGTCTTTATAGCAGCATGATTTATAGTCATTTGGGTATATACCCAGTAATGGGATGGCTGGGTCAAATGGTATTTCTAGTTCTAGATCCCTGAGGAATCGCCACACTGACTTCCACAATGGTTGAACTAGTTTACAGTCCCACCAACAGTGTAAAAGTGTTCCTGTTTCTCCACATCCTCTCCAGCACCTGTTGTTTCCTGACTTTTTAATGATTGCCATTCTAACTGGTGTGAGATGGTATCTCACAGTGGTTTTGATTTGCATTTCTCTGATGGCCAGTGATGATGAGCATTTTTTCATGTGTTTTTTGGCTGCATAAATGTCTTCTTTTGAGAAGTGTCTGTCCATGTCCTTCGCCCACTTTTTGCTGGGGTTGTTTGTTTTTTTCTTGTAAATTTGTTTGAGTTCATTGTAGATTGTGGATATTATCCCTTTGTCAGATGAGTAGGTTGTGAAAATTTTCTCCCATTTTGTAGGCTGCCTGTTCACTCTGATGGTAGTTTCTTTTGCTGTGCAGAAGCTCTTTATTTTAGTTAGATCCCATTTGTCAGTTTTGTCTTTTGTTGCCATTGCTTTTGGTGTTTTGGACATGAAGTCCTTGCCCATGCCTATGTCCTGAATGGTAATGCCTAGGTTTTCTTCTAGGGTTTTTATGGTTTTAGGTCTAACGTTTAAATCTTTAATCCATCTTGAATTGATTTTTGTATAAGGTGTAAGGAAGGGATCCAGTTTCAGCTTTCTACATATGGCTAGCCAGCTTTCCCAGCACCATTTATTAAATAGGGAATCCTTTCCCCATTGCTTGTTTTTCTCAGGTTTGTCAAAGATCAGATAGTTGTAGGTATGTGGCGTTATTTCTGAGGGCTCTGTTCTGTTCCATTGATCTATATCTCTGTTTTGGTACCAGTACCATGCTGTTTTGGTTACTGTAGCCTTGTAGTATAGTTTGAAGTCAGGTAGTGTGATGCCTCCAGCTTTGTTCTTTTGGCTTAGGATTGACTTGGCGATGCGGGCTCTTTTTTGGTTCCATATGAACTTTAAAGTAGTTTTTTCCAATTCTGTGAAGAAAGTTATTGGTAGCTTGATGGGGATGGCATTGAATCTGTAAATTACCTTGGGCAGTATGGCCATTTTCACGATATTGATTCTTCCTACCCATGAGCATGGAATGTTCTTCCATTTGTTTGTATCCTCTTTTATTTCTTTGAGCAGTGGTTTGTAGTTGTCCTTGAAGAGGTCCTTCACATCCCTTGTAAGTTGGATTCCTAGGTATTTTATTCTCTTTGAAGCAATTGTGAATGGGAGTTCACTCATGATTTGGCTCTCCGTTTGTGTGTTGTTGGTGTATAAGAATGCTTGTGATTTTTGTACATTGATTTTGTATCCTGAGACTTTGCTGAAGTTGCCTATCAGCTTAAGGAGATTTTGGGCTGAGACAATGGGGTTTTCTAGATATACAATCATGTCATCTGCAAACAGGGACAATTTAACTTCCTCTTTTCCTAATTGAATACCCTTTATTTCCTTCTCCTGCCTAATTGCCCTGGCCAGAACTTCCAACACTATGTTGAATAGGAGTGGTGAGAGAGGGCATCCCTGTCTTGTGCCAGTTTTCAAAGGGAATGCTTCCAGTTTTTGCCCATTCAGTATGATATTGGCTGTGGGTTTGTCATAGATAGGTCTTATCATTTTGAAATACGTCCCAGCAATACCTAATTTATTGAGAGTTTTTAGCATGAAGGGTTGTTGAATTTTGTCAAAGGCTTTTTCTGCATCTATTGAGATAATCATGTGGTTTTTGTCTTTGGCTCTGTTTATATGCTGGATTACGTTTATTGATTTGCGTATATTGAACCAGCCTTGCATCCCAGGGATGAAGCCCACTTGATCATGGTGGATAAGCTTTTTGATGTGCTGCTGGATTCGGTTTGCCAGTATTTTATTGAGGATTTTTGCATCAATGTTCATCAAGGATATTGGTCTAAAATTCTCTTTTTTTGTTGTGTCTCTGCCCGGCTTTGGTGTCAGAATGATGCTGGCCTCATAAAATGAGTTAGGGAGGATTCCCTCTTGTTCTATTGATTGGAATAGTTTCAGAAGGAATGGTACCAGTTCCTCCTTGTACCTCTGGTAGAATTCGGCTGTGAATCCACCTGGTCCTGGACTCTTTTTGGTTGGCAAACTATTGATTATTGCCACAATTTCAGATCCTGTTATTGGTCTATTCAGAGATGCAACTTCTTCCTGGTTTAGTCTTGGGAGAGTGTATGTGTTGAGGAATTTATCCATTTCTTCTAGATTTTCCAGTTTATTTGCGTAGAGGTGTTTGTAGTATTCTCTGATGGTAGTTTGTATTTCTGTGGGATCGGTGGTGATATCCCCTTTATCATTTTTTATTGTGTCTATTTGATTCTTCTCTCTTTTTTTCTTTATTAGTCTTGTTAGCAGTCTATCAATTTTGTTGATCCTTTCAAAAAACCAGCTCCTGGATTCATTGATTTTTTGAATGGTTTTTTGTGTCTCTATTTCCTTCAGTTCTGCTCTGATTTTAGTTATATCTTGCCTTCTGCTAGCTTTTGAATGTGTTTGCTCTTGCTTTTCTAGTTCTTTTAATTGTGATGTTAGGGTGTCAATTTTGGATCTTTCCTGCTTTCTCTTGTGGGTATTTAGTGCTATAAATTTCCCTCTACACACTGCTTTGAATGTGTCCCAGAGATTCTGGTATGTCGTGTCTTTGTTCTCGTTGGTTTCAAAGAACATCTTTATTTCTGCCTTCATTTCGTTATGTACCAGTAGTCATTCAGGAGCAGGTTGTTCAGTTTCCATGTAGTTGAGCGGCTTTGAGTGAGATTCTTAATCCTGAGTTCTAGTTTGATTGCACTGTGGTCTGAGAGATAGTTTGTTATAATTTCTGTTCTTTTACATTTGCTGAGGAGAGCTTTACTTCCAACTATGTGGTCAATTTTGGAATAGGTGTGGTGTGGTGCTGAAAAAAATATATATTCTGTTGATTTGGGGTGGAGAGTTCTGTAGATGTCTATTAGGTCCGCTTGGTGCAGAGCTGAGTTCAATTCCTGGATATCCTTGTTGACTTTCTGTCTCGTTGATCTGTCTAATGTTGACAGTGGGGTGTTAAAGTCTCCCATTATTAATGTGTGGGAGTCTAAGTCTCTTTGTAGGTCACTCAGGACTTGCTTTATGAATCTGGGTGCTCCTGTATTGGGTGCATATATATTTAGGATAGTTAGCTCTTCTTGTTTGAATTGATCCCTTTACCATTATGTAATGGCCTTCTTTGTCTCTTTTGATCTTTGTTGGTTTAAAGTCTGTTTTATCAGAGACTAGGATTGCAACCCCTGCCTTTTTTTGTTTTCCATTTGCTTGGTAGATCTTCCTCCATCCTTTTATTTTGAGCCTATGTGTGTCTCTGCATGTGAGATGGGTTTCCTGAATACAGCACACTGATGGGTCTTGACTCTTTATCCAATTTGCCAGTCTGTGTCTTTTAATTGGAGAATTTAGTCCATTTACATTTAAAGTTAATATTGTTGCATGTGAATTTGATCCTGTCATTATGATGTTAGCTGGTGATTTTGCTCGTTAGTTGACGCAGTTTCTTCCTAGTCTTGATGGTCTTTACATTTTGGCATGATTTTGCAGCAGCTGGTACCGTTTGTTCCTTTCCATGTTTAGCGCTTCCTTCAGGAGCTCTTTTAGGGCAGGCCTGGTGGTGACAAAATCTCTCAGCATTTGCTTGTCTGTAAAGTATTTAATTTCTCCTTCACTTATGAAGCTTAGTTTGGCTGGATATGAAATTCTGGGTTGAAAATTCTTTTCTTTAAGAATGTTGAATATTGGCCCCCACTCTCTTCTGGCTTGTAGGGTTTCTGCCAAGAGATCCGCTGTTAGTCTGATGGGCTTCCCTTTGAGGGTAACCCGACCTTTCTCTCTGGCTGCCCTTAACATTTTTTCCTTCATTTCAACTTTGGTGAATCTGACAATTATGTGTCTTGGAGTTGCTCTTCTTGAGGAGAATCTTTGTGGCGTTCTCTGTATTTCCTGAATCTGAACATTGGCCTGCCTTGCTAGATTGGGGAAGTTCTCCTGGATAATATCCTGCAGAGTGTTTTCCAACTTGGTTCCATTCTCCCCATCACTTTCAGGTACACCAATCAGACGTAGATTTGGTCTTTTCACATAGTCGCATATTTCTTGGAGGCTTTGCTCATTTCTTTTCATTCTTTTTTCTCTAAACTTCCCTTCTCGCTTCATTTCATTCATTTCATCTTCCATTGCTGATACCCTTTCTTCCAGTTGATCGCATCGGCTCCTGAGGCTTCTGCATTCTTCACGTAGTTCTCGAGCCTTGGTTTTCAGCTCCATCAGCTCCTTTAAGCACTTCTCTGTATTGGTTATTCTAGTTATATATTCTTCTAAATTTTTTTCAAAGTTTTCAACTTCTTTGCCTTTGGTTTGAATGTCCTCCCGTAGCTCAGAGTAATTTGATCGTCTGAAGCCTTCTTCTCTCAGCTCGTCAAAGTCATTCTCCATCCAGCTTTGTTCCGTTGCTGGTGAGGAACTGCGTTCCTTTGGAGGAGGAGAGGCGCTCTGCGTTTTAGAGTTTCCAGTTTTTCTGTTCTGTTTTTTCCCCATCTTTGTGGTTTTATCTACTTTTGGTCTTTGATGATGGTGATGTACAGATGGGTTTTCAGTGTGTATGTCCTTTCTGTTTGTTAGTTTTCCTTCTAACAGACAGGACCCTCAGCTGCAGGTCTGTTGGAATACCCTGCCGTGTGAGGTGTCAGTGTTCCCCTGCTGCGGGGTGCCTCCCAGTTAGGCTGCTCGGGGGTCAGGGGTCAGGGACCCACTTGAGGAGGCAGTCTGCCGGTTCTCAGATCTCCAGCTGCGTGCTGGGAGAACCACTGCTCTCTTCAAAGCTGTCAGACAGGGACATTTAAGTCTGCAGAGGTTACTGCTGTCTTTTTGTTTGTCTGTGCCCTGCCCCCAGCGGTGGAGCCTACAGTGGCAGGCAGGCCCCCTTGAACTGTGGTGGGCTCCACCCTGTTCGAGCTTCCCGGCTGCTTTGTTTACCTAAGCAAGCCTGGGCAATGGCGGGCGCCCCTCCCCCAGCCTCGCTGCCGCCTTGCAGTTTGATCTCAGACTGCTGTGCTAGCAATCAGTGAGATTCTGTGGGCGTAGGACCCTCCGAGCCAGGTGTGGGATATAGTCTCGTGGTGCGCCGTTTTTTAAGCCGGTCTGAAAAGCGCAATATTCGGGTGGGAGTGACCCGATTTTCCAGGTGCGTCCGTCACCCCTTTCTTTGACTCAGAAAGGGAACTCCCTGACCCCTTGCACTTCCCAGGTGAGGCAATGCCTCGCCCTGCTTCGGCTCGCACACGGTGTGCGCACCCACTGGCCTGCGCCCACTGTCTGGCACTCCCTAGTGAGATGAACCTGGTACCTCAGATGGAAATGCAGAAATCACCCGTCTTCTGCGTCGCTCACGCTGGGAGCTGTAGACGGGAGCTGTTCCTATTCGGCCATCTTGGCTCCTCCCCGAGAATCAGCTAATAAATATTTTTAGAAAATGAATAATGCAGTGAAAATGGGAAAAATAATAAAAATAAGAGTTGTGATTAATGCAATAGAAAGGTGCTGTTTTATTTAACTAGAATATGATTATAAAGCAAACATATCAAATAGAAATAAACAACCATCTGGAGCAGAGAACGGAAAGAGATTTTTGCTTAACCTTTCTCATTCTCAGAAAAATTAATTCCATTTTCCCCTTCTCCTTCACGTCAGCTCTTCCCTCTGCTTTAAACTATAGGGTCTGCTGCCATGCAAAAGGTGAGTACCATCCTATGACAAAGAGTGGCAAGCCTAGAAAGTCAAAGGAACCCATCCACAGAGCACCCACAGACATCCTGTTGGGAACCACTGACTGTGTGGGTTTAATTTGCTCGTACATACTGCCTCATAGAGAGAAAAATAAAATTTGGAGAAATCAGAAGTTATTAAACACAAGTACTCAAAAGGATTGGCACAGACTGGTGCTGAGCAGTCTAGCAAAGGAGGTCATGATGTACACCAGCTTCCTTCAGCCTTTGCCAGCAGTATATGCTCATCTCATCATTAAGCAAGGCTCTTAAAATCCCCAAAGAGCAGACCTCTTTTTGTGGAGATTAAATAAAGATTTTAGCTTGAATTTCTATATCTTTAACTTGTGTTAAATCTAAACCCTTGCAGACTTCCTTATTTTCCACCCAATTAATGCATAACATGGTTCAGTAGCTCTGACTTTACCCTGGTAGCCTGATTATGGTAATGTGAACATTGGCTCATACCACTGTTCCTAAGAGTGCTGTGCTGTGTTGGAGCCAAACATCAGAAACAATCTCTCATTGTTGTGGGATGGAGGGTGGAGATATATTTGCATGTGTGTAGATATATATATTGATATGTGTGTGTGTGTGTGTGTGTGTGTGTACGTATACATAAAACGATGGATTTTGACCCAGGAAGAGGAAGAGTGGTGGCTGAAGCACCAGGAACTCATGTACTTGTTCTTTGTACACACCAGGAGAATCAGGGTTGAAATACTCTTCCTCTCTCCTGACAGTCTGGTGTTATTTAGGATTAAAGTGCTCTAGTTCAGTGGTCCCCAAACTTGCTCATCACTAAGAGTCACCTACGTGCTAGTTAAAACTATACATTACTGAAACTTTCTCTAGAGCTTCTGTTTTGTTTGGTCGGGGATATAGCCTAGGTTTCTGTATTTTTAACTTGTGTACCTAGGGCAACTTTATGATTAGACATGTTTGGAAAACATTGCTCTACCTAGTTCCAAGGTCTAACAATTTTAAACTGAATGTTCACATAGCCTTTTGGGATTATTCTTATTGTTGTCCATAAGACTTACCTGACTTCTCCAATAACCCCAGGAGAAGAATGTGGTATTCATTAGTTTGCCATATTTACTTAGTATACCTCTATTTCTTAACCTCTTTAAGCCTGGTTTTCCCACTTGAAACATGGAGAGAATAGTAATAATAATACCTATCTCAGAGAGATTTTTACAGAATGCAATAAACTAATGCTTATAAAACACTTAACATAGGACCTAGAACAAAGTAAGGCTGCAATAACATCAGCTATGATTATTATTATTTCATACCACACACTTTTTACTTGCCTAATGTGATAAATCATTTGGAAAAGTGTTGCCATTATTCTCTTCTCTGTACCAGGGCTCTATGCCATGTGGCTTTGTAGCAACTCCCATCAGGAGATGAAGATTACTTCCCTTACACTTGAAACTGGGATGGTTCTGTCAATTGCCTGAAAAATTGAATGTGATGACAAAAGCAAAATTGTGCTAGTTTTGGGCCTAGGCTTCAAGAGGCCTTGTGTACTTTTACTCTATGACAAGGTCATTCTAGCCTGCTAAAAGATGAGAGACAATGAGGGCAAGGCCAGTGAGCCAGCTGTCCCCGCCCTGGTCCCAGAGATGTAGTGAAGCCTAGCCAAGATCAACAAAGTGCTACTCAACCTACAGCTGACTAGAGGCAAATGAGTGAACCCAGCAGACAACAGAAAACCCACCCAGTTGACCCAAGAACTCATGACTAATAATAAGAGGTGATTGTGCTAAGGTACTAAGTTTTGGGGTAAATTTGGTACACAGGCATAGATCTGGTACATCGATTATGTGCCAATTACTAAGTTACATATTAGAGATGCATAGGGAAATAAGGCACAGTCCTGGTTCTCAAAAACCAAAAGCATGTTTTTGCAAAAGACAAGTAAACACAATTTTAGAATACAGTTATGCAAGGCTCAATTATATATATTTTTTTATTTCATTCACTCAAAAAATAATTTTACAATTTCTGATATTTGTCATGCACTGTTCTAGACACTTGAGGTATATCAGTGATATGGTTTGGCTCTGTCTCCTCACCCAAATCTCATGTTGAATTGTAATCCCCACGTGTTGAAGGAGGGGCCTGGTGGGAGGTGATTGAATCATGGGGATGGAGTTCCCCTTGCTGTTCACATGATAGAGTTCTCATGAGATCTGGTTGTTTGAAAGTGTGTAGCACTTCCCCCTTTGCTTTCTTTCTCCTGCTGCCATGTGAAGACGTGCTTGCTTCCCCTTCGCTCTTCTGCTATGATTCTAAGTTTCCTGAGGCCTCCCAGCCATGCTTCCTGTACACCCTGAGGAATTGTGAGTCAATTAAACCTCTTTTCTTCATAAATTATCCAGCCTCAGGTAGTTCTTTATAGCAGTGTGAGAATGGATTAATACAATTGGTAACCAAATCAAACAAAAATCCCTTCCCCATAGAAAAAAAAATGTTATAAGTAAGTATATTAACAGGATATTAGAAGGTGACAAGTTCTGTTTAAAAAAAATTCAGGAAACATAAAACCGGTAAGAAGGATCAGGAATATGGGACACAGTGGGTGGAAATCAGATTGCAGTATTAAATGGGGTGTCTGGTAAGGCTTTGTTGAGGAAAGTTGAGCAAAAACTTGAAAAAGATGAGAAAGTTAAACAATCTTTCCAAAGAGATCAATGAGATAAGGTGAAGGCCCTAAGGTAGAAAAGTGTCTACAATTTTTGGGTAACAGAAACTAGGCCAGTGTAACTAAAGCAGAAAGCACAAAGTAGGCCATACAAACTAGCCTGTAAGAATACTTTTTTAAAATAAAAGCTCCTGAAGGATGTGACAGGAGTTCAGTGTTGAAGCAAGCACAGGAGTTAGCAGGGATAGTGGAGAAAGGCACCCAGGATGTGGTGGGAGGGAGATAGATGAATGAGAACTCCAAGGAGAAGACCAGAACACATGCAGAGAAACTAAGACAATGTTCATGGTTAGTGTGAACTCTCGGGGAATTGGAAGTATTTCATAGGATTGGAGAACAAAAGAGTGATACAAAATTATTTTTAAAAGCAGGCGGACCATATACTGGAAGACATTGAATGGAAGGCTAAGGAGGTTCAGTTTTACCTGGATGTCAGTGGAGAAGCATTGAAGAGTTGAAGCAAGAGAGAAGTGATTTTATTAGACTAGCTTTGAAAGATCATTCAGTTTAGCATGGAAAATGAGTTGGAAAGGAGTGAAGAAACAAGTCGGAAGACTACTTAGAATCTTTACTGATGGCCCTTTCAAGAAATGAGGATAGAGAGGAGGGTGTGGAGTCAAGCAATGTAAAAAATGTGACAGGATAGGGTGAATGGGACTGGGGCAGTGGAACAACTGTAGTACTTCAAGTTTTAGATCACAATCACTTCAGGGTCTTTAGGAGATGAGATATTTTAATGGCCAATGCAAAGAGTAACATCATTTATTTATGCATTCATTTCCTTAAATATTTAATCAATGCCTAGGATGTGTCTAGGTAATATTAAACAGTAGGAATATAAAGAGTAGTGATGCAGTTACATCACCAAGGACTACACAGTCCTAACACTGGCTCATCACCCCCTAAAACTAACACTGGCTCATCACCTCCAAAACAACTGCCAGTGAGTGGTTATTGTATGCAAAGCAGGTATTGAGTCTTTACAAGGATCGTTTTAATGAATCATCACAATGGCATTTTGAAGTAATACTATTATCCCCATTGTACAGAAGAAGATATTTTACTTTGAGAGATTGACTTGGCCAAAATCACACATTTAGTAAGTGGCAGAGCTAATACCTGAATCTAGGACTATCTGTCGCAGTCCCATGCTACATGGAAACCCAGACCTACGAATCAGTAAATGTATTAAAGGAAATAATCAATTTTCCCTGACAGAGTGGTTTGAAAGCCTTCAAAGTGGTGATTCTTGATTTGAGTTTTTACAGGTAAGCAGATTTCCTCCAGGCAGCCAGGGAGGAAAGGAGAGTGAAAGGGCACAAGCAGCGTGTTCTGCGGAAGGGCAGCTGTGCTGCATCAGCTCCACCTGTTTCTCCATATTTACTCTAATTCTCTTTCACCTCCTCTCTGCCCCAGAAGGCTGACTGCTATGGACTGCACAACTTTAGCTTCTTTGGGGGCTGACTGAATTTGACTGGCTGTAGATTGGAATGTGGGAATCAGGAAAAATCAGAATTAATATTTTCCTGGCTCCCTCCATGCAAGGCCACAAGTTGACAATTGCTGCGTTCTTGTATCAAAGGCTACATCTGCTGGACATTCCTCCCCTCAGTTCTCTTCATTCAAAACTACAGTTCTCTTCACTTCTAGCCACTGCGTCTTCCTCTCACCTTCAGGCCTGCAGGCCTGAATGGCTCCACATGTTGCCAGGGCTTGAATGTTCCATCATCCCTCTGAGTTGCTTAACTCTGCCCCGCACCTTTTGGAAATAGCGTCCCCCTCAGTTTCATTCTCTCTGCCTCTGCTTCTCTCTCTCCCGGGCATGTACACACATTCCCTTAACTAATAGCTTTATTGAGATATAATTCACATAGCATATCAATTTATTCATTTATCGTACACAATTCAAAGATTTTTAGTACAGAGTCGTGCAACCATCACCACAGTCAGTTTTAGAATATTCCCATCACCCAAAATGGAAACTTTGTAGTGTTTAACAGTCGTCTTCCCGTTCCAACCCCCAGCCCTAAACAACCACTCATCTACTTTCTATCTGCATAGATTTGATTAATGTGACATTTCATATAAATGAAATCATAAAATGTATGGTTCTTTTGGGACTGGCTTCTTTCACTTAACATAATGCTTTTAAGGTTCATCTATGTTGTAGCATATATCAGTATTTTATTTCTATTTATTGCTGAATAATATTTTGGGGCTATACCACATTTTATTTATCAATTAATTGATGAACAGTTCAATCATTTCCAATTTTTGACCATCATGAATAATGTATGAAAATCTGTGTACAAGGTTTCACATGAACCTCTATGTTTATTTGCTGAGTACATATCTATGACCATAATTACTGGGTTATATGACACTCTATGTTTAATCTTTTGAGAAACTACCAGACTGTTTCACAAAGTGACTGCACCATTTTACATTCCCATCAGCAATATGTGAAGATCCTAATTTTCCATGTCCTTGGCAACAGTTATTAGCTGTCTTTTTGTTTTCTTATAATCCTCTAAATAGGTACGCAGTGGTATCTCATTGAGGTTTGGCTTTGCAGTCTTCTGATGGCTAATAATACTGAATATCCTTTTATGTAATTATTGACTATTCATTTTTCTGTTTTGGAGAAATATCTATTCAGATCCTTTGCTCTTGTTATATCTCTCAATCTCTTAAGCAATTCATTTGTCTCCTGTGTTTCTTGTTAGGACCCCCATTGATACATATTACAAAGACTATCCAGATTTATAGAACATGCCTTACTTCAAGGTGCACACATTCAGCAAAAGATTTAGGGCAAGCCACTTGTGCTAGTTGTGAAAAACAAAAAGAAGAAAATCATTTTTATATTACTACACTGACTTTGGTGATTTCTTTTGAATTGAGGCTGTATCTCAACATGATACCTTAATCATCTAGTTTTTAATTGAATCATTTACTAGTCAACCATCCTAAAAACACAGACTAGTTACCTTTCAGTCCAGGTCACAGAAAGTGGAATTTTAGGGCTCCAGTTTTGTCAGTGCAAACTTTCCCAATGAGAAAAAGTCCTGACAGTTGTAACACTTAAATTTTTAAAAAGCTGCAAGTGACATTGATGGTGGCTTCTTCTCCTTATCAAAATGACTTAGACTTTGGTAAGACCCAGCAGCTCCAATAACGTTAGGGTTTGGGACCACACAGATCTGGGTTTGTATATCTTCTGTATAATTTACCATTTGCTTAACTTTAGACAAGTTACTTGAGCCCTTTAAACCTGTTTTCTTGTCTGTAAAATTAGGGTAAGTGTACCACTATATATAAAATAGTTGTGTTATGTAAGTAAAATAATGCAAATTAGACACCTGGAAAGAGTAATATTTAATAATTATTTCTTTTTCCACTTGTCCTTACAGTGCTTTTTCATGTTAATCTGGTTCTGAAAAGTATCCCTTTCCCCAATAATGCTAAGTACATGATACCAGACTATGCAGTTACGTTATAAATGATACATTTAATCTCTGTTTTAGGTGAACCCATTTAATTATATGCATTATTATTTAAAAATTCTAAAATATATTGAATCTCTCACTCCTTTTTTTTCCCAACAACAGTTAATAAGACAAAGTGTTAGCCTCATAGTATTTTTGTTCTAGTTATGAAAACAGACAAACTATTTATTCATTTATAAAATTGTAGGCCAAAAAATAGAATTGTGTTTAGTGTCTGTCTACCAAACCATAAGTTTCAGAAACCTTATAACAACCTATAGCATTGTAATTTATCTATAACATGAATTGGATCACAAGAATGGGAAAAGTTGCATTATATTCTCTATTTATGATTGTAAGCTCATTAATATCACATATTGACAAAATGCCAAGGGAAACAGAATAGTTTCCTTTTTAACTAACTCCAAGAGCTGATGAATTATGAATATGAAGTGAAGGGCCTATCTCATAAAACTAATGCTATATCTCAAGGAAGCCAGAGAAAAGCTCTGACCTTTAGGAACACAATGAATTTATAGAAAACCAGTCCTCCAGGCATCCACCCTGAAAAGTGCACTCTTATCTACAAACCACAGAGAGAAGCTACACTCTTAACTCAAATAATAGCCACGTCTCCCTCCTGAAAATTGTGGAGCTATTCTTGGACTACAAAAGCATCCAATTGTGAGAAGAGCAGCAGAGGAAGCTACTAAGGCCTTTAGATTGGTCCCTGCAAGTAGAGAATTTTTTTTTCCCCTGAGTGTAAATGGAATATCAAACGAGCACATTTTAAACATACAGGATTTTGGCAATTGTGAAGTTTTGTTCTGGATGCTCTTGTCCTTAAATTATATTATAATCATATTAGTAAAGTGAGCCAGTTTGTACTCAATACCATACTTTATTCTTTCTTGCCAGTCCTTACTAAATTCAGCCTACGAAATATTCTTTCCTGCCTCTTGATTAAAACTCAAGTAAATTCCATAGCTTTTCCAATCACTCGTCTTTTTTTTTTTACCGTCTTATTTACATTTTTAAACCTCACTTCCGCCCCAGCATTGCGTATTCTTTGTGCCATATTTTCCTGCCTTTTAATAAATAATTCACTGATTTTATTTATCTCCTATCTTCCTTCACTGGTAAGTTCCTTGAGGGTAAGGACCTTTTCTTTTTCTGTGTAGTGTATGTATGTGTGTATGTGTGTGTTTGTACTAATTTATTCTTTGAACCTGAAACAGTGGCTAGTACACTGGAGGCACTCAAGAAATATTTGTTGAATGGAAAAGTGAATTAGTGTATTAGTCTGTTCTTGCTTGCTATAAAGAAATACCTGAGACTGTGTAATTTACAAAGAAAATAGATTTAATTGGTTCACAGTTTCACAGGCTGTACAGGAAGATTGGTGGGGGAGGCTTCATGAAGCTTTTACTTACAGCAAAAGGCAAAGCGGGAGAGGGAGTCTTACCATGGCCAGCGCAGGAGGAAAAGAGAAAGTGGGCAGGGGCTTCACACTTTTAAACAACCAGATCTCCAGAGAACAGCACTAGAGGGATGGTGCTACGCCATTAGAAACTACCCCCATGATCCAGTCACCTCCCTCAAGGCCCCACCTCCAACACTGGGGATTACAATTCAAAATGAGATTTGGTGGGGACACAGATCCAAAACATATCAATTAGAAGTCTAAATTCTCATCTAGTTAAGACGTTTCTCTTCCCTCATCCTGGCCTCACCTTAAGCAGGACACTGTAATGCAAACGAAAGGAAGGTGTAGGCAGCTTCTCTGTTTTTCACTCCCTTTCTTGGTCTACTAATCAGCTGCTACTTATAACTGCAAGAGGCTGATGCAGAAGCAGGATGTGAGGTAAGAGAATACAAAATTACTTATGGCTGTAATTTTTCATCAAGGTCACCTTCATAACAACTGTGACAGATTCAGTGTTTGTTAGGTTCCTTTGTGGAGAATTTTTGTGAGTTCTTAGAAGACTCCACATTGCCGAGCTCCTCTCACTGCCTGATGTAGGTGGATAGCTTGACTGGTAGGCTGCCTGTGACATGACTTAATTTCTGCATCTAACTGTTTTCTTTGCAGTGTCTCCGATTAAAATAATATATCCTTATTATAAAAAGTGGTATAGTTATATAACAAAGGATTATAAAGGCAAAATAAAACCCTTTCTTTTATCCCACACCTCAAACTCCACCAGGTAATCAATGTTAATAACATTTTCCCACAACTTTCTCCTTGTTTGTATATATGTAGACACCTGTACATGCAAATATGGGATGCAGTTGTGTATATGTTTATTGTTACTTAGTTAAAACTATGTTACTTAGTTACTTAGTTAAAAACTGTTACTTAGTTACTATGTTACTTAGTTAACTATGTTACTTAGTTTAACTATGTTACTTAGTTATAACTGTTCAATACATTGACAACATATCATGATCACCATTTTTTCTAATGCCCTTATTCAGATACAATCAGGATATTGAACAAGTATGATTAAGATATACATAATCAAACAAACTTTGCTTTTTGTCTCTTGTTTCACACTTTAACATTTATTTAAGGAGTTTAATCTTTCCTTGCTCCTGGGCATTGTGAATTCAGAAAATCTGAGACAGGTCTCAGTTAATTAATTAATTAATTATTATTATTATTAGAGACAAAGTTTGCTCTTGTTGCCCAGGCTGGAACGAGATTTTGCAATGGCGAAATCTCGGCTCACTGCAACCTCTGCCTCCTGGGTTCAAGCGATTCTCCTGCCTCAGCCTCCCAAGCCTGGGATTACAGGCATGTGCCACCATGCCCAACTAATTTTTTTATTTTTAGTAGAGACGGGGTTTCACCATGTTGGTCAGGCTGGTCTTGATCTCCAGACCTCAGGTGATCCACCTGCCTTGGCCTCTCAAAGCGCTGGGATTTCAGGCGTGAGCCACCACACCTGGCCAGGTCTCAGTTAATTTAGAAAGTTTATTTTGCCAAGGTTGAGAACAGGACATGCCCATGTCACAGCCTCAGGAAGTCCTGATGACATGTGCCCAAGGTGGTCAGGGCACAGCTTGGTTTTATACAGTTTAGGGAGACATGAGACATCAATCAATATATGTAAGAAGTACATTGGTTCGGTCTGGAAAGGCCGGACAACTTGAAGCAAAGGCAGGAAGACTAAAGGGAGGAGGGACCATCCAAGTCACAGATAGGTGAGACACAAACAATTACATTCTTTTGAGATTCTGATTAGCTTTTCCAAAGGAGGCAAATCAGATATGCATCTATCTCAGTGAGCAGAGGGGTGACTGACTTTAAATAGAATGGGAGGCAGGTTTGCCCTAAGCTGTTTCCAGCTTGAGTTTTCTTAGTGACTTTGGGGACCCAAGATATTTTCCTTTCACAGCATGAACTTCAGGTCACTTTAAGTGTCTGAAATGAAAACTCAACTAGACATACATAACATTCATTGCCAGATATTCAGATTTGATTCAACATTAAAATCTTCTCCCCTTTCCCTGTTAAAATCTACTTTATTTATTTATTTATTTATTTATTTATTGTAAGTTTTGTTTAGACACAATTACTGCACATCATGTGAGAAAAATATTCAACTTCACTTCCTTTCATATTGATGACCCTTGTGCCAACAGCATCTATTGAATAAACTCTTTACCCTTCTTGCTCAAATGAAGTAACATTTTTACCCATTTGTACATATTACATTTTCAAATATATAAGGTTGATTTACAGGTTTTTCTGTTCTTTGCAATTGACTTGTTTATTCTCATGTTAATATTATAGTGATTAAAAGTGACTGGTATATGGCCCAACACCAGTAAGACAAGACTTCTTCCCTCACTATTCCTCTTTTTCATGCTTTCCCTGGTTTATCTCTGGCATTTTGACTTCTTCATTACATAGCTGGATCCAATTCTCTCCAACACCCACCATCTGGCTGGCATTTTATTAATAAATTGAATTGCATTACATTTATATATTAATTTAGGGATGTGTGATATTTTTATGACATCAAATATTCTTATTTAAAAACATGAAATGCTTTTTCAATTATTTAGATCTTGTTTTATTTTCATCACTAATATTTTACAGTTTTATTTTTATAGGTCTGACATGTTTCTTATTAAATATACTCCTAGGCTTTATATGGTTTTTATTGCTAGAGTGAATGTTATTTTCATTTCTACTTCTAGCAGTTTATGCCTAAGATAGAGAAAACCTATTTATTTTTGTATACCATACTTAACGTTCTAACAGCCACCTATGCACTTCTTATTAATCCTGGAAGTTTCTGTGCACCTCTTTACTGTCACACAATCACATTATTGGTCAAAAAAAGTAATGATAAAATAACTTAACTCTTCCTTATACATTTTTTAAAAATTAACATTTTGTTTGTTAGTTCCTTTGAGGCAATGGTAATAGCAGGCATTCCTGCTGACTGGTTTATAATTTTCATTGAAATAGTTTTAGGTTTGCTGTTTGAATGATTTAATGTTAATTTTTGGTAAAAAGTCTTTTTAAAAAAATATTTTATTTCTTTATTTATTTTTACACTGGGTTATCAGACCGTCTAATTTTTGTTGTTGTTGTTGTTTGTTTGTTTGAGGCAGAGTCTCATTTTGTTGCCCAGGCTGGAGCTGGAGTGCAGTAGTGCAATCTCAGCTCACTGCAACCTCCGATTCCTGGGTTCAAGTGATTCTCCTGCCTCAGCATCCTGAGCAGGGGACTACAGGCGTGTACTACCATGCCCAGCTAATTTTTTTATTTTTAGTAGAGATGAAGTTTTGCCATGTCGGCCAGGCTGGTCTTGAACTCCTGGCCTCAAGCAGTCCATCCACCTTGGCCCCCAAAAGTGCTAGGATTACAGGCATGAGTCACCGCACCAGCCAGGTAAAGTATTTTTACAATATTTAAGTGACATTCTATTTTTATCAGTGTTTTCATTAAGAATGACAGGTAAATTTTATCAGATGCTTTTTTAGCATCTACTGTTATGATCACATAATATTTCTCTCTTAGTTTGTGGATATAATAAATTACATTAAGAGATTTCATAGTAATTGTGCCACCCTTGCATTCCTGGAATAAGCCTTTTATTGCTCATCGTGCAGCACTATTTTGATATATTGCTGGAGTCTCTTTGCTAATATTCACTTAGAATTTGTGCTTCTATATTAAATAGTAAGATTAATGTATGTGTTGTGGGATCAGTTTTTGACTTTAAAGTTATTCTGATTTAATAAAATTTTTTGGTGATGTTGAGACCTTTTTATG
This sequence comes from Homo sapiens, assembly GCF_000001405.40. NCBI lineage: Eukaryota > Metazoa > Chordata > Mammalia > Primates > Hominidae > Homo > Homo sapiens. The sequence goes on from NC_000004.12 coordinate 141,895,192, forward strand.
GGTTGGAATAAATTAAACACTAATAGGAGCATATATTAATTAAACTTTAGATAGAATACAGTTGTGAAGCCACTTGATCTGGATCCTCTTTTATTAACATATCTGTAATGACATTTTATTTTTTCTTTCTTTTTTTTTTTTTTTTGAGACGTTGTCTCGCTCTGTCGCCCAGGTTGGAGTGCAGTGGCGCGATCTAGGCTCACTGCAAACTCCGCCTCCCGGGTTCCTGCCATTCTCCTGCCTCAGCCTCCTGAGGAGAGTAGCTGGGACTACAGGCACCCACCACCATGCCCGGCTAATTTTTTTTGTATTTTTTAGTACAGATGGGGTTTCACCGTGTTAGCCAGAATGGTCTTGATCTCCTGACCTTGTGATCCACCTGCCTTGGCCTCCCAAAGTGCTGGGATTACAGGTGTGAGCCACCACGCCCGGCCTGTAATGACATTTTCAATCTTTTCTATGTTAATTAATATATTTGTTGTAAGTTAAATCTTACTAAGAAATTATTTTCTCTAAGTTTTCAAATTTATTTTACCTTATCCTGTTTTGTCATTCTTATTATTTTTCTGTTTTATTAACTTTAGGTTTTATTTTATTAATTTCCTCTTCCTCCCTTCTTTTGGTATATTATATTGTACTTTATCTCATTAAAATTTTAAGGTGGGTATCCAGACAGAAATTTACCTTTCTATTTATCTGCTTAGTGCCTTTGGCACCACTCTTATATTTAGCAAGTTTCTAAATTTAAAAGACACTTCAGATTAGAAATTGAAATTATAATTTGTTTGTCTAGGCTCCTTTCCTGCAAGGGTGCAGGCAGCTATACTGTAGATGACATAGCACACAGATTAGAATAATCTATCTATATGAGAATTTAGCAGCTCATGATGTGGTGCCCCAGTATGGGGAGGTGGTTGGTGTGTGTGTCTAGTGGCCCCTGAATATGGGAGCCCTGTAAGAGAAGTGGTTGGGGTGGGGACTTAGCGAACTGCCCAAAGAAAGGAAATGAGAGTTTTAAATCACAACTTCAAAACTGGGTTCAGATAGCACTTGTAAAGTACATTATACCAGAGGTATCAGCTTTTTGACACAGCAGTGACAGGTGGAAGATTTGGGGCTCAAACTTGGGTGCTTCCTCTTGGCAGAGTGAGCAGGGTTTCATAGGAGGAACCCAGTGCTGTAAGTTTGGAGGCGTGTGTCCTCCAAACTTGATTCTCTGGATCTCCTGGAGATTCTCAGACATACTGTATTTGTAGTCAGGGGTCTACAAAGAAATGGAGCCAATGGAATATATACGTACGAAATTGGCTCACTTGGCTACGGATTAGATGAAGTCCCACAATCTGCAGGGTGGATTGGAAATGTGAAGTCCCCAGGAGGTCAGATGGTATCATCTCATACATCATACAAAGGGTTAGCAGGCTTGAGACCGAGGTAGAGTAATGTTTTGGTCTGAGTCTCAAAATAGGAACAAAACCCCAATGTCGCAGCTTAAAGGCTGTCAGACAGAAGAAATGTATCTTACTCAGGGGAGGGTTAGCCTTTTGTTCTTTTCAGGCCTTCAACTGACTGGATGAGGCCCGCTCACATTAGGGAGAGCAACCCGCTTTACTTGATCATCTACTTATCTGAATGTTAATTTCATCCAAAAACACTTTCACAGAACACGCAGAATGATGTCTGACCAAATATTTGAGCAACATGTGGCCCAGTCAGGTTGACACATAAAATGAATCATCACACATCCTATGATACATTTATTTTCTATTTTCTAGATTAGGTCCTATAAATTTTTCTGAATCCCACTAAAACTCATGACTGATACAAGTACCAGTTTTATTTTAATATTTAATCTTTTATCTTCAATAATATATTTAAGTCTAACACTATGTATTTTTCTCCGAGAAGAACTTTTGATATGGCCAATAGATTTTTGTATAGCCATTTCTCATTTCCATTATTTCTTAGATACTATTTTTATACTGAAATTACTTTTTGGTTTTACCACTATCTTAAAGTTAATTTTCTAATTTTTATGTAATAAAGTACCTTCATAAACCTTATATCTGGTCAACATTAGAAAATTGATCTGTAAGACTTATACTTTTTAAAATTGAAAGGTGGTTTTGTGTTTAGGTTTGTAAACACAATGTTTAGAAGCTCAATGATGTAAGCAAAATACAAGAGTTCTATATATCTTTATCAAATTTGAGATTCGAGTATTATTATTCATTTCTGATTTATAAGGCCTGTTCTATTCTTGTGGAAATATCTTGAAATCTACTATTTCTGATAAGTTCTTTTTGCTCCTACATGGTTTTTATTTTACATATGTATAGGGCTCATTGAGATTTATATTTTTTAAAAAAAATTTTGCTTTTTAAAATAAATTACAAAATGTCATTCTTCATTCTGATGGGTGAATTTAACCTTAAACTCCTTCCTGTATATTACTTCTAGCCACTACTTGTATGTATGTGTGCATGTGTGCACGTGCCCTCATGTGTGTGGGTGTGTATGTGCACATGGGTGTCAGTGTGTATGTTTGTGTGTGGGGGCTGCGTGTGGGTGTGTGTATATGGTCGCAGCTACATTTGAATAATAACTCTTTAATTGTCTTTTAATGTCAGCCCAGCTTTAATACTTTGTTTTTATAAACAGCATAAAGTTTTTAAAAAGTCTTAATATTGCATTCTGTACTTTAAAAGGCAATACTTATGTAATTTAATTGATTTGATTTGATTACTGACATTTTGCTGTATATGTATTATTTATTTTGCTTTATTATTTTCTTGTTCCCTTATAAAAATAAAAAAAAACGGTTTCACCAATTTACTTCTTACCTCCTTTTTTCTTATATGAGAGTTTTACTGCATTTTTCTATTCTATCAAAGCTTGCATTTTTTCTAATATTTATACACATTTCTCTAGTATCGTATGAAAAGAAGAAACTAACAATTCAACAGGGAATACTTTTACTCTTTTATTCTCCTTCTTATTCTATGTCCCATTCCTTTTCTGCTCATTGTCCCCCACGTTTAAAATTTTGCTGAGCTAACTTTGTATTTTAAAGTTCAGATCTTTTTTTTTTTTAATTATCTTGCAGCTTCTCACATCTATTTTAAAAATTCCTATGTAAGCCTGATATGTTTTGAATGCTTTGTCCTCTGCAAATTTCATTTTGAAATGTGGTCCCCAATGTTGGAAGTGGGGCATGGTGGGAGGTTTTAGAGTCATGGGGCTGATCCCTCATGAATGGCTTGGTGCCATCCTGGGAGTAATGAGTGAGTTCTCACTCTGAGTTGACATGAGATCTGGTTGTTTAAAAGATCCTGGCACTTCCTCCTTTCTCTCTCTCTCCTGCTCTTGCCATATGACATGCTGGCTCCCTTTCACCTTCTGCCACGATCGTAGCTTCCTTAGGCCCTCACTGGAAGCAGATGCTGGTACTCTGCTTCATGTACAGCCTGCAAAACTGTGAGCAAAATAAACTTCTTTTCTTTATAAATTACTAAGTCTCATGTATTCCTTTGTAGCAACAGACACTGACACAAAGCCATTTATATTTTGTGTTTCACTTTGGCAATATTAAAACAAAAACATTTTATTGCATTTCTGCAAAAACAAAGGCCAAAATCTGCGTGAAGATGTCAGTGAAGAAGTTCCCAGAATCCATGTAGATCAGAACATGAAGCTAGGAGAAGGAGAGGCCTCCAAGTAAGAAGGTAGGGCAGGGTGAGTTGATGTAGCTGTCTTTAAGCAGACTGCTTGTGCACATTTCAATCCCACTTCTTCAGGGAAATAAATGGAGCTTTTGATAGATCTTGGGCATGGTATATAATGTCAAGAGCAAGGGATTTATAGCCACATAGACTTGGACTCAAATTACTCCTCTGTCACTTTTTTCCAGGTGACACCAGGCAGTTACTAGCCTCCAGAGGTTCAGTTTCCTATCTGTGAAAAGGAAATAGTAATAATCATCTCACAGGATTGCTATGAAAATATGTAAGAGCACAGTCCTCTGAGGTAATATCATTAGGCACCCAACTAACATGTGGATCCCTGTCTTTCCTTGGTCAGAACTGTATGTTGATACTTGCTTTCAGACAGTAAAACTAATTTGAAATTCAAACCTCACATCTCTCCTGCTGAGAAGAGGAACAATGGGAAAAATAACACCTTTTCCCTCCAGCCAGGCATGTCTGCTTCCATTTTTCGGTTCACTTTTTGTCTTTGACCAGACACACATATAGAGTTGGAAGTACCTTGAAATGACAGATTTGTGTTTTGCAAAAATATTCTCTTGGCTTTGATAGGCAAATACTTCTTGACTTACCTCTTCGTAGTAAGAGATGTGTAAATCACTAGAGTCTTAGATTTGAACCCAAGATCTAGTCAACTACAAAATAAAACAAAAACCCAAGATAGCTGAGGGACATAATTAAATTTTGATTAATCTGGTATCTTAGAGTGTCTCTAGGCAATACTAACCTCTTACAAAATGATTTATTGCCTAACATGTCAGCTTGGGAAATACATGTTTCCAGCTGAAAGAGAATTTTATAGGGTAATAGGCCCACACTCTACCTCCAGGCAAAAAGTTTTCTAATATTGTCTCTACTAAACTCTCTCTACTTCTTTTTCTTTTTATAGCTCAGATTTGAATTCTTTTCTGGTGAGCAAATATTAAATAAAAGCTTGTTTCTCAAATGTAATTCATCAAGGAGATTTTGGTTACCCTCACCCAAAAAGTTATCTATTGAAATACTTTTTTCTCACCATCAGAATGAAATGAACACTATATTTTGGTTACCTTATGGTACCTGCATTGTAGATAAGTATAAATCTTGTGATTTTATTTTTTTAAAGCTTTGTATAGCATAGCCTTGTATTAGTATCACCTTCCCCCATGTCAGCTGTGTGGTCTTGTTCTAAGTATGTACTTTGGATAACCCTTCATCAGGTGGCAGTGGTCCTCAAATTGTGGACTACTTTTGCATCATCTGAAACTTGTTAGAGATGAAAATTTTCAAGCCCCCACTCCAGTCTGACTGAGTTTGAGACTCAGTGTTCTATATTTGAAAAGCTCTCCAGCAGAATATGATGCATGCTAAAGTTTGAGAACCACTGGGTAAGAGGACAGATCATAATCATCCAGAGCCCATAGTTCTGGATTGGGTTCACTCTTGGTGTTATACAGTCTATAGGTTTGGGCAAATTTTTATGGCATGTAGCCACCATTCTCATACACAGTATTTTCACTGCCTTAAACTTCCTCTGTGCTCTGTCTCTTCACCTTTTCCTGCCTCCTCAACTACAGTTTTAAGGATTTTAAGATAAAGGAAGAAATTATAGCCTTTATATCATTCATTCAGGCATTTCTTCAATCTATAGAAGTGTGAGACTTATTTTATAAAAAATCTGGGTAAGTAGGAAGCACTTTTATAAAATATGGGGAGAAAGAGAAGGGCGTGGATGTCAGAGTCCTGTTTGGACATCTTTTCTTGTGAAAGAGCACCTCAAGAAGAAAAACACATCATTGCTAATAAGCCTGTCACTCATAAACAGCATCCTTCAGGGATCTCCCTGTGGGCCTGGCAGAAGTGAGAGTGATCTCTCAAATTTCTTACTGGCTTTGAGGAGCAAACACCTGAGATCTTTTAGAATTAAAATTGGCAGGTCCTTTCAGAATCCTGCCTTTATCTCCCTCCAAATCTGAGACTGATAAACAAACAATTCATTCATCCACTGCCTGAGGCATCCCCTATTGCTTCCCGGGTAAGACTTGGTTCAGTTCAGTCCTGAAAATAGTCACATTGTTTCTTGTGGAAACTAAAAATCTGACAGTCAGCTGCCTCTCAGGACAGTTCAGTCTCACATCTTAGCAGCTTCTCTGAGCCATCTGCAACTGATAAGCTTCCAGATCAAAGGCCAAAGGCCCCACCTGGCAGGGATCAGACCTTAGTGAAGGAAAGGAGAAACTCGAGAAACTGTTGAGCTGAACTGTTTCCTTTTAGATAAAACTTTTGTTATTAGACGTGCCGTTATATTTAGCCATAGTATTTCAGAAATTCTATAGACCAGGACATTGATTTCAATAGGAGCAAGGCTAAGAACTTGGTAAAACAATTAGTTTAGAATTATTTCTCAAATGGAATGTTTTCCTGACTTTCACGGTTACTTCCTTTACTCAGACTACTGTCATCATTGTTTGCTTGGCTTAGTGAAAGGGTCTCCTAAACCATCTCTAGGGCTTCCAGTTGTTCCCAAACTCAGGTGACAACAAACTGTCAGTCATTTGAAGAGCAGATTCCTGGATCTTATCTACAGAGATGCATTCTTAACAAATACCAAGGGATCGCTGTATTAGTCTACAAGAGAAAGAGATTTAATTGACTCCGAGTTCCACATGGCTTGAGAGGCCTCACAATCATGGCGGAAGGTGAAGGGGAAGCAAGACATGCTTAGATGGCAGCAGGTAAGAGGGTGTGTGCAGGGCAATTCCCCTTTATAAAACCATCAGATCTTATGAGACTTATTTACTATCATGAGAATAGCATGGGAAAACTCCTCCTCCAGGGTTCAGTTACCTCCCACCAGGTCCCTCCTAGGACACGTGGGATTTGGGAGCTACAATTCAAGATGAGGTTTAAGTGGGGACGCAGTCAAACCATATCAGGATCCAGACCACATTTTGATGAACATTATTAACTCCATCTCCCTCTCTCCATTGTCTCTGCTTCCAGAGCCCTCGTTCTATAGTGCAAACCTAACCATGTCAGTCTGCTCCAAGAAAATAGTTCACAGTGATTCAATACCTTACAAAATAAGCACAGGCTCTTAGCCAGCAATAGTAGATATCTTTTTACATGTATAAAGGCCTGATTTTTTTTTCTATAATGTAGGTAAGACAAATTATAAAAGTAGATATGCTGCAAGAAATTCAAGAAATGACAGATGTGGAAACCTTTACATAGGAAATCACTAAGTACAAAAGATAAGAAAGATGAAGCCAAGAATGAGACTAGTACTGAGAAAGCATGGAGTGAAACACATATATATACATATACACATATATATTGTATGTAGAGGTGTATGTGTGTGTGTGTGTGTATATATATATATATATATATATATATATATATATAGTTTATGAGGAGAACTATCTTCTTGTTACTGAAACCAGAGAGAATGTGTTCCTGTGGGTAGTAAAGGAAATTAAAATATTTTACCTCCAAATATATTTCTTTTACGTATTTTGAGGTGGCTGTTTCAAGAGCCTGCAAACAGAAGTAACCTTGCAAAGCTGTATTTTGTCCTGGGGGAACGGAAGAGGCAGGGATTTGCATCTCTAGAGAATCTACCTTGATACAGCCAGGTTTTCTCTGTGGCCTTCACTTGTCCGATCTAGGAAAGATTAACTGAGAATCTAATTACTTCAAAGATCTAAAAGAAACATTTACTATCTATTCTCTCTGAGGGCTGCTACCTGTGAAGTTTATTTACATAACAAGACCACCTTTGCTAGCCAGGCCTCATCTTCTCCCCCAACACCCTCCCTCCCCCATAGCCCATAGCTTATTTTGCCACTGTCTTAGGCTGTTCTTGTGTCACTATAAAAAAAAAACCTGAGAATGGGTGGCTTATAAAGGAAAGAGGTTAAATTGGCTCACAGTTCTGCAGGTTGTATAGGAAGCATGGTGCCGGCATCTGCTCGGCTTCTCGGGATGCCTCAGGAAGCTTTCGCTCATGGTGGAAGGTGAAGCTTGAGCAGGCACAGCATATGGCAAGAGGAGGAGTGGAGAGAGAGAAAGAGACAGACAGAGAGGAAGAGTAGGGTTTACACATGTAAACCACCAGATTTCACTCACTATTGTGAGGACAGCACCAAGCCATGAGAGATCTGCCCCCATGACCCAAATACTTCCACCAGGCCCCACCCCCAACATTGGGGATTACAAATCAACATAAGATTTGAAAGGGACATAGGTTCAAACTATATCAGCCACCATAGCCTGGTTTGCAAGGATCCAAGCACACATTCTTTTGGTAAACTCAAGATGGTATATAGGCTTCTGAACCCCACTGGGGGATTGGGTAATCATTCTGTGGTTCTCCCCCATGTGCATATTAATAAATGTGTATGCCTTTTCTCGAATCTGCCTTTTGTGAGTTGACTTTTCAGCAAAACTTTACAGGGCAAAGAAGAAGTATTCCCTTGGCCCCGACAGTAAGACACCTTAAAATATAATGAATAATATCCTCATAATAAATACAGCAATCAGTTTCCTAGGGCTGTTTCACATGTCCTCACCTGTTGATCAGTGGTATAAGGCCTGGCATAAAAACTGGCATATAAAAACTAACCTGAAGCACAGTTCTACAATGCTTTGGTAGAACGGGGTGTTCTTCTCACCTCTGACTTAATTGAGGGATATATTTTTAAACTGTCTAAAATAGAATTCTACAAAATTTAGTAGGAGTGGGGTATGAGTTAAACAAAAATTTATTAAATTCTAACCCACAGCCATAAATAACTCTCCCTCCACTGAGCTTTAAGTAGATATTATGTAGTAATAAATTTCATGTTGTACTCAGATAAATTCCTGGAGTGCAAACTTGTATAATGTTGTTAAAGTGTATGCAGACATAATTGAACAACCCTCGGGTATGGGATAGAATTTCCATTCTATTGTAAAAATTGAGTAGCCTAACAGTCACAAAACTCCCCTCAAAAGCCCTTTTCTGAGGTGGCCCAAGGCAGTATGTCTAGGCAGGAGAAATTATGCTCAAGAAGTAAAATTTCGTCTTCCCAAACACAAAGAACTAATGCAACCAGTTCCATAATTAACCTGGAACATTTGTAAAATAGATTGATGTAACTCTTTTTGAAGAATGTGGTTATCCTCATTTTGTGATGACAAAATGAAGCTTAAGAGAAGTGAAGTAACTCGGCTAGTAAGTAACAAAGCTGAGATTCAAACCCATATCTGGTTGTCTGCAAAGCCCATCTTTTTAACTCCTACACTACACTACTCTTTTTCAAAAACCATTTCTACCAACCCTGACTCCCGTGATATTAAGATGCCTCATTAATGGACAGAATTCATATTGAACTTACTTGTCTAGTCCATAATCAAGTTCTCTTCATAGAATTGAAGACTGGGGAACATTAGCACAGTGTATGAGGCCTTCGTAGTTTAGCTAGTACTACTTATCCAGTCACCCCTATGCATCTACTCTGGTCTCAAGTATACCAAACCACTTGTACCATGCTCTTCTGCCATATACCTCAGCATACCATTGATTCTACACAGAATGCTCTCTCCTCTAATGCAACAGGCAGGCTTCTAGTCACTCTTCAAGTCTCAATTCAAACATTTCATCTAATTTTTTGCTGTGGGATAATATAGCTTATATAAAAGTGGGAGGCATATATTTGTCCAGATTGTTTTAATACATACCATAGGGATGGTTAGTTAGCATTTTGAAGTACCCTGATAAATAACTGACAGTCTGTGAGTAGGTATTTAGTACTTCATATATTGTTATTTGAATCTATACCAAAGGATTTATAAATCAGCAAAAGGATAGTAGAATTTGTTTTTTTGTTTTTGTGAAATCAACACTTCTTAAGGTAAGTGGTAAGTTAGGATACTTTCTAAAGGCCACATACACCTGCATAAAAGTAGTACAGAATAAAAACAATGGGTACATCCATAGACTAGACGAATATCATCAGTGCACCACTTAAGTTCCAGAGCCCAGTTAGTCTTATGTCCTTCCACTTTTGGAGCCTGGTTAGTCCTGTTATCAGAAGATATTTGTATCAACCTTCAAAGTAAAACTTTCTTGCAATTAAGACAGAGAGTGGTACTTGCCTAAGCCCTGAGAACAAGCTGTTTTACTGTTTTGTGCTGATTTTTCAGTAGATGTACATACATTCAACAGAATTTGGTCTAAGATTTGCTTTCATCATAATATGCCACCTGGTGTGATGGTAGAGAGTAATGATAGTTATCAACCCTACATACCACTAGTCACAAAAGGGATACTAGATATTTACCCAATGAGACAAACTTCACTGCTTAGCCAAAATCTCTGAGACAAGTTTACGTCATCTTAGTTAATCCTTCCCTGAGTATCCCAAATGGTGCACTCTATTTCTATTCCATATCCTATTATGTTTTATCCCATTAAATGAATGAATATAATGTATGTTGCATTACAGCCATGTTTTGTGGCCTTTTAGTACTTATAACCTATCAATGCCATACATTTTTTGTACTTACTGAAAAAATATTAAATCTACGACTATAATGGAATACAATATTGCACATGCTTTTTAAAAACATCCACACATATCTATTTCTACTTGCTACATATTCTGTTATACATATTTTGTTTTATATCTTTTGTCTAACTTTAGAATCCCTGCTAGACTTACACACATGTTCATGCACACATGCACACACAAGCATTTCCAAATACATTTTGGTCCCCCGAGGGACACCTTATTCATGCATGTTTAGCAAATGGCTAAAAATGAGTCTTATATACAAGGCAAGCAATAAATATCTGTTCAATGAATAAATGACAGAAATAATAGATAAGTATATATTCCTTGTCACATGACTCTTCCCGTTTTATCAAGGGACAGAGAGATGATTCATAATAAAGGCATTTTCAGAAGACTCAAGGAACCAACCAATGAACCAATATAAAGTTATTTCATTGAACCCATTTGTTAGTGAGTCAGCATTCTTTCCTCGCTTTGGTTTTCTTTATAGCCAATTAAGATCTTTGCAAAATAGTTTACATACTTTCTTCTTAGACAAATATCTGGCTGTATTCATCTAGAATTTGCAATATTATCTATTTTGCAAACTAAAATCCTAGCCGAAACTGATGTTGACATCCTATTGCAATGTGGTTCTACCAGATATTTTTTTTCCCCTGAGACAGTCTCACTCTGTCACCCAGGCTGGAGTGCAGTAGTATGATCTCGGCTCACTGCAACCTCCATCTCCCGGGTTCACACCATTCTCCTGCCTCAGCCTCCCGAGTACCTGTGACTACAGGTGCCTGCCACCACAACTGGCTAATTTTTGTACTTTTAGTAGAGACAGGGTTTCACCATATTCGCCAGGCTGGTCTCGAACTCCTGAGCTTGTGATCTGCCCACCTTGGCCTCCCAAAGTGCTGGGATTACAGGCGTGAGCCACCGTGCCCAGGCCAGATTATTTATAAATAGTAAATGTTGTACAATTAATAAGCTTGCTACATATCTGTTATTCAGGTGACTAGGTGTAGTGTAAACAATTAGCAGGTAAAGAAAAGGTACCTGATGTCACAAGACTTGTAACTAAAAAAGTCTAGGTGAGTCTGAAGAAAAGGGGGAAAGGAAAATATTAGGCTAAATGTAAGTTGTAGTACATTAGTTGAGTGATTAAAATCAAACATCTGTTATGAACAACACAAGTGAAGCCAGTAAGAGAGTTGCTATACATTTAGTGGTTTTCAAGCTTAGCTATTTTAAAAAGAGCTGATATTCAGGCTGCATCCTAGAAAAACTATCAGATACTCAGGATGTGACCCAGGTCTTTGTATTCTTCTTGAATTTCCCAGATGATTCCAAGATTTAGAGAACAAAGGTTGCACCTCACTGCTATGATTGAAACTGACCTACATGAAAAACACATGACTGGAAAAAAGCCTATGGTGGCAGCAGTAGCATATTAGAATAGCTTTGGTATCATTCCTCAGGAGGTTGAAATATCTCTTATGGCCCATACATGGGTTATGACAGGAGCTAAGTTTTAAAATCACATTAATCAATTGTAAACTCTTTAGAGTGTATTTATTGGGTTTAGGGTGAAAACAAGTATCAGATTTGGTATGTATAGAAGGAAAGCATGGGAGCTGAATTAAATACTGCAAACGGCATAAGAACCACCTTCATTTCATGGTGGGAGGGTGGAACTTTTCTTCCAGATAGCCAGGTACAAGAGAAAACACAGCAGATGTACTTTGCATTGAATAAAGACTACACATCCTCCTTAATCACCACCTTTCCTTTTTATGGAGTAAGTGTGAATTATTGTCAGTTTCATCATTTGTAATCAGTGGCTGAAACAGATGCTGAAGGTTTAGTTTAAAATGATATGTGTCTCTTATAACAATTTGCAATATGCTCTCCAAGGACTATTTACCTTCCACATTGCAGAAACTCACTGCAAAGGAGTTTATTCTTAAAAGCATTTGAGGTAAATTAAGCACAATGAATGCAACTTTCGTTAGAGATAACATTTAGCAGAGTTATTATAGGGCTTACTATGTCTGCAGTGAGTGGGCATTTGCCTTAATGACTTTGTTTAACAAGCTTTCAATTCCTTGCTTATGTGATTTAAATGCTCTTATAACTATTTGCCCTTAGGAGTTTGGTACCAACACAAGGCAATCACAATTTGTTTTTTTGTTATTTTTAAACCAAGTTAGTATGTAAGAGAAATATATTTATAGTTCTGATATCAAGGGTAATGACAAAATTCTTAAGTTTGTTGTGCATGTTACACTAGGCATTAGCATCATATATTTATAATATAAAATATATCCATCCACACACACAAGTTGCTCATTTCATACACAGAGCTAGCTGAGTGTATACAATGAATAGAAAAGTATATCAACTTCATTTTCTAGATGAATCACAGAAAAGCACATATTTTGAAAATGAAATACTGCAGGTACCTTGAAGAAAGTCAGAACCAAAATCAAGGTAGGACATAAAAGTTTTTGTTCTGATCTATAACACTTTGGATTTTTTCAAAAATAATATGTTCATTTACTATTTGTGTAACTAAAAATGAGCTATATAACAATGACTAAAAGGAAATAACATAAAAAGAGAAATGCCATAGAAAACTTAGAAACTGTAAATGACCAAAGTATAGTCCTTAATAATGTGAGAATATGAGAACCAAGCTAATTTTAAGAATTAATCATTAAGACGCAGAATTTAACAAAACAAAAAAAAATTTTAAAAGATTAGTTTTATTATCAAAATGGCACAAAAACTAAATTCTTCTGCAATTTCAATTCCAATACCAATTTTAAAAATTTAAGTTTATGTTTTTGTGTAGTGGAGTGAGTATCTGCCAGTTAATCTATGACACTTCATGATATTTCATGAACACTTCAATAGTCCTCTAAACAGAATCAGCCCTTTGTCCTTGGGGTTTTCCACAAGATAGGGTAGATTTTTCCCTTAAAATTGATATACACAGCCCAGAATATTGGTGGAATGTTTAATTCCTCAAGTTCTAAATATACTTTTTAGGCCATCAGCCATATAAGGTGTATATATTCCTCCTTCCCTTTGTCTTGATAAAACTGACGGACTTCAGATTATCAAGCAAAGAGATCACTTTATTATATTGTATCAGGATTATTCTTCAAATGACATTACCAAATGTATCCCATTATTAAAGAAAATGGGTGCTTTGTTTGATTTAATAAAGCAACATTTACTGAAGAGAGGTCATAGTAGACTTACAAAAAGTATGGGGTGGTATGGACTGAATTACTTCCCCCCAAAATTTATGTTTGAAACTCTAATTTTCAAAGTGACTATAATCTGAGGTAAGGCCTGTGGGTGGTAATTTAGGTTAAATGAGGTTGTAAATAGGGTCCTAATTCGAAGGAGTGGTGACTTTATGAGAAGCAGAAAGAAGGGAGAGATGTCTTTCTCCTTTAACACATGAAGAAGTCCTGTGAGCACACAGTGAGTAGGCTGCCACCTACAAACGATGAGAAGAGACCTCAGAATGAAATTTACTTTCTGGAATCTTAATCTTGGACTTCTAGCCTTCAGAACTATGAGAAATAAATGTCTGTTGTTGGACCCATCCACCCTATGGTATTTTGTTATGACCGCCCTGAGCAGTCTAAAATGTGGGTGTTCTACTCTTTTCTGCCACTGGGAAAAGGACATATCAGATTTTTGCCAATAACTTACTTCTCCCATGTGGTGGGTTGAGAGGTAGTTCCCAAAGAGATACGTCCATAGCCTATCCTCAGACTTGTAAATATTAACTTATACGGCAAAAGATTGACTATTATCTTACATGGTAACAGATGTGATTCAGTTAAGAATTTTGAGATGAGGGGATTATCTAAGATTTTTCTGGTCAGGCCTTAAATGCCATTATAAGTGTCCTTGTTAGAAAAGGCAAGGTAGATAACATCGAAGAGGAGGTGGCAGTGTGGCCAGGGAGGCAGAGACTGGAGTGATACAGCTACAAGTTAACAAACACTGACAGCCACCAGAATCTAGAAGAGGCGAAGAACTATCTTAGAGCCTCCCAAAGAGGTGTGGCTCTATAAACACTTTAATTTTGTGCTTCTGGCTTCTAAAAATGTAAAATTTCTATTTTAAGCCATTCAATTTGTGGTAATTTTTTATAGCAGCCAGAGGAAACTAGTACACCCCATTTCAGTTTGCTCATCCATTTTCAGTGGATCCACAGTCTCTCTACACATCTCATATTTCTTTATAAAACATTTAAAACTCCTAAGTTAAACCATGTGTGTGTGCATGTGTATACAAGTAAGTCTTGAGACATTTGGGAAGTCTCTGTTAACTTTGTCAACTTCATTTAAAAATCAGTTCCTCATATTCTAAGGATGTATTGTTAGATATATTCCCATTAAAAACAAGAATAAGGCAAGGATTCTGGCTTAACCCTTATCTATAACATTATTTTAAAATTCTTCTGAATTATATGAAAATACAATAAGGCTCAAAAATAAGGGATTTACCTATTAAACAAGAGGAGAAAAATAATTATGAGCAAATGACATGAGTTTCCACTTGGAAGTTAAATAGAACTTACCAGAAACTGTTAATATGTGAGTACAAAAAAGAAAGCAATTAAGAGTGGCTTAAACATAGTGACAGCTTTATGTCAGCTGTACTCAACTAAAGTTAAGATGTCATAATAAAATCTTGGTAAAAATATAAATTATTTAAAATTTAATTATTATAAGAACTATAAGGGGCTGGCTGTAGTGGCTCATGCCTGTAATCCCAGCACTTTGGGAAGCCGGGGCAGGCAGATCACTTGGGCCCAGGAGTTTGACACCAGCCTGGGAAACATTGGCAAAACCCTGCCACTACAAAAAATAGAAAAATTAGTTGGCCGTGGTAGCATGTGCCTGCAGTCCAAGTTACTTGGGAGGCTGAGGTGGGAGGATCACTTGAGCCTGAGAGGTCAAGGCTACAGTGAGCTGTGATCACACCACTGCTCTCCAGATTGGGCAACAGAGTGAGAATTTGTCTCAAAAACAAACCAAAACAAAAAAACTATAAAACACATAAAAACAAAAATTAAATTCCTATGGAATACATGTAGAAAAAGGCATGCTATATTTCTTGATGGCAAAATTATTTTTAAAGCAATAAGTATCTGCCAAATTAATAGTTTGGCTTAATGTAATTGTAATCAAATTGTACAATGTTAATTGTAATCAAATAAATCTTAGCTAGATTTATTTAGACTTTAACTCAAGATTTGTTTGAAAGAATAAATAAGCCAGAAAGGCTAAGAAAAAAAGACTAATATCATAAAGATACAATTTTTTTAAGTCAAAATTTTCTAATACTGCCAAACAAAATCAACAGATCAATGAAACAAAATAGATAGCCCTATCAGTCATAGTAATTTTATGTTAAGGGGACACATCAACAATTATTAGTGAATGGGAGGGCTATTCATCAAATGATTGGGAACATTAGATGATTATTTTGAAAACTATAAAGTTTAATTTTTAGCATATAACAAAATTCTGGATACACTGAAAAGTTAATAACAAAGATAAAATTTTAAAATACTATTTATAATTTATATGAACATTCTTCTGAGCTCTGAATTGAGGACTTCTCAAACATACAATATTTAGTTTTAAAAAATCCATAATAAAAACATTTTATATTTTACTACATAAAAATCATAATCATAAAAATCTAACATTCGTATTCATAAAAACATTGATGAACAAAATGAAAAGTCAACCTCAAGAGAATATACACTATAAACATGATGGATATAGTTTTTATCATTAATTACATAATAGAGATGTTATTTTTGTCTGTGTTAATTTCTATTTCCCGTTGCTGTCACGTCACCTAAATATTCAACCATGAATCTTGAAGTCCCGGGGGTGGAAGGGAAATGTTCTACACGGGAAGGATATGTACATCCCTTCTGGCTCAAGGCATTGTGGGGATGAGGAAGAAGATTCAAGCAGAGAAGGAAAGTAGACTTCAATTATTGATCACCATCTCCCACCCTATTCTCATATCTTTTGAGCTTACATTTTGGGAAGCTGATTTTAAAAACATCCAAGAGTTATGGAGTAGACTCTCTAGAGAGTGGCTTGCCTCACTATATACTCATAGGGGGCTAGTAATGACAATATTCTAGAAGACATATATGTGGTATCCATCATGGTACTGGAGTGATGGCTTAGAGGTGTCATTTGATGCTGAGATAGACTCTCAGGAAGTGCCCCTGGTCCCACCAGTCTCTGTATGTCAAGCAAGGGACCCAGAGGTGCCAGTGTGCCTATTGAGAGGGCAGAGTGGTGCTTGAATCTAGGTGAAGTGACCATGGCGGGCAAGGATGTAGAAACCAGTGGCAAATGGCCAGAATTGAGGACTCCAGTGAAGGGTGCCAGCATGTCAAGCTTAAATTGCTAAAGGGGACTCAATCATAGTGAGAAGTCACCCGTCCTGGGAATCAATAGCCCAGCTACTCCGCAGTGAAGACAAGAGGATCCTGAGAGGTCAGGTCAATCTGAGGACCCCAGCCTCTCCAGTGCTCTATGATCATAGGAAATGGAGATGGTAGAGAGCACAGAAAGGAAAATGGCCTGTGAGGATCAGAGGATTTGCAGGTTAAATAAGGGGCTTGCAATCTCTTCTTATACCGTAACATGAGCAAATTTCTGGCCTAACTCCAGGTGTTGCCTATCTGTATATTTCTAAAAACTGAAGCATTCTCCTGGAAAGTGAATCACTGAGGGTGTGGAGTCCGGGATAGACCCTTTAGGATTATGTTCTCACTTCTTTTCTCATCTATCCCTTCTTTTTTACATATCTCTTGTTCAAGAAGCAAAGACCTTTCCATTCTGTTTGCCGTATCTTCTTGTGCTATGGCCATAAGCCTCTTGGATTCGTTCTCTTTTCAGAGGGGAGATTCTCTCCAAAGTCTATTAAATAAACACTTTTTCTACATCCTCCAGGTATACCTCTCTAACTGGGAGCTGTGGTATGACATGGAAGTAGAAACCTCTGAGGATGAAAATTATTTGCTATTCTATCTTCTAAATATTCTCTAGTAGAAAGTCTTAAATAGCTCACGCAACTGATAAGAAAATTCAGAAAAGACTGAATAAGAAATTCACAACAGAAAAAAATAAACATATTAAATAACATTTAAGTTCACAAGTAATCAAGGATACATATTTAAAAACACAAAGCCTTATTAAATTGGCAATTAAAAGAGTTCCCAATGTTGGAGAGAGTGCTCTAAAAGAGGATTTTTTTTTTTATCATGCTGCTGGTAATGTAAATTTTGCTTTAAGCTTTCATAAAGTAATTTGGCTATATGTTTTTGTATTCTTCAGATGATCTTCTTAGATCATGTGCTTCTTATGATTAGAAAAGACAATAAATAATGGCTTTAAACAAAGCTAAGTATCTCTCCTTGGCATTCATCACTGCTGACTGTAGTAGCCTATGTGGCGTTGGTGAGACGTCCACCTGGCATATCCTATAGCGCTTATCTACATTCACCAGACATGTATATCAGTAACTGTTGGCAGGCAGCCAAAGTGACAGGGATGTTGTGCTAGGAGTTTTAAGTAGCTTTAATTTTCTGTTTCAACTGAAATTCTATGTAGACTTTTTCAAACGTATGTAATTATTCAAACATAAATCAAAGCACTAAATTAAAATACAAATAGTAAAATTATTTTTCAAAGAAAAGTTAGCACATGAATGGTTAAATCCTTTTCTTAAGAGATATAGCAATGTGTTGCACATATACAAGTTCATGAAGCAAATTTAGTACAAGAACCTAATAATAACAGTGACATAAAACTGTATCAAAATGAAGATGAAATCCCAGATTAAGGTGGCAAATGTTCAGCTGAATCACTGTCTCCTCTGACAGGTGACTTCCTAGGGACTGCATTAACACTCAGAAAAGCAAGCAACTGTCCCTTCAATTCCATGGTGGTGTTTTCACTAGGAAATTGGTACAAAGTTACCATCATACACACAAAGAATAAAGGATTCAGAAAGACTGAAAGCCAGAAAAAGTAGTATCTTCCTACCTTTTAACTTTTCCTGGAAAAATTACATATATAATCCTTAACCCTAACCCTACTTTAGTTCTATATATATAGAGAGAAACATATATGTATATATATATTTTTTTTCCTTGGCTCTTTTAAAAAGGTGATAGAAGGAGCCCTAAAAAAAGAAGTGTATGTTTATCTGCTTTGTAAAATGTGATTAAGAGAACTATTTTCCAAAGCTGGATTCCTCTAAGCTAAATGAAAAACTATTCTTTCCTCTCAGTTCTATGTTTTTCTAAAACACATTAAAATCTTTGGTTCTGTAGTGTAGGATTTTACTGAAGTAGAGTGAGACTGGAAAAAAATATTGTTTTCCAACTTAAGAAATATTCACAGTGAATCCTTTAGGCACAGGAGTAGCAGTGCAGAATATCAGAGATCATGTCAACACCTTTATTTCACAGGTGAGAGCTCAGAGGCTCTGAAAGCACAAGACAGTCTTTGGAGGTCATGCTGTTAGTCTGTGCCAAGACAAGATCTTGCTCCTCTGACTGTAGCTCATTCAATTGCATCATCAGTCTGGTGATATTTACTATGTAGCAAGGACAATGTCTTTCCCTCAATTTTCCAGATCACCAAGCAATGATGTGCCTGTTACACATGACATTAAATTTAAGATGGGTCTAATGAAGGGGAAGTTTAAAGTGCATGAATAGTGTTTCAGGCCCATATACTCCTCTCCCGGTGTCTCCATTTCTCTTTCCTGTCTAAGGCCAATGAATTGCCACAGTATCTATTACTTGAAGAATCTGATGCCATTTGCTACTTTATAACTTACATAAGCTTCTTGTGTAATTTTATGGAATGAGATTTTGGATGATAAAACATTTCAAATGAATGCAAACCTTTGTGACGTTTTCTCAGCACATATCACTTAATATCTATTATCGTATGAGATAATACATGTAAAAGGGCTTAATTCAGACAATACATGTAAAGAGCTTAACTCAGTGCCTGGAGAACAGATATAAATCCAGCTGATCACATGTCAATGATTTTACTTTATAACTCTGATTCTTCTCCTAGTAGTCATGGCCTTGAGACTCTTCCATATATTATAACCCAGGCCAGGAGTTCTTTTAAAACTTCAGGAGAGCGGGGAGATTGGTTTATTTTACTACTGATACATCCCAAACACGTAGAACAGTATCAGGCACAGAATAGACTCAAAGACATAATTCCCAATGAATACATGGATGAGTGTAAGTAGGGGAATGATACAGTAATGTAAGTTGTGAGCCCTGCTCTGAGACTTGAAGCCCAAGCTCACAGCAAAAGCTGCTGCCCAGATTGACAGAGATGGAACTTATTACATAGATGGAACTTACTGCAACAAGGCTGATCAAGAAACAGCTTGTGAGGAATGTTTTCTTTTACAATGTTAGGGTAATGCAGGAAGATGATAAGTATCAGTAAGGATTTCTATGACATTGCTTCCATTACAGGAATTCTTTAATTCCTCCTCCAATCTGGAAGACTTGTTGTATATTTTGGGCTGAAGGTTTTTTGTTTTGTTCTGTTTTTTTGTTTTTATTTCATGGATACTATTTCAAAAACTGAATAACAGTGTCTTAAACCCAGTGACAGACACATTTGTTATGGGTATCTTAACTTGAAACTCCCACAGACCTCGGACAATTTTTCTATTAGCCAGCATTCTTTTTTTCTTTTCTTTTCTTTTTTTTTTTTTCTTTACATTTAGAGGAAGTATTTAAGGAATGGAGATACTGTCTTTTTAAAATTGTATTTAATTTAACAATGTGAATCAGATTATTTAAAAATAAACTTTAGTAAGTAATAGTTCCAGATCTTTACCTTAAGGTGATTTAAAAAGTAATAACTAGATTTGTCAGAGGTGTCAGAACAGAGCAACTCCATCTTGAACAGGCCGGGTAAAATGAGGATGAGACCTGCTGGTCTCAGCAGGTCTATTCTTAGTCAAAAGATGTTTATGGTTAAGAGAACAGAAACAGACCCAGGACTTAACAGATCCAGAAAATGTCCTGATGTCCCAATATCTTAAGAACAAAACCATTCCTAGATTAAGAATAAGTTTCATTTTAAAGATAATACAGACTCTTGGAAAAGATGGTAGTTACACAAAGATTAGCAGTCCTTTATCACAAATCCTTGTAGTAGAGCACATCTCCCCCTTGATTTTTGTTATCTTATATATAAGCAAGCATTGTACCTAAGGTGGGCGCATTCCTCCTCTTACTTTCGGGAGCGCCCCACTCTGTCTATGGAGTAGCCACTCTTTCATTCCTTTACTTTCTTAATAAACTTGCTTTCACTTTACTCTGTGAAGTCACCCTGAATTCCTTCTTGTGTAAAATCCAGGGACTCACGTGCTCACCAAAAGTAGTGTTCAGAAACATATATTGAAATTAGAAATTTCTTCTGGTCGGGCGCGTTGGCTCACGCCTGTAATCCCAGCACTTTGGGAGGCCGAGGCGGGCGGATCACGAAGTCAAGAGATCGAGACCATCCTGGCGAACACGGTGAAACCCCGTCTCTACTAAAAATACAAAAAAAAAAAAAAAAAAAAAAATGAGCCGGGCGTGGTGGCAGGCGCCTGTAATCCCAGCTACTCGGGAGGCTGTGGCAGGAGAATGGCGTGAGCCCGCGGGGCAGAGCTTGCAGTGAGCCGAGATCGCGCCACTGCACTCCAGCCTGGGAGACTGCAAGACTCCGTCTCAAAAAAAAAAAAAAAAAAAAAATCCAGGAACTCTCTCTTAAGGTCTGGATTGGGGCCCCTTTCTGGTAACAGATTTACTAAATGATTTTGAAATTAAATAAAAACCTCTTATAAACTGGTGTTATTAAGAAGATGCTTCTTTTATTTTATTTTATTTTATTTTTTGAGATGGAGTTTCGCTCGACTTTTCTCCCAGGCTGGAGTGCAATGGCATGATCTTGGCTCACTGCAACCTCTGCCTCCTGGGTTCAGGCAATTCTCCTACTTCAGTCTCCTGAGTAGCTGGGACTACAGGGCCACTAAGCCCAGCTAATTTTTTTTTTTTTTTTTTTTTGGATTTTTAGTAGAGACGGGGTTTCACCATTTTGGCCAGTCTGGTCTTGAACTCCTGACCTCAGGTGATCCGCCCGCCCCGGCCTCCCAAAGTGCTGGGATTACAAGCGTGAGCCACTGCGCCCGACCAGAAGAAATTTCTAATTTCAATATATGTTTCTGAACACTACTTTTGGTGAGCACGTGATCTATGTTATGGATTTTAATAAAAGATAATGTTGTATTCAGCAATGCTGCCCAGGAAAATATAATGTGAGCTGCAAATGCCATTATGTCATTTTAAATTTTCTACTAGACACATTAAGACAAGATGAAATTAATTTTCATAATATATTTTATTTAACCCAAATATTATTTCAGCATGTAATTAATGTAACAACAATTAATGAGATATTTTACTTTTTTTGTACTAAGTCTTCAAAATCTCAGTTTGAACAAGCCACATTTCAACTGCTCAAAAGCCACATGTGGCTGGTGCCTGTCATTATAAACAGCACAGTTCAGGAGGTTAAACAGTTTTGGAATCAGACAGTTCTGAATGTAAATCCTTGTTCAACATTTACTAACTATGAGACACTGAAGAAATTTAAACATTCCAAGTACTAGTTTTAGCAACTAGGAAATAGGGATAATTTATAAATTGAACATTTTAGAAATAATATATATGAACCATTTACTACCATGTTAGGAACTCAGGAACTATTACTTCCTGAGTAAACTAAGGTTTCAGTGTTCAAAACATAATTTCTATTAAAGGTAGCTGCTATTAGCAACATCAGTGTAAACCTTTGAAACGTCAGAAAAATTCTGTTAGTTTAATGTTCTTCACTGAGTAACCAATATTATTACCTTGACATGTGGAAAGAAGCTCATGATTGTGGAACATCTGAAAGGTGACCTCTTTAGCACACAATAAGATAATATTTTTGTCACATAGTGTTAAATGTGCATTAATCATGAGGCAGCTCACCTTCCTCATAAATCACACATGAAAAATGACAGGTGATATTCTCATTTTAGTGGTATTATCTTTATTAAAAGCCACATAATGCCTTGGTAATAAGAAAATTTATTCTGGAATAAATTAAAACATTTCTATGCACTCTGAAAATTAATTTCCTTTTGTTTCAATTCATATTCACACCCCGATCATTCCAGTCTAGATGTATAAGCTTGACTTATTCTGGTCACCATTAAGAATATCCTCAAGGAGACCAATTTTGGTTCCTCTGGAAGAATAATATAAATTTAGATTTCTGGGAATGGTGTGAACAGACCCTGGAGAATAAGATGCTGAAGGTTTAGTTTTACAACATAATAGAAAAAAGAAAACTTATTTTCTTGTCATACCTAAGTACCAGTTGCCTGGGCTACGTCACAGAATGGTAAAGCAGTCAATAAAATTAAATATTGTATGATACTTTTTATACTTTGCAAAGTGTTTTAATGCTAATAATCTCAATGAGAAAAAATATAGAGATACACATTAACTGAATTGTAGTAAAACTTGCTTGTTTGGGCTGCAGTAGGCAGATAGATGAATAAACAGCGGAGAAGTTTCTATGAGCATGTAAAGGAAAATGACAGATTTTAGAAAGGTTTATGATTGTTACGCAGTGATAATTCAGAGGAAAATAGGTTTTAAAAATGATTTTTGTCAGATTCAGCCAAAGGAAATTAAAAGTCAACAAACTGGGTATTAAAATGGAGATCTCTTTGATATACTGATTTCCTTACACAATGGAGTACTACTCAACCATAAAAAAGAATGAGATTTGTCATTTGTAACAACATGGATGGAACTGGGGGTCATTATGCTTAGTGAAATAAGCCAGGTACAGAAAGATAAACATCATGTTTTCTCACTTATTTGTGGGATCTAAAAATCAAAACAACAGAGCTCATGGAGATGGAGTAGAATTGTGGTTACCAGAGGCTGTTAAGAGTGGTGAAGGGGTGGGAGAAGTAGGGATGGGTTACTGAGTACAAAAAAAAAAATAGAAAGAATGAATAAGACCTAGTATTTGATAACACAACAGGGTGACTATAGTCGATAATATTTTATTATACATTTTATTATTATTATTATTATTTGAGACAGAGTCTCACTCTGTCATCCAGCCTGGAGTGCAGTGGCACGATCTTGGCTCACTGTAACCTCCACCTCCTGGGTTTAGGCAGTTCTCCCTGCCTCAGCCTCCTGAGTAGCTGGGATTACAGGGGCCTGCCAACATACCCAGGTAATTTTTGTATTTTTTAGTGGAGACAGGGTTTCACCATATTGGCCAGGCTGACCTTGAACTCCTGACCTCAGGTGATCTGCCCGCCTCGGCCTCCTAAAGTACTGGGATTACAGGCGTGAGCCACTGCACCCAACCAATTTTATTATACATTTAAAAATAACTGAAATAGTATAATTGGATTGTTTGTAACATAAATGATAAATGCTTGAGGGGATGGATACCCTATTTTACATGGTGTGATTATTACAGATATTACAGACCTTGAATATCTGTATCAAAGCATCTCATACACCCCATAAATGTACCCACAAAAATTAAAATAAAACTTTTAAAGGGAGACATACATTTTGAATGCTGCACTGAAACTTAATCTTAGGAACTTTCTCTTTAACAGGATGAGAAATTATTATAGAGTCAGAGAATTAGTTCAAACCCTGGACTTCAAATCCCATCTTACTTCATAGATGAGGACTAGAGAAATTGAGTGACTTATCCATAAACAAAGTGATAGCTAGGGGCAGAGGGACTGGAATCCAAGTAATCATGTGATATTTAATCCAAGACTTCTTTTATGGCAGAAAGTTACTTCTAAGGAAACTGATCCACAGGCTGGGGAGGGATATAGATGAATATAGCAAGTGGAATATTTCCTGACATTTTATTCCCTTTGGCTGAATGTGTTCACACATGATGAAGTAAAGAAAATAATTAAATTATATGTTATTATGTACTAGAGAGCTCCAAAGTGAG
This sequence comes from Homo sapiens, assembly GCF_000001405.40. NCBI lineage: Eukaryota > Metazoa > Chordata > Mammalia > Primates > Hominidae > Homo > Homo sapiens. The sequence goes on from NC_000004.12 coordinate 141,919,639, forward strand.
CCATAAAAATGATGGATATTTTGGTGGGGAAGATGTGTGATTTATTCAAATAATTATTTAAATTCTGTGCTTTATTTTGACTAGAGAATGCATTGTAATATTTTCAGTTTGACTGTCATTTTTAATTGTTTTGTTATTCATGGATCATGGGCAGAGGAAGAAAAGTTGTCACTACTGAAGCATTTCTAGGGATTTCTTCTGGGCAATTAAGCAACCACTTCCCCCTCATGAATTGCTGCAGAGTCACAATGCCTAGGAAATTGATCAGATGAACGCTGGTTAAGAAAATAACCAGCTGGCATTTTGAATGTCGGATAGGGAATATGACTCTCTATTATTACTACTTCATTTTGGGGATTCGCAGATATATGAGTGCCTTGTAAAAGGAATTTCAGAAGTGAGTTTTCACACCTTGCCTTGAGATGAAGGATTCTTCTTGGTTCTACTCCAGGGACCTTGATGTTCCTGTTGCCCCACTCCCTGTGGTCCCACTGTGCTTCCTGTACCCAGGAATCAGCCCAAGGTACAGGGAGTTTATTTTTCTGAAGTAAATGACAAGTGAATGTAGAAAAGTTTCAGTAGAGTAATTTTGAAACAAAAGTAAAAATGCATATATGCCCAAAAGTACAAAAAAAGAAAAGCTGTAGAGAAAACTGTTATTTAATTCTCAAAACTGATAGAAAGCAATGAAAGATTTTGGTGGTAACTTTTGATTCTGCTGATAGCACAATCAAGGAAGATATTGGTAATTGAAGTGATATAAATGTCTATAAGACAAGCAGCATTGTTCATCTTCAGCAGAACAAGTAATGAAATGGAAATGTTTTGGGGTTCATAAGAAATTACTTCATAATTTTCCTAAGAGAAACAGCACTCACCAAATGTTCTTTTCTTGTGAATAAGGCATTGCCGCTATCAGCAACCATTTCTTTTATTATTCTTGAGAATATTTCTGATCCTATATTCTCTGTTATATACTTCATCTTCAACAATGTTTTTAAAATCCCTTCTAAACTCTCCTTTTGATTAGTAGAGTTAGTTTTGGTCAAAATTAAATCTAATTTGTCAACATCTCTTTGTGGCAATCTTTTGCCTTATTAAACTTCAAGACTGGGTTACTAAGTCTTCTTGTTGATTTAGCCCTTCCCGGGATTCTGAGACTTCTTGCCTGCAAAGAAAAAGGAAATACTAGAATATCAGTCAAGAGCTCTTTGTCCTACTGCATTTGGGCTGCAGTAACAAAATTCTGTAGAGTGGGTAATTTATTTAAAAAATGGAATTTATTACTTAGAGTTCTAGAGGCTAGAAAGTCTAAAATCAAAGTGCTGGAAGATTTGGTGTCTGATAAGGACCCACTTTCTGTTTCTTAGATAGCACCTTGTTGCTGCATCCCCACATGTGAAGGGACAAAGAAGCTCCCTTCAACTTCTTTTATAAGAGCAGAAATTCCATCCATAAGGGTGAAACTCTTATGATTTAATCACTTCCAAAAGGTCCCACCTCTTAATACCATCAAATTGAGTATTAGGTTCCAACATGAATTTTGGAATGATACCAACATTCAGACCATAGCATTCATTAAAGTCATTACCAAGCCTGTCTCATTATTTTCCCAATTCTAGTTACTGAGTGTGTCAAAGACTGGCTAACTGCTTGTCAAATGCATTTTCTTCTTTGAGAGAACACACCTAGACCACAGCTCCCATTATCCATGGCATGGCCAAGTTTCATTTCCCAGTTAGTTTCAGCCATACCACTTAGATCTGGTCAGTGGAGTGTGATTGAAGAGATGGGTGTGTCACTTTCATCCCTGGCCCATGAAAATCTCTTTCTTGTGACTCCTTCATTTAATTTCCCCTCTCTTGGCTGCTGTGTGCAGATGGGCATGACAACCTTGAAACCCCCATGATAAACCTGACACTATTTTAAGATGTAAAGACTGCAGTTTCGTAATTACTGCTTGAAGGTGAGACATTCATCAATCAGAAACACTCATTTTCAACCTGAGTGAAAAATAAAGTTTTTTTTAAAAAATAAAAAACCACTAATATTTGGTACTTTATCTATTACAGTGGCTATCATTACTTTATATAATACTGTGAAATACACACTCCTGCAATACATTCCAATCCTAGTAACTTAGTCCCTGCCCTGTTTCTGTTTACTGCACCTACATTTCAATTGCTCTGTAGGGCTCTGCCTTTCCTCTTAGTCCTTCCAGAAATTAAGCTTTGCTCTGAAAACCTATTCACATGCCAATGTATTGGATAGACCTTCTGGTGTTAGGACCAGGCAAGAACTAGGTGCTCTCTTCTTCCTCAAACACAGGCTTCAGCTAGTCTTTAGAGAACTGCTGTACACTCTGCCCTCCAGATTGCTTTTTCCATGTTCTTGACTCTAGAGTCAGTATGCCCAGCTTTGGTTATGGCCATGTAAGCATTTTACATTTTTAAGGTTTTCCTGCTGTAGGAGAAATAGATTCTATGTTGTGCTTTAAAATTAGACTGGCAAAATTATTTATTTTAACTAAAAAAAATAAGATATACAAGGAAGAAAGTCAACATGAAAATAAAAACCTACATCTTTTTAAGATGATGAGTACATTGTGATACGTTTAATGAAATAATAATCACCATTTGATTATCCTGGATAAGCTTCATGGTACAGGGGAACAGAAGAGAACTTGTGGGCAGGTTTGCTTCCAAAAGGAACAAAGATAAGTTTGTTTTTCCCAAATTACTTGTCTGGTAAGTCACTAACCTCAGCCAGGGTGGAGTCAGTAAAAAGGCAAAGAGAAACCAGCAGTTACACTAATCCACTCCGTCCACATGGCAGGACATACTAGGAGGGCAGAAAAAGAGTTTCCCTCTGACAGAAAAAGTTTTGAAAAATTGGTTATGAATGAGCATAGATATCACTGAAACTTTTGAGATAAAAATATGTAAATATTTTCTAATGGTCTCCATTTTATTTTTAATCAGATAAAGCCTAATTCAATGTTTTACACTCTCAAACTAACTTGTGACCATTTTCTCACTTAAGTTTTCTCATTAAATGCCTTTGAAACTTGTGCCTGTGGTTTCATTTATAATTTTGTCCAGTGGAAACCCCAATATCTGGGGCTTACATTTTTAAAATTTTTTTTCCAGCTTCATTGACATAGAATTGACAAACAAAAATTGTAGGCCAGGTGCGGTGGCTCATGCCTGTAATCCCAGCATTTTGGGAGGCTGAGGCAGGTGGATCACCTGAAGTCAGGAGTTCAAGACCAGCCTGACCAACATGATGAAACCCTGTCTCTACTAAAAAAAGTACAAAAATTAGCCAGGCGTGCTGGCATGTGCCTGTAATTCCAGCTACCCAGGAGGCTGAAGTAGGAGAATTGCTTGAACCCAGGAGGCGGAGGTTGCAGTGAGCCGATATCACGCCATTGCACTCCAGCCTGGGCAACAAGACTGAGAGTCTGTCTCAAAAAAAAAATAGTATATATTTACAGTATACAACATAATATTTTGATACACAAATACGTTGTGAAGTGATTACCACAATCAAGCTAATTAACATATCCATCACCTCACATAGTTAACATTGTGTGCCTGTGTCTGTGGTGAGAACACTTAAGATCTGCTCTCTTAGCAAATTTCAAGTCTACAACACAATATTATTAACTGTATATTATTATTAATTATACTCCATACTATACATTACCTCTCCATAACTTACATCCTGAATAACTGAGACTTTGTATTCTTTGAACCACATCTCCCCTTTGGCTCCATCCCTATCCCCTGGCAATCACCATTCTATTCTCTGCTTTTAGGAGTAACGTTTTAAGATTCCCTGTAAAAACGAGGCAATGAAGTATTTGCCTTTCTGTGCCTGAATTATTTCACTTAGCATAATGTCCTCCAAGTTTATCCATGTTGTTGAAAATGTCAGGATTTCCTTCTTTTTAAAGGCTGAATAGTATTCCATTGCATATATATACGCCCTATTTTCTTTCTTCATCTGTTGATAGATACCGAAGTAGTTTGCGTATTTTGGCTATTGTGAATAGTGGAATGCACATGGGCGTGCAGATATCTCTTCAAGATAATGACTTTATTTTCTTTGAATATACTCCAGAAGCAGTGTTTCTAGTCAATATGGTGGCCATATTTTTAATTTTTTGAGGATCTTCCATGTTGTTTTTAATAATAGCTGTACTAGTTTACATTTCTACCAATAGTATGTGTGAGCATTCCCTTTTCTTCACATCACGATGTTTATTTATTCATTGCTAATTACTACATGCAAGCAGAGTATAACAAATGTCAATAATAAGCTATAAACTTCTGAATATTCTAAAGTTCTTACCATCTGAGATCAGTTTTATAACTCCCTTATGCTTAATCTTCATTACATAAACACAACTTCAAAAAGTTCAAGGGAGTAGAGAAAATGGAAGAATTCAAGGGTCCATTTAGGTTAGAACACAGAATCAGTGAATCCACCTTAGTGTTGCTATAATGAGTTGAAGATAAGAAAGAAAGAACAATTTTGATTGGAAAATGGGATTTTCCTAAGGCTAATAAGAATGTAAAATATATGTGGTCATTAGAAATGCAGGAGTAGAGATGCTTTACTAGGACCACTTAAGAATTGATACTTGTTGTATAGTTAGTTAATCCTTATATTGTAAGCTAAAAACATTACACAAAAATAAGAATTTTGTGTCATCAACCATTGATCTGAATACAAGTTATACATTACCCAACAATAAATACACAGAGTCTTTATGGAGGGAGAAAGATAATGATAAGAGTTATTTCAATGATATCTATAGCCTATGAAGATGGGATCAGGACAAGTTCCATATGCCCATAATTAGTATGCATTTAAATGGAAGATGCTTTCTTCATTTTCAAACCCTTAATATGACAATTTTGCCCTTGATTTTCATCAGCATCACAGATTTGATCAGCTCTTTATGTTAACAATCAAATCTCTTCCAAGGTGTAGGTTTGTTTAACACACTGTAGGTTTATTTAACTTCCCATAGCTGTATTTTACTCAACAATATAGTTATATTTCATCACAAAAATGACGCTCTGATAGTTCTCTGACTCTTTTATGGCCAACAGGAAATGTAACATTACTGAAAGGGTTTATAGTTAGAAAAAAATAGCTAAGGGCCAACTACTTTCTTTTTTTTTTTTTTTTTTTGAGACGCAGTCTCGCTCTGTCGCCCAGGCTGGAGGGCAGTGGCGCGATCTCGGCTTACTGCAAGCTCCGCCTCCTGGGTTCAGGCCATTCTGCCTCAGCCTCCCAAGTAGCTGGGACTACAGGCGCCCACCACCACGCCCGGCTGATTTTTTTGTATTTTTAGTAGAGACAGGGTTTCACCGTGTTACCCAGGATGGTCTCAATCTCTTGACCTTGTGATCTGCTCGCCTCCACCTCCCAAAGTGCTGGGATTACAGGCGTGAGCCACCGCGCCCAGCCAACTATTTTCAGCTTGAGTATCACTTTTACTGCTCCTGGGCCAAACATAAAAACTGATCAGTGAAGGGTCCGTCAACAGTATTTAAAAAAGAAAAAATACTGAACTGTGATGGCTGTGTAGCTCTGAGATTCAGTCATTATTCAGGATAACCTTCTAGATGTTCAGACCACCACAGATAATATGGTGATACATCTTAAAAGTGGCGAGATGGCCAGAGCAAACTACTGCCACGTGTTAAAGCCAGGGAATAGTAAGCTCGGTCTTTGGGCAATGAATCCTGGAGAAGACACAGAGTTATTGTGGAAAAAATCGGCAAATTTTGGAGTGCATTAAACATTTTCTGTGTGCTAAATAATTAGAATGAGACACGTGTGCGTTTGCTTTCAAAAGAATGCGTATCTTAGATTAATCAATACATTTGTACTTTTTTTTCTTTTTTTTTCTTTTTTTTTTGAGACGGAGTCTCGCTCTGTTGCCCAGGCTGGAGTGCAGTGGCGCCATCTTGGCTCACTGCAACCTCTGCCTCCTGAGTAGCTGGGACTACAGGTGCCCGCCACCACGCCCAGCTAATTTTTTGTATTTTTGTAGAGACGGGGTTTCACTGTGTTAGCCAGGATGGTCTCCATCTCCTGACCTCGTGATCCACCCGCCTCGGCCTCCCAAAGTGCTGGGATTACAGGCGTGAGCCACCACCCGCCCGGCCACATTTGTACTTTTTTACAGCTATTACAACTTATAATACATTTTGACATTATGCTTTTCTACAATCAAGCAATTCTACAATCCAGCTGCTACACATGAGACTCTGCAACTGTTTCATGTGAAAAAGGAAAATGGAGTCTCCATTCTCAAAGGTAATTATTTTTTTTCCTAACTTTTAGCATGCTGTTCATCACTAATTCTTTCACATGCATTGAACAGGTTAACACTCGATATAACAAAAGCATATTTTTCTCGGGAGGTGGTGGCTTAGAAAGCACCATTAAATTGGGTATGAAAGCCCTAATGTGAAAAAGAAATTCCCTTTATAATTCCAGGCCAACTGTGAACCAACCTGTGTGATTTTGCTTGAGTCTGCAGGAAGTAGGTGTGTCTGTTTAGGACAACCTCCAGCTAGAGAAAAACTGCATTAAAGCCCTCCAAAGATCCTCAAGTGGTGATTCTCCATCCTGGCTGCATGTTTGAATCACCTTAGGAGTGTTTAAACCACTGGATGCTCTGGCTGCACGCTAGGTGAATTAAATCAAAAGCTCGGGGTAGATTCAGAATTCATAATCCTTATAACTTCCAGGTGATTTCAATGTGTTCCCAAGGCTGATGTTGGCATTTCTGAGGGCCTTACAGAAATTGGGATGGCACATTACATTACATTGTGCAGGTGCCTGATATGGCTCTCAAACTGAAAACAAGTTAAAAAAACGTCACATCTGTAGCCAGTTACTCAGTTATCTAGTCTCTCAGGGGACATGTTAACAGCATTTATTGATTTGGCAAGATAAATTGTTATGGCCCCTGGGGAAATATTAAGCACATCTCAGCCTCACTATATTTCCATAATCATTTTGCCTAGGCTTAATTTCAAACATATTTCCCTTATTTTACCCTAAATCAGCCTGGTCTAAATCTGCTTTTGCATGGAATATGGTCTTATTTTTAGGCTTTTTATAATAACCTTATTGAACTATTGCATGATCACTGTGTGCAATTACCTCATTGCATCTATCTGGGTGTGTTGTTTTTCTCCCTTATTTTTTGCAATTATTTCAATGGAGTATAATTCAATTACCTGGAAACAGGTTTTTTTCAAGTAGAATCTTAATATCAATAAGTATTTAAGTTCTCACTGTATGCCAGGCATGCTGTTATGTGCACATGATAACAAACTTGAATTAACCCATGAGTGTTCCTCTCAATGGGGCCACACAGTCATGAAAGTGACCAAAGAGTAAAATAAATAAGCCCCAAAATTCATTGAAATAAGTTGTCATTAGTCTTATAAAGACATTCTATGAAAAGAAAAGAGTAACATGGATAGGAGACAGGACACAAGGGATGGTGACAACTGAACTTGGTCATTTCAACCCTGTAACTTTTTTCTGATTAATAAATATACATAAAAAAGTGGAAATATAGAAATATGTAAAGAAGATAAGTAAAATATCACTAGTAATCCCACAATCTAAACAAAGCAGACCTGCCCCATCCTGCCCCATATGTATGTATACGTATATCAAATATATGAATGTGTGTGCCGATCTAAGTAACCAGAGAGAGAATCTTTAAAAGAAAAGATATTTGTTTGGGAATAAAGATTGTAGTGGGAATATGCATGCCATAGAAATCTAGATATGTATTCAGGGAGGTAAAGAAAGACAAAGCCTTTAAAAGAATGAAGAGGATTATATGGTTGTTTTGATATAATTAATTATCAAAGATCAATAACAAGAGTGACCAGCCTGAGGTGGACAGCGAGTTGCTGGGCAGATGTCCTTGCAGAAATATTTTTTTGTGCAAGGTTGTGATGGACTTTGTGTAAGTTGTGTGTTTGTAGTCTTTTGTGTTAGGCTTTGTTATCAGGCATACAAGCATAAAAACCCTCTTTTCATGGCCTTCCCAGGCATTATTGGTCTGATTTTTTTAAAAGCATTTGTGACACTATTTTGATTTTGACAATTTCACATATATGTGTGAGTGTACGTGCATATTTATTATATGCAATATGTGAGATACAGCATATATAAATGATATATACAAGTATACATATATTACACATTGATATATATACACATATGTGTATATATACTATGTTTAAACACATTTGTGTATATATATAATATGCTCATTTATTTACATATGTACATTTATAACAATACATTATACATACACCATAGCAATACCTGAGAGGAACTAAATAATGATACCTCTCTTTCCTGCCCAGGGTCTTAATCAATTGAGAAATAAATGACAGAAACTGAACGCTATAAGCCAGGCATGGTGGCTCACACCTATAATCTCAGCACTTTCAGAGGACGAGGTAATAGGATTGCTTGAACCCAGGTGTTCAAGGCCAGCCTGAGGAACATGTCAAGACCTTGTCTCTGAAAAAAAAAAAAAATTAGCTGGGTGTGGTATGTGCCTGTAGTCCAAGCTACTCAGGAGGCTGAGGCAGGAGGATGCTTTGAGCCCAGGAGATCAAGGTTACAGTGAGCTATGATCATGCCACTATACTCTAGCCTGGGTGACAGAGTGAGACCCTGTCTCAAAAAAAGAAAAAAGAAATAAAGTGAAGGCTCTAACAACGTCTTTATTGTTGATAAACACAGTTGAAGAATATAGCTTTGTGTGAGAAACCAAAGAGTCACCTAACTGAATCCAGAATTAGAATTATGCAGATGTATCCATCCAGCCACAAGCAAATCTGGCCCTGGGGAGATCAAGCTCCAATAGAAAATGTACTGCCCCTGGAGAAACAGTGTGGAACTCAAGCCTTCTGTGAGTAGGCTGCTTCCCAAAGAAGAGAAAGGTAGAGGCCGAGATGAGCATGCCAAGTTTAGTCTATACAAATTTACATATGGATGTAATTATTTTGTAATATATGTATAATTATACTACATATATTATCATATTAATATTAACATAATTATGTAATTCTAAATAAATATTATGCTGTGGTGAGTCAACCTAGTAAAAAATAAATTCTCAAGAAATTAGTTATTTTAATTTTCAAACCAAATTATTAGGATATAAGACAAAGCTTAACCTTTAGACAAATGTCCATGGTAACAATTCTGCTCCCCAAAACCAGTGTGTAGTGTTGTCAAAGCCCATCTCATTGGTGTCTGAGGAACAAAGGCAGATGGTAGACGGTGAAAATCTGAACTTCAACTTACCTGGTTTATCAGCCAGCCTATTTACATTTCTGGAATCGACCACCTGTGAACTTAATTGATAGGAGCCTCCTAGCAAATGATAAATGTTTTCACCATGAATTTGCCATGTGTGGGGTGGGGAGGGGGCTGGGAATCCAGTTGCCTCCTCCCTGTCTCCTCCACCAGACTCTCTCCTCCATCACAGGGCAATGTTCAGACAATGCTGTCATCTTTATTTGTAGTGGCAGCAGACTTTACCAGGGGTTATAAGAAAATTTTTTTTCTTTGCCAACCTATGCTAACCTTCTTAACTTCCATTTCCTTTGGAGCATTGCAGTCCCAAGGATGAGCTGTGAGTAGCACTGATCCCAAGGCATTCTTTGAGCCTGTGTACATTGGTACTCTTCTTTTGCCTGTTGAAAGGGAATTGATTTGGCCTAAAAAAGTCCTGTCTCCTAGAAAAGGATCTCACTTTAGAGCCACATTTGTTTCAACTGCTACTGAGGCTGTTGAGGCTGGCGCTCCCAGTAAGGGCCAGTGCTTTGGTCAGGTGGCCCTCTGAAGTTTAGACAATTAACTTTCTTTTCTGTTTCATAAATTTCTTGGGCACAGTGAAACCCATGTGCCTAGCTACAGTAACTATCATTTTGAAACTCATTACAATGTTCTTTAGTATTTTCTTTTCTCTCTCTCTTTTTTTTTTTTTGAGATGGAGTCTCACTCTGTTGCCCAGGCTGGAGTTCAATGGTGCAATCTCAGCTCACTGCAACCGCTGCTGCCCGGGTTCAAGCAATTCCCCTGCCTCAGCCTTCTGAGTAGCTGGAATTACAGATGTCTGCCACAGTGCCTGACTAATGGGGTTTTACCATGTCTGCCAGGCTGGTCTTGAACTCCTGACCTTGTGATCCACCCGCCTTGGCCTCCCAAAGTGCTGCGATTACGGGTGTGAGCCACCGCGCCCAGCCAGCTTTAGTATTTTCTATTACAGTATTGAACCTTTAGACCAAAAATAATTGGCCCAGATGCATCATTTAAGGTCAAGTGCTCCACAGTTCCAACCTGTGCTCTTAATTCAGAATGGAGTGCTACCTACTGCCACCTGAGGCAAGACAACATAGAAACTACCTAGTGTTCTGTTGCTCAGATGTAACATTGCACTCTTGCTTTGTACAGGCAGGTAATGATCCCACTTTAGCCTAGGCAGTGATACCAGGCCAAGCTGTGCCTACATCCTAATAAACTATAGCCGTCTGCTTGCCGCCTGAGGCCTTAGCACCTGACAAAGAAACTGCCTTGGCTGAGGCCCTTGCCTTGCACTGCAAATTCAAGGTCAAACTGCAACAATCTGCACTCTGAAGCCATCTGTGCTGGCCATGCCTTTGGCCCTACCTCTACAGAAAGTCATCTGGGGTCAGAACCACAATACATTGCAGCCACTGGACAAAGTCAAAAATACCTAGTGACCTAGTAATACCTAGTAATGCTTAAGGACTCTTAGCTAGGTCTTAGCAAATGAAAGCTAACTGTGGAAAGTAAAAACCTTTCTGGCCTAGTGTAATCTTCACAAACCACCCATGTCAACATTTTCTGCTCCAATACTAAGGTTGCTAAAGACCAAAGCTGCTTCAGAAGTTTTGTTCATTCCACATGCAATTTGCTTTCTGAATTTTTCTTCTCTCCCAGTGTTCTTAGTCATTGTACCAAAGATGAGGTCTAAACACACACACACACACCGCAAACATACACACATATTTATGTTCTTCTTTCACATGTACCTTTTCATGACCCTTTTCATCCTCCAATCTGGCTATCCAGAAGCAAACATTTTTAACTCTTTTAGCTGATTATTTTTGGTTTTCTTTCCAGAGCCCTAAGTTATATCTTGTATTGTCATTTTTTTGATTATTCAATTTTAGAAATACTTATTCTTTCATCTCTTATTCGACCAATTTCCTAGTACAATCAAATGCCTGCTTTAATTACATTAACAAACTATGTAAATGTAATTTACTTGAAAGCCAAATATCTTATGCTTGTGCAGCTTTTTCATTTACCAAAAGTTTTTAATTTTTTCTTTTTACCCATTGTATCTCTTTATTCCAATATTATATTTAAACTGTTCATCTTTTCAGGTATTGTATAAAACTTTCTTTCTTTTTTTCTTCTTCCACTGGTCATCTGGACAAGTTCCTTTTTAGGTTTGCTTCAAGGTGGTTATCCAGAAGTTCTTGTTCGTTAGGCTATGTTTCCTGGAACTCAAGTCTTTGTTTTTCTTGGTTTACACACTCATTTTGCTAGAGCAAAGAGTATGTGAGAAGTGATATTTCTGAAAACTTGTATGTCTGAAAATGTGTTTAGTTTAGTACAAATGTTTAGCAAAAATGTTTAGTACAAACATTTGAATGACAGTTTCGTGTGACATGGAATTTTAGTCAAAATATATTTCACGCTTCTGAAATCTTTGCTCTATGACTATGGAGTATCCAATGTTGTTGATGAGAAGACTGGCGCCAGTCTGATCATACCTCTGTAGATGATGTATCTGTCTCTCTCAAAACTATTAGGACCTTGTCTTTATTCCTTTGGTTCTAAAGTTATAGTCTAGGAGTGGGACTTTTTCATTTATTTATTTGGCACATAGAAATGCTTTTGATCTGGAGACTTATGTTCTGCAACTCCAGCAAATTCTCTCGAATGATTCTTTGATATTTTACAACCTCTCTTTCCTATGCCCTCTCATTACAAATTGCTATTTACTACATTAATATTTATTACTCCCTATCCAATAACGATTTTAAAACTGAGGTATAGGTACTTGCTCTGGATTCACAATCATCTTGAGTTTAATCTAGATACACTCTCAACAAGTCCATAAGAGTCAAATCTTCCAGCCTCCCCTGAGGCTAGAGGAAAGGTCATAGAACAAGCAGCTGAACTTCTCTCAGAACTAACTCATTTAGAGACCCACCTTCTTATTTAGTAGGTGTAGCTACCCGAATAATTTAGGTAAAATTTCCAAGGTTTTACCACCAGTTAGTGGCAGAGCCTGGATTAGAATTAAAGGATTCTCATATCTTAGTCAATGTTCCTTTTCCATTACATAATGTTTTTCTTGTCTGCAATAGCCCAGTGACTTGAAACACAAATTCACAGATCCTAAGAACAAACCTAATGGGTGTGGCTTCTAAAAATTATTCCATGGACTTTTATGAAAACAAACAAACAAAAAGTGGAGAAGGGCTGTGGAGATGGTAGAAACTGCAGACATCTTCCAGGAAAGGGCATTTTAAGATTCCCTCCTGCCATACAATCACGGCGACAACTTCTACTGCAATTGCTCATAAAGCCATTTGCTAAGATACAGTGGTTGTTATATATTTTAAATATTTACTTTAAATCTAACATTGCTTCCTTGGGAAATTGTTATTAAAGATTTGTTTAAATTATATAAAACATTAAACACATATAGAAAATATTTTTACTAGATTACGGTTCTTAGACTAAGTGTTAAGACTGCATTCTAGCTACCATACCCAATAGGTATGCTACTATAGAGAAGTTGGTTAAATTCTGAGAGTTTCTTCATCAGTAAAATGTGAAAATAATCACAATGTTATTCTAAACATTGGATGAATTATGCATACATAGTATCAGCCCAGTGGCTGATACTTGGAATGTGCTTATGAAAATATGTTAAACCAGTGAATGTTAGTTTACCAAGCAGGGCATATGAACTATATATAAGATTCCTCATGCATATAATTGTTTGACAAATATGTCCATTAAATGTGAAAAAATCTGGAGAACTTTATGGAATTTGAATAGTATTATCTCAGTTGACTTACTTATAAGCAAGTAAAAAAGAAGCTGTGAATGATTTATATAAACTGAGAGAATAGTTCAAGGACACGTGTCATTTCTGATGCTGTTATTTTGTATTAGGCTAGAGGGATGTCTTCCCTGAATAAAAATAATAGTTTTTTTTTTTTACAAATCAAATATACAAAAGATTATGAAATATACATATACTCAAAATATACTGTAATAATTGATCATCGGTAATAATAAATGTTTAAATGCATAATATAGATAATGCTCAATATATTCATTTATTCAATTGATTAGTCATTTATTTGTTCATTTTTTCATCGTATATTTATTGAATTCCAAATCAATATTACTGAGGCTTTGAAGAGAAAGTCACTGCCCACTGGGGCAGTCTTATCTCTATCACCTAATTCATTTGAAACAAATAGAAAACAGTACAGGAAATTAGAACAGATGTAGGTGAATGTCCTTTGCTATTTTTACCTACAACATGTCTCACTTCAGACTACCCACTTTTCAAGTGCTTAACAGGCATATGTGGCTAGTAGCTACTATAATAGACAGCACAGATATAAAGTCATAGTACTTACTGCATCCTAAGTATTTTGTATAATGCCTAGAACATATTTATAATTTTGCTCCAATAAAAATGTATAAAATGAATGAATTAATTAATAATCAATTTAGTCAAAATAGTTGTATCTGTCAGTACTATTTAGCACTAGTTAGCACTTGTTGGTTGCAAGTGAGAAAAATCTGACTCAAAATTATTTCATTGAAAATGAGTAATTGGGCCAGGCGCGGTGGCTCATGCCTGTAATCCCAGCACTTTGGGAGGCCAAGGCAGGCGGATCACAAGGTCAGGAGTTCAAGACCAGCCTGGCCAATATGGTGAAACACTGTCTCTACTAAAAATACAAAAAGTTAGCCAGGCGTGGTGGTGGGCGCCTGTAGTCCCAGCTACTCAGGAGGCTGAGGCAGGAGAATTGCTTGAACCTAGGAGGTGGAGGTTGCAGTGAGCCGAGATCATGCCACTGCACTCCAGCCTGGGTGACAGAGTGAGATTCCATCTCAAAAAAAAAGAAAAGAAAAGAAAAAGAAAAGGAGTAATTGAATCATTCACATAACTGAAAAGCCTACTGGATCCAAACACTTGAAAGAGGCTGATAGGCAATCTCATCTATCCTGTATCCCCTGCCCATTACAAATTCCTTGCCATCTTTTGGTTTAGCTTTACTTAGCCAACCATTATTGGCTGGGCTGCTGACCATGCTACATGTCCTACATGAATTATAGTTACCTGGTTACCCCAGTGAGGGAGGCTCCCTATTGTTGCATTCTTCAATCAACTTGGAGAGTATTATGACTCACCACTGGTTCTTAAACATCTGCCTGTAAATGATAACTATAACCAATGCTCACATTTCCTTGGCCAAGCAAGTCATATGGTCACACCTCACCTCAAAGAGTAGGACCAAGAAAGACAGTGTTGCCATTTGCCCCGAATGCTGCAAAAGTGGAAATGTAGAATGAATAGCCTAATGACTTCCACACTTACTATTAGCTTCATTCTCTGGCAAAAATCCCTGAGAGTTAAGTTAGTTAGTTCCTGATTCATATCCTTCCATTTTAGTAATTTCCATAGAAATAAGTATTTTTTGCCCAGTGGTTTCAACAAAATTCCCCTGGTTGGATGAAAGAGAATTTGAGATGAACTCTAATAGTTTCCTATTATGGCTGTATAAATGACCACAAACTTGCTTAAAATAACACAAATTTATTATCTGGAGGTCATTAGTTTAAAATGGGTATCACTAGGCTAAAATTAAGATGTCAGCAGTGCTGCATTCTTTCTGGAGGGTCTGGGAGAGTATACTGCATTGAATGATTATCTCCAAAATGATATATTCGTACCCTAAACCTTGGAACCTGTGAATGTGACCTTATTTGGATAAAGGGCCTCTGCAGCAACCAACATATGAGAGACGTGTCTTTATGGCAGAACAATTTATATTCCTTTGAGTATAAACCCAATAATGGAATCGCTGGGTTGATGGATGTAGTAGTTCATTCTCACACTGCTACAGAGAAATACCTGAAACTGGGTAATTTATAGAGAAAAGAGGTTTAATTGGCTTATGGTTTTACAGGTGGTACAGGAAGCATAATACCTGCTGCTTCTGGGGATGCCTCGGGAAACTTACAATCAAGGCAGAAAGCAATGGGGAAGAGATAGGCCCATGTTATATGGCCAGAGCAGGAGGAAAAGGGAGAAGATGGATGTGCCATACACTTTTAAACAATTGGATCTCTTGAGAACTCTATCACAAGAACAGCACTGAAGGGATGGTGCTAAACCATTCATGAAGGATCCACCCCCATGATTCAGTTACCTCCCAAAAGGTCCCACCTCCAACACTGGGGATTACAGTTGAACATGAGGTTCAGGTGAGGACACAAAGCTAAACAATATCAAATAGTAATTCTATTTTAAGTTCTTTGAGATAGCTCCAAACTGCTTTTCACAATTGCCACCAGCAGTGTATAAGTAATCCCTTTTCTCTACAACCTCACTAGCATCTTTTATTTTTTGACTTTCTAATAAAAGCCATGTTGACTGGTGTAAGACGGTATCTCATTGTGGTTTTGATTTGCATTTCTCTGATGATTAGTGATGTGAAGTGTTTTTTCATGTTTGTTGGTAGCTTGTATGTCTTCTTCTGAGAAGTGTCTCTTCATGTTTTTGCCCATTTTTAAAAATTGGGCTATTTGTTTTTTGCTTATTCAACTGTTTAAGTTATTTATAGATTCTGGATATTAGTCCTTTGTTGGATGAATAGTTTGTGAATATTTTCTTCCATTTTGTAGATTGTCTGATTATGATGTTGATAGTTTCTTTTGTTGTGCAGAAGTCCTTTAGTTCAATTAGGTCCCAGTTGTCAATTTTTGTTTTTGTTGCAATTGCTTTTGAAGACTTAATCATAAATTCATTCCCAAGGTTGATGCCCAGAATGGCATTTCCTAAGTTTTCTTCTAGGATTTTACAATTTGAGGTCTTAACATTTAAATCCTTAATATATCTTAAGTTAATTTTGGTAGGTATCCATCCCCTCAAGCATTTATCATTTATGTTACAAACAATCCAATTATACTATTTCAGTTATTTTTAAATGTATAATAAAATTGGTTGGGTGCAGTGGCTCACGCCTGTAATCCCAGTACTTTAGGAGGTCGAGGCGGGAAGATCACCTGAGGTCAGGAGTTCAAGACCAGCCTGGCCAACACGGTGAAACCCTGTTTCTACTAAAAATACAGAAATTAGCCGGGCATGGTGGCAGGTGACTGTAATCCCAGCTACTCAGGAGGCTGAGGTGGGAGAATTTCTTGGACCCAGGAGGCAGAGGTTGCAGTGAGCCAAGATCGTGCCATTGCACCCTAGCCTGGGTGACAAGAGCAAAACTCTGTCTCAAAAATAAATAAATAAATAAATAAATAAATAAATAAATAAATAAAAATAAAAAGGCTATCATTTATCATATTCATTTTAAATGAAAGTTAATTTGGGCTGCACTACATAATAGGCAATAGAAATATACAGAAAAAAATAAATAACTAGAATGGTAGAATATGGATTTATGGCCAGATATATTTGAATTAAAAATCCAGTTTTTGCCATCTGACTGACTATGAACAAATATTGTAATCTCTCTGGCCTTAACTTCACCTCAAAATTGGGGTGAATGTTTGCTTTATAAGCATATTGTGATATGATTTACATAATGTACTTTACACATTGCCTGAAGCCCATTAGGGTCTAATATTTGGTGATGTTTATATTTTTGCTATTTTCGCTTATGGCTAGATCATATATATAAATGTAGGAGAAAGGGTAAAATTAAAGATAATTATCTTTATGTTTAGCTTTGACAACCAACAGTATGATCTCACTAATAATGCGTGGAAATATAGTTTTAATAATTGGCTTAATGGGAAAGAGATGATAAGTTTGGTTTGGGCCATACTGAATTTAATCTACAAGTAAGAGAGTCATGTGAAAATAATACTCCTGACAAATAAAATTCTGTTTTTAGAATTTTGAGAGCCAAGTAAGAGTCATGAAACCAAGCCATTGATTCAGGAAGGAAAATGATCTAGACACTTGTAGTAAAAGTTGCAGCAAAGTCTGGACTAAAAGGTCAGTAAGTCAGAGTATTTTATCTTCTTATGAATTTCAGTATCCAGCTATTATCCTGCTAGAGCAGGAAATGACCCCATCCTGAGGCTTCCTGAAGAAGGGCACCAATGAATTTGCTTAACTTTGATAATGACATAGGATAAAAAGGAAGAAAGTAAGGCAGGATGGAAGGGAAGGGGGCGAAGTCTGAAAATTCAGGAGAATGCATCGAAATAATAACCCAAAGATCAAGTAATTATGTCTCATAACCCAGTGCCTGCTAAATAATGAGAAACGTGTATTTGGGATAATATATCAAAATTTTAATCTTATAAAACAATATCAAAATAAAGAGCATTTAGACAGTAACTATCTGGAGAAGTATTGAAGGACACAATTATAGTGTTCTTAATGTTAGAATTAGCTGGGTTGCTTAATTTTTTTTATTGAAAATGATGTAACAAAAACTCCCAGAGATATACATTTGCTGAAGAGCTTTCTGTGACTACAAATTGCCTCCTCCTAATTGTTATGGAAAGTACATTAAAATAATAGAGTCAAGGTATAATTAAGAAATAGCAGAATCTAGGCCAATACATAAGACCCCAGAGCTCAATATTAAATAAAATCTCTATTGTTTTTCAGAGTGTGGGGGACCGTAGAGATGAAAACAGGCAAGAAAATACTTGGTTTTTCTCATTTTCACTTGATAATTATTAAGAGTCATCAAACAAGAGTGAAGAAATAACTTCATCAGATGTAACAAACCAGTGGGCTATTCTGAAGACAGGCCAAAGAAGCAGAATGAAAGAGAGTCAAAGGAATTTATTCTCAATACATCTCTCATAATCCATTAAAAAATAAGCAAAGAAACTTACCGAGGCCAGCTTGGTTGTGGAGACCCTAACCCAGTGGTGCTAGAGGAATTAAAGACACACATACAGAAATATGGAGTGTGGAATGGGAAATCAGGGGGCTGACAGCCTTCTGAGCTGAGAGCCACAAACAGATTTGCCCACGTATTTACTGACAGCAAGACAGTGATAAGCATTGTTTCTATAGATTATAAACTAACTAAAACCATTCCTTACGGGAAACAAAGGGATGGGCTGAAACAAAGAGATGGGCTCTGGCTAGTTATTTGCAGCAGGAATATGTCCTTAAGGCACAGATGGCTCATGCTATTGTTTGTGGCTTAGGAACACCTTAAACAGTTTTCAGCCCTGGCTGGGCCAGGTGTTTCTTGCCCTCATTCTGGTAAACCCACAACCTTCTGTGTGGACATCATGGCCATGAGGAACATGTCACAGTGCTGCAGAGATTTTGTTTATGGCCAGATTTGGAGGTCTGTTCCCAAAATGTTCCCCCTTTTTGTTTTTGCAAGATGATAAAAGCAAAGGTGGATTTATCACAGTGAGCTACTTCTTGCAGGAGTCGGGATTCGCATCTGCAGACTATACAAAGACAACACAGATTAAAAGCACAATCATCATTGAAATCACAGAGCCTCCAAGTGTTGTTATCCATATTAATGGGTTACTAGCTCCTAACCTGTCTGCAGCTCCTTCAAGGACTCCAGTTCCTGGCATTAAGGTCAGGTGTGCCTGGGATGCTTTAAATATTTGTTCTTTTAATTTTGTAATATCCAAAGACAAGTTTGCAGAGGGTCCTTCTAGATGCTTTTTTATTCTTTTCCAAATTTTGATCTTATTATGAGCCATTAATAGTTTCCACAAATCCTTAAGTTTAGCTCCTACAGCAGGCCACGTCATTTGAGGTTGAGGTGCCACTATGTCGCCATGTTTCCAGGTAATAGGAACTCTTGTCAGATTTCTTACCATTTCTACCATCTGACCATTTTCTTCCAACCAGCTGAACATAGTGTGGCTGTGGCACGCAGACTGAGAGGTGCAATTCAAGCCAAACATCCCCTTAGGGGACCAATCAATAATGATTCCATAGGAATCGTTGCACAGCACCTCTGCCTGTTCTGCAATGCAATCTTCCCAAACAAGTACATTCATTTTTTCTGGCCAGGTCCACTTCTGTTTATGAATAAGTTTTTGAAGGCAGTATGCCTCAATTATAGGAGCAGATTTATTATGGTAAATACTGAGATCAGAAAGGATGTGTAAATGTGTCATAGAATGTTTACATCCAGGCATTATTGCCAGCCACGATTGATAAATATGCCCAATAAATAGAATTGTTCTCTGTGTCAGCCTTTGCTGAAGGAATACTCGTGGCAATGGTGATCACCACTATCACAGCTATCATTAAATTACTCATTGTTACTGGTTGTCCCACTTTCCTCAGGTTTTCTTCCACCATCTGTGACAGCTTCTTGATTTGTCCCCAGGTGGGTGGCTGTGTTCGACGGGTGTTGCTCGTGACAGTTGGAGTCCTCCTCAGTGTCAGTCTCAACATGGCTGCAACCTTAGGGTCCTCGGGATCCTCCAGGAATCTCTTCCTTGGCATCTGGTTCATGATAAGGTTTCAGGTGTCTTGATGGTATCCAAATCAGCTGCTGGTTTTGGCCTGGAGAAACACAAGCATAACCTCTTCCCCAAGTTATTATGTTACCTATTTCCCAACTTTTTGTTATCGGATCTCTCCACCAAACCAGTTGTTCTGCCTGTGTCTTTGCAGCTGGTTTCTGTAGATGCTGTTCTGCTGCTGATAGAATCTGGCCTTTAGGTAGGCTTAACAATCACCATCATCAAAAATGATATCCTAAACCTTGGTGGGAACTTTGTCTTCCCACTTGAAGTGGTTCCTTCAAACCTTGAAAATTTTTTCCTAGTCCCGTACCAGGGACATACCCCATTTCAGGCATCATATGTTGACTTTGAGGGCTATATAATTGCTCTGGAATTAGAATTTGTGCTCCCCATTGTTGTGATAAATCTCTCCCCCATAAATTTAAAGGTACAGAAGTTACAGTTGGTTGAATAGTCCTAGGTTGTCCATCGGGCCCTTCACAATGCAAAATATAACTGCTTTGATATACTTCAGGGGCTTTACTAACTCCAACTACGTTAAATTGAGTGGGTTGAATTGGCCACAGAGATGGCCAGTGCTGTAGATAAATGATTGAAATGTCCACTCCTGTATTGACCAAACCTTTAAATTTCTTTCCCTGAATAGTTATTTAACAGGTAGGACATTTATCAGTAATTTGATTCACCCAATAAGCTGCTTTGCCTTGTTTATTTGTGCTTCCAAATCTTCCTGTTCATTTAATTTCACTTTTCCCCATTTCCACATATGGCACAATCAGGAGCTGTGCTATACGCTCTCCTGGCTCTGCTTTCCAGGGAACAGAAGTAGATATAACAATTTGAATTTTCCCATTGTAATCTGAATCAATGACTCCTGTTTGTACTTGCACTCCTTTTAAATTTAAACTAGACCTACCTAGAAGTAATCCTATCATCCCCTCTGGCAACATCTGACGGGAGACAGCAACATTTTTTAACAGTCCCATTACAAAAGGAGAACCTGGTCCATATTGATTAATAGCTTGTTTAAAATCTTTGAGTACTTTAAAAGGAAAATCTCAAATGTAGCTATAATATTTCCCTGTTGATCAGGTGGGTGTATTCTAACAGGGAACTGCCAAGCCTTTAAATCACCCTCTTTTCTAGCTTGCTGGATTCCTGCCTGAATAGAACTGAAAGTGGTCACTCGAGACACTGCTCGAACAGTCACGGGGCCAGCTACTTTTTGCCCAGTGTCCTTCAGAAAAGAAAGATCTGGAAGGTCAGGCCACTCTTTTTCTTCAAAATAAGGAGGGGGTGCAGAAGGGTAGGGATGAACCTCTTCCTCCTTTGCCACTTTAGCTTTAGCTGGCAAACAAACCTGCTGTGTTACCTCTTCTGTTAGTTTGTTATACTTCCCTTCCTCCTCCTCATCAGTATGAAAAGCTTCCAAAGTGGATCGAACCAGAGCCCACACTTGTCCCATTGTTACCCTGATGCTTCCAAGCTCCCCTTCTTATTCACCACGGGGATTGCTTAAGAGTACTCAGGTGTCCTCCAGCTTCATTTCACATTCTCCAACCATCGCTCTGGTGACCCTTTGACCTGGGTTCGAGCCCCACATATGGGCATGACTTGCTGAGACCAGCACAGTTGTGGAGGCCCTAATCCAGCAGTGCTAGAGGAATTAAAGACACACCCACAGAAATATAGAGTGTGGAGTGGGAAATCAGGGGGCTGACAGCCTTCTGAGCTGAGAGCCACGAACAGAGATTTGCCCACATATTTATTGACAGCAAGCCAGTGATAAGCATTGTTTCTATAGATTATAGAATAGCTAAAAGCATTCCTTATGGGAAACAAAGGGATGGGCCAAAACAAAGGGATGGGTTCTGGCTAGTTATCTGCAGCAAGAATATGTCCTTGAGGTACAGATGGCTCATGCTATTGTTTGTGACTTAGGAACACCTTAAGCAGTTTTCAGCCCTGGGTGGGCCAGGTGTTTCTTGCCCTCATTCTGGTAATCCCACAACCTTCAGTGTGGGCATCATGGCCATTAGGAACATGTCACAGTGCTGCAGAGAATTTATTTATGGCCAGACTTGGGGGCCTGTTCCCAAAAGAAACTAAATTTTGAATGGAATTACCATTAATATATATTGGGGTTTTATGGGAATAAAATATCATAGGTGAATTAAAATTAATAGATAATAAAATTTAATAATAAAAATTAAATTTATGTAAAATATGAAGGAATAAACATTCCTTTTTCTAATATACTTCTTCATAAAAGGATAAAAGTAGACTGATTATTATGTTATCAAATATTTAAAGATAAAATGTTTGTACATTGATAGTCATTGGGTATTCGCTAAAACACTTTTCAAAAGCTTCATAATACAAACGTTAGAATGGTAAACTGTGTCTTTCTGGACATAGATTACTAAAGTTATATAGACATATATAGGCCTAGGGATGACAATTTTTATAACCTTAGTACAGTTGGATCTTGAATACCATGGTGGTTAGGGGCATTGACTTCCTGTGTACCTGAAAAAAAAAAAAAATATATATATATATATATATATATACACACATACATATATATATATAAATATACATACATATATATATACATACATATATATATATAAATATACATACATATATATATACATACATATATATATATATACACATACATATATATATATATTCTACAATGGAAATTAGAGGTTTCACATAAAAATCAGCTCTCTGAACTTTAACTCAAGAAGGAAAAGAGAAATCCACCAAAATCAGAAAAAAAGCCCCAAACCCTGGGGAGGAGATGCAGGCAAATAGCCCCCTTGACAGCATCTGGCTGATAAAAGTGAGTAAAGTTCCAGTACACGTGAGAGGCAGAGAGCCTCCCTCTGTGACTTACCTTTCCACTGGGGATCTGAGCAACCCAGGCTGAGGGAGAGCACTTTGTTTCCCCCAAGCCCAGGACTATTTTGGGAAGAGACTTGGAGGTCTGAGAGAGAAAGAGAGTGAGAAAAGCTGCAGGCATTTCCCATGGACCCTCAGGACTAAGAGCAGGATGCCATTCTGAATCCAGGTTAAAACAGTCAGCCATTCTTTGGTGACCTGGCAGCATGGCCCTGCAGGCATTTCAATCGTAGACTAGAGATTGGAGCACTTGCTCTGGAGTGGAGTAGGGGCCTCCACAACCAGAATCATAAAGAGCTACTCAGCAGCAGTCACTGCAGTTACTTTCTTCCCCATCCCAGGCCTGGGTTGGGGAGAGGGCTGCTACAGCTACAGTTTTTGCTGGGTGATTTGAAGCCAGAGCCACCTTGGTGACCTGGAACTGGTCTAAGTGAGTCACTGCTGGGTGTCCCAGCCTGCTCCCCTGAGATTATGGTGCACCAGGGCCCCCTCCTCTCTGTGCCTAGGAAGATCTCCAAGCATTTGGAGCACTCATTCACATTGACTAGCAATGCGAGACACCCCATCCTTCTTGTGCAGAGTCCTCTCCAGGCCATGCCCAAGCATATTCCCAGGTATTCAGAGCACCCATTCTGCTGGATCAGCAGCTTGCCCCAGCCCACTCTCCTTGTGCAGAGATCCTGGTGCAGGGAGTCTCTCTCCACTTTATGTTTAGGCAAGTCTGTAGGCATTGAGAGCAACTGCTCACCTGGTTCAGTAGTTCCACCCTACTTGCCCTGGATATAGATTGTGATGCAGCACGGCCCTCTCTGTTGCATGCTTAGACTGATCTTCAGGTAGTCAAAGTACCTGCTCACCCAGATTGGTAGCTTGAGCCACTGTACCCTTTTTGTGCAGAGATCCTGGAGCAGAGATTGTGGTGCAGCAGCACCCTCTGCACTACCCACTCAGGCAGACCTCCAGGTACCTGGAGAACCCACTCTCCTAGATTGAGAGTTTAGGCCAGCCTTTCTAATCATGCAGAGGACTTGGAGCTGAGAAGATTTATCAGCTCAATGCCTAGGTGCACCTCTGGGTGCTTGGAGGCCACCCATTAGATTCTTCTTTAGCACTAGTGCTTGTGCCTGTCATCAAGGGTCCTGCAGGTGGGCATGCCTAGTCTGGACCTGCCCATCATAGTCCTCACTCCCCAGGGCTGAACAGGGAGCTCAAACCACTGTGCAATCCACAGATCAGTCCATTGCCTGAGGCAACAGAGACCTTCTCTCAGTAAACAAGGCTCAGGTATATACCCAGCCATATTAGCCCCATCCAGTTCTTATCCATAAATACCATCTACTGGCTTGTAGGTTGGACTGCAAAGATAAGTATAAAACCCACCAAAAGAAGTGCAAAAGCAAAAAGACCTTACCCAACATTCTCTACCTTACCCAACATTCTCTATAGTCACACCCCCTAGGGAGGGGGAAAAGGGAAAGAGAAAGAGACAGAAAACCACTAAGTTTATAAAGAAATAAAGTAAAAGAAAAATTCCTACCTGTACAAAAATAATTACAAAAATCAGAAGTGCCAGAATCTCCAGATAAGAAGAAACCAACACAAGAATTATGGCACCATAAAAATTCTGAGTGTAGTGACACCACGAAAGGTCACACTAGCTCTCCTGCAGTGGTCCCTAACCAAAATGGATACTCAGACATGAGAGATAAGGAATTCAAATCTTTTTTTTTTATATGATTGTTGCCACATGTATGTCTCCTTTTGAAAAATGTCCATTCATTTCCTTTGCCCACTTTTTTATGAGGTTGTTGTTTTTTTTTTTTTTTTGTAAATTTGTTTAAATTCCTTATAGATGCTGGATATCAGACCTTTGTCAGATGTGTAGTTTGCAAAAATTTTCTCCCATTCTGTAGGTTGTCTGTTTACTCTATTGATAGTTTATTTTGCTGTGAAGAAGCCCTTTAGTTTAATTAGACCCTGTTTGTCAATTTTTGCTTTTATTGCAATTGCTTTTGGCATCTTTACCATGAAATCTTTTCCTGTGCCTATGTCCTGAATGGTATTGCCTAGTTTGTCTTCCTGGGTTTTTATAGTTTTGGATTTTATATTTAA
Source organism: Homo sapiens (assembly GCF_000001405.40). NCBI lineage: Eukaryota > Metazoa > Chordata > Mammalia > Primates > Hominidae > Homo > Homo sapiens. The sequence goes on from NC_000004.12 coordinate 141,944,518, forward strand.
GTCTTTAATCCATCTTAAGTTAATTTTTGTATATGGTATAAGAAGGGGGTCCAGTTTTAATACTCTGCATACAGCTAGTCAGTTATCCTAGCACCATTTATTGAATAGGAAATCCTTTCCTCATTGTTTGTTTTTGTCAGGTTAGTTGAAGGTCAGATAGTTGTAGTCTTATTTTGTGGTTCTGTATTTTGTTCCATTGGTCTATGTGTCTGCTGCTTTGTTTACTGTAGCCCTGTAATATAGTTTGAAGTTGGGTAGAGTGATGCCTCCAGCTTTGTTCTTTTTGATTAGGATTGTTTTGGCTATTTGAGCTCGTTGTTGGTTCCATATTAATTTTAAAATGGATTTTTCTAGCTCTGTGAAGAATGTCAATTGTAGTTTAATGGGAATAGAATTGAATCTGTACATTGCTTGAGCAGTATGGTCATTTTAACAATATTGATTCTTTCTATCCATGAGCGTGGAATGTTTTTCCACTTGTTTGTGTCATCTCTGATTTCTTTCAGTAGTGGTTTGTAGTTTTCCTTGTAGAGATCTTTCACCTCCCTTGTAAATTGTATTCCTAGGTATTTTTTTCTTTTTGTGGCATTTGTGAATGGGAGTTCGTTCCTGATTTGGCTCTCGGCTTTACTGTTGTCAGTGTATAGGAATGCTAATTATTTTTTTCACAATGATTTTGTATGCTGAGATTTTGTTGGGGTTGTTTATTAGCTTTAAGAAGCTTTTGAGTTGAGACAATGGGGTTCTTTAGATATAGGATCATGTCATCTACAAACTGAGATAGTTTGACTTTCTCTCCTCCTATTTGGATGCTCTTTATTTCTTTCTCCCGCCTGATTGCCCTGAGCAGAACTTCCAATACTATGTTGAATAGGACTGGTGAGAGAGAGGGCATCCTTGTCTTGTGCCAGTTTTCAAGGGGAATGCTTCCAGCTTTTGTCCATTCAGTATGATGTTGGTTGCGGGTTTGTCATAGATGGTTCTTCATATTTGAGGTATGTTCCTTTAATACCTACTTTACTGAGAGTTTTGAACATGAATGAATGATGAATTTTATTGAAATAATTTTCTGCATCTATTTCAAAAAGATGTGCTGCTGGATTTGCTTTGCCAGCACCTTGTTAAGGATTTTTGCATTGATGTTCATCAAGGATATTGGCCTGAAGCATTCCTTTTTTATTGTATCTCTGCCAGGTTTCGATATCAGGATGATGCTGGCCTCATAGAATGAGTGAGAAAGGAGTGCCTTCTCCTCAATTTTTTGGGAGTAGTTTCTGTAGGAATGATTTCAGCTCTTCTTTGTACATTTGGCAGAATTCAGCAGTAAATCCCTTTGGTCCTGGGCTTTTTTTGTTCGGTAGACTATTTATTACTGCCTTAATTTCAGAATTCATTATGGGTCTGTTCAGGGATTTAATTTCTTCCTGATTCAGTCTTTGGAGGGTGTATGCAATCATGAATTTATTCATTTCTTTTAGATTTTCTAGTTTATGTGTATAGTGGTATTCATAATATTCTCTGATGGTTGTTTGTATTTCTGTGGGGTCAGTGGTAATATCCCCTTTGTTGTTTCTGATTGTGTTTATTTAATCTTTTTTATTTATTAGTCTAGCTAGCAGTCTATTTTCTTAGTTTCTTTTTTTTTTTTTAAAGAAAAAAACAAACAGCTCCTGGATTCGTTGATCTTTTGAATGGTTTTTTCATGTCTCTGTCTCCTTCAGTTCACAGTTACAGTTCACCTCTGATTTTGGTTATTTCTTGTCTTCTGCTGGCTTTAGTATTTTTTTGCTCTTGGTTCTCCAGATTTTATAGTTGTGATGTTAGGTCATTAACAAAATCTTTCTAATTTTTTATGTGGGCATTCAGTGCTATAAATTTCCTTCTTAACAACATCGCTTATCATTAGAAAAATGCAAATCAAAACCACAGTGAGATACTATCTAACACCAGTCAGAATGGCTAGTATTAAAAGTCAATAAATAACAGATGCTGGCAAGGTTGTGGAGAAAAAGGATTGCTGGTGGGAGTGTAAATTAGTTCAACCATTGTGGAAGACAGTGTGACAATTTCTCAAAGACCTAAAGACATATATACCATTTGACTTAGCAATCTCATTACTGGGTATATCTGAAAGGAATATAAATTATTCTATTCTAAAGACACATGCATCTGTATGTTCACTGCAGCACTATTCGCAGTAGCAAACATGTGGAATCAACCGAAACGCTCATCACTGATAGACTGGATAAAGAAAATGTAGTATATATACCATGGGATACTATACAGCCATTAAAAAATAATGAGATCATGTCCTTTGCAGGAACATGGATGGAGCTAGAGGCCATTATCCTTAGCAAACTAACTCAGGAACAGAAAACCAAATACCACATATCCTCACTTATAAGTGAGAGGTAAATGATGAGACTACATGGACAGATAGAACAGAAAAACACACACTGGGCCTATTGGAGGGTGGAGGGTGGGAGGAGGGAGAGGATCAGGAAAAATAATTCATGAGTACTGGGCTTAATACTTGGGTGATGCAATAATCTGTACAACAAAACCCCATGATACAAGTTTACCTATGTAGCAAACCTGCACATGTACTCTGAACTAAAAAAAAAGAAGTAGAATGATTGTTTGCCCTTGAAGTTATATTGTTGTCAGTTTTAATTCAATTGTTATAACTTAAAAAAATAAGAATTTGAAGCACAGATTACAAGGAAGCTTGACAAGATCCAAAACAATGTTGAAAATCAACACAAAGAGATTTCTTTCCTTTTTTTTTTTTTTTTTTTGAGATGGAGTCTTGCTCTGTTGCCCAGGCTGGAGTGCAATGGGATGATCTCAACTCACTGCAACCTCTGCCTCCCAGGTTCAAGCAATTCTCCTGCCTCAGTCTCCTGAGTTGCTCAGATTAAAGGCACCCACCATCACATCCAGCTAATTTTTGTATTTTTAGTAGAGACGGTTTCACCATGTTGGTCAAACTAGTATCAAACTCCTGACCTCAGGTGATTCACCTGCTTCGGCCTCCCAAAGTGCTGGGATTACAGATGTGAGCCACCATGCCTGGCCTAACACAAAGAAATTTCTAAAGCTAATCAAGAAATAAATGAAGAGGTGAAGATATTTAAAAGAAATCAGTTAGACTTTATGGAATTGAAAAACTCATTTAAGGAACTTCAAAATTCAATTCGAAGCTTTCTCAATAGACTGGACCAAATAGAAGAAAAAAAATTCAAAACTCAAAAACTGGTCTTTCCAACTAACCCAGTCAGACAAAACTAAGAAAAAAAATAATTTTAAAAATGAAGAAATTCTTCAAGAAACATTGGATTATATAAAGCAAACAAACCTATGAATTATTGTCATTTCTGAAAGAGGAGGAGAAAAAGTAAACAACCTGAAAAATATGTTTGAGGAAATAATTCAAGAGAATTTTTCTAATTTTGCTAGGGAAGTAAACATTCAGATACAAGAAATATTATACAAGACAAACATCACCAAGGCATATAGTCACCAGATTGTCCAAGGTTAACTCAAAAGAAAAATTCTTAAAATAGCTAGAGAAAAAGGCCAGATCATGTACAAAGGGAACCCCATCAGGCTAACAGCATACTTCTCAACAGCAACCTTACAATCCAGCTAACCTTACAATCAAAGAGACTGAAAGCCTATTTTCAGCATTCTTAAAGAAAAAAAATCTAACCAAGAATTTCATATCCCATTTTCATAAAAGAACTAAAGCTTGTCCAGAGAAGCAGGCACAAAGGGAATTTGTTACCACTAGACTAGCCTTAAGAGAGAACTTTAAGGGATTTCTAAGCATAGAAACAAAAGAATGATACATGCTACCACAAAAACTCAATTAAGTACATAGCTCACAGACCCTATAAAGCAACCAAACAATAGAAACTACAAAGCAACCAGCCAACAAGTTCATAATAGGATGAAAACCTCATATATCAATATTAACCTTGAATGTAAATGGTTTAAATGCCCCACTTAAAAGGCACAGAGTTGGAAGTTTTGTCTGTGTGTGTGTATGTGTGTATATATATATATATATATATATATATATATATATATATTCATATATATAAAGACCCTTTCGTCTGTTACCTTCAAGAGACCATTTCACATAGCCTCAAAATAAAAGGTTGGGGAAGGAGCTATCATGCAAATGGAATACAAAAAGGAGCAAAGGTCACTCTTCTTATATCAGATAAAACAGACCTTAGATAGTAAAAAAGGATAAAGAAAGAAATTACATAATGATAAAGCATTCAATTTAATAAGAAGACTTAGCTATCCTAAACATATATACAACCAACATTTGAGGACTCAGATTCATACAACAGCAACTTCTAGATCTATGAAAAGACTCAAACACACTATAATAGTGGAAAACTTCAACACCCAAATGACAGCATTAGACAGATCATCAAGGCAGAAAACTAACATAGAAATTCTGTTCTTAATTTCAACACTTGAACCAACTGAAACTAATGGAAATCTACAGAATACTCCACCCATCAACCACAGAATATACATTATTCTCATCTACACACAGAACGTACTCCAAGATTGACCACATTTTCAGCCATAAAGCAAGTTTTAATAAATTAAAAAAATTTAAATCATACTAACCATACTCTCAGACCACAAAGGAATAAACATAGCAATCAATACAAAGAAAATCTCCCCAAACCACACAATTATCTGGAAATTAAACAACTTGCTCCTGAATAACTTCTGGGTAAACAACAAAATGAAGTCAGAAAAAAAATATTTGAAATAAAAGAAAACAGAGACACACATAGCAAAATCTCTAGGATGCAGACAAGGAGTGTTCAGAGAAAAATTTATAACACCAATTTTCTATTTCAAAAAGTTAAAAAGATTTCAAATTAACAATATAACACTAAACTTAAAGGAACTAGAAAAGTAAGAATGAACAAATCCTAAAGCTAGCAGAAGAAAATAAATAACTAAAATCAGAGCATAACTGAATAAAATTGAGACACAAAACTCCTTGGAAAGAATCAACAAAACCAAAAGCTGATTTTCTGAAAAGATAAAGAAAATTGATAGACTGATAGCTAGATGAACAAAGAAAAAATAGTGAAGATCCAAATAAGCACAATCAGAAATGACAAAGGTTGTTACAACCGATGGCACAGAAACACAAAAAAATCCTCAGAGAATGTTATAAACACTTCTAAGCACTCTGATATCATGTGGATGTTTGTTCCCGCTAAATCCCATGTTGAAATGGAATCCTCAGCATGTAGGGCCTGGTGGGAGATGATTAGGTCATTGGGGCAAATCCCTCATGAATAGCTTAGTGCTGTCTTTGTGATGAGTGTGTTCGCACTCTGAGTTCATGTGAAATCTCATTGTTTAAAAGAGTGTGGCACCTCCTGCTCTCTCTTGCTCCCACTCTCACCATGAGATACGATGGCTCCCCCTTCTCCTTTGACCATGGTTGAAAGCTCCCTGAGGCCTCACCAGAAGCAAAGCAGATGCTGGCATGTGCTTTCCATACATTCTGCAGAACTATGAGCCAATAATTCTTTCTTTCTTTATAAATCACCCACCTCAAATATTTCTTTAGAGCAAAGCAAGAATGGACTAAGACACACGCAAAATAGAAAATCTAGAGGAAATACATAAATTTCTGGAATTTATAATTTCCTGGAAACACACAACCTCCGAAGATTGACTCAGAAAGAAACTGAAGCCCTGAACAGACCAATATTAAGTTCCAAAACTGAACCAGTAGTAAAAAACTTACCAACTGAAAAAAAAAAGCTTCAGACCAGATGGATTTACAGCTGAATTCTGTCAGGCATACAAAGAACTGCTAGTACCAATTCTGCTGAAACTATTCCAAAAAACTTAGGGGAAGGGACTCCTCCCTAACTCATTCTAGGAAGTCAGAATCACCCTGACACCAAAACCTGGCAAAGATGCAGTAAAAAAAGAAAACTATAGGCCAATATCCCCCAATATCCCTGAAGGACTTAGACACAAAAATCGTCAACAAAATAGTAGCAAATCAAACCAGCAGGGCATCAAAAAGTTAATTCACCACTATCAAGTAGGTTTCTTTCTTCTTATGTAAAGTTGGCTCAACATGCAGAAATCATTAAATGAGATTCACCACATAAAGAGAATTTAAAACATAAACCATATGATAGTCTCAATAGATGCAGAAAAAACCTTTGATAAAATCCGACATTCTTTCATGATAAAAACCCTCAAGAAACTAGGAAAGAACATACCTCAAAATACTGAGAGCCATCTATGACAAACTCACAGACAACATCATACTGGATGGGCAAGAGTGAACGGGCATTTCTTTTGATAATTGGAACAAGATAAGGATGCCCATTCTCCCCACTCATATTCAACATAGTCCTTGAAGTCCTAGCCAGAGCAATCAGACAAAAGAAAGAAATAAAGAGCATCCAGATAGGAAAAAAGGAAGGAAAACTATCTATCTTCAGTGATAACATGACTCTATACTGAGAAAACCCCAAAGACTCTGCCAAAAGGCTCCTGGAACTGATAAATGACTTCGGTGAAGTTTTAGGATACAAAATCAATGTAAAAATATCAGTGGCATTTCTATATACCAATAACATTCAAACTGAGAGCAAAATCAAGAACACAATCTCATTTAAAATAGTCACACACACACACACACACACACACACAATATTTAGGAATACATCTAACCAAGGAAGTGAAAGAACTCTACAAGTAGAACTGCAAAACACTGCTAACAGGAATTGTAGATGACACAAACAAATGAAAACATTCTATGGTCATGGATAGGAAGAATCAAAATCATTAAAGTGGTCTATACTGCCCAAATTGATCTATAAATTTAATACTATTTCATCAAACTAGCAACGTCATTTTTCACATAAATAGAAAATCTATTCTAAGATTCATATGGAACCAAAAAAGAGCCTAAATAACCAAGGCAGTCCTAAGCAAAAAGAACAAAGCTGGAGGCATCACATTACCTGACGTCAAACTATATTATAAGGCTACAGTAACCCAAACAGCATAGTACTGCTACAAAAACAGACACATAGTGCAATGGAACAGAATAGAGAGCTCAGAAATAAAGTCACATTCCTACAGCCATCTGATCTTTGAGCAAGTTGACAAAAATAAGAAATAGAGAAAGGAATTCCTATTCAATTAGTGGTGCTGGAATAGCTGGTGAGCTATACATAGCAGAATGAAACTGAACCCCTACCTTTTACCATTTACAAAAATTAACTTAAGATGCATTAGACATTTAAATGTAAGACCTCAAATGATAAGAATCCTACAAGTAAACCTAGGAAACACCATTCTGGACATTGGCCTTGGAAAAGAATTTGTGTCTAAATACTGAAAACCAATTGCAACAAAATAAAAAATTGACAAGTGGGACCCAATTAAACTAAAGAGCTTCTGCACAGCAAAAGAAACTATCAAGGGAGTAAACAGACAACCTGCAGAATGGGAGAAAATATTTGCAAAGTATTATTGGATAAAGGTCTAATATTCAGAATCTATAAGGAGCTTAAACAATTCAACAAGCAAAATCAAATAATTCCATTAAAAAGTATACACAAGACATGAACAGACAGTTCTCAAGAGAAGACATACTATTAATAGCAGCGTGAAACATAAAAAATGGCTTAACATCTCTAATCATCAGAGAAATGCAAATCAAAACTATAATGAGATATCATCTCACACCAGTCAGAGTGGCTATTATTAAAAAGTCAAAAAACAAAACAAAAACAAAAACAAACAGATGCTAGGGAGGTTGTAGAGAAAAGGTAATGCTTGTAAACTGCTGGTGAAAATGTAAACTAGTTCACCCACTATGGAAAGCAGTTTGGAGATTTCTTCAAGAACTTAAAGAGAACTGCCATTAGGCTTCAGGAATCCCATTACTGGGCATATATAAATGAAAACAAATCATTCTACCAAAAAGATGTATATACTTGCATATTCATTGCAGCACTATTCGTAATAGTAATGACATGGAATCAACCTAGGTGCCCATTAATGTAGATTGGATTAAGAAAATATGCCACATATACAGCATGGAATACTGTGCAGCCATAGAAAAGAATTACGTCATGTCCTTGTCAGCAAACTGGATGCAGGGGGATGCTATTATCTTAAGTGAATTAACTCAGAAACATAAAATCAAATATCACATATTCTCACTTATAAATGGGAGCTAAACATTGTGTACTCGTGGACATAAAAATGGCAACAACAGAAACTGGGGGCTACTAGAGGGAGGAAGGAGGAAGTGGATAAGGTTTGAAAACTAACTGTTGGGTACTATGTTCATCATCTGGATGATGGAATCATTCACATTCCAAACCTCAGCTTTCAGGTGACATGTAATGAACTTGCACGTTGAATCTAAATAAATGTGCACTTGAATCTAAAATAAAAGTTGAAACTATGAAAAAAATGAATAAAGAACCATTAGCTGATAAAATACCCAACCAATCAAAGAAACAAACAAAAGCAACAAAAATGAAAATCCATGTATAACTTTTGACTCCTTAAAACTTGTTACTAATGGCCTACTGTTGACAGAAAGCTTTACTGATAATATAAACAACTGACTAATACATATTTTGTATGTTATGTATATTAGAGACTTCATTTTTACAATAAAGTATGCTAGAGAGAAGAAAATGTTATTAAGAAATTCAAGGAAGAGAAAATATATTTATTATTCATTAAGTGAAACTGGATCATTACAAAGGTTTTCATCCTCATTGTCTAGGTGCCAAGTAGGCTGAGGAGAAGGAAAAAGTGGAGGAGTTGGTTTTGTTATCTCTCGCACTTCTAAAGTACAAGAGGCAGAAGAGGTGAAAGAGGGGGAAGGGAAAGCCGGATAGGCAGGCACACTTGATGTAACTTTACAGAAATACGTTGTTTTCTGTCTGACAAATTTGCTTTTCTATTTCTCTAAAAATGTTTCCATACAGCACCATTCCTTTTTCCACCATTTATTTTTGTTTCAGGGTCCATATCATAGAAGGGTTCATGTCATAGAAGATGTCAAAAGAAGTGTTGAATCATTGCAGTCCTTTTGCCAGATTGTCTAATGCCAATTTGTTGTCCCACACTGCTGCTTCTATGTCTTCTTCCTCATCCTTGGACATTGGTTCACAATCACTCATTTACATCAAGTCGTCTTGTGTTAATTCATCTGGTGTGGTGTCTATTAGCTCTCGAATTTATCCAAGATCGGTATCTTGAAACCTTTTGTCACCCACCATTTTTGCCATATCCACAGTCTCTCTCATGATTTTCTTTATTATCTCTGTCATAAATCCTGTGAAGTCATGTACAACATCTGGGCACAGTTTTCTTCAGCAGGAATTTATTGTTTCAGGCTTGATGGCTTTCACAACTTTCCTATAACAGTGAAGACATCTTCAATGGTGTAATCCTTCCAGACTTTCATGATGTTGTCTCTATTTGGGTTCTCTTCTATAGTGTTGATATTTTTTTCCTAGAGTACTGTGTATAATAAGCCTTAAAGATCCTTATTACCCGCTGATCCAGAGATTGAATTAGAAATGTTGTTTTTGGGGGTAAGCAGACACCTTCACCTACCTTTGTTGTTGAACTCATGGGGTTCTGGGTGGCCAGGGCCATTGTCCAATATCAAAAGAACGGTAAATGTCAGTCTCTTAGTGGCAAGGTATTTTCTGACTTCAGGGACAAATCATCAATGGATCTGTTACTTTTGCACCAACCTAATATTTCTATTTATATTAGGTTGGTGCAAAAGTAACAGATCAATTGATAATTTGCACCATCAAATTACTTCTGCACCAATCTAATATTTCAGAAAAAGCCCTTTTAATGAAATATAATATTTAAAAGGGCTTTCCTTGTTTAGGTTTTCTTATTTATACAACCAAAAGATTGGCAGCTTGTGTTTGTCTTTTCCTTTTAAGGCTGAAGAGTTTGCAGCTTTATAGAGAAGGGCAGTCCTGATTATAAATCTGACTGAATTTACACAAAACAATGGAGTTAACCCAAGTCTTTCTGTCTTAAATCCTAGTGCTTGCTTCTCTTTGTTACAACTAAAAAATGTATTTTGTGGAAATTTTTGCAGAATTGGGCACATTTGTCTACATTAAAAATCTGTTCAGGCAGAGATCCTTTCTCTTTGATGATTTTCTTAATGGCATCTGGGAACTTTTCTGCTGTCTCTTGGTTGGCAGCAACTGCTTCTCCTGTTGTCTTGACATTTTTTGAGTCAAACCTCTCTTTAAAATTATCAAACTATCCTTTGCTGGTATTAAGTTCTCCAGCTTTAGATCCTTCACCTTACTTTTTGCTTTACGTAGTTATACAGTAACTTTGCTTTTTGTTGAATTATATTAAAGTCCATAGTTATGCCTTTCTTACAGAAATCCTGCACCCACATAAAATACGCATGTTCAATATATGATACAAAGGTATTTCAGCCAAAGGACAAGGTTTTTGTGCCTGCTGACATAGCTGCAGCAATAATTTCACCAATTTTCTTTCCTCTTTTTTTTTTAACAGCAGTCTTTATGCTGGATTCATTAATCTTGAAATGGTGGAAAACCACTACAGACCTCAACCCATGGTATATATGCAGCAATTCAATTTTTATTGTAATGTCATGACTTTTCTTTGATTACTGGGAGCACTTCAAGCATCATTAGTGTCACTTTGCATGGGTCCCATGGTGTTATTCAACTTTTATGGTATTGCACTAAATGTGAAGAAAAAAACACAAGAACTGTGGGAGATTACTTTTTACTGAAATATGCAATTTGGTGGAGATACTAACTGCTCATATAGAGATGGTTATCATCACAGGGTGTTTCAAGCAGACACAACACTCGAGCTCACCCCAGTAGCAACAGGAGGTGGCTTGAAATTATTATAGTAGTTCAGTATATAGTATGGTTAATCTTATGCAGTTATAATTTTACAGAAATGACATGCTTAACTTTTTCTTAATTTTTTCAATATTTTGACACTACACAGTTTATTTGCAAGTGTTTTCAAATTATTACAAATCTCAAACAAATTTCGATATATTTACTAAAAAAAATCCATATGTAAGTGGATCCGTGCAGTTCAACCTGTGTTGTTCAAAAGTCAATTGTATAATTTTTCTTATAATGAGCAAAGAAAAGTATAAAACGAAGAGAACTCTAGGCCAATTCATTCTGATGTAAATAAACTATTGGATACAAGGTTTCTAAGAAAATGTTGTAATAGCACATATTTTTCATTTGTGTTTTACAAACATCAGTATCCTTCAGATGTGCTATTGAGAAATGTTTTCAAATTTAGCCAGTGTTACCAAATGTCTTTTAATAAGTTTGATCCCAGAATATTCTAGTTATGGCACAACTCAGCCCTTTATTGGAAACACGAATTTGCTCAACTTACTAGCTTGATCATTAGCATGAGCACAGAGAAGGCAGAAACAGAAAATTACATCTCTCATTCACTGGAGATTCAAAAATCTGTGTACTATTCACCACCTTTCTCTTAATATCATATTAATTACATATTTTTATTTTTTCTTCCAGCATTCTTACAGTTTCACCATTTCTTGCATTTCTAAAGCTAGAAGTTTATTCTCAGTCTTGGCATTTCCCTATTTGATCTATATATGAAAACCCAAATTTAGTTTCTTCATTTCCTCTGCAAACATAAGTTCATTTAGTCTTCAGATGATTGAGTAAGGTAGATATAAGAATGGTTACAATACAGATTTAGAAATCAGTAATTCACCTGAAGTAGTAAGAAATTTTGGACATGAATCACATCCGGCTAACTCCAAAGCTATACACTTTCTGTCATGTCACAGTAAGTTTACTAGCATTGCAATTGCTGTTGCCAAAGTCTTAGATATGCTCCCTGTTAATTATATTAGAATTCTGCCCACACAGATGGACAGAGGATGAGAATATTTGAATTTTGTTTTTAATTAAGATACTCATTACATTTATTGAACTTTGAATATATATATATATGTATATATATGTCTGTGTGTATATATGTGTGTGTGTATATATATGTGTATATATATGTGTGTGTGTATATGTATTTATGTATATATATGTGTGTGTATATATATATATATATTTTTTCTCTTTTTCTTTTTTTTGAGATGAAATCTCACTCTGTTGCCCAGACTGGAGTGCAGTGGCATGATCTCGGCTCATTGCAACCTCCGCCTCCCAGGTTCAAGCAATTCCCCTGCCTTAGCCTCCCAAGTAGCTGGGAGTATAGACACGTGTCACCATGCTTGGCTGGTTTTTTATATTGTTAGTAGAGACGGGGTTTCACCGTGTTAGCCAGGATGGTCTTGATCTCCTGACCTTGTGATCCACCCTCCTCGGACTCCCAAAGTGCTGGGATTACAGGCATGAGCCACCACGCCCGGATGATTATATTTTATAAAAAAGCAAAACTGCAGTGTTTCTTGGGAGGAAGCAGAGCCATTATAGCTATTTATATGCTCTTGGCCTCTTATAGATCTAAGAAGTTTAGATTAAAATATTTATGTTTACTGAAGAAACTTACTTTCATCTCAAATATTTCAAAATTTCCAAATATAACCTATCCTTTAATTATATTTTATAGCTTTTGTTGTTATTGTTGTTGTTATTTGTTTTTTATTTTTATTTTTTAGACAAGGTCTCACTTTGTCACCCAGGCTAGAGTGCAGTGAGTGCCGATCCTCCTGCCTCAGCCCTGCCAAGTAGCTAGGACTACAGGCATGTGGTACTATTCCCGGCTAATTTTTTTGTCTTTTTTGTAGAGAGGAGGTTTCACTATGTTGCCCAGGCTGGTCTCAAACTCCTGAGCTCAAGCAATCCACCTACCTTGGCCTCCCAAAGCGCTGGGATTACAGGTATGAGCCACTGTGCCTGGCCGTATTTTATAATTCTGATAGTCTTGTGGACTGTTAAGCTCAACACATTCATTTCTACCAGCCAATGGAAACAGAGAATGGTCATAAATGGTATTTAAACTGTGGTAAGAATGGATTCCATTTTTATGATTTTGTACTCTCGTTAAGTGAGAAATAAGAAAATGCCTGCATAATGCTATCATTTCTTCTAAAGCCAATTATCTTGGCCTTCAAAACAAGTTGTGAGAATGTCAATGCTTGAGACATTTTCGAAATTGTTATTACTTGTTTATGTTTTTCTTTTATAAAAAATAATTGCCATAAATTGTGACAGGCTGCCTTTTCAACACTTTTCATTTAAATGCTCATTAACTCATTTGGGATAATTAAAATGTTCCCAATGAGAAAGTCAGCTTTTTACGTGAAGCATACAATCTTGTTTTTGAAATTCCAGAAAAATGCTTAGGGAACACCAATTGCAACTTAACATTTGTCCTGTGGCTTTAAGGGAAGAAAGCAGTTTCTGTTAAATAAAAACTTTAATTCTTTTGACCCAGCACACAGTTAGTCTCCTACCCTAAATTTGTCTCTATGATTTAATATTTTGCCTTCTTAGCAAATATTTTGAAACAAGTAGTAAAAGAGATAATTTTTGTTAAAATACTTTCATGAAAATGATTAAACATGATTTGGAAGAAGAAGAAACTAATCTGTGTAGTTTAAAAGGATGAGGTGGCTTTTGTATGATTATAAAGTTTTAACAGTTTAAATTGAGAGAACATTTGTCAAAAAGCCAACATTCAGAACACTTAAACATTTCTTATTAACTCTGGTTAACCCTATTAACTATTTCAATGGAAATAAAAACAACCTATTCTCACACAAAGCCAAGAAAAATGAGACATTCTAGTATTTTGAATGTATTGATGCCTTAAACCTTCTACATAATTGAAAACAATTAGGTCTACGTAAAAAAGTCCTTGTCATATGAAAATTTGGCTGGAAACTAATGAAATAATCTGTGCATTATGTAACTACTTAACATATTTTTATTTGATTAGGTGACTAATCAGATGAATTAGAGAGATAATAAAATTGGCTTTAAAATTTTACATTAACATATTCCCTGAAGTCTTTCTTAAATGTCTATTGTGGTATAAAATATGTCTATTGAAAGGAAAGATACTAAATAGGCAATTTAATCTTTAAAATATATGTAGTTTGACTGAAAAACAAAAACAAAAATCTGTGGCCTAGAAATGAATGTGTGATACATAAGTCTGGAGAGATTACCAGGTGACAGACAATTTCTGCTTTAGAGATGGATATTGTTACAAAAAAGCTACAAGCATACATTTTAGCAAATAAATTATGTCGTGCACTAAATGGCAACTTCATTTTGGGGACTGAGACTGAGGATGATGTTCTCTACACACTTTGAGCCCTAGTGCTGCCTAATAAAAGCAAACAATGAAGAATGGACTTCCTTTGTAATACGTGCATTGATTAAACTGGGCTGGAGGAGAGATGATGCAACTGAAAATATGGTGGAATGATTAGCTGAGTATAAGTAAAATAAAGATATCTGGGATTCACTACAGGTTAAATGTTAACATGTGCATAAGCTGTTCGATACTGTTCTAAAAACAAGCAAAGTAATAGTGGATGCAGTGGAATAGAGTTTATAAGGAAACTTACAAGCTTTCATGAAAGGGTAATACCGAAGGCCAATTAAAATTTAGAATAAATTATTGGATTACATAATCATCATTTTGGAACTCCTAATGATCCTACTAATCCAGGTAAAAATTATCATCTGAAACAACTACATGAATGATTGATGAGAAACATGAAAAGCTGCAAATGTAACCATTTTCTAAATATCTCTGACGTGCAAAGAGGAAAAAATAACTACAATGAAACAGTTTTTCAGCCCCTTAGTACAATGTTTAATCTTAGTACCACTAATGATTGGTCAACCAGAAAATGAGTTTTCTGATATGATGCATTACCCAGCATTACTAATGTTATACTTACCTCAACAGTAGTTCTAATTTCTGGTTTGTAGGAATTGCAAAGGATAGAAGAAGAAGCTAGATAATGACAGAATTTAGAAAACTCTCTCTGTGAAACTGAGCAAGATATGGAAATGCCTTCACCTTTGCTCCTAGAAAATTTAGACCAATGAAGTTTTGAAGATACTGACATGACAGAACCATTTAAGCCTAATAATTTCTTCACAATGTCTCTGAACTCAACTTTCTCGTTTTATAGATCAGGAAAGGAATGTTAAGTTCAAAGGCAACCCACGCTTGTAAAAGCCAGTCAGCATTCTACCCCAGATCTTTTGATTCCTAAGTCAGGTATTCTTTGCCTAGTACCCTGTTATTCTTCAGGGGCTTGGTGGTACCCCACCAAGCGATATGTTCTCTATCACTAGAGAGGATGGGGGATAATTTGAAAGTTATACTACAGAGAAAATTTAAACAGCAAACTTGAGTCTGGACTAGGAGAACATCTTTAAGATCTTCTCTGAGAGTGCATGGTTCTGTGAGTAATCCACAGCCGGAGCAAGCAGGTGTTAGCTGGGTAATTTAGGAACCCACCCCCAGTCATACTCTTGTCTCTAAGAGTATAATTATTGCACATGGAGTAATTTCAAGAAATGGCTAATCACCACAAACAAAATAAAATGGCAAACTTGTTTTTAGCCCCTTAAGAATGGATAAAGAAAGCATTATTCTGATTATTTTTCATTACCTTCAGATAAATTCACATTGAAAAAAATGCATTTCCATTCTCCTGTCAAATTCAATTATATAATCATTTCATTTGAACTTCTTTTATGAAGAAAAATGAATATCACCTTCAAAATATTTGCAACTAATCTATAACAGCAGCTATATATCCTGCTTATATAATTTTTATAAAGTGTAAATTACAGTACAGATGTTAGTAATTATTTCATTCACTCCTAAAATGACCTTCGTAACTGTTTTGTACCAAAGCATATTGGTAGCTCTAGTTTCTCAATGCAGTTAAAAGAAAAGCACAAAGTCAAAATATTCCTCATCAGGTTAACGAGAATAAGTAGCAAACACCTGCCCTTTTGAAGATACAAAAATGTTTTTAACAGATTAGGTTCTGAGCTTCCTCATGAGATGATTACAGCCTTTTAAAACAAACTGTTTTTAGACATGGCCCTGTAAGCCCTGCTGGTAAATCAATAGACTAACAATTTTATTTTCTGTCTTTCACTCTGAGAGTATTGAAGAACTGTCCTCAAGGAAGTTTTCTCAGAGAGTTTTTCTTTTTTACACCTGCAGAGTAGAGGGGTGTGGTATTGATCTATACATTAAGAGAAGAAATAAAGCCTAAAACTTTGTATATGATGTCTAAATTTCATTTTCTGCACTCAGTGAAATAGAACAAAATGGAATAAATCAACACCATAAACCACAATAACAAAAACGCTTACTTCCTACATTACATAACCTCTCCTTTCTTCTTGTCGGTATAATTATTAATATACTACAGTTCTGATAGGTAAAATACTAATAACAAATACAGCATTTTTAAGAGGAAGGCAGTTAGAGAAGGAAAAAAGGCTGAGAACATGAATGATCTACAGTCGGAGCCTGAATAGCTTTTCTGCCTTACTTCCCTTTACGAATAGAAGACATTAATGTCCACACTCAGGACAAGGAATAGTATTGAACTTCCAAGGCTTTTGAGCTGTAGATCTTGCTCTGTCACCTATTTAAATAATTGAAAAACCTAACATTTTATTTTTATTTTCAAAACCCTCCTGATAATAAATATCATGATAATTTTTATTTAGTGGCTATCTCGTATGTGCCAAAAACATATGTTTTGTTTTTCCGTTTAATCCTCACAACTACTCCATGACATATATATTATTATCTCATTTAACAGATGAGGAAGTGAATTTTGTTTCAGCAAGTTGTTCAATTTACACAATGAGGAAATGGAAAAATTGGGATTTGACTTTAGATCTGACTTCAAAATTTATGTTCTTTTCTCTATACTGCAATCTTTTTAAGAAATTAGAGGAGATGTAGAGAACAAATGGGCTAGAGGCATAACTATTTTAATTCTTAATAACTGTCAATGTTGTTTACCCTGAATTTAAAGTTTTTAGAATTATACAAATTAAGATATTAGATTATATTTGAAATAAAACTAGAAGAGCTTACTAAACAATTTATATACATTTTAAATAAACAAACAAAAAATCCTCTAAATGCTTACTATCCTTTTGAGCTATTAAAATGTTTCTGTTTCAATAATGTTAGTTTAAATCTATATCCTAGCAATGGTCAGATGTTTTAATCATTAGTATACATTCCAGAGAAGGCTAGCTAGCATTTAATTTAAAAGACATATTCCAGATGTGGCTACTACAAGCTTCAGCTAGCTTCATGTCTCTCCAACATTATATTTTCCTATTTTTTTAAACAAAAATTAAAGATTATCTTTCTTTGGTGAAGTGAATGGTGTTGAAGATCTGTCAATGAGCTGAAATGTGGAGAAAGTTGCATGAATCGAATATAAGAATCTAGAATGAGCTCTTCATCCCTCATCATAGAATTAAGAATCTAGGTTTCATTCCCAAATGGTCCTGTGTTTAGTCAGTGATTCCAGCAGGTTTTTGGTCACATGACCCAGATTAACGTAGTTAGCTAAAATAATGTCACATTTGCCGTGGGGTGAACTTTTCATTTAATGTTTGTCAGAACACCCAAGGGACTGTTCATTCATACACAAGGGTTTGTGTCCCTATTTCATACCTGCTTACTACTAAATATCTGCAAGTGAGACAGAACTCTGTCTGAAACTTGCTTTCATTCAACAGTTGGAGAGGAGGAAGAGCTGTCTTCTCATTTACCTCTAACTTTCGAAGATTACTAATATTTATCAGAAAAAAATCTAGTTGTAGGTGGACAAATGGGCTTTGATCCATTAAAAACTAATATTCAGCTCCATGCATTATATGATCAATTCTATGATTACCTTGGGACAATTGTTACCTCCTCACCATTTCTGCATTTATATTACCAAAAGAGAATGCTAGAAGTCAGGCAGGGTACTCTTGTATCATTCCTAAACTAGTTTTTGGATGCACTTGGACTTTTGATGGGTCTCTGGAGAGATTGGCAGGTTACCAGGCTGCCTGAGGATACATCCATCTGCATAACTTGTAGAGCCAGGCCTCAAAATTGTCCAACAAACTGTTATCCTCTTAGAACAAGGGCTTCATCCAGATTTGGACAACAAAATAAATATCCTAGGAGTCAGGAGCTACCCCTTCAAACTGTTCAAGATTTGTGACAGTGTCGTATAAAAATCAGCAGATGTATTCTCTCAACAGTATTTTAAAAGTGGCTCCTGGGGTTTACAAAAAAGTATGTGGTCATTAGGTCCAGAAAGGTACCCTCCTTATTCGCTGCCTCATGATGTCTTGTGATTGCAAATAGAGCTATGTTGATTGGCCTGGCCACTGAGATGGGGCTCCTGGGCTCCCTGGAATGCATAACATGAGTAATTTTTACAATCACTAGGCTTAAACAGATCAACCTGGTGTTACAGGAAATAAAACTTAGTGAGTGTGTACTTGTACTATTTTTACAAATGGGATTTCTGTCTAAGATTTCTAGTCTGGGTGATATTTGACAAAAGAATTAACCTAGGATATATTATTTATTTTCAGTAATACAATTCTTTTTAATTTTTATTTGCAAATATCTTAAATCGAATGACATCCTTCCTAAAGGCAGATATTATCATAGTTGTACAATGACCACGAAAACATACCAGTTCTTAGGTTTTAGTGAGTTTAGGAAGTTTGTAGGAATGAATACAAACAGAAGGTTTGTTAAACTCCATTTAAATGAAAAACATCTGCAACTTTTCATTTTCCCACTCACATATATTGTTTGAGAGGGACTATGTCGTTTTCAAGATTGCTGGGAGTAAGCTGTAGAGTAGTTGGGAGCAAAACGGGATCCAGCCTCATACTGGGGATAAATATCATATCATTCTCTCACCAGTATAAAAATGCTATCTACCTTGTACAGTTGTTTTGAGGATTAAATGAGATAATTGCCATAAAGTAGTTAGGACAACATTTACAATAAACATGTCAACATCTTTACAATAAATAGATATTTAGATTTCCTTAGATAGAATTTAAGAAAACCCAACTTGATGAGATATAAAAATTAGGAGATAGTTTTATTTTAAAGGAATTTGAATAAGGAATATAAAGGAATTTGAATAAGAATATAACCCATATTATAATCATTAACTCTCCACAGTTGTGTATAATTGCTGAAAGCATCAATAAGTCAAAGTACCAAGAGTACTTAATATGGAATCAGAAGTCCTGGTTTGAATTCTAGCTGACAATAGATTGTTTGATATTCCTGAGCCTTATTTCAAAATTGTTCTGAAAATTAAATGAAATAATTTAAAACAAATGCCTATCATTGAGCGAGCATGTAACAGATGCTCAACAAATATTAGCTTATTCGTCCCATCTAAATTATATATTTCTGGAGAATAAGAAGTATGCTGTAAATTTCTCCTTATCTCTATGTAGCTCATTGATCTGCACACCCTTGGGGTCTTAACAATTAAATATTCCCAGACTTCATGAATAAAATGCATTTCTAACTTTGACCATGTGACAAAAGCACTGAATATGTGAATTTATTTGATTGCTTTCTCACTGAAATGTCTGAATGCTCTTCTGCACCTTACAATGTCAAGGATATTATTTTCTTCATAATGATATTCAAACAAATACAATGTTAAAAAATAAATTGCAGGAAACAGTGGGAAATAAAACTTACCAGGCAGAAGATCAAGAGGAATTAAGTCTCAAAGCTCTGGTCCACATGTCTATAAAATTGATTCGACTTAATAAGTTTGATGCAAAGAGAGTTGTATTGTTTGGGATGTGCACACACACACACACACACACATCTTTAACTGTCTGAGCACACCTTTCTGCCATTCATTTAGAATTCCATGAATAAATAAATATAAATAGGTTGTTTCTTTTTAAAAATCAGCTTTTTATCTGAAATTTCAAATGAAGCATATACTAATATATGAACAGACAGACTAAAAAGCATGGTAAACTGAAGAATGCCCAAATGCCAAAGACTACTCCTGATTGTTATACTCTTCTTGGTAAAAGAAGTACTGTATCTCTTACCACATGTTGATTAAATCTGTTTGTTTTTGTAAATATTTCTGTAATTTTTTTTTGCAACCACCACCAGACTTAAAGCATGGAGCTTTTTCACTCTAAAACTTTGTGGGGTAATTTGGGTAAAATGTTTTCTATCTGTTCTCCTAGCTAACCCCTATATATCCTTTAGAATTCAGCCTCAGTGTGTTCCAGGAAGCCTCTTCTTTTTCACTGTTCCTTTATCTTTCTGTTTTTGACTAGCAAAATGCCCTGAGTAATATGAAAGTGCCTCCACAGTATTAAAACTGTAGTGTTTCTGTCTGTCTTATACACCAGAATGTGAAAATCTTTAAGGCAAAGACTTCATCTTCTTTCATCTTGAGTCTAATCCTCTAGCATGGTGCCTGGCACATAACACAGGCTCAATAGACATTTGTTGAACTGAATTGAATCTATTTATAGAACAGTTTGTTTAACTAAATTTATTCTAAAGTGATTCCCAAGTTTCCACTAGTCCAAGAAGAATGCTACTTTATGTACAGCTTCCTGAAGGAGACATTAATATGTATTTTTTATGAAAGCAGTTTCTGATTTGTGTTGCAGTGATAGATTTCAGCATCTGATGATAGGTTTCAGTGATAGGAGAGTGATACCACGTATGTAATTCACAAAAGGCGTAACGTGTAACGCTCAGCAATTGGCTGAGTTTAGGGACATAAGCTCATCTCCAGGCTACCACTACACACGTGACTGAGTTTTACCTTGTGTTTTTGGTTTTCTGCTTTGCAAAAGAAAACAAGTCACTGCTTCTTTCTACCTAACAGGAGGGACCAGAAAACCTACCCTGCACAACCAGATCATAAAAGGTGAGTTTTTAATTGATAAGGGCTCATCCTCTCAAAGAGTTCTTTCACTTACATAGTCATTCCAATTACTAATAACTAAATCTGCAAAATAAATGTAGAAATAACAGCTGATCTTAAGAAGTGTAATTTAGTGATTTATTTTCAAAGATGGCCAAATAGGAACAACTCTGGTCTACAGCTCCCAGCGAGATCGACATAGAAGACGGGTGATTTCTGCATTTCCAACTGGGGTACGTGGTTCATCTCATTGGGACTTGTTGGACAGTGGGTGCAGCCTATGGAGGGTGAGCCAAAGCAGGAAGGGGCGTCGCCTCAACAGGGAAGCACCAGGGGTCAGGGGATTTCCCTTTCCTCACAAAGAAAAGCCGTCAGTGACTGTAGCTGGAGGAATGGTAAACTTCTGCCCAAATACTGCACTTTTCCCACAGTCTTCACAACTGGCAGACCAGGAAATTCCACCCCCATGCCTGCCTTGGTGCATCCCAGGCCCACAGAGCCTTGCTTGCTGCTAGAGCAGTAGTCTGAGATCAACCCGGGTCACTGGAGCTTGGCGGAGGGAGGGGCATCTGCCATTGCTGAGGCTTGAGTAGGCGGTTCTATGCTCACAGTTTAAACAAAGCAACAGGGAAGCTCAAAGTGGATGGAGCCCACTGCAGCTCAGCAAGGCCCACTGCCTCTCTAGATTCCACCTCTGGGGGCAGGGCATATCTGAACAAAAGGCAGCAGACAGCTTCTGCAGACTTAAATGTCCCTGCCTGACAGCTCTGAAGAGAGCAGTGGTTCTCCCAGCACAGTGTTCGGGCTCTGATAACAAACAGACTGCCTCTTCAAGTGGGTCCGTGAACCCTGTGTAGCCTGACTAGGAGACAAGGGGCCGACAAACACCTCATACGGGCAGGTGCCCCTCTGTGGCAAAGCTTCCAGAGGAAGGATCAGGCAGCAATATTTGCTGTTCTGCAGCCTCCACTGGTGATACCTAGGAAATCAGAGTCCAGAGTGGATCTCCAGCGAACTTCAACAGACCTGCAGCTGAAGGTCCTGTCTGTTAGAAGGAAAACTAACAAACAGAAAGGAATAATATCAACATCAACAAAAAGGACATCCACACCAAAAGCCCATCTGTAGGTCACCAACATCAAAGACCAAAGGTAGATAAAAACACAAACATGGGGAGAAACCAGAGCAGAAAGGCTGAAAATTCCAAAAACCAGAACACCACTTCTCCTCCAAAGGAACACAGGTCCTTGCCAGCAAGGGAACAAAATTGGATGGAGATTGAGTTTGACCAGTGACAGAAGTAGACTTCAGAAGCTTGGTAATAAGAAACCTCTCTGAGCTAAAGGAGCATGTTCTAACCCATCACAAGGAAGCTAAAAATCTTGAGAAGTTTAGATGAATGGCTAACTAGAATAACCAGTATAGAGAAGAGCTTAAATGACCTGATGGAGCTGAAAACCACAGTATGAGAGCTTTGTGAAGCATACATGAGCTTCAGTAGCTGATTTGATCAAGCAGAAGAAAGGATATCCATGAATGAAGATCAAATTAATGAATAAAGCAAGAAGACAAGATTAGAGGGAAAAGACTGAAAAGAAATGAACAAACCCTCCAAGAAATATGGGACTATGTGAAAAGACCAAATCTACGTTTGATTGGTGTACCTGAAAGTGATGGGGAGAAAGGAACCAAGTTAGAAAACACTCTTCAGGATATTATCTGGGAGAACTTCCCCAACCTAGCAAGATAGGCCAACATTCAAGTTCAGGAAATCCAGATAACATCATGAAGATACTCCTTGAGAAGAGCAATCGCAAGACACATAATTATCAGATTCATCATGGTGGAAATGGAGGAAAAAATGTTAAGGGTGACCAGAGAGAAAGGTTGGGCTACCCACAAAGGGAAGCCCATCAAACTAACAGTGGATCTCTCTGCAGAACCCCTACAAGCCAGAAGAGAATGGGGACCATATTCAACATTCTTAAAGAGAAGAATTTTCAACCCAGAATTTAATATCCAGCCAAACTAAGCTTCATAAGTGAAGGAGAAATAAAATCTTTTATGTACAAGCAAATGCTGAGAGGCTTTGTCACCACCAGGCCTGCCTTACAAGATCCCCTGAAGGAAGCACTAAACATGGAAAGGAGTAACCGGTACCAGCCACTGCAAAAACATGCCAAATTTTAAAGACCATCAACACTATGAAGGAACTGCATCAATTAAAAGGAGAAATAACCAGCTAACATCATAATGACAGAATCAAATTCATACATAACAATATCAACCTTAAATGTAAATGGGCAAAATACCCCAATTAAAAGACACAGACTGGAAAATTGGATAAAGAGTCAAGACCCATTGGTGTGCTGTATTCAGGAGACCCATCTCACGTGCAAAGACACAAATAGGCTCAAATTAAAGGGATCGATGAAGATCTACCAATCAAATGGAAAGCAAAAAAAGCAGAGGTTGCAATCCTAGTCTCTGATAAGACAGACTTTAAACCAACAAGGTCAAAGGAAACAAAGAAGGGCATTACATAATAGTAAAGGGATCAATTCAACAAGAAGAGCTAATGTTTCTAAATATATATGCACCCAATACAGGAGCACCGAGATTCACAAAGCAAGTTCTTAGAGACCTACAAAGAGACTAAGACTCCCACACAATAATAGTGGGAGACTTTAACCCCCCACTGTCAAATTTAGACAGACCAATGAGACAGAAAATTAACAAGGATATGCAGGACTTGAACTCAGCTCTGGACCAAGTGGACCTAATAGACATCTACAGAACCCTTCACCCCAAATCAACAGAATATACATTCTTCTCAGCAACACCTCACACTTATTCTAAAATTGACCACATAATTGGACGTAAAACACTGCTCAGAAAATGAAAAATATCTGAAATCATAACAAACTTTTTCTCAGACTACAGTGCAATCAAATTAGAACTCAGGATTAAGAAACTCACTCAAAACTGCACAACTACATGGAAACTGAACAACCTGCTCCTGAATGACTACTGGGTACATAACAAAATGAAGGAGAAATAGATGTTCTTTGAAACCAATGAGAACAAAGACACAACATACCAGAATTTCTGGGACACATTTAAAGCAGTGTTTAGAGGGAAATTTATAGCATTAAATGCCCACAAGAGAAAACAGGAAAGATCTAAAATTGACACCCTAACATCACAATAAAAAGAACTAGAGAAGCAAGAGCAAACATATTCAAACACTAGCAGAAGACAAGAAATAACTAAGATCAAAGCAGAACTGTAGGAGATAGAGACGCAAAAAAACCTTCAAAAAATCAATGAATCCAGGAGGTGGTTTTTTGAAAAGATCAACAAAATAGATAGACCACTAGCCAGACTAATAAAGAAGAAAAGAGAGAAGCATCTAATAGAAGCAATATAAAATGATAAAGGGGATATCACCACCGATCCCATGGAAATACAAACTACCATCAGAGAATACAATAAACACTGCTATGCATATAAACTAGAAAATCTAGAAGAAATGCATAAATTCCTGGACACATACACCCTCCCAAGACTAAACCAGGAAGAAGTTGAATCTCTGAATAGAACAATAACAGGTTCTGAAATTAGGTAATAATTAATAGCCTACCAACCAAAAAAAGTCCAGGACCAGAGAGATTCACAGCCAAATTCTACCAGAGGTACAAAGAGGAGTTGGTACCATTCCTTTTGAAACTATTCCATTCAATAAAAAAGAGGGAATCCTCCCTAATTCATATTATGAGGCCAGCATCATCCTGGTACCAAAACCTGGCAAAGACACAGCAAAAAATGAGAATTTTAGGCCAATATTCCTGATGAACATTGATGCAAAAATCCTCAATAAAATACTGGCAAATTGAATCCAGTAGCACATCAAAAAGTTTATCCACCACGATCAAGTTGGCTTCATCCCAGGGATGCAGGGCTGGTTCAACATACGCAATCAATAAACATAGTCTATCACATAAACAGAACCAATGACAAAAACCACATGATTATCTCAATAGATGCAGAAAAGACCTTCAACAACATTCAACAGCCTTTCATGCTAAAAACTCCAATAATTAGATATAGATGGATTGCATCTCAAAATAATAAGAGCTATTTATGATAAACCCACAGCCAATATCATACTGAATGGGAAAAACTTGAAGCATTCCCTCTGAAAACCAGCACAAGACAAGGATGCCCTCTCTCAGCACTCCTATTCAACATAGTATTGGAAGTTCTGGCCAGGGAGATCAGGCAAGAGAAAGAAATAAAGGGTATTCAGTTAGGAAAAGAGGAAGTCAAATTGTCTCTGTTTGCAGATGACATGATTGTATATCTAGAAAACTCCATTGTCTCAGCTCAAAATCTCCTTAAGCTGATAAGCAACTTCAGCAAAGTCTCAGGATACAAAATCAATGTGCAAAAATCACAGGCATTCCTATACACCAAGAACAGACAAACAGAGAGCCACATCATGAGTGAACTCTCATTAACAATTACTACAAAGAGAATAAAATACCTAGGAATCCAACTTACAACGGATGGGAAGGACCTCTTCAAAGAGAACTACAAACCACTACTCAATGAAATAAAAGAGGACACAAAGAAATGGAAGAACATTCCATGCTCATGGATAGGAAGAATCGATATCGTGAAAATGGCTGTACTGCCCAAGGTAACTTATAGATTCAATGCTATCCCCATCACCCTACCACTGACTTTTTTCACAGAACTGGAAAAAAACTATTAAATTTCATATGGAACCCCAAAGAGTCTGCATGGCCAAGACAATACTAAGGAAAAAGAACAAAGCTGGAGGCCTTATGCTACCTGACTTCAAACTATACTACAAGGCTACAGTTACCAAAACAGTGTGGTACTGGTACCAAAACAGATATATAGACCAATGGAGCAGACCAGAGGCCTCAGAAATAACACCACACATCTACAACCATCTGATCTTTGACAAACCTGACAAAAGCAAGCAATAGGGAAAGGATTTCTTATTTAATAAATGGTGCTGGGAAAACTGGCTAGCCATATGCAGAAAGCCAAAACTGTATCCCTTCCTTACAACTTATATAAAAATTAACTCAAGACGGATTAAAGACTTACATGTAAGACCTAAAACCATAAAAACCCTGGAAGAAAACCTCAGCAGTACCATTCAGGACATAGGCATGGGCAAAGACTTCATGACTAAAACACCAAAAGCAATGGCAAGAAAAGCCAAAATAGACAATTGGGATCTAATTGAAGTAAAGAGTTTCTGCACAGCAAAAGAAACTATTATCAACTATCATCAGAGTGAACAGGCAACCTACAGAATGGGAGAAAAAAATTTACAATCTGTCCATCTGACAAAGGGCTAATATCAAGAATCTACAAAGAACTTAAACAAATTTACAAGAAAACAACAACCCCATCAAAAAGTGGGCAAAGGATATGAACAGACAATTCTCAAAAGAAGACATGTATGCAGCCAACAGACACATGAATAAATGCTCATCATCACTGGTCGTCAGAGAAATGCAAATCAAAACCACAATGAGGTACCATCTCACGCCAGTTAGAATGACAATCATTAAAAAGTCAGGAAACAACAGATGCTGGAGAGGATATGGAGAAATAGGAATGCTTTTATACTGTTGGTGGGAAAGTAAATTAGTTCAACCATTGTGGAAGACAGTGTGGCAATTTCTCAAGGATCTAGAACTAGAAATATCATTTGACCCAGCAATCCCATTACTGGGTATATACCCAAAGGATTATAAATCATGCTACTGTAAAGAACATGCACACATATGTTTATTGCAGCACTATTCACAATAGCAAAGACTTGGAACCAACCCAAATGTCCATCAATAATAGACCGGATATAGAAAATATGACACATATACACCGTGGAATAGTATGCAGCCATAAAAAAAGATGAGTTCATGTCCTTTGCAGGGACATGGATGAAGCTTGAAACCATCATTCTCATCAAAATACCACAAGGATAGAAAACCAAACACTGCATGTTCTCACTCATACGTGGGAGTTGAACAATGAGAACACATGGACACAGGGAGGGGAACATCACACACTGGGGCCTGTTTGGGGGTCGGGGGCTGGGGAGGGATTGCGTTAGGAGAAATACCTAATGTAAATAATGAATTGATGGGTGCAGCAAACCAACATGGCACACATGTATTATGTAACAAACCTGCATGTTGTGCCCATGTACCCTAGAACTTAAAGTATAAAAAAAAGTGTGATTTGGTAATTGTATTAGCCCATTCTCACGCTGCTGTAAAGAACTGCCTGAGACTGGGTAATTTATAAAGGAAAGAGATTTAATTGACTCACAGTTCCACATGGCTGTGGAGGCCTCAGGAAACTTAAAATCATGGCTGAAGGGGAAGCAAACATGTCCTTCACATGATGGCAGGAAGAGGAAGTGCCAAACAAAAGACGGAAAATCCCCTTGTAAAACTGCCAGATCTTTTGAGAAGTCACTCACTATCACAAGAACAGAAGCATGGGTTTAACCACGCTTATGATTCAATTACCTCCAAGCAGGTCCCTCCCACAACATGTAGAGATTAGGAGAACTATGATTCAAGATGAGATTTGGGTAGGGACATAGCCAACCATATCATTCCCCCTCTGACCCTTCCCAAATCTCATGTCCTCACGTTTCAAAACACAATCATGCCTTCCCAAAATTCCCCCTAAATTCTTAACTAATTTCAGCATTAACCCAAAAGTCCAAGTTCAAAGCCTCATCTGAGACAAGGCAAGTTTCTTCCACCTAGGAGCCTGTAAAATTGAAAGCAAGTTAGTTACTTCCTATATGCAATGGAGGCACAGGTATTGGGTAAATACAGCCATTCCAAATGGGAGAAATTGTCCAAAACAAAGGGGCTATAGGCCCTTTTCAAGTCCAAAATCCAAAGATGCAATAATTAAATCTTAAAGCTCTGAAATAATCTCCTTTGACTCATTGTCTCACATCCAGGACATCCTGATGCAAAAGGTGGGCTCATAGAACCTTGGGTAGCTCCACCACTGTGGCTTTGCAGGGAAATTCCTCCTCCTGGCTATTTTCATGGGTTGGCATTGAGTGTCTGTGGCTTTTCCAGGCAAACAGTTCAAGCTGTTGGTGGATCTACCATTCTGGGGTCTGGAGGATGGTGGTCCTTTTCTCACAGCTCCACTAGGCAGTGTCCCAATGGGAATTCTGTGTGGGGGGGTCCAACCCCACCTTTCTCTTTTGCACTGCCCTAGCTGAGGTTCTCCATGAGGACTCCATCCCTGTGGTAAACTGCTGCCTGGATACGTAGGCATTTCCATACATCCTGTGAAATGTAGGCAGAGGTTCCCACACCTCAATTCTTGACTTCTGTGCACCATCAGGCCCAACACCACGTGTAAGCTGCCAAGCCTTGAGGCTTGCACCCACTGAAGCAACAGCCTGAGCTACATATTGACCCCTTTTTGCCATGGCTAGAGTGGCTGGGAGGCAGGTCACCAAGTCCTTAGTCTACACACAGCAGGGGGTCCCTGGCCCTGGCCCTTGAAACCATTTTTTCCTCCTAGGCCTTCAATCTTGTGATGGGAGGGGCTATTCTTTGACATGGCCTGGAGACATTTTCCCCATTGTCTTGTGGATTAACATTAAGCTCCTCATTACTTAAGTAAATTTCTGCAGCCAGTTTGAATTTTTCCTCAGAAATTTTCTATTGCATCCTCAGGCTGCAAACTTTCCAAACTTTTATGCTCTGCTTATCTTTTAAACATAAATTCTAATTCTAAACCATATCTTTATGAATACATAAAACTGAATGATTTTAACAGCACCCAAATTACCTCTTGAATGCTTTGCTGCTTAAAAATTTTTTCTGACAAATACCCTAAATCATCTCTCTCAAGTTCAAATTTCCACAGATCTCTAGGGCAGAGGCAAAAAGCCATCAGTCTCTTTGCTAAAGCATAGCAAGAGTGACCTTTACCCCAGTTCCCAACAAGCTTCTCATCTTCATCTGAGACCACCTCAGCCTGGACTTCACTGTCTATATCACTGTCAGCATTTTTTCAACAAGTCTCTAGGAAGTTCCAAACTTTCCTGCATTTTCCTGTCTTCTTCTGAGCCCTCCAATCTGTCCCAACCTCTGCCTGTTACCCAGCTCCAAAGTTGCTTCCACATTTTCTGGTATCTTTATAGAAGCACCCCATTCTCCACAGTACCACTTCACTGTATTAGTCTTTTCTCATGCTGCTATTAATAACTGTCTGAGACTGATAATTTGTAAATAAAAGAGGTCTAATTGACTCACAGTTCTGTATGGCTCGGGAGGCCTCAGGAAACTTACAATCATGGTGGACAAGGAAGCAAACACATCCTTCTTCACATGATGGCAGCAAGGAGAAGTGCCGAGCAAAGAGGGAAGAGTCCCTTATAAAACCATCAGATCTCAAGAGAACTCGCTCACTATAATGAGAACAGCAGCTTGAGGGCAACCACTCCCATGATTCAATTACCTCCCACCATGTCCCTCCCATAACACATGGAGCTTATGGGAACTACAGTTTAAGATGAGATTTGAGTGGGGACACCGCCAAGCCATATCAGTAATTATGTATAAAGGCAGTTTAGATGAGAGAGTAAAATGCTAGCATAGAGGAAAATACAACTCCTGGTTAATAGAAGTCATATATGCCATAGAATTGCATCCATTTAGGATAGCAGATGTCTTCAGGATATTTCCAGTTATCTCCTGGAGCTAGGATAAAAGGATATACTTTATTTCTTTTACAAGGAAATTGAAAAATTAGAAAACAATTTTACACACTCAATATAGGCTTCATTTCTCAAAAATACTATAAGAATCACAATGCAACAATAGTCTTTTATTTATGAATCACAGCCAAGATCCGAGGGCTGCAGATCTCTATAAATAATCTATTCTTTCAAAACACAAATCCTTTTTTTTAAATCTGCATTTTGGATGGAAGTACTGACTCCATTTAAAATGAGGAAAACTAAACAACAGAGACAGTATGTTTTTGACATAGGAATACTAATAACGCCTTAGGAAAATTAACCATTTCATATTTTCACTACTTGGATCTTTGGGGTTCATTTCTTTAATATGTTTATTATTTAGGTTTTTTTTTTTTTTTTTTTTTTTTGAGATGGAGTTTTGCTCTTATTGCCCAGGCTGGGGTACAATGGTACAATCTGGGCTCACCGCAACCTCTGCCTCCTAGGTTCAAGTGATTCTCCTGCCTCAGCCTCCCAAGTAGCTGGGATTACAGGCATGTGCCACCATGCCTGGCTAATTTTTGTATTTTTAGTAGAGATGGGGTTTCTCCATGTTGGTCAGGCTGGCCTTGAACTCCCAACCTCAGGTGATCCTCCCAAAGTGCTGAGAATCCAGGCATGAGCCACCACACCTGGCCTATTTAGTTATTTTAACAAATTTTATTGTAAATCGACAAATTATAAGTGTGTATATGTATGGGGTACGAAGTGATGCTATGATATATGAATACAAGCCTACCTTGTTTTATTGTGCTTTGCTTTATTGTGCTAGGCAAATATTGCATTTTTTTACAAATTGAAGGTTTGTGGTAACCTGTGTTGAGCAAGCCTATGGGTTTCATTTTCAACAGCACATGCCCACTTTTGTCTCTGTGTTACATTTGGTAATTATTATAATATTTTAAACGTTTTTATTGTGATGATTTCTGTTATGGTGACCAGTAGTCAGTGACCTTTGAAATCACTGCTGTAATTATTTTGGGATACCACAAACTATGTCCATATAAGATGATGAACTTAATTGATAAATTTTGTATATGTTCTCACTGTTCCATCTACCAGCCATTCCCCAATCTCTCTCCCTCTCCTCACGTGTCCCTATTCCCTGAGATGTGACAATATTGAAACTAGATCAATTAATAACACCATAATGGCCTCAAAGTGTTCAAATGAGAGGAAGAGTTCCATGTTTCTCCCTTTAAATCAAAAGCTAGAAATGATTCAGCTTATTGGGAAAGGCACGTCAAAAGCCGAAATAGATGGAAATCTAGGCTTCTTGGGCAAAATAGCTAGCCAAGTTGTAAATGGAAAGGAAAAGTTATTGAAGGAAATCAAAAGTACTATTGCAGTAAGCATGTGCAAGATAAGAAAATGAAACAGGCTTATTTCTGATATGAAGAGTGTTTAGTGACCTGAATAGAAATCAAATTAGCCACAACATTTCCTGAAGCCAAAACCTAATTCAGAGCAAGGTTCTAAATCTCTTCAATTCTGTAAAGGCTGAGAGAGGTAAGGAAGCTAAAGAAGCTAAGAAGCTAACAGAGGTTGGTTCATACAGCTTAAGGAAAAAAGCTGTAACATAAAAGTGCAAGGTGGGCCAGGCGCAGTGGTTCACACCTGTAGTCCCAGCACTTTGGGAGGCTGAGGTGAGCAGATCATGACGTCAAAGGATTGAAACCATCCTGGCTAACACGGTGAAACCCCTTCTCTACTAAAAATACAAAATTAGCCAGGTGTGGTGGCAGGTGCCTGCAGTCCCAGCTACTCGGGAGGCTGAGGCAGGAGAATGGCGTGAACCTGGGAGGCAGAGCTTGCAGGGAGCTGAGATTGCCCCACTGCACTCCAGCCTGGGCAACAGTGCGAGACTCCATCTCAAAGAAAAAAAAAGTGCAAGGTGAAATAGCAAGTGCTGCTGTAGAAGCTGCAGCAAGTTATCCAGAAGATCTAGCTAAGATAATTGATGACGGTGGCTATACTAAACAGCATATTTTCCATACAGTCAAAACAGCCTTCCATTAGAAGATGCTATCTAAGACTTTCATAGCTAGAGGATGGAAATCAAAATCTGGGTTCGAAACTTCAAAGAACAGTGCGGCTCTCTTATCAGAAGCCAAGCAGCTTGTGACTTTAAGTTGAAGCCCATGCTCATTTACCATTCTGAAAATCCTAAGATCCTTATGAATTATGATAAATCTGCTTTGCCTGTGCTAGAACAACATAGCCTGGATGACAGCACATCCTTTTAAGGCATAGTTTACTGTTTATATGTTTATAGCCATAGTTTATCTATTATTTTAAGCTCACTGTTGAGATCTACTGCTCAGAACAACAAGATTACTTTCAAAGTATTATTGCTCTTTGACCATGCACCTAGTCATTGAAGAGGTCTCAAGGATATTAAAGATTTTTCATGCTGGCTAACGCAGCATCTATTTTGCAGTCCATCAATCAAGGAGTAATTTTGACTTTCAATTCTTATCATTTAAGAAATATATTTCATAAGGCTATAGCTGCCATAGAGGGATTCCTCTTATGGATCTGGGCAAACTGAATTGAAACCCTTCTCAAAAAGATTTGCCATTCAAAATGCTATTAAGAATATTAATGATTAATAGAAGAAGGCCAAATATTAACATTAAGAGGAACTTGGATGAAGTTTATTTCAACCCTCATGCATGACTTTGAGAGATCAGGACTTCAGTGGAGGAGGTAAATGCAGATATGGTGAAAATTGTGAGAACTACAATTAGAATTGGAACCTGAAGACATGACTAAATTGCTGCAATCTCATGATAAAATTTGAACAAACGAGGAGTTGCTTTATATAGATGAGCAAAGAAAGTGGTTTCTTGAGATGGAATTTACTCCTGATGAAGATGCTTTGAACACTGTTGTAATTACAACAAAATACTTAGACTATTACATAACACTAGTTGACAAAATAGTGACAGGGTTTGAAAGGTTTGACTCTAATTATGAAAACAGTTCTAGTGTGGGCAACATGCTATCAAACAAAACCACATGCTACAGAGAACTATTTTGTGAAAGGAAGAGTCAAACTTTTTCATTGTCCTATTTTAAGAAACTGCCACAGCCACTCCCAAATTTTCAGCATCCACCACTATGATTAGTCAGCAGCCTTCAACATCAAGGCGGAAGTCTCCACTTGCAAAATGAGTACCTCTCTTTGAAGGACCAGGTGTAGTCAGACAAAACTGAAAACCTAACTTAGTAGTGTGCACCTGTAACAATAGCTGAATGTTGGCCAATCCCAGCAGCCATGTTTCAGCCACTCATAGACTGCTGAATGTGCAAACTGCATTCAAATAAGGCAAACACCGAGTTGTAACTGATCTCACTGTTTCTGTTCCTCACTTCTGATTCCTGTACGTCATTTTACTTTTTTTTTTTTGTCTATAAATTTGTTCTGACCAGGAGGCACCCTGGAGTCTCTGTGAATCTGCTGTGATTCCGGGGGCTGCCCGATTCATGTATCATTCATTGCTCAATTAAACTCCTTTAAATTTAATTCAGCTGAAGTTTTTCTTTATCAGATGGTGTCAGAAGCAGGATCTGAAGTGGAGCTTCTAGCGAGCCCCACCAGGAGCGCTGAGTGAAAATACAAGGCACCTGCAGGACTCACTTGCATCCATTGATCTCTCAGAGTGCCTGGAGATGGTAGGTAAGTTCCCACTTGGGGTTCAGAGCTCCACGGATTTGTGTTTTCAACTCTTCTAGTTTCCTTGAGCAAACTTCTGATCCAAACTGGGTTTGGAGTCATGACAGAAACTGGACTGGACCCAGGAATGGATTTGACCCAGGAATTAACTGATTTGCATCCAGTTAGAGGCCTCTTACCTCTGACTGGGTCAGAAAGGAACTGATAGTAAGCAATCATGTTGCAGGGGTTATAAATTTTTGGCTTTTGACAATTCACAGGGATTTTTGTGTTCTATCCCTTTGTTTTATTTTTCTTGCGTGCTTAGGTAGGAAAAAAATACATTGGCTAAGTTAATCAAGAGAACCTGAGAGGAAAGCCAATATTTTAGGTAAAAATGGCATTCTTAATTTCTGAAAAACTGAGTTTCTTCTGGCTTCTACATAAGGTCAGGGAGGCAGCAAAGTCTTACAGAAATGGCAAAATCTTACTAAAGATAACTTACAGTGCAAAGTTCTGAATGAATAACAATGCATTGAAGTACCTTTAAAAATGAGGACTTTTGGTAAAGTCCCTTTCGTTTAAGAACGGGTTTGGCACTACGGGATGTCCACTGCTATTCTCTTTGGAATAATCTGCCTTGCACTCTTTGCTAGTGGCTGTAGGTGACAGGATTAGCCATGTGTGGCATCATGGGACATGGCAAGCTTTTTCCTCCCCCACAAAAAAAGGAGAAACTTGAGAGCTGATGGGAATGTTGGAAAAGATCCCTTCGCTACCAACAAGTGGCCGCCTGCACTTTTCTGTATCACTGAAATGAATGAGTCTTGCTCTGGCACCCCTGAGCTCTTCACCTTCCGCATCCTGCCACAGGCAACACTTTCCTTTTTCTTCTTTTCCTTTCTTGTCTTTTCTGTTACTCAGGGCAACCATCTTGCCCAGAGACCACATGTTGAAACTCCTAATCAGAGGTTGGATTAAAGATGACGAGACCCATCTGGGGGCAAATTTAAACTTTGCCAGTTTGATATTGGGTGCTAAGCAGGGTGGCTCATGTCTATATTTTATTACGGGTATTTTGCTCTGGCCAGAATGAAAAAAGGTAACTTTCTTTTATGATGCGGCTTGGCCCCCAAGGGTGATGATGCCACAAGTCAGATCACTAGGACTGCTCAGGGAAAGGGAACCCAGAGGCCTGGCATGCTGGCAAAAGGGTAAGAATTTCTTATTAGTCAGATTTCTGGCTTTTCTGTCTCTCTCTGTGCAAATGGTTGCATGAATGGTTAAAAATCACTGCTTATCTCCTCTGTAAACTTTTACTGTGAAAAATAATTCTGAGGCTAGTTTTAAGCTGTAGTTCATCTGCTCTATTTCGTGCTATGAATTCACTTTTCTGTGTCAAAGGATACCTTATGATAAAACATGGGCTTATGACCCCATAAGCTGGCTGCTCAAGATGGCCCAGCAACCTGGTCAGTAACAAACTTTGCTGCAATTCCCTAAAACAAACAAACAAACTGGGTAGGGTCTCCATCTTGTTTTAAGTCCTTAGGAGTTTGACCTTGTAACCAGGTGGCAGTACTTTCTCTTGGTCTCCACCTTCCAGGGAACAGTAATTTTAGGGTTTATGTCATAGTTTGCTCTAAAAATTATCTAGAGTAATTAAAAGTCTTTGCAAGCTCAAAATTAACTACTCCAAACTTCCTCTGGGAAAAGTAGCAGAGATTTACCTGTGCTATATAGCACGGTAGCTAAGGATTTTGCCCTTTCACACTGGCGGTCTGGGTTCAATTCCCTTCTTAGAAAGTGAGTCCTTTCTGGTTTAATATCTGCATGACCTTGCTTATTCTCTTTTCCTTCATGGACTATCTTAAATTTCCTTTATCTGGGCACCTGGGAGGTTACCTTTGGTAAAGTTCAAAAGCCAGTAATATCGACCGTCTGGCCTGGCTAAAATCAGGTAATAAGAACTTTTAAAAGGACTTTATTAAAGAGTGCTATTATTAAAGAGTTAAAAGTCAGCTTAATTAAATGTAGATATTCAAGCTCTAACAGCTTGGACTCCTTGGGGAAAACAAGAGGCATGAGAGACCCTTTTCCTGGCCCTGTTCTTCCAAGGACTCCACCATAAAGTCAATAACCAATTAAGATACTTATAAATCTTACAACTACTGTAGTAATCGTCTTCTGTCTGTGTAATTATATATGCGTTCTGTGTAATGTTTATATAAGAGCTCTAATTGGTTTAAACAAAAATAAGCACTTAAATATATTGAAAGCAAAATAAAAACTGTAATGCCTTTTAGTTCATATAACTTTAGTAATCTTTGGGAAATAAAAACAGCTTTAGGCCAGGCACAGTGGCTCACACCTGTAATCCCAGCACTTTGGGAGGCCGAGGTGGGTGGATCACCTGAGGTCAGATCACCTGGCCAACATGGTGAAATCCTGTCTTTACTAAAAATACAAAAATTAGCCAGGTGTCATGGCAGGTGCCTGTAATCCCAGCTACTTGGGAGACTGAGGCAGGAGAATCCCTTGAACACAGGAGGCAGAAGTTGCAGTGAGCCAAGATCACGCCATTGCACTCCAGCCTGGGTGACAAGAGTGAAACTCTGTCTCAAAAACAAACACAAAAACCCAGAAAAAAAAAACAGCTTTAAAGATTATTGATGAAATAAAGACATTTTGTCTATGCAGGGCAGATATCAGGTTTGCTAAATGCTTTAAGGTCATAAACTGCTTTGGCTTTTGAAAATTGTTCGATTTATTTTAGATTGAATTCTAAATAAGACCTAGGGATATATGGAATCAGCCATGTCCCCTAGCTATGCAAAGAAGATTATAAGGAAAAAGGATTTTATATGAGAAAGGATGTTCTATGGTAAATTCTTGTCCTAAAGTAAATGACTAGTTGCTTAAAAAGAGGGATGTTTAGGAAATATCAGAAAGTCTAAACGTGTTGTGCATGGTCTGTGTAAGTTGTGAAAGAATTTATGAAAAGGAATTTATGCCAGAAGTGTTGTATAATTTAAAGGTGATTAGGCTTCCTAAATGATTCATAAAATGTCACTATAACTCTTAATTGTACAGCTTGCCTGCTTTACATCTAGGTAAGGCCCGGAACATGTGGAATTAGATGCTGAAAAGAGTCAGACCTCATCTGCATTTCTCTCTGGGTCCTAGGCTACACAACTAGTACATAATTAAAATCCCTTACCTACCAATGTTTTCACCCAAAGTAAAAGTTGCTAAGAGTTAACATTGTAATATGTAATTGAGGCTACTGGAAAAGTAGGTTTACTTGCAAGGTGTGTAAGGAGAATGAAATGTGTTTTTTATAAGAGATTATAAGAAGATATGGGAATGTAAATTTTTGCCTAAGTTAGAAGATCAAAGGATTACTTTAAATAAAGCTAAAGGTTTGAACAAGTTATGGAAGGTTTATAAAAAATTAAGTGTAAGAGATTCTATGTGTGAACATATTGGCTAAAGTTAAAATGGTATTCAGTTTTTTTCCATTAATTGGACATTAAAAGCACAACAGTTTTCTTAGAACATTATTTTCCTCTGAGAAAAAATTATGAAGTGTTATAAGACGTTTATAAAAGTCTTACGTTATGGTCAAACTAAGTTCTAGATTATCATGCTAAAACATCCAATACTAAAATTGTTTAAATATACAATTCGAATGAACTCCGTGGTCTAAGTCAAATTACCCATGATAACCCATTAGTTATCAGTGCTATGGATCTAAGTTGGAGAAACAACTGGTATTCAAGAAGGACAAATGTCCAATGTTAATCATGGACTCATGAAGAACCAGGACAGCCACCTTGTCCTTCCTGAGTCCTTAAAGCTTTTGTTATTAAAGGTTCTATATTTCATGACTTGTCGTAAAAAAGAAAAAAATAATACAAATTGAATATATTGATGTGGTGACTTATAAATTGTGGAAATAGTTGAAAACAAATGTTTGGTTCTATATTCCTGGGAAGACAATCAAAGCTTCAGGTGTATTTGGCTACTTGATGGGCCATTTAAACATTTATAAAGAGATTTCATTCAGTTGTCATTTTCAATGCATGTTTTCTGGTTATATAAAAGCTTTCCCATGCAAGAGGGCTTTTGTTAAAGTGGTAGATTATTATGCTATAGTATATTTTCACCAGGTAAAGAACACTTTTTATGGTTCACTGAGGACAATTCCTTCACAATCTAGAACCCAAAGATTGGATTTTCTGAGAACATCAGAGAAGGACTGTCCTTGCCATCCACGCTACAGCAAAACTTTGGAGCCTTGAACCTTGGGTTCATAACCTCACAACTGAGAAGGGTCCCTCCACACTCCTGGAACTATACACCCATTGGAACCCTTAAGGTAAAACTAACCGGGAAAGTTTCTCCCCAGAAGAAGATGGCATTCTTAATGTGAACAGCTTTTCCCAGGATCATGGATCAAGACTTCTACTATCATGAGATTCTTATCTTTGTATTTTTTTCCTTGTTTATGTCTCTATGAACAATAGAAATGAAAAGAGAATCTATTATGTGCACTTATAGGGTACACTTTTATTTGTGAAGGATTTGCAGCCAGCCTTATACATTAGTAGCCTTATACTTTAGTAGTTAAAAGATGGAGGCCCAATGTAGGAGAGAAACTTTAGTGATGCATACGTTGCCTCATAATCAGTCAAAACTCCTCTTAACCTACATTATGGATTAAAGAGAACATTGCCAGGGGGCCTTCAATCTTCTAAAAGGATATCATTTGTTAGGTCCTTTTTCCATAGTTTAGAGTAAAAGAGGCAATAATTAGAAATGCCTCCCTCATAATAGGCTCTACAGCAACTTCTACTTTAAAGGCTATCATTACACAACAGACTTTAAATTTTCTTATGACTGTTATGTTAAATAATAGGCTCAACAGAAAAGTACCTGTGCAGCTGCTGACACTTGTGGCCTATGGAGAAACACATCAAATGTAGATTATAAAAATTCAGTTGTAGGGGGTTAATGAAAAGACCAGTTAGTCAAGCAAATAGACTCTTCATCTAGCTCATTCTTTATTTAATTTTAGCGGGTTTGGTTTATAGGGACCCTGGGTAGGGAACATACTCCAAATTCTTGGTATTATCCTCCCGACAGTCATATTAAGAGTCTCCCTTGTGCACTGTGCAGTGTATTCTTTCAAAGATTTTAAATGTTTGCATGCATCATCTGTAGAATATCAAATGGTTTCTCTTTGACTGGAATGACAAGAGCTGAAGGAAATGTACAACCATGAGGACACCATAACCTATGAATGACATGCTGAGACTGGAAACTCAAAATGATGGTAACTGAGAATGGCGATAAGGCCCTAAGTTTCGGTCACACTGTCACCTAAGTGAGAACCTGTCCAAAAAGAAGGAATTTTTAAAAAATTATCGGAGGCCATTATTTTGGACTAAGCTCATGCCCTAGGCAACAGCAAACTAAACCAAATTAAAATGGAGTCACTCATGCTAAATGTGATGTAATCAAACTAAGGCTTTAAGGAAACACATAGATCCTAGAACAGACCAGGTTTGTTTTTCCCCTGTAAATAGGATGTTCCAGCATAAGGAGGTACCCTCTACTCAGTCCTTATTCCCTCCTTGCAAAACCTGTTCTACCGTTTTCCAGTGGGTCTCAAAACCCTATACTTCTCCAAAATACAGAGGCCATCGTCTCCCTGCCTGTGCAGGGGATTGGGTTAGGCTCTGAAGCTGAGCGTGGAGACTAGCCAGGTTGAACTTCTCATTGTGCTTCTGAAAGTAGCCGCTCAGTTTTGTGGTTGGGCTATCCAGTTGGGTGGTATTTCCGATAGAATGTCACAGCTGTCAGGAACATAGAGGCACTACCAAGGTCAGTGGGCTGGTCACTTGTGAGTTCCACTGCCCTTCTTTGTTTCTACCTGCTGCTGGGTGTTCAAGCCCTGCCCTTACCCCATTGGTCCCTATGAGGTGAGACCAGAGTGGGCTTCCTGGGAAGGGTCTTGGAATGCTAGAGAAGCTGGATTGTTGCTTCTGGTTCTCTTTTCCCCCTGTAGAAACCCTGGACCCAGGGGAATACACTCCTTGTCTTTGTGCCAACTTCGGGGAGGAGACCAGTTCTGTTAAACTTCTAATTCAGTTTTTATTCAATTCTGTGGACCACATGGATGTCTCAGGCTTGTTATTGGAGTTTTCACAAAGATGCTAAGGACTGTGGATAGTTGCTAGTTGCATTTTCCATGGGGTGAAAGGGAAGCCTGAGAAATCTTATTTTGCCATCTTGCTGATTTCACTCCTTTAAAATGTCTATTTAAAAATTAGACTTAGAACAAAGAATGGTTAGGACAAAAAGGGACTGCAAAAGATCATTGCCACTTCAGGTAAAACAAATCCTCAATCACTTTAGACAGATGACTGTCTAAGAATTTAAAAATGATCAAACAAATAGAAAATTACTCTATAAACTCCCACATTGAAAATGACTTCATGGATAGTTGCAGTACAATACATAGTACTCATCAGAAATGGGTGTGGCCATTTACTTTTTACTTTCTTCTAATAATGTCAAATGCTATCTTGTCAAAGAAGAAATATATTTTATTCCATATCTTAGCATTAACACAGCCTTCCCTAATCAAAGCACAATTCAATAAGCAGTCATTGAATACTAATAATATATTAAAATTTACACTGAAGTTCATGTTGAATCTTCTAGATAGTTTAAAGGGCATAATCTAAGTAATCTCTTTTTTTTCATCTTCCTCCCTGTGGATTTAATGAAGTGGAAATCACCTTGGTAGAGCAGCAGGTGCCTTTTAGCTTTGTTGATGATTTACTTTGCCTTCAAATATTATTCTAGCACAGCATCTGTGAGCAAAGTCAGTTGTGCATTCCAGGCAGTTTCTTTTTTTTCTTCTTCTTCTTGATAATTTGTTATGCATCTTAATATATTTAAAAAAATTTTTGTTAGTCTTATATTGGTTTCTGGTTCCAGGAGAGTCACAAATGTTCACTTGCTTACATTTGTCTAAGTGCTTTTCCCACTTGTCCAGAACATCTTTAGCAGTTGGTCCACACTGATCTAAAGATTTTAAACAGTTATGAATGCAACATCTGTGACATTTAAATTTGTACAGAAAAGCTTTTAAAATTCTTTAGTTGTAAATTTTGAAGGCTCTCATTCTTTAAATGTTGAAAACTCCATGCTAGCAAAGACATTATTGTAAAAAGAATGTAAAGGCAAAAAAGTGTGTGTATATATAAAATACAGAATTAAAAACTAATTTCCAGTACAATTCTGTAGGTATAGAACAAAATCACAAAGGGTCTCCAACTCCCAATGGTTCAACTTATGATTTTTTGACTTTATGGTGGGTTTATCAGGACATAACCCCCTTGTACGTTGAGCTCCTTAACAACTTACAATTGGGTTACAATTTCTGCTGAATGCATATGCTTTTGTACCATAGTAAAGCCAAAAAAGTATAAGTCAAATCAACATAAGTCAGGGACCATCTACTATGGGGCCAGCATTAAATGCATTTATGACTTACAATATTTTTTTACTTATGATGGATTTATGGAAACAACCTCATAGTAAGTCAAGGAGTGTGTGTATTTAATATCCATGAAGTTTGTTTCCTAAGACAAATACTCTAAGAACTAATAATTTCAAGAAATGTTTTTCTTACAAGTCATACTCACATGTAAAGGATTTCAAAATAATAAACGATTACATTTTTCTATTTATATATGATGTCTTGCTCGAGCCATTTCCTAAAGCATTGCATTTAAAAAAGATACTTGAATTTTACTAAAAAATAATTCAAATAAAATCTCATACACGGTCTTCTAGCCTTTAATTTACTCAAATTATTTAAACAATCTATTGGAAAACCAATACGTTCATAATTGTCAGTGTACAGTGTTATTAGGAAGAAAAATGACATTTTCAAAGGTGACATATTAAAACAATCAAACTCAATTAAAGACATTAAAAATTTAAAGTTTCAAAGAACAAATGGATAAATTTACACAACATAATGAAGTCACACACTAAACCCCAAAGCCTGACTAAATTTAAGACTGTTACCGAGGTTTAGATGCATTAAACATAAATACATTAACCTAATGTAGTTATTCATTATGTTACAGTTTTAAATGAATAAATTTTACAAAAAACTTTCAGGGAGATTTTAGAGAGTTAATTTATAACCTCTTTTTTTTTTCTTCACCAAGCACTGAACAAATGAGGAAGACAAGGAGTAAGGATGTCAGCAATGAAAGTATAAGCATGTAGAGTTGATTTTTTAATTTGAGATAATTTTAAATTTACAGAAAAACTGTAAAGATGATATAGAGTTTCTGTACAACTTTACCTAGCTTCTCCTAATGTTAACATCTTATGTAACTATGGTACAATACTATTAACTAAACAACAGACTTCATTTGGATTTCCCTGGTTTTTTCACTGATGTTGTTTTTGTTTCAGGATCCAGTCTAGAGACCCAAATCACATTTAGCTGTCATGTTTCTTTTTCTTTTTATTTTATTTTATTTTATTTATTTATTTATTTTTATTATTATACTTTAAGTTTTAGGGTACATGTGCACAATGTGCAGGTTAGTTACATATGTATACATGTGCCATGCTGGTGTGCTGCACCCATTAACTCGTCATTTAGCATTAGGTATATCTCCTAATGCTATCCCTCCACCCTCTCCCCACCCCACAACAGTCCCCAGAGTGTGATGTTCCCCTTCCTGTGTCCATGTGTTCTCATTGTTCAATTCCCATCTATGAGTGAGAGCATGCGGTGTTTGGTTTTTTGTTGTCATGTTTCTTTTGTCTCCTCCAATCCATGACTGTTCCTATTTCTTTGTTATGACCTTGGCACTTCTGAAAAACACTAGTCAGGTATTGTGTGAATGTCCCTCAATTTGGATGTGTCTGATTTATTAGACAAATATTACAGATTTTTTAATCACCTCAAATATTGAATTCATTTACCATTGAACTAGAATTATATATATTCTTATACTTTAAGTTATTGGATACGTCGGCAGAATGTGTAGGTTTGTTACATAGGGGTACACATGTCATGGTGGTTTGCTACACCCATCAACAAGTCATCTATGTTAAGTGTATCTCCTAATGCTAACACTCCCCTAGCCCCCCAGCCCCCAAAAGGCCCCAGTGTGTGGTTCCCCTCCCTGTGTCCATGTGTACTCATTGTACAACTCCCACTTAGAGAACAAATGGTGTTTAGTTTCCTGTTCTTGTGTTAGTTTGCTGAGAATGATGGTTTCCAGCTTCATAGATGTACCTGCAAAGGATGTGAACTCATCCTTTTTTAATGGCTGCATAGTATTCCATGGTGTATATGTGCCACATTTTCTTTATCCAGTCTATCATTGATGGGCATTTGGGTTGGTTCCAAGTCTTTGCTATTGTGGACAGTGTCACAATAAACATACATGTGCATGTGTCTTTATAGCAAAATGATTTATAATCCATTGGGTGTATAACTAGTTATGGGATTGCTGGGTGAAATGGTATTTCTAGATCTAGATCCTTGAGGAATCACCACACTGTCTTCCACAGTGGTTGAACTGATTTACACTCCCACCAACAGTGTAAAAACATTTCTATTTCTCCACATCCTCTCCAGCATCTTTTGTTTCCTGACTTTTTAATGATTGCCATTCTAACTGGCATGAGATGGTATCTCATTGTGGTTTTTATTTGCATTTCTCTAATGACAAGTGATGATGAGCTTTTTTTCATGTTTGTTGGTTGCATACATGTCTTCTTTTGAGAAGTGTCTGTTTATATCCTTTGCCCATTTTTTGATGAGGTTGTTTTCTTCTTGTAAAGTTAAGTTCTTTGTAGATCCTGGATATTAGCCCTTTGTCAGATGGATAGATTGCAAAAATTTTCTCCCGTTCTGTAGGTTGCCTGTTCACTCTGATGATAGTTTATTTTGCTGTGCAGAAGCACTTTAATTAGATTCCATTTGTCAATTTTGTCTTTTGTTGCAGTTGCTTTTGGTGTTTTAGTCATGAAATCTTTGCCCATGCCTGTGTCCTGAATGGTATTGCCTAGGTTTTCTTCTAGGGTTTTTATGGTTTTAAGTATTACGTTTAAGTCTCTAAGCCATCTTGAGTTAATTTTTGTACAAGGTGTAAGGAAGGAGTCCAGTTTCAGTTTTCTGCATATGGCTAGCCAATTTTCCCAACACCATTTATTAAATAGGGAATCCTTTCCCCATTTCTTGTTTTTGTCAGGTTTGTCAAAGATCCGGTGGTTGTAGATGTGTGGTGTTATTTCTGAGGTGTCTGTTCTGTTCAATTGGTCTGTATATCTGTTTTGGTACCAGTACCATGCGTTTTGGTTACTGTAGACTTTCAGAATAGTTTGAAGTCTGGGAGCATGAGGCCTCCAGCTTTGTTCTTTTTGATTAGGTTAGTCTTGGCTATGCAGACTCTTTTTTGGTTCCATATGAAATTTAAAGTAGTTTTTTCCAATTCTGTGAAGAAAGTCAATGGTAGCTTGATGGGGATAGCATTGAATCTATAAATTACTTTGGGCAGTATGGCTGTGTTCACGATATTGATTCTTCCTATCCATGAGAATGGAATGTTTTTCCATTTGTTTGGGTCCTCTCATTTCGTTGAGCAGTGATTTTAGCTCTCCTGGAAGAGGTCCTTCACATCCCTTGTAAGTTGTATTCCTAGGTATTTTATTCTCTTTGTAGCAATTGTGAATGGGAGTTCACTCGTGATTTGGCTCTCTGTTTGTCTATTATTGGCTTACAGGAATGCTTGTGATTTTTGCACATTGATTTTGTATCCTCAGACTTTGCTGAAGTTGCTTAACAGCATGTCATCTGCAAACAGAGGCAAGTTGATTTCCTCTCT
Organism: Homo sapiens; assembly: GCF_000001405.40. NCBI lineage: Eukaryota > Metazoa > Chordata > Mammalia > Primates > Hominidae > Homo > Homo sapiens. Next base: position 141,988,998 of record NC_000004.12, read on the forward strand.
TCCTATTTGAATACACTTTATCTCTTGCCTGATTACCCTGGCCAGAACTTCCAATACTACGTTGAACAGGAGTGGTGAGAGAGGGCATCCTTGTCTTGTGCCTCTTTCAAAGGGAATGCTTCCAGTTTTTGCCCATTCAGTATGACATTGGCTGTGCATTTGTCATAAATAGCTCTTATTTTGAGATATGTTCCATCAATACCTAGTTTATTGAGAGTTTTTATTATGAAGTGGTGTTGAATTTTCTCAAAGGCCTTTTCTGCATCTGTTGAGATAATCATGTAGTTTTTGTCATTGATTCTGTTTATGTGATGAATTATGTTTATTGATTGCATATGTTGAACCAGCCTTGCATGCCAGGGATAAAGCTGACTCGATTGTGGTAGGTAAGGTTTTTCACACGCTGCTGAATTTAGTTTGCTGGTATTTTATTGAGGATTTTCTTATTGATGTTCATCAGGGATATTGGCCTGAAATATTCTTTTTTTGTTGCGTCTCTGCCAGGTTTTGGTATCAGGATGATGCTGGCCTCATAAAATGAGTTAGGGAGGTTTCCCTCTTTTTCTATTGATTGGAATAGTTTCAGAAGGAAGGGTATCATCTCCTCTTTGTACCTCTGATAGAATTCGGCTGTGAATCCATCTGGTCCTGGACTTTTTTTGGTTGCTAGGCTATTAATTACTGCCCCAATTTCAGAACTTGCTATTGGTCTATTCAGGGATTCGACTTCTTCCTGGTTTATACTTGGGAGGGTGTATGTGTCCAGGAATTTATCCATTTCTTCTAGATTTCATAGTTAATTTGCATAGAGGTGTTTATTGTATTATCTGATGGTAGTCTGTATTTATGTGGGGTCAGTGGTGATATCCCCTATATCATTTTTATTGCATCTATTTGATTCTTCTCTCTTTTCTTCTTTATTAGTCTAGCTAGCAGTCTATTTTGTTGATCTTTTCAAAAAAACAGCTCCTGGATTCATAGATTTTTTTTTTTAAGGATGTTTTATGTCTCTATCTCCTTCAGTTCTCCTCTGTTCTTAGTTATTTCTTGTCTTCTGCTAGCTTTTGAATTTGTTTGCTCTTGCTTCTCTAGTTGTTTTAATTGTGAAGTTAATGTGTCAAATTTAGATCTTTCCTGCTTTCTCTTGTGGACATTTAGTGCTATAAGTTTCCTTCTAAACGCTGCTTTAGCTGTGTCCCAGAGCTTCTGGTACATTGTGTCTTTCTTCTCATTGGTTTCAAAGAACTTATTTATTTCTGCCTTAATTTTGTTATTTACCCAGTAGTCATTCAGGAGCAAGTTGTTCAGTTTCCATGTAGTTGTGCAGTTTTGAGTGATTTTCTGAATCCTAAGTTCTAATTTCATTGCTCTGTGGTCTCAGAGACTGTTTGTTATGATTTCAGTTGTTTTGCATTTGCTGAGGAGTGTTTTACTTCCAATTATGTGGTTGATTTTAGAAAGCATGATGTGTTGCTGAGAAGAATGTATATTCTGTTGATTTGGGGTGGAGAGTTCTGTAGATGTCTATTAGGCATGCTTGGTCCAGAGCTGAGTTCAAGTCCTGAATATCCTTGTTAATTTTCTGTCTCGTTGATCTGTCTAATATTGACAGAGTGTTAAAGTCTTCTACTATTGCACTGGAGTCTAAGTCTCTTTGCAGGTCTCTAAGAACTTGCCTTATGAATCTGGGTGCTCCTGTATTGGGTGCATATATATTTAGGATAGTTAGTTCTTCTTGTTGCATTGATCCCTTTACCATAAGGTAATGCCCTTCTTTGTCTCTTTTGGTCTTTGTTGGTTTAAACTCTGTTTTATCAGAGACTAGGATTGCAACTCCTGCATTTTTTTTTTTTTTTTTTTGCTATTTGCTTGGTAGATCTTCATCCCTTTATTTTGAGCCTATATGTGTCTTTGCACATAAGATGGGTCTCCTGAATACAGCACATCGATGGGTCTTGACTCTTTATCCAATTTGCCAGTCTGTGTCTTTTAATTGGGGCATTTAGCCTGTTTACATTTAAGGTTAATATTGTTATATATGAATTTGATCCTGTCATTATGGTGCTAGCTGGTTATTTTGCCCATTAGTTGATGCAGTTTCTTTATAGTGTTGATGGTCTTTACAATTTGGTATGTTTTTGTAGTTGTTGGTACTGGTTGTTCCTTTCCATGTTTAGTGCTTCCTTCTGGAGCTCTTGTAAGGCAGGCCTGGTGGTGACAAAATCTCTTGACATTTGCTTGTCTGTAGAGAATTTTATTTCTCCTTCACTTATGGAGCTTAGTTTGGCTGGATATGAAATTCTGGATTGAAAATTCTTCTCTTTTAGAATGTTGAATATTGACCACCACTCTCTTCTGACTTGTAGGCTTACTGGAGAGAGACTCGCTGTTAGTCTGATGGGCTTTCCTTTGTGGATAACTCAACCTTTCTTTCTGGCTGCCCTTAACATTTTTTTCCTTCATTTCAACCGTGGTGAATCTGACGATTACGTATCTTGGAGTTATACTTCTTGAGGAGTATCTTTGTGGTATTCTCTGTATTTCCTGAATTTTGAATGTTGGCCTGTCCTGCTAGGTTGGGGAAGTTCTCCTGGATAATATCCTGCAGAGTGTTTTCCAACTTGGTTTCATTCTCCCTGTCACTTTCAGGTATACCAATCAAATGTAGGTTTGGTCTTTTCACATAGTGCCATATATCTTGGAAGCTTTATTTGCTTCGTTTCTTTTTCCTTGCATCTTGTCTTCAAGCTTTATTTCATTAAGTTGATATTCAATCTCTGATATCCTTTCTTCCACTGGATTGATTCAGCTATTGATACTTGTGTATGCTTCCCGAAGTTCTCGTGCTGTGTTTTTCAGCAATTTCAGGTCATTTATGTTCTTCTCTACACTGGTTATTCTAGTTAGCAATTGGTCTAACTTTTTTCAAGGTTCTTAGCTTCCTTTCATTGGGTTAGAAGATGCTCCTTTAGCTCAGAGGAGTTTGTTATTGCCCAAGTTCTGAAGCCTGCTTCTGTCAATTCATCAAACTCAATCTCCATCCAGTTTTATTCCCTTGCTGGCAAGAAGTTGTGATCCTTTGGAGAAGAGACGTTCTGGTTTTTGCAATTTTAAGCCTTTTTGTGCTGGTTTCTCCCCATCTTTGTGGATTTATCTAGCTTTGGTCTTTGATGTTGTTGACCTTCGGATGGGGTTTTGGTGTTGACATCCTTTTTGTTGATGTTGATACTATTCCTTTCTGTTTGTTAGTTTTCCTTCTCACAGTCAGGCCTCTGCTCCAGCTCTGCTGGAGTTTGCTGAAGGTACGCTCCAGGCCCTGTTTTCCTGGGTATCACCAGCAGAGGCTGCAGAATAGCAAAGATTGTTGCCTGTTCCTTCCTCTGGAAGTTTCGTCCCAGAGGGGTACCCGCCAGATGCCAGCCAGAGTTCTCCTGTATGAAGTGTCTGTTGACTGCTGCTGGGAGATGGCTCCCAGTCAGGAGGCTTGGGGGTCAGGGACCCACTTAAGGAGATACCTTGTCCCTTAGCAGAGCTCAAGCACTGTGCTGGGAGATCCGCTGCTCTCTTCAGAGCCATGAGGCAGGAACATTTAAGTCTGCTGAAGCTGCGCCCACAACCACCCTTTCCCCCAGGTGCTCTGTCCCAGGGAGATGGGAGTTTTATCTATAAGCCCCGGACTGGGGCTGCTGCCTTTCTTCCAGAGATGTCCTTTTTTTGAATACCAGAGAAACAAGGTGCCCATCTCATTGCATGTAACAGAGGGCACATAATGTTGATATATTTTATTCCTAGTGATTTTATCCTTAATCACCTGGTCGAGGTGACGTCTGCCAAGCTTCTCTGTTATAAAGTTGCTGACTTTTTCCTTTTTGTATTCCAGGTTCTCTTAATGGACAGAGCTAAGAAATGTATGTATATCCATGTATATATAGGAATCTATACTTCTATATCCCTTTATCTGTGGGTGCATACATATGTTTATATGCATACATGTATGTATATATGTATATGAATATATTTACATATAAACATGAATTTATACTGATCTCTATCAATCCAGTACTACAAGATATAGTCTAGCCTTTTTTTTTTAACTCCTGTCTCAGAAACTTGGTTCTCAAAATTTACAAAATAATTACTTATTTGTCCAAGCATAGTATAACTTGATAGTCTCTATTCATGTGGGATACAATTTATCAAGTAGATTACAGTGTTTATATACAGTTATCTTCCTCTTTACATAAAAATAAAGCATGCATCTAGTCAAAACACGTTTTCTTCCTATTCATTTTCAAGTGATTATATTATACATTTGGAATATGGATAAAGAATATAGAAAACTAAAAGCAAAGTGGCAGACATAAATTTAAGCTAAACAAACCTGAAAATTTTTTTTTTTTTTAACAAACCTGAAAATTAAATGTATTAAATATATAGGATATAGTTAAAGCACTTACAGGGCAATTTATTCTACAATTTATTTTTAAAGAAAAATCAGCAATCAGAAATCTAAGCAATCTAAGCTTCTTTAAAAAAAATAATGAATAGTTTCTGGTTCCTCTTACATAATGTGCTTTATTTTTTGTCTACTTTCCTTATCTTCTCCAAGTCATTGATCTTTAGCAATTTGTATATGATATGCCTAGTTTTTTAAATCCTTTTTTGTGTTCTGTGAATTTCTTTGGCATATGGTTTTGTGTTTGTCATTAATCCTGGCCACTTCTCTGGCATTATTTCTTCAACTATTTCTTCTGTCCTGTTTTCTTTCCATTCTCAGTGAAGGCCTTCTATTACTCATATATCAAAACTTTTGATATTGTTTTACACTTCTTGGAAACTCTGTTCTGTGTTTTAGTTGTTGTTGCTGTGTTCCTCTTTTTCTCTTTCTCTTTCAGTTTGGGTAATTTCTATTGAACTATCTTCAAACTCACTGATTCTCTCTTTGGCTATATTCAGCCTACTAACAAGACTAAAGGACACTTTTCACATATCTTAGTGTCTTTTTAATATTCAGCATTCTCATTCAATTTTATCTTGTGATTTTCATGTCTCTTCTCTAGATTTCCATCTTATTTTTTATACTTCTAATCTTTTACATTAGAACCATCAACATATTAATCATAGTTTAAGTTAAATTCCCTTTCTGAGAGTTTCTACATTATTGTTATGTGAACCTGGTTCTGATGGCCTTGTCTTATGGCAATGTGTTTACTCTTGCCTTTTTGTATGCCTTGCAATTATTTGTTAAATGCTGGGCATGTTTTTTAGGACAATAAATACTAAGGTTATTGTGGGTTTTTTAATGCTTGGAAATGAATATGCCTTTCCTTCTTCTAGGCCTTTTTCATGGGAGTGTGTATTCATCTAATCCAAATCTAGCCTGGGTTTGACTTTTGTTGTTCTCACTGTTACCCTTTGTGTCCCAGAACATTCAAATGTCTGTAGTGATTCCTGGTTTTTAGCAGGAGGGTTGGTTTGTCAGAAGTTATGTTCTCAATGTTTGTTTCTTCCTTTCTGCTATGGTCTGAATGTTTGTGTCCTCCCCCAACCCTCAGAATGCATATATTGAAACTTACCTCCTGATGTAATAGCGTTAAGAGGTGAGACCTTTGGGAGGAGATGAATGCCATTATGAAAGAAGACTGAAGGAGCTTCGTTCCACCAAGTGAGAACATTGCCATCTATGAGAAACAGAACCTCCCCAGACATGGAATCTGCCAGTGCCTTGATCTTGAACTTGTCAGCCTCTAGAACTGTCAGAAATACATTTCCATTGATTAAATTACTGCAGTCTAAGGCATTAGCAGCAGGAACAGACTAATAAACTTGCCTTAGATCTTTTCTCTATGCTGCACTCCAGAGCACAGCTCTCCATTCAGCTCTTCTAGATGTATTCTACTTTTATTTTTACTTTAGGTTTGACAGTCTGGTGGTTGGGTCAAAAAACAGAGATTGTTTGTGATGGTGTGAATAAGTGTCTTGGTTTTAGGCAGGCTGTGTGTCCCTGGTTCTTAGGTGTGTGACCTTTACTAGCTTCTGTTTCTCCTCTAGCTGTAGTGCTCTGCATAGCATATATTCCTGACCCTTCTTCAAGGCTAGAGCTTACTTTTGTTTTTCTTTCCTGACTCTCCTTTAAGGCTAGAGCTTACTTTTCTTTTTCTTTGTTTTCTTTCCCCAGCCTCCATGGGTTTCTACCAGTGCCCTAAGGTAACAGTTTTTATTGCCTATTCTCCTGTTGATTAATGCCTTTGTTCCCTATGGGAGTTAGTGAATATTGGTCTAAATGGAAACTCAGATGTGTGACAAATTGAGGAAAAGTCGTTAATTTGCAGTTTGTGTAGTGTTACTTCTGCTGTAAGGGTAAGAAAAACATTCTTTCTAGCTCTCTATTGCTGAACTGAAACTGTAAGTCAGTATCAACACTTTAAAGATAGTTCAGTTAATAAAATATAGCTTAGGGACATGGTGACAAACTCACCAATGCTAACATCAGATTTGGACGAACTTACCCACTCAGTCCCTGGAAAACTTCAGGTTTTTCCAACAGGAACAGAGCCTTTGCCAGTAAATTTGTGTTATAGGTGGAAGGAGACCAGACCACGTTTTCTACAGATGGAAAATCCTGAGGTCAAGATGAGTAGAAGTGAGATAGTTATACATACTGATTTTTCTTCCCAAATCCATTACTCAAATATATCACTTTTCCCCTTTGGGGTAAGTTGGGGGTAGAGACAAGGAATGGATATCCTTCTAGACCCACAGAAAAATAGAGAAACCCTCCTCCCTTCACAGCAACATTCCTCAGCCGTTGTCGTATTTGCCCATTCAGTTCAATCAATAAATCCATAGTCAACCTGTAGGAAGAAATTAGCAATCTGTGAGTTTCTGTTTTCACTTTCCTGAGGCTGCTGTCCTTAAAATCACCAAAGTTCCTTTGAGAATACTACTAATATCACTGTATTGCCACCACAAATCCCTTAAATGAGGCAGAATAGAATACCAATAACTCCAAGCCCCTGTGTTTCATTCTCGTTTTGTTTTTTAACAATTAGACTCAGCAGCCTTGTCCAAAATAGTATATTAAAGTTTCTGTAATAAGAATAAATGATAATGTAAAGGTTAGCCTATATAAAATGACAACAAATGAAGATGCCCAAATTTATTTCCATTATTAAATTCTAGAGGATACTTATAACCTGCAGGCTAAATACTTTTGTTAATTATAGTGCTAAAATGTCAAAATCTAAAATAATTTTAAACTGCAAATTCAAATTCTCTTTTTCTTATCAGTTACAAATCCAGAGGAATGTAAGACTTCACCAATTTCTCATTCTGCTCAGTCTCAGCCCAAGGGGTCCTCCACATCTGGGTAGAGGTGGCATTTCTGAAGCAGATGCAGTCTGAGATCTCGCTGGAACAGGCATAGTTCTTTCATGGCCCCAGAGGTTAGTTTAATGCCAAGTCTCTCATATTCTCACTTAAGCATCTGAAGAATTACTAAGAAATACATAGACAATTGTCAGTAGCTGGCATTAGACTTAAAATTAAGCTACTTCTAGCCCCTTCATCAGAATCTAGTCATTGCTGTTGACAAAGGCCATAACAGAAATTCAAACAGCATTTAAAGAGAAAAGATGGTGAAAACCTTACTGATTTTAGTCCAGCCAGGATGCTCATCAGTGCTGGTTATCTGGAGTTCATGATCTATGAAGTTAAGCTCAATTAGTAGAAATCTTCTTTTAAAGAATAGTTACCCTATCTGGAAATACAATTACTATACTTGGAAAATTCACCATTCTACACTTTCTAGTCTCACAGAATGACATTTGAGATACCGCTATGGTTTTACATTTTTTTCTCCTTTTAAATAAACTATGTTTTTAAAATTATACTTTAAGTTCTGGGGTATATGTGCAGAATGTACAGGTATACACATTACATAGGTATACACGTGCCATGGTGGCTTGCTGTACCCATGAACCGGTCATCTACATTAGGTATTTCTCTTAATGCTATCCCTCCCCCAGTCCTCCACCCCTTGACAGGCCCTGGTGTGTGATTCCCTGACCCCCACCCGTGTCCATGTGTTCTCACTGTTCAACTCCTACTTGCGAGTGAGAGCATGCAGTGTTTGGTTTTCTGTTCTTGTGTTAGTTTGCTGAGAATGATGGTTTCCAGCTTCATTCATGTCCCTACAAAGGACATGAACTCATCTTTTTTTCTGGCTGCATAATATTCCATGGTGTATATGTGCTACATTTTCTTTATCTAGTCTTTCATTGATGGGCATTTGGGTTGGTTCAAAGTCTTTGCTATTGCGAACAGTGCCACAGTAAACATAAGTGTGTATGTGTCTTTATAGTAGAATGATTTATAATCCTTTGGGTATATACCCAGTAATGGGATTGCTGGGTCAAATGGTATTTCTAGTTCTAGATCCATAAGGAATCACCACACTGTCTTCCACAATGGTTGAACTAATTTACACTCCCACCAACAGTGTAAAAGTGTTCTTATCTCTCCACATCCTCTCCAGCATCTTTTGTTTCCTTACTTTTTAATGATTGCCATTCTAACTGGCCTGAGATAGTAGCTGATGGTGGTTTTGATTTGCATTTCTCTAATGACCAGTGATGATGAGCTTTTTTTTTCAAATGTTTGTTGTCTGCATAAATGTCTTCTTTTGAGAAGAGTCTGTTCATATCCTTTGCCCACTTTTTGGTGGGGTTGTTTTTTTCTTATAAATTTAAGTTCTTTTGTAGATTCTAGATATTAGCCCTCTGTCAGATGGAGAGATTACAAAAATTTTCTCCCATTCTGTAGGTTGCCTGTTCACTCTAATCATAGTTTCTTTTGCTGTGCAGAAGCTCTTTAGGTTAATTATATCCCATTTTTCAATTTTGGCTTTTGTTGCCATTGCCTTTGATCCAATTAATGGAAAAAACTGAATACCATTTTAACTTTAGCCAATATGTTCAAACATAGACTCTTTTACACTTAATTTTTTATAAACCTTTCACACCTTGTTCAAACCTTTAGCTTTATTTTAAACAATCCTTTAACCCTATAACCTAGGCAAAAATGTACATTCCTGTACATTCTTATAATATCTTATAAAAAACACATTTCATTCACCTTACACACCTTGCATGTAAACCTACTTTTCCAGTAGTCTCAATTACATATTACAATGTTAATTCTTAGCAACTTTTACTTTGGGTGAAAACGTTGGTAAGTAAGGATTTTAATTATGTACTAAGTGTGGAGCCTAGGACCCAGAGAGAAATGCAGACGAGGTCTGACTCTTTTCAGCATCTAACTTCACATGTTCCAGGCCTTACCTAGATGTAAAGCAGGTAAGCTGAACAGTTAAGAGTTATAGTGGCATTTTATGAAGCGTTAGGAGGCTTAATCACCTTTAAATTATATAACACTTCTGGCATAAATTCCTTTTCATAAATTCTTTCACAACTTACACAGACCATGTACAACATGTTTAGACTTTCTGACATTTCCTAAACATTCCTCTTTTTAAACAACCAGTCATTTTACTTTAGGACAAGAATTTACCATAGAACATCCTTTCTCATATAAAATATCTTTTCTTTATAACCTTCTTTGCATAGTTAGGGGACATGGATGATTCCATATATCCCCAGGCCTCACTTCAATGTCTCTAAAATAAATCGAACAATTTTCAAAAGCCAAAGCAGTTTATGACCTTAAAGCATTTAGCAAACCTAATATCTGACCTGCATAATCTAGACAAAATGTATTTTATCAATAATCTTTAAAGCTGTTTTTTGAGACAGAGTTTCACTCTTGTTGCCCAGGCTGGAGTGCAATGGCATGATGTTGGCTCACTGCAACCTCTACCTCTAGGGTTCACGTGATTCTCCTGCTTCAGCCTCCCAAGTAGCTGGGATTATAGGTGCCTGCCATTGACGCTCAGCTCACCTCAGCCTCCCAAGTGGTGGGATTACAGGCGTGAGCCACTGTGCCCGGCTTCTAATGATTTTTTTGTGCAGAAATACATAGTATCACAAGAGTGGAGACATGGATTTTAAAATTCTGAGCTGTAAGAAACTTACTCCTCAGATAAACACATGCAAATGAGTCCATGCATTTATATAACTGGGAGCTCTCTGAATTAACATTTATGTGGTATATACAATTTATTAAAGCATAACCATGTTTGAGACATTCACATATGTATTTACATGTAACACTAGTTTATTTTTTATTGTACAAATTTCATTGAATATACCAAGTTTTATTCTACTATTGATGGACTTTTGTGTTATTTACTATTTTGAAATATTATGAACGATAAAAAATCAGACCATCTTTTATTCTTTTTTCTGTTTTAGTTGTTTTGTTCAACTCTCTAAATGCAAGGAACACTCTAATTTCCTTCACCCAGGGCTTATTTCTTCCACCACTCCATTCTAGGTATGCCACTGCCTAGGAGTAGAATTGCTGGTAAAGAGGTTGCATATGTTCAGCTTAGTAGATTCTGCCCAGTTTTCAGAGTTAGTGCACTAATTTACACTTCTGCTAGCAATATATAAAATTCCCAGCTGTTTCGTATTTTCCTATCAGTACTTGTTCTGCCAGGTTTTTTATGCTAGTTATTCTGATAAGTGTATAATGGCAGCTCAATGTGGTTTTAATTTGCGTTTGCCAAATTACTAAAGAAAGTAAAGTGACAGTTTACGACTTTTAACCCTGATTGAATTATCTGTGTGGGGTTTAAAAAATGATTTGTAGTAGTTACTTACATTTTCTGGATTAACTACTTTGTTATAAGTATTCTAAATACCCTCTCTCACTCAGAGGTTACTTTTTTTACTCTCTTAATGATGTCATTTGCTAAAGAGAGTACCTCTTTTTAAAATACAGTCATGTGTTGCTCAAAGATAAGGATACATTCTGAGAAATGTCATTAGGTTTTTGTGATAAGAACATCAGAGTGTGTTTACACAAACCTAGATGGTACAGCCTACTACACACCTAGGCTTTATGGTATAGCTTATTGCTCCTAAGCTACAAACGTGCACAGCATGTTAGTATACCGTATACTGTAGGCTATGTAACACTAGTATTTGTGGATTTAAACATATCTAAACTTAGAAAAGATACAGTAAAAATATGGCATAAAAGATAAAAACTGAGGTTTTATGTCCCCATATATTTGTTGGCTGCATAAGTGTCATCTTTTGAGAAGTGTCTGTTCATATCCTTTGCCCGCTTTTTGATGGGGTTGTTTTTTTCTTGTAAATTTGTTTAAGTTCCTGGAAGATTCTGGATATTAGACCCTTGTCAGATTGGTAGATTGCAAAAATTTTCTCCCATTCTGTAGGTTGCCTGTTTACTCTGATAGTTACTTTTGCTGTGCATAAGTTCTTTAGTTTGATTAGATTCCATTTGTCAATTTTGGCTTTTGTTGCAATTGCTTTTGGTGTTTTAGGAAGGAAATTCTGACACATGCTATGATACAGATGAACCTTGAAGACATTATGCTAAGTGAAATAAGCCAGTCACAAAAGAACAAATACTATATATGACTCCATTTTAAATGAGCTACCTAGAGTGCTTGAATTCATAGAGATAGAAAGTAGAATGGTGGTTTCCAGGGGCTGGGCAAAGTGGGAATAAGGAGTTATTGTTTAATGGGCATAGAGTTTCCAATTGAGAAGATAAAAAAGGTTTTGGAGAAGGATGGTGCTGATGGTTGCACAATAACATGAATGTACTTAATGCCACCGAAATGTACACTTAATGGTTAAAATGGTAAATTTTACATTATGTGTATTGTATAATAAATACAATATTTGTTAAAAAAGATCAAAACTGGTACACTTACCAAATGTATAGGGGCACTTACCATTAATGAAGCTTTCAGGACTGGAAGTTGCTCTGTGTGAGTGAGTGAGTGAGTGAGTGGCAAGTGAATGTGAAAGCCTAGGACATTACCGTACACTACTATAGACATGCTCAACACTGTGTACTTAGGCTACACTAAATTTATTTTTTTCCTTTTTTGAAAATAAATTAACTTCAGCTTACTGTAACATTCTTACTTTATGAACTTTTTAAATTTTTGTGACCTTTGTAAAAACACACATTGTACAGCTGAACAAAACTATTTTCTTTATACCCACACTCTGTGAGCATTTTTCTATTTAAACTTTTTTGTTAAAAATGGAGACACAAATACACACATTAGCCTAGGTCTACACAAGATCAGGATCATCAATATCACTGCCTCCCAGTTCTATATCTTGTCCCCCTGGAAGGTCTCCAGGGGAAATAACACACATGGAGCTGTCATTTCCTATAATTATTATTATAATTCAAATACCTCCTGAAGGACGTGCGTGAGGATACTATAGAGTTAAGATTTTTTAAAATAGGAGTATACCATCTAAAATAATAATAAATACAATATAGTAAATACATAAACCAGTACCATCATCATTTATTATCAATATCATCATTTATTATCAATATCAAATTTTAGATACTGTACATAACTATATGAGATAAACTTTTATATGACTGGCAGCATGGTACATTTGTTTACACCAGCATCACCACTAGTAAGTAATGTGTTGCACTGTGGCTTATGACAGCTATGATGCCACTAGGCAATAGGAATTTTTCAGCTCCATTATAATCTTATGAAACCACTGTTATATATGCAGTCCATTGTTGACTGAAACATTGTTATATGACCCATGACTGTAATTGCAATTTATTAGTATTTTGTTCCATGGTTAGTGCTTTTGTGTTCTGTTAAAAACAGAAGATTTTCATTTTAGTACAGACAAATTTATCAATGTTTTCTTTGATAGTTAGGGCTATTGTGTCCTATTTGAAAGATATTTACCTACTAATCACCATAAAGATAATACAGAAGCTTTAATATCTTGTCTATCACAGGTAAATCTAAAGTCTTCCTGGAATTGATTTGTTTTTAATGTGGAGTAAGGCAAAGGTCAAGCTGTCCAATTTACCTAGCATCATTAAATAAATGTAACTTCTTTTTTCCACTACCCTGCAGTAGCAGATTTATTACAAATTAAATGACTGAATATATATGAGTTAGTTTCCATACTTTCAATGATATATTATTCTTTGAATCTAAACTTGAACTAATAGTTACTTAACATACCTTTATATAAGTCTTTATATTTCACTGCATGAGTGCTACGGATTTGTTCTTCAATTTTCTCTTGCTTTTTTTTGGTATCCTTGAATTTTCTTATAAATTTAAAGATCAGCTTGTTAGTTTTCACAAAAATGCCTGCTGGGGTTTTGCTTGGGATTGCACTGATAAAAATTAACTTGGAAAAAATTGGCATGTTTACAATATTGCATCTTATGATTCTTGGTGATAGAATATCCTCCATTTATTGAAATATTCTATAATTCCCCTCACTAATGCTTTATAATTTTCTGCATTGAGGTCATGTGCTTATTTTGTTAAATTCTATTGCATTTGATTTTTCCTAGTGAATATTGTGTATTTTTAAAAACTATATTTCTATTTTTTCAGTTACTAGTATATGGAAATAGGATTGCTTTCTCTACGTTTCTTATATTCAATCACTAGATATATTTACTTCTTAACTCTAATAATTTATATCTAATTTTAATGAATTTTCTCTTAAAAACTCACGTTGCCTGTGTATGATAGTTTCATTGCATTTTATACCATATTGTACTGTTTAGGTCCTCCAATACAATACTAAAGTGGAGAGACAGAACATTCTTTTTAGGTCCCTGTTATGAATATTTCAACCTTCAGCATAAATTTTGAAAATAGTTTTTACAATATAAAATAACTTCCTTTCTACTTCTAGTTTAAGAATTTCTGCCATAAATGGGTGTTGAATTTTATTATATATGTACTTTATGGCATCTATCGAGAAGATAATATGATTTGACTCTTTTGTTCTCCAAATGTGGTGAATTATATTGATGGAAACCTGAATGTTATTCCAACCTTGCATTTCTGGAATAAGCTCAACTTGGTTGTAGCAATTTTTAAAAATAGACAATTGATTCAATTGCTAATATTGTGAGTAGAATATTTGTAATTGTTTTAATAAGAATCATTGGCTAATGATTTTCCTTTCTTGTATTATTTTCACCAAGTATTGTAGTCAGGATTATGCTGGCCTCATAAAACATGTTGGAAAGCATTCAACCTTATTCTATTTTTTGGAAGAGTTTTTTTTTTTTTTTTAAGATTGGTGTCATTTTTAAACAGCTTTATTAAAGTATAGTTTTTATACATATCATTTACTTAAAATGTGCAATTTGATTAGTTTTTACACACACCATACTATCTTATGATTCTTGATAATGGTATTTCCTCCACTTATTGATCAGCTCTATTTATTGTTTTTAATTTTTATATCTTCCTGATCTCTCTACACACACATGTACACACATATATGGACGTACACACATATATGGACGTACACATATATATGGACACACACATATACAATGAAGCTGTCTGCACAGTCAAGGGAATGTGGATATCCATTGCTCCCAAAGCTTTCTAATGCCATTTTAAAGTCCACTCCTCCATCGGCCAAACTGCATTCCAGGCAAGCAATTATCTACTTTATATCACTATAGATTACTTTGTAATTCTCTAGACTTCATATAAATATAATTATATAATATGAACTCTTACTTTGGCTTCTCTCAACATAATTATTTTGAGATTCATCCATGTTCTTGTCAAGACTTGGTAAAATCTCAATTTTAGTAATTGTTGTGGAAATATAGTGGTATCTCTTTGTGCTTTTTTTGGAATTTTATTTTTAATTTTTAACTTATTTTAAGTTTAGGGGTACAAGTTCAGGTTTGTTAAATAGTTTAACTTGTGTCATAGGGGTTTATTGTAGAGATTATTTCATCACCAAGGCATTAAGCCTAGCCTAGCATTTTTTCTGATCCTCTCCCTCCTTCCACTCTCCATCCTCTGAAAGGCCCCAGTGTGTGCTGTTCCCCTCTATGTGTCCATGTACTCTCATCATATTAGCTCACACTTATGAGAACATGCAGTATTTGGTTTTCTGTTCCTGTATTAGTTTGCTAAGGATAATGGCCTCTAGCTCAATCCATGTCCCTGCAGAGGACATGATCTCATTCTTTTTTATGGCTTCATAGTAGTATTCCATGGTATGTATGTATCACATTTTCCCTATCCAGTCTATCATTGATAGACATTTAGGCTGATTCCATGTCTTTGCTATTGTGAATAGTGCTGCAATGAACATGCATCTCATGCATGTACCTGTGTCTTTATAATAGAATGGTTCATATTCCTTTGGGTATATATCCAGTAATGGGATTGCTGGATTGAATGGTATTTCTGTCTTTAGTTCTCGAGGAATGACCATACTGTCTTCCACAATGGCTGGAACTAATGGTTTGTAGCTTAGGAGCAATAAGCTATGGCTGAACTAATTTACACTCCCAGTACAAGCATTTCTTTTTTTCGTAACCTCGCCAACATCTACTGTTTTTTGACTTTTTGATAATAGACATTCTCATTGTGGTTTGATTTGTATCTCTCTAATGATCAGTGAAGTTGAGGTTTTTTTCATATAATTGTTGGCTGCATGGCTGTCTTCTTTTGAAAAGTTTCTGTTTATGTCCTTTGCCCATTTTTTTATAGGGTGGTTTTCTTGTAAATTTGTTGAAGTTTCTTATTGATGTTGGATATTAGATTTTTGTGGATGCATAGTTTGCGGCAAACATTTTCTCCCATTCTGTAGGTTGTCTGTTTACTCCGTTGATAGTTTCTTTCGTTTTGCAGAAGCTCTTTAGGTCAATTAGATCCTATTTGTCATTTTTTTCTTTTGTTGCAACTGCTTTTGGTGTCTTCATCATGAAATCTTTTCCTGTGCCTATGTCCTGAATAGTATGGCCTAGGTTGTCTCCCAGGACTTTTATAGCTTTGGGTTTTACATTCACGTCTTTAATTCATCATAAGTTAATTTTTGTACATGGTATAAGAACAGGGTCCAGTTTTAATCTTCTGCGTATGGCTAGCCAGTTATCCCAGCACTATTTACTGAATAGAAAATCCTTTCCTCATTGCTTGTTTTTTGTCGGGTTTGTTGAAGACCAGATAGTTGTTGCTGTGCAGTCTGATTTCTGCATTCTCTATTTTGCTCCATTGGCCTATGTATTTTTTTGTACCAGTACCATGCTGTTTTGGTTACTGTAGCCCTGTAGTATAGTTTGAAGTCAGGTAGCATGATGTCTCCAGCTTTGTTCTTTAATATGCATTTTATTATTTTATTGTAAAAGTTAATTACAATTATTAAAACATTAATTTAAAAATTGACACATAATCTAGGAAAACTGACACAGTAAAACCTACTCATCTTATACAGATCATGGATTTTGACAAACACATGGAGTACTCTCTATGCTACCATAATCAAAACATAGTGTAATTCAATCAGTCCCAAATCTCTTTGCAGTCAAGAATTCTTCTCACCACCAATTTTTGGCAGCTACTTACCTGTTCTTCATCCCTATAGTCTTCATTTTCCAAGATGCCATATAATGGAAGCATGTAGTAAATGGCTTTTAGGCTATGATTTCTGAGCAAAAGCAAATTTAAAATTCATAAATAATGTAGTGAATATAAGTAATTTATTGTTTTATTTTGCTGAGTAGTATTCCAATGTATGGATGTACCACAGTTTCTTTTTTTTAAAAACTTTTATTTGAGATTCATGGGGTAGATGTGCACGTTTGTTATCTGGTTACATTGTGTGATGCTGAGGTTTGAGTTATGAATGATCCTGTCACTCCAGTACTGAACATAGTACCCAATAAAACTCTTTTCCACTTTCATCTCTCCCCCACTAATAGTTCCTAGTTTCTATTGTTGCTATTTTTATGTGCATGTGTGCTCAGTGTTTAGTTCCCACTTATAAATGAGAACATGTGGTATTTGGTTTTCTGTTTCTGTGTTAATTCACTTAGAATAATGGTTTCTAGTTGCATTTATACGAATTCAAAGGACATGATTTTGTTCTTTGTTATAGCTGCATAGTATTCCATGGTATACATGTCCCGTATTTTCTTTATCCAATCCACTGTTGATAGGCACCTAGGTTGATTCCATGTTTTTGCTAATGTAAGTAGTGCTGCAATGAACATGCCAATGTGTGTGTCTTTTCAATAGAAATATTTATTTTCTTTTGTATATATATCCAGTAGTGGAATTGCAGGTTAAACAGCAGTTCTGTTTTAATTTCTCTGGGGAGTTTTCAAACTGCTTTCTCTATTGGCTGAATTAATTTACATTCCCACATACAGTATATAAACATTCTCCTTTCTCCACAGCCTCACCAGCATCTGTTGTTTTCTGACTTTTTAATAATAGCCATTCTGACTGGTGTGAGATGGTATCTTATTGTGGTTTTAATTTGCATTTCTCTGATGATTAGTGATGTGGAGCATTTTATTTTATGTTTGTTTCCCACTTGTATGTCTTCTTTTGAGAAGTGTCTGCATGTATTTTTTCTCATTTTTTAAAAATGGGGTTATTTGTGTTTCGCTTATCCAATTAAATTTCTTATAGATTCTGTATATTAGCCCTTTGTTGGATGAATAGGTTGTGAATGTTTTCTTCCATTTAGTAGATTGTCTTATTACTCTGTTGATAGTTTCTTTTGCTGTGCAGAAGCTCTTTAGTTCAATTAGGTCCCACTTGTCAATTTTTTGTTTTTGTTGCAAATGCTTTTGAGGACTTACTCATAAATTCTTTCCCAAGGCTGATTTCCAGAATGTTGTTTCCTAGGTTTTCTTCTAGGATTCTTATAGTTTGATATCTTACATTTAAATATTTAATCCATCTTAAGTTCCAATCCATCTTAAGTTAATTTTTGTATATGATGAAAGGTAGGGGTCCAGCTTTATTCTTCTGCAAATGGCTAGCCACCTATCTTCTACAACTGATTGCATAGGGAGTCTTTCCCCTTGGACAAATTAAACAAAAATAAGCTAAGATTGGGTGGCTGTAGGTGTGCAGCTTTATTTCTGAGTTCTCTTTTCTGTTCCATTGCACTACATGTCTGTCTTTGTAGCAGAACCATGCTGCTTTAGTTAATATAGCCTTATAGTATAGTTGGAAGTTAGGTAATGTGATGCCATCGGCTTTGTTCTTCTTTGGCAATTTGAGATCTTTTTGGCTCCATATGAATTTTAGAATAGTTTTTTCTAGTTATGTAAATAATGACATTGCTACTTTGATAGAAATAGTGTTAAACTGGTAGATCATTTTGGGCAGCATGGGCATTTTAATGATATTGATTCTTCCAGTCCATGAGCATGAAATGCTTTTTCATTTGTTTGTGTCATCTATGATTTTTATTAGCAGTGTATTTTAGTTCTCCCTATAGAAGTCTTTCACCTCCTTGGTTAGATGTAGTTCTAGGCATTTTATTTTATTGTATTTTTGGCTATTGTAGATGGGATTGTGTTCTTGATTTGGCTCTCAGCTTGAATGTTATTGGTGTGTAGAAATGCTAGTGATTTTCATATGTTGATTTTGTATCCTGAAATTTTACTGAAATCATTTATCAGTTCCAGGAGGCTTCTGGCAGAATCTTTAGGATTTTTCTGGGTATAGGATCATGTCATCTGTGAAGAAAGATAGTTTTACTTTTCTTTCCCTATTTGGATGCCCTTTATTTCTTTCTCTTGCCTAGATTACTCTGGTTATGACTTTCAGTACTATGTTAAATATAACATGTTTATATGTTGTACAGGGATCCTTGTCTTGTTCCGATTCTCAAAAGGAATGCCTCTTCAGTTTTTGCCCATCAAGTATGATGTTGGTTGTTTGTCATAGATGACTCTTAGTATTTTGAGGAATGTTCCTTTGATGCCTAGTTTGTGATTTGTACATATTTTACCTCAGTCTGTGTCTAGGCTCTTCCTTCTCTTAACTATTTTGAATGTGGAGCAAAAGTTTCTAATTTCAGTAAACTTCAATTTATCAATTATTTTACTTTTATGACTTACATTTTTGATGTTACATTTAAGAATTCTGCCTAATCCAAGGTCAAAAATACTTTTACTATACTTTCTTCTAAAAGCTTCATAGTATTATGTTTTACATTTACATTTTCAGTAAACATTGGTATAATGTTTGGGGTATTAAGGTTTACTTTTTTTATATGCACATCCAATTATTTCAGCATCATTTGTTAAACAACTTTTTTCATTAGTTTATTTTTGTACTTTTATAAATGGTACTTTTTAAAGTGATTATTAGAAATATAAACTCAATTTTTAATTTTTTAACTTGTGACTACATAGTAGGTGTACATATTTATGAGGTACATGAGATGTTTTTATATAGGCAGGTAATGCATAATAATCACATGGAAAATGAAGTATCTATCACCTCAAGCATATATCCTTTGTGTTACAAACAATTATACTCTTTTAGTTATTTTTAAATGTACAATCAAATTATTATTGACTATGGTACCCTGTTTGTTATATTCATTCTGTCTTATTCATTCTTTGTATATTTTTTTTAACCCATTAACCATATCCACCTCCCAGCCCTCACCCTCCCACTGCCCTTTTCAGCCTCTGGCAAACATCCTTCTACTCTCTATCTCCATGAGTTCAATTGTTTTGAATTTTAGATCTCACAAATAAGTGAGAATATGTGAAGTTAGTCTTTCTGTGCCTGGCCTATTTCACTTAGCATAATGACCTCCAGATCCATTTATGTCGTTTCAAATGACAAGATCTTATTCCTGTTCATGCTGAATGCTACTCCATTGTGTATATGTACCACATTTTCTTTATCCATTCGTCTGTTGATAGACACTTAGGTTGCTTTCAAATCTTGGCGATTGTGAACAGTACTGCAGCAAATATGAGAGTGCACATATCTCTTTGATATACTGATTTCCAGCATTGTGATTTCTGGGTGGTATGGTAGCTCTATTTTAGTTTTTTGAGGAAACTCTAAATGGTTTCCCATAGTGGTTGCACTAATTTACATTCCCACCAACAGTGCATAAGGATTCACTTTCCTCTGCATCCTTGTCAGAATGTGTTATTGCCTGTCTTTTGGATATAAGCCACTTTAACTGCAGTGAGATGATATCTTTTTACAGTCTTGATGTGCATTTGTCTAATGATCAGTGATGATGAACACCTTTTATTATGCCTGTTTGCCATCTGTATATCTTCTTTTGAAAAATATTTATTGAGATATTTTGCCCATCTTTAATTAGATTATTAGATTTCTTTTTCTATAGAGTTGTTTGAGCTCCTTATATATTTTACTTATTAATCCCTTGTCAGATGGGTAGTTTGCAAATATTTTCCCCCATTCTGTGGGTTGTCTCTTTGTTTTGCTGATCCTTTCCTTTCCTGTGTAGAAGCTTTTTAACTTGATGTGATCCCATTTGTCCATTTTGGCCTTGGTTGTCTGTTGTGGGGTATTACTCAAGAAATATTGCCCAGATCAGTGTCCTGGAGAGTTTCCCCAATGTTTTCTTGAGCAGTTTCATAGTTTGAGGTCTTTTTAATCCATTTTTATTTCATTTTATATATGGTGGGAGATAGGGATCTGGTTTCATTCTTCTGCATATGGATATCCAGCTTTCCCAGCCCTATTTATTGAAAAGTTTGTATTTTTTCCAGTGTATGTTCTTGGTACCTTTGTTGAAAATTGAGTTTCAACAAATGTTCTTGGTACCTTTGTTGAAAATTGAGTACAGTTGAGTTTACTGTACGTGTGTGGATTTGTTTCTGGGTTCTCAATTCTACTCCATTGTCTATTTTTATGCTGGTACCATGCTGTTTTGGTTATATAGCTCTGTAGTATAATTTGAAGGGAATGTGATTCTTCCAGTTTTGTTCTTTCTGCTCAGGATAGCTTTGGCTATTCTGGCTTTTTTGTGGTTCCATGTAAATTTTAGGAATTTTTTTTTTTCTATTTCTGTGAAGAATGCCATTGGAATTTGGACAGGGATTACATTGAATTTGTAGATTGCTTTGAGTAGTATGGATTTTTTTTTTTTTTTTTTTTTTTTTTGAGATTGAGTCTCGCTCTGTCACCCAGGCTGGAGTGCAGTGGCCCAATCTCTGCTGACTGCAACCCCCGCCCCCCAGGTTCAAGTGATTCTCCTGCCTCAGCCTCCCAAGTAGGTAGGATTACAGGCATGCTGTAATTTTTGTACTTTTTAGTAGAGATGGGGTTTCACCATCTTGGTCAGGCTGGTCTTGAACTCCTAACCTCGTTATCCACCCTCCTTGGCCTCCCAAAGTGTTGGGATTACAGGCGTGAGCCACCGTGCCCAGCCTGTATGGATGTTTTAATAATATTGATTCTTCTAATCCATGAACACTGAATATCATTCTGGTTTTTGGTATCCTACTCAATTTCTTTCATTGGTGTTTTATAGTTCTCATTTTAGAGATCTCTTACTTCTTTTGTTAATTCCTAGGTATTTAATTTTATTTATGGCTGTAGTAAATGGGGTTACTTTTAAATTTATTTTTCAGATTTGTTCAATATTGTCATATAGAAATACTACTGATTTTTGTGTCCTGAAACTTTACTTATCAGTTTTAATAGTTTTTTTTTTTTTTTTTTTTTTTTGGTGGAGTCTTTAGGCTTTTCTAAATACAAGAACATATCATCTGCAAAGATAATTTGACGTCTTCCTTTCCAATTTGGATGTCCTTTATAACTTTATATTGTCTAATTGCTCTAGCTAGGACTTCCAGTACCATGTTGAATAACAGTGATGAAAGTAAGCATCTTTCTCATGCTCTGGATCTTAGAGGAAAAGGTTTCAGTTTTTCCCCATTCAGTATGATACTAGCTGTGGCTCTGTCATATATGGCTCTTATTATGTTGAGGTATGTTTCTTCTATACCAAGTTTTTTGAGGGATTTTATTATAAAGGGATGTTGGATGTTATCAAATGCTTTTTCAGTATTAATTGAAATGATCATATGGATTTTTGTCTTTCATTCTATTGATATGATGTATCACATTGATTAAGTATGTTGAACCATCCTTATATCCTAGTGATAAATCTCACTTGGTCATGATGAAAGATCATTTTATTGTTTTGTTGAATTTGGTTTCAAGTATTTTGTTGAGAATTTTTGCATCAATATTAATCAGAGGTATTGGCCTGTAGTTTTCCTTTGTTGATGTGTCTTTAATTTTGGTATCAAGGTAATAATGGGCTCATAGGATGAGTTTGGTAGTATTCTGTCCTCCTGTGTTTTTTGGAATCGTTTAAGTAGGATGGATATTTATTCTTCTTTAAGTGCTTGGTAGAATTCAGCAGTGAATTCATAGGGTCCCAGGATTTTCAGATTCAATCTTGTTTGTTACTGGTCTGTTTAGGGTTTGGATTTCTTCATGGTTCAATCTTGGTAGGTTGTATGTGTCTAGGAATTTGTTCATTTCTTCTATATTTTCCAATTTATTAGCATATACTTGCTCATAGTAGCCACTAGTGATCCTTTGAATTTCTGCAGTATCAGTTGTAATGTTTCCTTTTTGAGCTCTTATTTATTTAGTTCTTTGTTTTTTCTTGGTTTGTGTGGCTAAAAGTTTGTCAATTTTGTTTAACTTTAAAAAAACACTTTTTGTTTAATTGATCTTTTGTATTGTTTTCTTCATTTCAATTTTATCTATTTCTGCTCTAATCTTCATAATTTTTTTTTCCATCTACTAATTTTGCATTTAGTTTGCTCTTGCTTTTTCTGGTTCTTTAAGATGCATCATTAAGTTGTTTATTTGAAGTGTTTCTTCTTTTTCATTGTAGGCACTTATAGCTATAAACTTTCCTCTTAGTACTGCTTTTGCTGTATCCTATTGCTGGTTTTGCTATGTTTCCATTATACTTTGTTTCAAGAAATTTTTAATTTTTTTAGAAGATTAAAATTAAGAAATTTTTTATTCCTCTTAATTTATTCAATGACCCATTGGGCATTCAGGAACATATGGTTTAATTTCCATGAATTTGTGTAGTTTTCAAAATTCTTCTTGTATTGATTTTGAGTTCTATTCCATTATGGTTAGAGAAGATACTTGATAGTATTTCAGGTTTTTGTTTGTTTGTTTGTGTGTTTGTGTGTGTTTAAGACTTGATTTTTGACCTAACATTTGATCTGTTTTTAGAATGATTCATGTGCTGAGATAAAGAATGTGTAGTCTGCATCCATTGGATGAAATGTTCCATAAATATCTGTTAGGTCCATTTGGTTGATAGTGCAGATTAACTGATATTTCTTTGTTGATTTTATGTCTGGTTCTGTCCAATACTGACAATGGGATGATGACGTCTCCAGTTATTATTATATTATTGTTTTGGCATCTCTTTCTTTAGCTCTAATAACATTTTCTTTATATTTTTGGGTGCTCTAGTGTTGGGTGCAAATTGGGTTAAAATTGTTATATTCCCATGCTGAACTGACCCCTTTAGCATTATATAGTGACCTTTCTTTGTCTCTTCTTACAGTTTTTTTCTTGAACTCTATTTTATCTGACGTACGGATAGTGATTCCTGCTCTTTTTTGGTTTCCATTGGCATGGAATATCTTTTTTCATCCCTTTATTTTCAGTCTATTTTTGTCTTTATAGATGAAGTGTGTTTCCTGTAGACAACATATAATTGGGTCTTGTTTTCTTATCTATTCAGATGCTCTATCTCTTTTGACTGGAGAGTTTAGTTCATTTATGTACAATGTTATTATTGATAAGTAAGGACTTAATGCCTGCCATTTTGTTATTTGCTTTCTGGTTGTTTTGTTCTCTTATTTTTCTTCTTTTTTTCCTTACTAGCTTCCCTTTTAGCAAATGTAGTTTTCTGTTGTGATATGAGTTAGTTTCTTACTTTTTATTTTTTGTGTATCCATTATACATTTTTTGGTTTGAAGTTACCATGAGGCTTGCAAATATTATCTTATAACCATTATTGTAACCTTGTAACAACCTAATACTGTTTGCATAAGCAAATAAATAAATCAGCAAAAAGAAAACTGATAAGAACTCTATGCTTTAACTTCACCCCCCAACTTTTTAACTTTTTGTTGTGTTTATATTTTATTGTGTTATCTATGTCTTAAAAAGTTGTTGTGGTTATTATTTTTTATTGGTTCCTGATTTATTCTTCCTACTTAAGAATAGTTTAAACACCACAGTTACAATGTTATAAATTCTGCTTTTTTTTGTACTTGCTTTTATCAGTGAGTTTTGTACCTTCTGATAATTTCTTTTTGCTCCTTAAAGTCCATATTTTTCTGATTGAAGTACTCTTTTTTAGCATTTCTTTTACAACAGGTCTGGTGTTGATGAAATCCCTCAGCTTTTATACTTCTGGGAAAGTTTTCCTTTGTCTTTCATGTCTAAAATATATTTTCACCAGATACATTATTCTAGGGTAAAAGTTTTTTTCCTTTAGCACTTTAAATATATCATGCCACTCTCCCCCTGACATGTAAGGTTTCCTCTGAAAAGTCAGCTGCTGGATGTATTGGAGCACCATTGTATGTTATTTGTTTCCTTTCTCTTGCTGCTTTAAGTATCCTTTCTTCATCCTTGACCTTTGGGAGTTTGATTATGAAATGCTTTCAGGTAGTCTTCTTTGGGTTAAATCTGCTTGGTGTTCTATAACCTTCTTATACCTGGATACTGATACCTTTTTCTAGGTTTGGGAAGTGCTCTGTTATCCATTTGAATAAACTTTCTACCCTTATGTCTATCTCTACCTCCTCTTTAAGGCCAGTAATTCTTAGGTTTGCCCTTTTGAGGCTACTTCCTGTATCCTGCAGGAATGCGTCAGTGTTTGTTATTCTTTTTTCTTTCGTATCCTCTGACTTTATTTTCAAATAGCCTGTCTTCAAGCTCACTATTTTTTTCTTCCACTTCATCAGTTCTGCTCTTAGAAGGCTCTGATGCATTCTTCAGCATTCCAACTGTACTTTTCAGCTTCAGAATTTTTGTTTGATTACCTTAAATTATTTCAATCTCTTCGTTACATTTGTCTGATAGAATTCTGAATTATTTCTCTGTGTTATTTTGAATTTCTTTGAGTTTCCTCAATATAGCTATCTTGAATTCTCTGAGAGCTTCCATGTCTGTTTCTCCAGGACTGGTACCTGGTACCTTATTTAGTTTATTTGGTGAGGTCATATTTTCCTGGATGGTGTTGATTGTTAATAGATGTTCTTTGATATCTGGGCATTAAAGAGTTAGGTATTTATTGTAGCCTTCTCAGTCTAGGCTTGTTTGTACCCATTCATCTTTAGAAGGCTTTCCTGATATTCGAAAGGACTTGGGTATTGTGATCTAAGCTGTGTCTGCTTTAGGGGCCACCCCAAGCCCAATAACTTGGTGGTTCTTGTGGACTCATAGAGTTACCGCCTGGATGGTCTTGGACAAGATCTGGAAGAATTCTCTGGATTACTAGGAAGAAACTCTTGTTCTCTTGCCTTACTTTCAAACAAATGGAGCCTCTCTCTCTTTCTCTGTTCTGAGCCACCTGGAGCTATGGATGGAGTGACACAAGCACCTCTGTGCCCACCATGACTATGACTGTGCTGGGTCAGACCTGAAGCCAGCACTCCACTGGGTCTTGCCCTTGGACAAGCCACTCCCTGGCTACTGCCTATGTTCACTCAAGGTCCTGGAGCTCGACAATCAGCAGGAGAAAAAGCCAGCCAGGCTTGTGTTCTTTCCATTAGGGATGCCATCTGGTTGCCATCTGAAAGCCAGGAACTAGAGTCAAAAACCTTAGAAGTCGGCCAGGTGTGGTGGCTCACACCTGTAATCCTAGCACTTTGGGAGGCCGAGGCCAGCAGATTGCCTGAGCTCAGGAGTTTGAAACCAGCCTGGGCAACATGATGAAACCCCGTCTCTAATAAAATGTAAAAAATCAGCTGGGTGTGGTGGCGTGTGCCTGTAGTCCCAGCTACTCGGGAGGCTGAGGCAGGAGAATCCCTTGAACCCAGAGGCAGAAGTTGCCGTGAGCCAAGGTTGTGCCACTGTCCAGCCTGGGCGACAGAGCAAGGAAGAAAAAAATTCTTACATGTCTTCTTGGTATTCTATTGCAATGTGACTGAGCTGGCACTCAAACCACAAGGAGGAGACCTTCCTCCTCTTCCCTTCTCTTTCCAAAGGCAGTGGAGCCTCACTTCATAGCCACTGCCCTTGCAGGCCAATAGGGAGAATTGCCAGACTACTGCCAATGTCCCCTTAAAGCAAAGGGCTCTTTAGTTAGCTTGTAGTGAATGCTGCCTGGCCTGGAACTCACCTTTCAGGGCAGTGGGCTCCTCTTGGACACAAGGCAGGTCCAGAAATGCTGTCCAACAGCCAACTCCTAGAATTAGGGCCTTACGAGCCCACTTGGTGCTCTACCCAACTCTGGCCAAGCTGGTACTTCAAATTCATGACAAAGCCCCTGTTACTTTATCATCTTTTCTTATGCAGAAAGATTCTCACTCCATAGCCACCACATCTAGGAGTGTGCTGAGTCTCACCTGAAGTCATCTAGTCACAGAGTCTCACACAAGGTCCTCTATGTATTCCTAGGTATTGCTGCTGGTTATTCAGGACCCAATGGTTCTTCAGTTAGCAGGTGATTAATCCTGCCAGGACTGGATCATTTTCTTCAAGGCAGAAAGTTCCCTTCTGGCCCAGGGTATATCTAGAAATGTCATCTGTGAGGTAGAGCATGGAAAGGGAGCCTCATGACTCTGATTGGTGTCTTCTCTCACTGTGGTTGAGCTGGTATCCAAGATTCAAGACAACATCCTCCCCACTCTTCTCTTTTCTCTCTTGAAGCAGAAGGAAGGTGTTTCTTTTGGAGCCATGAGTTGTGTATCCTAGGAATAGGGGAGGAGTGATGCTAGCCCTCCCTTAGCTTCCCCAGCTGGTGTCTTAGTAGGCTGTGTTCCCCCATTGCACTGGCTCTGGGCCCTGTTCAGCACTAGGATTTGCCTAGTTATTGCAATCTTTGTGTCCTAGACTTCCTGTTAAGTTTGAGTGCCACAGCAGTATAGCCTGTGATGGCAAGACTTGGGGGCACACAAGTTCCAACCACTGGGCTTGGTGATTCCCCTCTGGCTAGGGCTAGTTTAAATACTGCCTTCATGTGTGGGTGTCTGCTGAGCTTGGACTGGTTTTGCTTTCTACTATGACACTGCAGCACTGAGTTCAGTGCCTCACAGTTGCTGTAATCTCCCTCTCCCTAGTGCACAGCATTACTCTCCATGCCATGTTACTGCTGCTGGAGGATGGGGGAGGGGTATGTTGGTGATTCAAGAGTGTTTGTCCTACCTCTTCAGTGTCTCTTTCAGGGATATAAAGTTAAAAACCAGGTACTGTGAATGCTCATTTGATTTTTGTTCTTATGAAGGTGTTTTCTTTGGGGTGTGTGTGTATAGTTAATTGTTTAATTGATATCCTTGTAGTAAAGATGACTGGTGGAGCCTTCTATTCTGCCATCTTGCTCTACCCCCTCAGCAATTAATTTTTGTATATTGATCTTATGCTCTGCAACTTTGTTACCTCATTTATTACTTCCAGCTTTTATAGAGATTCTACTGGATTTTCTACATAGTAGATCACATTGTCTGCAAATAAACACAAATAAACACAACTTAAACATCTTTCATTTGAATATATCTGCCATTTTTGCCTTATTGATCTGGCTAGAACCTTCAGTACAATGTCAAATAGAAGTGGTGACAGTAGACATCTATGTCTTGTTTCAGATCTGAGTGAAAGAATTCTTTCCCGTTAAATAAATTGTTCATGTTAGCCTGCACAGAATGTTGTTTATTAGTTGAGGAGTTTCCATTTTACTTCTAGTTTTCTTAAATAGTTTTTCTCAGGAATAAATTTTAGACTCTGTAAAATGCTTTCTACACATCTATAGAGATTATCATATTTTCACTTTTAGTTTGTTTATATGATAGATTATGTTGATTTTTGGATGTTAAACCATATTATCCTATGATAACTTCACTTGTTGATTTTGATTTGTTAAAATTTTTGTATTTTTTCATCTTTTCACAGATAATTTTGGTTAGCAGTTTTGTCTCTGGTAATGTCTGATTTTGATATCAGAGTAATAATGGTCTCATCAAATAAGTTGGAAAATATGCCCTCCTATTCAATTTTCTAAAAGAAAATATCATCTCTAGGCAGGTAACTATCAGAAAAAGGAAGAAAGATCATGGGTAGCCTATGAATGTGTATTTCCTTTCCCCACATTTGCCAGTCAAGTAAGTCACTAAGTGAATGGCTAGTTGTGTAATGTGTCATGAGAGACCACAAATATTATCCTAGAGGTTGCTCTTCATTTAAAAACATGAAATGGAGATAAAAGGGCATTTATCATTACATTTTCTTCTCTTTAAAAATAAATTTAAATCCACACTTTTCTCTAGAAGTAAGTCAGAGACCTTTGAAATGAAACCATATTTAAGAGCCAACGTATGTTTTCTAGAATCCTTGAATTCAAGGGGATTCAGTACTTGTTCATGGAGCTATCAAGGGGCGGGCACAGAAAATGCTATATTCGGTTTACATGTTGGAAAATGGAAAATAACAGCAGATCATTCAGGGTTCATGGCAAAATAAGACACCCTTAGACCTCTTGCCTCTTATTGTAGGATTATAACTGTTTCCTTAGTTACATTTATTTCTCAGTGAAATTGCTTTTTATTTTTATCTTACTAGAAACTTTAGACTCTAAGTGAAATGCAAATTCACAGTAAAATCTTAAAAAGCAGGCCATTTTTTCCATAACCCAACCTTTTAATGTTGGGGCCCCTGGGAGCTTGATCTCAGGCTTTTTTCTCACTATACTTGCTCCCCAGATGAAGTGGGTATCTGTTTGGCATGTCATCTCCTTTTGGGAATTGCTCCTTCCCAGTGCTATATGACATGGTGGAGCTACCATTTAATTGCCCACTTCACCTGCCACAAAGGTGGAAAGATGGCCAGGCTGGCCCTCTAGAGTCTCCTCCCACACACAGTGACTGATTAGAGTCCTTTTAGGGATTGCTACAATTGGTAGGTGGGAAAGAATTTCTTTTCCCTTGTGAGGCACAAGCTGAAAGTACCCTGTAAGCCTGGAGCCAGCAGGGGCTTTCTGAAAAATGGCATGGAGAGGGAAGCATAGCCAACCACCCCTCTCCCCAACAATGCTAAATATATAGCACATATAGTATATAATATTGTACACATACAGTTCAATCTAGTGAAGGAGACAGACAAGAAAACACAACTAAATGACAAGTTGGACCTAGGGTGGAGAGGGAGACAGAGTGTATTATTCTGTTTTCATACTGCTGATAAAGGCATATCTGAGAGTGGGCAATTTACAAAAGAAAGAAGTTTAACAGACTCAGTTCCACGTGGATGGGGAGGCCTCACAATAATGGCAAAAGGTGAAAGGCACATCTCACAAGGCAGCAGACAAGAGAAGAGAACTTGTGCAAGGAAACTTCCCTTTATAAAACCATCAGATCTCGTGAAACTTATTTACGATCATGAGAACAGAACTGGAAAGACCCACCCCCCCTCCCCCGTGATTCACTTACCTCCCACCGGGTCCCTCCAACAACACGTGGGAATTCAAGATGAGATTTGTATGAGGACACGGTCAAACTACATCACATTGAGACAGACAGAACTCATCATTTAACCATCAGGCAGCAGGTGTGCCTAAAACTCAACCTCTGTTCTTTTTCAATTTGAGTCAAGAAATTGCTTTTTTGTTTTATCTAGTTTTTTTTGTCACTTTCACCCAACAAGTAGTGACTACTACTTTGTTTTTATTCATCCACATATGCTGACAGCTTACGCTATTACATTCCCATTTTTAGACTCTCCTCTGAACTCTAGATTATTATCTGTGAATATACTTGACTTTCTTCTTGGATTCGATGAAATAGAGACAGCTGGACCTAACATTTTTGAAGCCGGACAATTGATTTTCCCCCAAAACCTATTTCTGCTTCACATTTCTGTATCTCAATGAGTTACTACTACCTTTCAGTTGCTCGTCAGAAAACTGAAAGTCACTTTGATTACCTGTTTCCGCTCACTCTCCTCCAACTCCAAACCATCAGCAAGACCTGCTACTCTTTCTCCCCAAAATTTACATGAATCTTTCTACTTCTCTTCATTTTTACTTTCTCAACCTCAGTCCAAGACAATGCTATCTCTCCCTGTATTGCAATATCCTTCCAAATGCCTCACCACTTTGAGCCTTGGTTCCCTATAATCTGTTATCTGCACAGCACCTAGAATGATCTTTTAAAAATATAAACTAGGTCACTTTAGTCTCCTGCTTGGAACCTTATTTATGCTTCCCATCGCACGTAAGGTAAATCTTGAATTTTTTTTATGGTCTGAAATACTTTTGATAACTCTACTATTGTCTCTCATCCAGTCCCAAATTATGTGGCCTATACTCTAGCCCTCCTCACACGCTGCTCCTGTGTTCCCCCCTCTTACCTTTTTTTTTTGGCTAGATGCTTCTCCTCCCTTATAGCTCAATTTAAGTTACATCTCCTCAGGGAGCTCAATTCTGTCTACCCTACCTAAAACAAGTAATTCCTGACCAACATCATAGTTCTCTGTCAAAACTCTTAGGTCATGTACTTCATACTGTATGTGATAATTAATAATTGTCATTTAGTTTTTTTTTGGTCTCCATCACTAGATTGGACTGCAAGTTCCATAATTGGAAGAAACTTCTTTTCTACCGCTTAACACCCTGTGCCTACCTCAGTGCCAGCTACACAGATACTCAGAAGGATCTACTGAATGTACAAATGAGTATAAAAATGAATAAATGAATTATACAGGGCATGATATAGAAGAATTAAAGGAGAATGATTCCATTTAGAGTGATATGGGAAGATTGCTTGGGAAAAAGAGGCATATGTGCTAGTCTTTGAGCAGTAGCTTCAAGAATTGTGGAAAGAAAGGAAATCATATCAGTGAAAACCTGAAAGACAGTGTGTGTGTGTCTGTGTATGTGTTTATGATATATTTATCATGTGCATAGACTCCTAGTATGGATATGTGTGGAAGGTAAAACCACAGGGGATGGAAAATAAGCCTCAATAGGGAAAGTGAGGCCAAACTGTAGATTTCATTGACTACCAGAAGTGAAAGTTTGGATGAAACTATAGTTTTAGTTTGGATGGAACTATAGTTATAAAAGTAATAAAGAATGTACAGAAAGGAAATTGCTTTGTTAAAGGAATAAGAAAGTAAAAGTATGAGGAGAGGTGGTGGTAAAATTGACAAACCTTAGTGACAAACAGAATATGTCGACAGAGATGGAGGAGTCAAAGCTGATTCAAACTTGTGAACTTCTTGGACAAGGATATAGATTCCATTAACAAGAGACAGGAAACCTGGGAAGGCTGTATGTGCAATGAAATTGTGAATATTTAAATACATATATTAATACATTCACAAATAGCCAGCAGAGACTTGGTAAAGGTAATGCAGGAGCCCAAATAAAAATAGAAGATCAAAAGGTTAATCAGCAACAACTTTCAAATTTGAAAATATATACCCTAGACTAAGGGTATCAGTTATGGATATAAAATCCAGTTATTGCTAGAAGAAAATAATTTAGAACATTTATTACAGGGAATTAGATGTTTATAAAATCATTGGAAAACATGGCGGAACCTTATGTTGCAAGACCCTTATCAGTCTTCTGGATTCAAACGTCTCTGATCCAGTTGTTACCAAGTGCTATTGCTAGCCAGAGGGCAGGAAAATGTTACCTCTATGGTTGTCACCACTGCTGACATAGCCACCTCAACTGACAACCTAGTAGGTGGATAATAGATATGGGAGTCTAACTGCTGCTTGCATTCTACTGCAATATACTTGTCTGTGCACACTGGTATAAAAAACAAATAATAATTTGCCTCCCACTCCTTTCTGCCTTCCAAATATGGTATAAGTGGATCTCATTGGCAGACCCTGTATCATATCATGAACTCTCATGGTAAGTGCACCAGGGAAAGGGAGTTTTTAGTCTTCCAGCCATTCTCTTTTAGGTGGTGGGACTCCAGGGACATAAAATATAATTGGAAAACATGCTGAGAGCTAGCAGAGAAGACACAGCACAATGGTCATTGCGCAAAGGGCTATACACACATTTTCTCACTTTTCACCAAGAAATGGTAATTCATATTATTGATACACTGACTTTATAGATAAGAATGTGAAGACATAGAAACATTAAGTAACTTGACATAGATCCACATTCTAATCAGTGTGGGAACCAAGATTTGTATCCAGGCATTCAAACTTAAAAGCTGACATTCTTTAGCCCTATGCTGGAGTATTTGCCTTAGAAATAACAGCTGTAGACCTCAAGAAAGAATGTTAACTGAACAAAGAATATCAAGTCTAGATTTTGGGGCAATTCCCAAATTCAATGAACAGGGAAAGGAAGCAGAAGTGGTAGCTGAGACTAGAGAGTGTTGGAAGTGTGTATCATACTCAAAGTCAAAGGAGGTGAATTATAAAGGAGATGGTGGTCTATGGTCAATTGGTCTAAGAACAGAGAAACCATCATACTAGGCAAAAGGCAGGTCAGTATTTTCACTGTTATTCTGTTAATATGAATAGAAGTATTAATACTGTATTTATTTGAGGGCTACAGTGAAAATCAAGTCATATGAATTAAGAGACGGAAGATAGCTTTTAACAGTTGAGTACCACATTCCTGGAGTGCTACCCAAATGTGCTTTTCCCCATTGCCTTCTCTTTGGACTTAGTTTATTAAAAGACTTAGGTTCCTGAGTTCCTGTTATGCATCAAAACCATTGAGAGAACAGAGAACTCAGTGTGTGTTGTTCCATGTAGTTCTAGAGTTACAGTCATACCCACGTGGCTGCTTTGGCTGAAAATAGATTCTAGATTGACAAACTCCAGCCACATCTACCTGCTCTCCTGATTCTACCCTCTGGTAAAAACAAAATAAAGCCTTGGGAGAAATTTTCTGAGTCCTTTGTTGTACTCTGATTTTGAGTGGTATGTCATTCCCTTAAAACACAGGAATCTTTATACGGATGTTTAAGGGTACTACTACTTCATTCAGTCTACTCTTCTGGTTTCATAGCAGGCAGCATTTTGCTAGAATTCAGTATGCATTGTTTCACCAAGGAGCTACTTTCAGCATTATTCCTGCTCAGCTATAGAAAAACATGTTATACTAACATTTACTGATGAAGACATTACGGAAGAGGAATATTTCTTGCTGCAGGATCAGATATGTTTTTGAAAATCTCCAGGTGGCAAAAATTCATTCTTTCATTGCTTGTAAGCAGGAGCTTCATTTGGCTAATTCCTCTGCAACATGATATAATTAGAGCTTTTTGGAATTTGCCTTCTACTATCAATTGCTATAACAAATTATAAATGATTAGACCTAAATAGTCTAAGAAAAAATTATCTTGGTGTGTTTAAATGACTCTACATATAATCTTGGCACACAAGGTTAATGATTTGCTCCATGTTAAACATTAACACCTGGTTCTGAACCAACTTAAAATTGTGGTTGATATTTTTTTTTTCGAGACGAAGTCTTGCTTTGTCACCCAGGCTGGAGTGCAGTGGCACGATCTTGGCTCACTGCAACCTCTCCGTTTCCCAGGTTCAAGTGACTCTCCTGCCTCAGCCTCCCAAGTAGCTGGGATTACAGGCGCATGCAACAACACCCAGCCATTGTTTTTGATTTTCAGTAGAGAAGGGGTTTCGCTATGTTGGCCAGGCTGGTCTCGAACTCCCAAAGTTCTGGGATTACAGGCGTGAGCCACCATGCCCGGGCAAACTGCGGTTGATCTTGCTTCCATGGAATAGCCATCCTGAAAAGTAAATTCCGCTGGTGAAAATGAGATTAAACTGGCATCAGTGAAAAATTTTCACTGTAATTGCGGCCCAGTAGAAAATTAACTGGGAATTGGAATATTGTTTATGCTACATTTCTAATATTTTAATTAAGGTTTAAACATTTCTGTAGTGATGAAAATGGAAACAATGTATAATGGGGAGAAAAAGACAGAAACATAAAAAATAAAAATCATTTATTTAAACAAAAATATACACACAGTGTACAATGAATATGGTTTACACAGAACAATAAAACAAAAATGATATCTCTTAAATGCCAACATAAAATGATCTATTTATGCCTAGAAAAAATTTCTAGGAATACACATTATTGATTCATCTAAAATACATATATAACATAAAAAGAAAACAAATGCCAACCTTTCAGATGAGTACCACAAAAACCTAAAAGTTAAATGTTAGATTAAATAAAATTATAAAATATCCACACGAGAAGTATGTGTATACAAAGTATTGTATGTATGCAGTGAAATGAGAGTGCCCATACAGTTATATGCAAACTTTTGAAAGTTTCATAGTTGTTTAACAAAATATTTTTAATGTTGATAGTGACATAAAAACATCACAAGAATTATCTAGATAATATAGCAATATTGCCAAAATTTGAGTCAATGTTACCTGTGAGTGCAATAGGTCATCATTGATCGCGTCCTTTCATGACCTGGCGGTAATTTAGATGATTGAAGGAATATTATGAATGTATTTACACTGTGAGTGTGAAAGGGCAACATTTTTCTTCCTAAAGAACTGTATTTACTAAAATATATTTTTTTTGGCAAGATGTGATTTATCAGGCAACATCACTTGTATTAGGTCTTCCTTCCCTTGGTACTCACTCTCTGTGGGTACCATACTCAATTGTAAATCTTTTAAAAATTTAAAATTCTAAGTATGCATGCAATCTGTAAAAATTCCAATTTAGGATAGCTAAATTCATTACATTTTTTTTTTTGCTTATATTACCTTACTATTTTTCCTGTCTCCTTGTTATTAATAGCAAGACATATGTTCCTTTTAGAAATGTTTGATTCTCTTATTTGCTTAGAAATAGAATTCAATGAGTGATTAATGTACACCATGATTCAGAAAAACAAATGCAAATTTCCATACATTAACTCTACACATAATGGCTTGCAATATTTTATCTAAAACATTCATTTTATTTTCCAATTCTTAAAGATAGTTTTTGCTATAGGTGGCATCTCTGTGAACGCAGAGCTCTAAATTAAAACTGCCAAAGCAACAAAAGATATAATATATTGGGACTTTATAAGCTAAGAAACATAAATACAGGTGGGAAAAAGCATAGCTTATGTAGATTGCTGCTGGGTTAAATGAATATGAATTCACACTAAAATTGTCAATCAGCTACACATCTCTCACCAAATCATTCTTTTTGGTCGTGCATAATTTTTAAGGCCTCCAGCTACTATGATGCCTTGTGTTCAATATGTTTCCTTCCCTCTGTAACTGATGATCACAGTTTTTTTAGACAAGTTTCCTAAATCTGTGATAAAAGCTAATTTATTTCCTAAAAGACTACAAATGGTGCCTCATATATTGAACCAAACAAATGATATACCATCCTGCTTGGAAATCAAACACCTAAAACATCTGTGGTGATTTAGCATAGTGCCAGAGTGTAATTTGTTTAATGTAACAGTTTTGGTTTCAATTGAGCTATATTTATTAGAATCTGGGCACAGTAATATGTTACTGTTTTTCCTACTTTTAGCAAATGCCAAAATTATAAACTCCAAAATAGATGGTGAAGTACATTTTTAGTGATATCTGATTGGGCTAACAGTTCCCTGAATTTAGCCCTGAGTTATTGCTTAGACTACAGTTGAATTGCTAAGAATTCTCTGGCAAAGCATTATCAGGAGAAAAGGTGATTTAATAATTTAATTATGAATAAAATATAGTCATCAAATATGACTTTTAACCTAATAGGAGTCTTTAAAGAAGGTAAAAACCAAAACATTTATATAACCAAAATTATAGCCATCTGAAGATAAGGGATTGCATTTGATACTTTTTAAATAATTTTATACTGCCTCCAATAATTTATTTCCTAATAAAAAAAAAAGAATATGGCATTCATTGTGTGCTGGTAAATGCTCAACAATTGCCTTTCCAGGAATTAAAATTGCTAGTTTGTAGCATTTGCCAGCCAGTTTCTATGGTGTTAAATACTCCCACTGTGGACAGTTTCAAGCTACGAACACCATGTTACTGAATCTGCAGTCAGGAAGAGACCCACAGTAGCACAATATTGTATCCTGTTTTCACTGTAAAGATGTAATAGACCTAAATAGACTCAAGAGTACTAATAAATAGTATAAGGTAGTAAAATAATTGGGAAGTGGTATGTTTTGATTATTACATTGGTTTTTAATGTATTCCACTGTGTTTTATAATTTCATATTTAATAATGGTAATGTTTAACAACTAGCTTACAAAATTTCTGGTACTTTAATTATCAACTTTTATGCATCAGAACGAGCTAGTTCCAGCCCACCAGTGGTATTGTGTCTCTTGGTACACTATCAACTTTTACATAGGGAGAGGTTTGATTTGCTTGGGAAGAAAGGCATTACTTTATACACATCAGTTTCTCTCCTTTTTTACCTCTTATTTTATGTAAAGTGCCATACATAGCTGAAGGATAAAAAGGAAGTATCCTCCATCCAAATGCTAGCTTTTAAGCCTTCAGAGTTTTTCAGAAGAGGGGTTAGTCTTATAAAATAAGGGCTGGAGGCTGGGTCCATGGAGCTCTGCCCTGATTGGGCAGTTTGTCATTTAGTACAATTTATCACTTGGAACAAATGGTTGCTCGACTCACTGAATTATGAGGCTGACCAAACTTATGTTCAGGGATTGTTTTGGCAGAGTGTAGACAAACCTCAAGGCGATATTTAAAAGCAAAAAGCAATGATATGAGATGTAAATGAATGGTTTCCTTGTCTTTAAATATGTTTTTCCTAGGGCTCAGTAAATAGCTAATCCAGAATTGATATCTGCATTTAATATCAAAGGGGAACATATTATTTTTGAGCAAAAAAAGAGTTTGGAAATGTCATTTGCTCAGTTCATTTTTTGGCTCAATATGACCTCCTAAAATAGGTCTGCTGGTGTATCTTTTAAGTGAAAATATAGATAGAATAGCATGACTGTGGCTGTGTTTGTTCAAGAGAGATTTAAACACTTTAACATTTGCTCTTTGATTTAGCCTTAATAACTTAAGAAATAGTGAAGTGGTTGTTTAAGAATGAACTGCCTCTCAGGAAAAAAGCAATATTGTTGTCTCTATGAAACACATTTTCTTGATGAAATCCACTTTTAGAAGTTTGCACCAGTACAGGCTTTCTATAAGGAAATGCAGATGACTATGGTAATGAATGAAAATTCATAAGCATTTGTATTACAGTAAGCACTATAATTTGAGACTTCTATATTATTCATTTATTTACTTATTTAAAGATGGAGTTTCGCTCTTTTCACCCAGGCTGGAGTGCAATGGCATGATCTCAGCTCACTGCAACCTCCGCCTCCGGGGTTCAAGCGATTCTCTTGCCTCAGCCTCCCAAGTAGCTGGGATTACACGTGTGTGCCACCACATCCAGCTAATTTTTGTATCTTTAGTAGAGATGGGGTTTCACCATGTTGGCCAGGCTGATCTCCAATTCCTGACCTCAGGTGATCTATCCACCTTGGCTCCCAAAGTGCTGGGATTACAGGAAATCCTTGAAATGTCTTTTAAAAATAGAAAACCCTACTGCTGGCTTTCCAGTTAATATTTTTCCATATTTAAGTAGTTTGTTTTCAAAAATACAAATAAAAATTATTGCTTATAAGAGTATTTACAGAATGATAAATTACTTAAGGTTTCTTAGAACTCAGACTACCATTTGATATGCTGAATGAGGCTTCATAGCTATTCAAGGAGGCCTCTGTCATCCCAGCCTATCTTAAATCTAATAGGGTAATGAAAATAACCACAAATCCTACCATTTTCAAATGATATTGAACAACTCAAAGGTTGTATTTAATCACTAAAATAAAGAATGAGTTAAGAGAACATCAAGGTAATTTTGTCTATGAATGGATTCAAAGTACACAGCACATTTTCATTAAAAAGGCTGTAAGTAGTTTGGTACCTGCCTCAAGTATAATGCCCACAGGTAATTAGCTAAAATAAAAAATTGATAATTCTAGTATAAAAAGCTCCAAATGCTTATCTAAAATTTGTAGTAATTTGAAAAACTTAACATGGGGCTAGAATCCTTATTTCAACAGGAATCCTAGGCAAGGAGCTATCACATTAGCTATGGGAAGCATAATATCATCCATTGATCATAGCTAAGAGAGGGCTTAAGAAGCCTCTGTTATTTTCAAGGGAGATTTATGCTTTGGATAGCATGCTCTTCTAATGAGAAAGGAACAAGAATTTGTAAAATTTGGAGAAAAGTTTCATTCGTTCAGACTTTTGTACTCTTAGTTTCAATTCCAGTGATAAATCCTAATTTCTTTTTAACTAGCATTCTCCCTCAATTTTCATGCATATTTAGCATGGCAATTTGGAGAAGTGACAAGCCACAGGCTAGGAAAGTAAGAAGAGATTGTAATTCAAATTCTGCAACTATCTCCTGAGTGATTGGGGGTGATTAACCTTACCCATGTTTGAATACTGGTATTATACAAGATGATTTTTTTAAGGAAACTTCTACTTTGGGATTTTGGAAAACTTATAAATGTTATTTTGCTGAGTAAGGGCAAGGGCAAGTTTGATATTCAGGGCAACAGAAAATAATTGTTTTACTTTATCATTTGTTGTGGTTGCATATGTTTTAAAGGCTTA
The DNA here is from genome assembly GCF_000001405.40 of Homo sapiens. Classification (NCBI taxonomy): domain Eukaryota; kingdom Metazoa; phylum Chordata; class Mammalia; order Primates; family Hominidae; genus Homo; species Homo sapiens. The sequence goes on from NC_000004.12 coordinate 142,027,865, forward strand.
TTAACACACACAAACCTATGCCATAACTGCATGCTTACACCAGGATGACTGCTAAGAAACATCTCAGAGATACCTCACTGACATTCATGAACTTCACAACATAAAGTTCAGGCTGATGGGAATTTTCATTTTGGGTATCAAAATGTTGTTCATTTTTATTTTATTTGTAATTTTAGATCATTGCAGTGTTTTGCTTATCATTCTATTAAACGTTCTATATTGCTACATTCACAGCTAGATCACACAACCCAAGTCAGAGTTCTGAAAAGATGCCATGGTTTTGAAAGGTCTGTTGACCACTTTACTCACTCCATGCATATGCCTGTTGCAAGGGAGGAGTCACACCTTGACTGGATGATAGAGATCATTGTGGAACATACCTGCAAACTGCCTCAGTATTCCAGATCATGAGTTAACTCTACCTAATTGAGTGGCTACACATTTTTTTTAAATCCCTTACATTGATTCTCAGGTTGACTGTGTTCTCATAGGCTATTAAGTTGTATCACAAAAAAAATATGTTCCTTTTCCCCCTCTCCTCTCTTCCATTTGGTTGGAGAGTGGTGCTCTGTGAATCACCCCTAGTCCTATTGAAATGATCCATGTTTCCTCAGAAACATTTAAATACTCATGAATGAAATTTACACTTTGTGAACCAATCTCAATCAGCTAGGCTCAACACATAGAAGCTTAGAACTAGAAATGACAGTACTGAATCATGTAAGATTTTTTAAAATGGATTTCTTTCAGAGCAATATGCTGATGATGAATTGAAGTAGTTCCTAGATTTTGGGAAACATCTGTGATCATCTCCCCCACCACAAATTCATGACAATAAAAACAAACAAAAAAGACCAAGGTGAAGATTATCCAACTGAAATGTATTTGTGTTCCTGTTTATTAACATGTTGGTAAACTTAGGTGTCAGCTTTTCCATAAGTCCCCTCTGGAGGTCTGTAGTACTTGGGGAAAGCCATCAGCTGTAGCATGTTGAAAGCATACTTTCTGCATTTGATATTCTTCAGTACATTCTCTATGCGGCATCCTTCTCTGGTGAAAGGGGAAAAAGTACAACTTCATGAAACACAGAATAAATAAATATGCTTTATTTGTTTAATGCAGAGTTGCAGCAACCATCCAAGTAAAAATAACAAAGATTCAACTCTACATTTTTTTTTTCCACAAGTGATGATACATCTTACAAAATTAAATCCTAGGCCAGGCCCAATACCATTATTGCCCTCTGAAAGAGATGACTTAAGTCTCTTTACTCTTAACATTTAAAATTTAATAAACTCTTTAAATATAATTTGCTCCACAATACAGCTCCACTTTAGTTTCATAAATATATCTGCCTTTTTATAACATTTCCACAAATTAATTTCTCAGTCTCTTTAAAACACATTAAAATCTATATGTAGCCCTAAGGATGCAGGTTCTAGAAATAAGGCATTTAATTTATTAAGTCTGGCCCTATAGATTTTTAAAGAAAAATTTCATCTCTATTTTATTATTTTAGCTGTGCAAGGAAGAGAGAAAATGGCTTTCTGAACAGCCTGGGCCAAGTCTCAGCTTTATAAAGGAAGAGTGCTTGTCCACGGACAGTACAAAAGTCACAAGTGCTGGGAATGGTACATCAAGACACAAACAAGACCTTGTTAAAAAGAATAGAAAAGTCCTCTGAAAGCCAAATCAACCCAAACAAGAGATACAAACAGGTAATTTAATTACAAAACATAAATAGCCATTCTCTCCATAAAGTTACTTGACAGAAAAGAGTTAATTGCAGCAAAGAAGTAAAACAGGTTAAAAAAAATTTCTATCAGCAGATGGCATCTATGATATTAGCACAGTGGAAATAAAGTCTGCAACCTCCCACATCTCTAGAACTTGTCTCAGGGTTTCAGTGTTTGTGCAAATTTCAGTCTTAATTTCTTTAATAAATTTAGTGGGATGAGGACAGGAGGTTCAGAACTTCAAGCTTTCAGGATTCTGTTCTTTGTCTTATTCCAAAGACAGTAATTTAAAAATTCTTCTTGAGCTAGTTAACAGTGGGAAACACCTTTCCATGAACAAAAGAGCAAAATAATCCACCTAATGCATAGTACTTTTTGTTTTTTAGATTTTAGGAAAAACAAACTAAACACAATTTAACATTTTTTAAATTCTGTGAATTTGAAAATGTAAAAATATTACAGCATTGTCCCCATAATTTAAAGTTCATTGTCATTTGTAGAAAAGAAAAAGGAATACAACATAAAACTTATTGGTATTTGGCTAAGAGTAACGCCAGACTTAAAATAAGCCACACAACTAGCAGGTGTGAGCTGACAAGCAGCAAGGCGACAGGATAGAAGTGTCGAGAAGTTGGCTTGTTATCAGTTAGACAGCCTGTTTCAGGATCATCGGATTCATTCAGTGCTCCCTGGGTTTGTCTGCTGTTAAATGAGGGGAAGTTGGGGGGGAAAAGAAAATAGTATAGAGTTCACACAGTAAAAAAAATTCAGCCTTAAATATTCTGAAATACAATGCATTATCTTACATAACACAACTCTTTCAGATGAAATCTTATGGTAAATTTCCCCAAATGCATCTTGTGTATTGTTTTCTCATTGTACTACATGGGCAAAGGAATTAAAACAGGAGATTCCTTTAGCTCTTTGTGCAAGAAGGAAGAGAGAAACACTGTAATGATATTCACATGGGTTGATTACATATGTGCAAGGAAGAATCAAATAAGCATAACAGCACCAAATCAAGACTTTATGAATACAACTAAAACATGGATTAGCTCATGAAAATAATCTGATAACTACATCTTTAGAAAATGAAATGAACAACACAGGATGTAGTGAAGCAAACCAATGTGTCTGGCATATTTAAACATACTCTCTACTGGCATTGCACCTATATAATGTATTTAAAGTTATAAAAATGATTTATTGAAATGGCACAATCTTTAAAATGAGTGAGACATCTGACATGCCATCCTTGCAAGCCATAATATTAGTTTAATAAAATCCAACTCAGCACCCTTCTGTTAGTTCAGCTCATAAATTATATCACCTCCTGCTCATCTTCTTTAGATAGGGCCAAATCTATCTCCTATGGACATCTCATCTGAAAAGAGACCCATATTTACAGAGTGATACCACAGAAAATAAAAGACTTCATTTCTAGATTGTTTACTTTCTGTGTAAATAAAAAAAAGTAGGGGGTTGGTTTATAATTCTGCTTAAAAGCAGCTCCAATTATGGCCAGTCTGAAATATACCATATTGATATAAATTGAAAATAAAATAATTATGCTCTAGTTCATCAGTATTCAGAGTATTAAGAATCTCAATCACATTCAGTGGTTAAGGGGGTGGGATATTCTCTATTAGCTCTTCTATGTTTTCAGGCAAAAAACTGATTGTGGCTCAGTCTTATGAAAAGTGGAACTTTTCAAAGGAAACTTCTAACGAAGCTCCTTAGCCATGGCTGATTTCTAGTCCTTCGCAATCCCCAAACAAGTCCTATACAGAAATTTTTGACCAGGCATTGACCACACCAGTGTCAGCATTTACATAAATATCATAATTATTTCATACAATATGAATTAGTGTAAAACACCAAATCAACCATGTTGTGCTGTGCTCTGTTATATCCTCATGGTTTGGTAGAACCTAAGGACTATGCAATCAGTGACAAAGTAAAAGACTGCCTGGAAAACAAATGGTTTACTGAGCAAAAGGGGGTTTATTTTTGATTTGCATTTATTCCTATTGTCAATTGTATGAGTAACTTGGTTACTATTCAACTTTTTCCAGCACACCAGGTAGAAAATGTACAGTATTTTAGGCATTGATATTTTTTAAAGTGACTAAGAAAAGCTCCCCTTACATTATATTATTTCTTCTATTGGCTTCAAATCCCTAATTGTTAATCCCAGAGAAGGAGTTTATTCATTTCTTCAACCCAAAGTTTTTAGTGTCTACTATGAACCAATTGCTGCTGTGTAGGCACTGGGAATACAAGGTTGGATACATCAGATAGAGATTTCAACAATGTTTATTTTTGAGTTGGACGAGCAGGAATAGAAAAATAATAACATCTGATAAAAGCACCATGAAGAAAAGTAAGGCAGGAAAAGATTCATATGTGTGTGAGACAGAGACAGAGAGAATTTTAAATAGGAAAGTTAGAGAAGTTCTCACAAGAAGGTAACGTTATCACAGATTGAAGATAGAAAGGGAAAGAAAGATGTGGATGTTCAAATTAATTTTTTCATTGAGCTAGTGCATTACCTAGTAACTTCCTGATATAAGGGGACTGGAAAGTTTAGGCTGGAGGACAAAGGGGCATGAAGGAATACTGAGAGGGTGTTTTCTGCCTGGCTGGGTCTCAGTGGGAAAGCCCAGGCTACCAGGGGCAGCAGAGAGGTAGGGAGGGAAGTGACCTGAACTAGTGGATGGCAGACCAAACTGGAGGAGAGACTCTACAGTTATGGACCCCATTTCCATTACAGAATCCAAATAGAGACAAGGACACTAAGACCCCTGAGGGTAGCAGTTTGAATTTCCCCTATAAGAACCCCCCAAGATGATCTTGGAAGGAGGGCACATAGATCTGAGGTGGTTCTAGATGGCTCATTGGAGCAGAGGACAAAAGTATGAGAACTTCAATATTGCCAATATGTATCTCATTCTATTAAAATTACTTTTTCATGTATTTCAAAAAATATATATTAGTAGAATAGCACATATAGAAATAGCTGTGATATAGATCAGAGCACAGACTCCGGAGTCAGACCAGCTGTTTCAAGCTTGGTTCTGCCACTTGCTAGTGGAGTGGCGTTGAGCATGTCATTCAGTATGTCTGTCTCTATTTCCTTATCTGTAAAGTGGTGATAATAACAACATGTATATCATCGAACTGCTATGAAGTAGCTCATGTAAGTCAATTCTTACAAAGTTCTTAGAGAATGCCTATAGCAAGCATTCAATAACTTATGCCATTTGTATATCAATAAATAGGTACATCTTGGTAGTGTACCCAGAAACTTTTTAATTAGTATGTTCCCTCCTGCCTTTTTTTTTTCCAGAAAAGACTCACAGATTCTGTTTAATGCATGGTAAAGAAAAATATCACCAGGTCCTTGGGAGTAGCAAGAAAATAAAAAAGCCTAAAACATGTACTTTGGAGAGAGGAAAGCTTATTCCCATGGAAAAGAAAAAGAAAAGGAATCTGAACAATTGCTCATCTGAGGGCCATGTGGGTCTCCAAGGAGGCTTTTAGCACATGCCCTTCCTGTAATCCAGGGGTAACCATTGTTAACCTGACCAATTCAGCAAAGAGGGAAAAGTCAAATTTCACAGGGAAGGCTGGTCCATAAACTTGGTTCTGTCCACAATGTGTGTCTTGCCCAGCCACTGTGCTGCCTTTATATACAAGTCAGGCACATTCCCCCTCCACTGTGCCAGCCACACCCTCTGGACCATGGGCCAGTGGTCATTTCCAGCAGCAGAGGCTGAGGTCAAGGCAGGGTTGGAAGGAGTTGCTGTAGTGAGTGTTGTGACAGCACTGGCCAATGTAGGGGAAAAAAGCAGCAAGCCAATGCCTGGTTGGGGTCAGTTCATCAGGGTCTGTAAGTCTCCTTCACTGATCATTAGTGCTGAAAGGAACCTCTAGAGGTCATTCTGTGCATTTCTCAACTTCCTTTGGGTCACTTTCATACATGGTTTTCCCTCCAGGTCTGATAGATTTTCAAGAAAGAGCATGCCTTCAGCTTCTTTTTATCTCCTAAGTAAGTTCTCCATTTCATTTTTTTTTTTTTTTTTTGAGACAGGTTCTCTGTCACCCAGGTTGGAGTACAGTGGCGTGATCATGGCCTACTGCAGCTTCTATCTCTCGAGCTCAAGTGAGCCTCCCATCTCAGCCTCCCAAGTAGCTGGGACTGTAAGTGTGCACCAACATGCGCAGCTAATTTTTGTGTTTTTTTAATAGAGATGGGGTTTCACCATGTTGCCCAGGCTTTTCTCGAACTCCTAGGCTCAAGCAATCCTCCTGCTTTAGCCTCCCATAGTGCTGGGATTACAGGCATGAGCCACTGTGCCTGGCCTCTACTTCATTCTTATTGAGTACTGATACTCTACTTATCAGGCCAATCAGCTAACATTTCAGGGAATAAAGTCAATAGTTTGGTTACTGTACAGTCCATGGTAAACATTCAGCTCCGAATATTGACAGTGCTGAGACTGAGAGACCCTGCTTTAGCATGAGACTCTCTCTATATGTACATATAAATATATCAACTATAACCTATCTATCTAACCTTCTTATCATTTATCTTTAAGGCAGTAGTTTACAACCAAGTGATGTTACCCAGGGACATTGGGCAATATCTGGAAGGATTGTTGGTTGTCATAACTATAGGAGTGGGGGTACTGCTACTGGCATCTTAGCAGGTGGGGCCCAGGGATGTTGCTCAACATCCTGCAATGCATAGGACAGTCCCTGCCACAATCACCCAGCCCGAATGTCACTGCTGGCATAGCAGAGAGGCTGGGCCCTGGCTCTTTGTATTTCATACTTTGCTCTGCCCCCGCGATCCCCTCTTACCTCTCTCTTTCCACATCTCCTGTCTCCATCAGGAATTCTATTACTCACGCAACCCCCATAAACAATGCCCAACTCCCTTCCAGCCCTCAGTTCCCCACAGCCTGACTGATCACAGCCTGCACAGCCAGGCTCACCACTGCCACCCTTCCTCTATCCCTGCTAGTCTACCTTCATACACATCAAGAGTCACACCGGACCCCTTCCCTTGTATCCAGACCATATATGGTCAGGAAACCATATATTTGTTTTATGATGTCCTCTGCTCAGAGCACCAGGCACCTCCTCCTAGCCACTCCAGTCATGCTCATTCTTACCCTTGTTACTCATAACTAACTTCTCCTGTCCTTTCTAAAGTATGGCTCCAGTAGCATCAGTTTCCTGCTGGAAGTTTCCATGGCTTTTCTAGGCCTGCTGATGAAGTTAAACCCTCCTGGCTGGGGCACCCTCATCCCTGTGTGTACCAATTCTATCACCTGGAACACACACACACACATATACCATCTCTGACTAGTTTGCCCTCCTCACTTCTTGCATCCATCAAGTACCACTGCTTCCAGGAAGCCCTCCAGGTCTGTGTCTGTGTCTCCCTGTCTCGCTCATCTTCCTACCTCTTAGAAGCACTTGGCATCAAGCCTGGCACAGGAGGATTTGTCTGAGGCTCACATCAGCACGAGGAGGCAGGCCAGCATCCCCACTTGGCTAAATACGAGGGATCTGGAGGCCAAAAGTCTGCCTTCAGATTCTACCTGGCCTCTTAGTTCTGCCTGCTTGAGAGATTTGATTTGTCTCTTCAAGCCTCCATTTCCCTTCTTGGAAAGTGAGGTTAGGATGAATGAGATCGTCCCAACGTAGGTGCACAAAAAGAGCTGGCTTGCAAAGTCCCAGAGGTGGGTTGGATAGGACAGATGCTGTGAGCCGAGATATTTTGTGCACCTACGTTGGCACCTTTTAAAATGTATTTCTCTAGAATCTTTTTAACTAGATAAAGATACTATTCACCTAGAACCTTTTTAACTGGTAGAGATGTATAATCAAACCAAGTTGCAAGCCACTAACCTAGCCCACTGGTGTTCAAAAGTGGATGTACCAGGAGGTGGGTGGAGGAGCAGAGGGCCAGGACATGCAGCTTGATCTTACCAGCAGCAATTGTTTATGTCTCTGCAGAAGAAAGTATTTATGTACCACCCCAGACTATATTTGGGTAAACAATAGTCATAATTATGTCACAGCAATTTGAATTATACCAAATCAATCATGCTGTGGTCTGGTTGCAAAGAATAGTTGAAAATAACTGGTCTATCTCATGCTTGAATAATTCTGGCAATGAGGAGAAAATGCTTTTCAAAGAAGTTCATTCCACCCACAGCCAGCTGTAGAGGGGGCTCAGTCATAGAACATGCATGCAGGCATGTGTTGGGTAGGTAGGGAGAGGGGCAGGAGGAGGCAAGATATAGTTCTTTTTTTTAAAATCTTTCAACTTTCATTTTAGATACAGGGGCATACATGAGTAGGTTTGCTATTTGGGTATATTGTACATGGACAGTGAGCTTAGTACCCAAAAGGTAGATTTTCAACCACCCTCCCCTCCTTCCCTCTCCCCTCTAATAGTGTGCAGTGTCTATTGTTCCCATGTTTATGTCCGTGGGTGCTAAATGTTTAGCTCCCACTTATAATTGAAAATGTGGGGTATTTGGTTTTCTTTTCCTGTGTATTGTGGTTGCTATTATCGTTAATATTATCCTAGCACTACCTCCTAATCTGTCTAGTTTTAAGGTGAAGGTTATCTGCAGAAAATCTTAATAACTTTATTGAAATCTTGATTCCTTTTCAATGTCTCCTGTTAGGAAAAAAGTATAGAATCATCTGTCAACCAATCAATCAATCATCATAGTATAAATATTATATGCTGATTATAAATTTAGCTTAACATATTGGCCACAATTTATCAACATAATAGTAGAGAAATACACTTTCTCAGTGGAGCCACCCTACAGATATTCCTCCTGGCTGAGGAGTAGAGCATTCAAAAGTCTGAAAAGTAATTTGAAAATATCTTAGAATGGTCCTTATTCCAAATATAGGGGAATAATTTATGCCAGATGGCTTTATTTTCTACAACTGCCAAGGAATACTTAAAATTTTCCAGTCTGCATGTTGTATATGTCCTCCAAGTGAAAAATCACTAAATTAAAAGGTTTTTGTTTTTGTTGTAGAGGGGCAGTTTTACAACGGAATTAATTTGTTGTTAACTTCCATCTCTGGAAATCAGAATAACATATTAAAGATGTCTCACATGTAATCATCTTATATTCAGCTGGAATTTAAAGCAACATGGCCTAGGAGGCTGCTTCAGATCCTAAAGCTTGAGCCCCATGACTGTATCAGAGTAGACACAGGTGACTTTGGGACTGCTTCCTACTAAGAATAGTACAAATGGTCATTTCTTCATGGCCACCAATGAATCTGTAAGTGCCCTGCAAGTGCAAAATGCAAGGGATGTTTTAAGTAATAACATTAGTAACTTCCTCACTAGGAGATTATGACAAATAATTAATCAGTAGCTTGCAAGGTACTCTGGCATTCCAATGTCATTAGTTTTGGCCATCACCGTGGAAGCAAATCACAATGTTGTTTCCACTGAAAATGTGACAAGATCAGACACTTAAGGGCAGTTGTTAAATCTGCAGGATAGAAAATGATCTTTTTTATTTATTTATTTAAGACCCGTCAAAGCAGTCACTTAAAATAGAAACAAGTTAAAAGACATGTCTCACTTTTAAACACATCACTGCCTACATGAGGAGATATATCCGTAAATATAATCCAACGTGCATGATTTGATGACATTTGCTTATTTCACTTTCTTTTCTGCAAGTATCTATGCTGTATCCTAGATCACAAGTCACACCCATCACAGATACTCTCTCAAATCACTCTGACTTCTAAAAATAAAAGTCAGTCTTCCTATCTTCTCCTGCTGGGTAGTTATTCATTAATAGGTTTGCTATTTGATATCTTATTCCTTTGACTATAGCTATTCAAGCTTCCCAAAGGAAAATTACCAATTAAAACTGAATTGAAAAATCTTTCCTTCTGACCACCAACCTGATTTCCTCCCATGATAAAATGAGAACATTTCACATTTAATTACATGCTTCAAGTTTGAAGCTATGGGTATACCATCCTGAAATTACGAGCCAGGATTTTAGAGCCAATATCTTGCAGAGCTTTATTTGACTCAACATTCATCTGATGGATCAATATTAATAGAGTACCACGTTTCAGGCCCTAGACTGTTGAATTGTATCAGATTTAAATCCTGCAGATCTGTGTAAAAATGGATATAATGAATCTGGTATCAATAAGAGCTGTGAGTGTGGCACAAGAAATCACAGGATCATAGATTCTCAGATGTAAAAATGGCTTTAAAAAGTATTCAAGTTGAACGTACACCTTTTCTAGATGAGGAAATAAATTTAAAAATCTTAAGTTTCCATAGTAACAAATAGTAAAGAATCTTGAGAACACAGTTTCCCTAATTCACAGTTTGCTTATATCATAGTCTGATAGGAAATGGAGAAGGATTTTCATTTTCAGTTTAGATCAATGTCCAGGAAGTTAAATAACTCGAAATACTCTAGATAATTTGTTATTTTACCTAAACTTTCCAAAGATTACATTTATAATTAGAATATTAAAAGTCGAGTTTCAGGACTTTTCAAAAACTGCAACTATTTAAATGTTGTGAAAATTTTAATAAGGGAATATCATGAGTGAGATAATTCCCATTGGCCTAAATGTAAGCATAGCCTATGTGGTCATAGGATCCCCAGCCCCATTTAAACTGTCTTCTCTTCTAACTGTATTTCAGAATATAATTTAGAATATATTATGTTAATCACAGGAAAAGCCCCTAAATCAGGAAATTACTCAAAAGACATAAGCCAGTGTCACTGCTTTGAACATCATAGACTGTTTCTAATGATTATGGACAAGTTTGCTACAAAAGAAAGAGCAATCTTGGGCAACATTAAGCAAAATGCCCACTCATGGGAGTTGTGAGTTCTACCCACATGTGTACTTTTCTTGACATGGTATTCTAAGGGAAGGGTTCCTGTAAACTAGAGGATACCAGAGCATGGTAACAAAGGTAATGATAGTGGGGTTTGGGAAACCTGGCAGATCAGGAAAGACTGAAGACATTGAGAATAAGAAAAATCCATTGCACTGGAGAAGAGGAAAATTTATGATTAAGTGGTTGTTGATTTCAAATAATCAAATGCTATGTAGTGTAAGGCGTAGGCTGCCTTGGAAAGGAGCGCAAGTGTGTGAAGTAGGGAGAGATCGCCTATGTATCATGTCCTATCATGCAATACGACGTCTTTTTAGATATTTTTTTTCATATACTGCAAGCAGTCGTACTGGTTGGTATTAGTTTTTGTATAAGCTCAAAATGGTTTCAAAATTTGATTGAGTAGCAGATCAGGGCTTTTATCCCTGTCTGTCTAATGAAAAAACCATATTCCTTTCACTTCATGATTGAGATCCCTTAAGCACAGGTTTTCTGCTACCTCTCAGAAGCAGGGAGATGTGGTTTCCTGCCAGTTGTAAGATTAGATTCAGTGACCTCTAAAATTACTTTCATCTTTACTTTCCTGTGATTCTTTGATCCTATGAAAACATAACTGCAGTACTCCAGAGATGCATATTTTTTCTACTAATAGAATACTTGACTGTTCAATAAGAAATAGTGGAGTTGGGGGCAAATTGGAAGAATACAAAGCATGCTGAAATTGTATTTGGTCTCTAAAATTGTTCATGCTCAGTCTTATCTATTTTCAACTTCAATATTGAAAATAAAAACAAAACTACATGAATATATTTAAATGTATTAATTTTTCACTATCACTTTTTATACCTTTTGTTCCAGTTCAATGTTTTTGTTTTATAAAATTCCGAGAAAATAGGAATATCCTCTCATCAGAAGAAGCCAGGTACTAAGTAATAATAATTTCAGAGGATGTCTAAACATTGCTTTGAAGAGAAATTTCGGAAGTACCTATGGCCAGAATTATAACTCAAGAACAGTTAGGAAAGTGGCCTGGTATGAAATTTTAAAAAGTGCTTTATTAAAAAAAAAAGGAAAAATGAAAGAGAGACATAATGAGTTGAGAGTATAATTGCTTCCATTAAATCATTTCAAATAACTGATTCCAGTTTTGATCTTTGAATTTTAGAAAGGAAAATATTTGGATCAAGTCTACAGAGAAATATCACAAATGATTAAAGGACCAAGAAAAAAAAATCTTGTGAAGTGTTTAAGGTTAGTTTTGTTTGCATAAAAGAATGCTAATATGTGATATGATCACTGTATTTAAATATATGTAAGATGGAAAATTTTTGATATATCAATTTTTATTTTGCTGTTTTTTTTTCTTCTTACTTTTTTAGGCTATTGTTTAAAATGTGTGCCCAAGGGAATTTTAGCAGTACTGGAAGCAATAGCTGCCTGAACTAAATTAATTTATCCTTTATTCATGACAGAAAATTTGAAGTTTCCATTGCGGGTTGGGGGGGTAATACAGAATAAAAGGATCTTTTAGGGTAGAGAGAGAAAGAGAAACAGAAAAGAAAAAGAAGGGAGAAGTGGGGGAAGAAGAGGAGGGAGGAAGGAGAGGGAGAGACAAACACAGATACAGCAGTGACAGGAGAGAAGACAAGGGGCAGTGTTTGTCCAGGAGGGTGAAGCCTTGTTCGTTGTTCACTTGCCTGGTGAGGGAGCCCAATAGCAGGGGATGCTGCAGGATGCATGGCTGACCCTTGGTCGTTAGTCAGCTTCCCCAAAGATTCTCCTGTATTGAGTTAGGCTTGGATAAAGTGAAATGAAAAGGTGTGATAGTACCGTAATGTATAGGAAATGGGCACATCAGTGGCTAATGACTGATACAGAAAAGTCTCAAAGCTCAGTGCAAGGGAAGACTTGTGGCTGGAGGAGAGCGTAAAATAATAGAGATTGACTTTCCACCCACTTTGCTAGATAGGAGCTGAAATATGCAATGAAGCTTGTTGAAAGAAAAATTTTTGAAAGAAATGAAACAACAAAAATACATATCTGACATATCTTAGTTAGTAGAAAGATAAATAGGGGATTTCTACAAAGAAATAGGTAAATAGATATAGATCTAGAACTCGTTTTCTGGTTCCAATACCATGTAATTATGCTTTTCTCTGTACAGAAACTCTAACAAGATGACTTAGTTTTAATTGCTTGAAAATAACAGTCAGATAAAAGGAAGGAGACTAGTGTCTTAAACATTCTGTAGGTGTGTTTGTTGCTAAGGTACTTTAAAATGTGAACAATCATGTTTCACTGCTCTAGTTTGTCATTCTCCTGGAGTCTGGGATAACTTTAATTCCCAGTTAAGAGGACATTAACACGTAAAATTACTGTCTAAGCCTTCTGATTCTATTCTTGATAAGCACTAGTCAGAGAATAGGAGGTAAATTCATCACGACACCTGGCTTCCCTTGTGAAGCAAGAAACCTAGCTGAGAAGGCAGTCTGACTCCAGGGCTGCTCTTAGCTCCCAAATAAAAATAAAAGTCCACATGTACCTTAGATTATAGCCTAAGTTCTGAAAGTAGCCTGGGAAATTTAGCAGAAATCAATAATAAAAAAATTAGGATATGAGTAACACGAAAAAAAATTAGCTCATCTCCCTATTATCTAACTCCATTAAGTCTGAAGTTCTTCCCCTTAAAATGAGAAGGTTAACATCCATACCATAGGATTATTGTGAGAATTATGTAAAGGTACTCAGAACGTGCTCAATAGTAAAAATAAATAAATAAAAAATTTAATATCCCTTTTGCCAGGTACGGTGGCTTATGCCTGTAATCCCAGCACTTTGGGAGGCTGAGGTGGGCAGATCACCTGAGGTCAGGAGTTTGAGACCAGCCTGACCAACCTGGTGAAACCCCGCCTCTACTAAAAATACAAAAATTAGCTGGGCTTGGTGGCGGGCACCTGTAATCACAGCTACTCAGGAGGCTGAGGCAAGAGAATCACTTGAACCTGGGAGGCGGAGGTTGCAGTGAGCCGAGATCAGGTCATTGCACTCCAGCCTGGGCAACAAGAGCAAAACTCCATCTCAAATAATACTACTACTACTAATAATAATATCCCTTTTGTTTCTCTTCCTGTGCCAAATCTCAGTTCTTACATAGACAGTGAGTACCTTGCCATTGCTCAGTTCTGGCTCTTTTTTCTCTAATATTGAAATGCCTCAGGATTCAGCACAGCATCCTTTGTTTTACATATATTTTATTTAGTTCAAACAAACAGTTCCAGACTTTAATGTCATTTGATGCTGCATTACAGACACATGTACTGCATCTCCACTTAGCTGTCTAACAGACATGTTAGGTAACAAGGCTAAAACATAATTTAAGTCCTGCTTACTCTGCTGCCACCTCAGATCAGCTCTTCCCTTTCTTTCTATCACAGGAAATGACACTCACCCACTTTCAGACATCTGTATTAAACACCTCAGTCCTCCTTGATGCTTTTGTATTCTCTATACTCCATAGCCATCCATCAGCAAGTCAGACCATTCAGCAAGATCTCCACTACTGCCTGTCATCTACCGTCACTTGTTCTCCTACTGTCAGAAGCTGTTTTCCTGTCTTTTACCATGCTTGCCCCTCTATTAAGTTTCACTAACTCCTAATATATCCATTTAGACACATAGCAAAGCAACCAATGCACAATGCTAGTGGCATAGTAAAAATACTTCCCGAAGAGCTTCCATGGAATCAAAATTCAGCTGTATCCTAGCTATGCACAGGGAGCCAAGCTTGTCAAAAAAGCAGTGGTGCTTATCCAACTGCAGGAAAGTGGAAATCTTTTCATCTGCTCATCACCAAGAGATTGAAGCTCTTGAATCTCAAGGAGGAAGTTTATCTACAGCCTCTTTCTGTACAATCTCTTGTTTTTAAACTTGTTTCTCAAGTTTTTCAACCCCCTTTTCCACTGCCAATTTATGTGTGTGTGTATGTATGTATGTATGTATGTATGTATGTATGTATGTATGTATTTATTTATTTATTTATTTTTAGACAGAGTCTCACTCCGTCGCCCAGGCTGGAGTGCAGTGATGCGATCTCAGCTCACTGCAACCTCCGCCTCCCGGGTTCAAGCGATTCTCCTGCCTCAGCCTCCTGAGTAGCTGGAATTACAGGCACGCGCCCTCATGACTGGCTAATTTTTATATTTTTAGTAGAGATGAGGTTTTACCATGTTGGTCAAGCTGGTCTTAAACTCCTGACCTTGTGATTCGCCCACCTCGGCCTCCCAAAGTGCTGGGATTACAGGCATGAGCCACCGCGCCCAGACGATTCTATTAGGGTTGAATGCTACCAACTTTTCCCAGTGATAGAATCTTGCTTCTGTTCTTTTTTGCTGCATCTGAAATGGATGGAGCGAACTATGAACTGGCTCAACATCAAACACCACCATTACCAGTGTTGTATATTCTCAAATACTAACCTCTACTCACTCTTTTAAGTCAGACCTTCCAAAAGAATCAATTTGAAGTTTTTGTCCTTGGAAGTATTAGAGGATTCATCATCTCCCCAAAAGGATAGGGTCTCTCTCTTTCCTCCATCTTTATTCTTTTCCCACTTCTATTTCCTAACTAACTTTTCTCTTTAATTCCACTCTACCATGCAAACATCATGATGCTACAATTTATGTTATCAGCTCCTGGAAATGATGCAAATCATAGGAAAGAGAATAAGATACATTTAAGAATCTTAAGGTTTAGTTTTGGAATAACATGTACATGGCTTAAAACAACAGCAGTTACCTGACTATGAAAAAGGCAAAATATAAAATATACCAGAGAGGAATAACTTCCAAGGTACAGCTCAAAATGCTTTATATATATCATCATTCATTTCTTCTACAAAGATTCAAATACCAGGGAAGTTTTCTTAGAGAAACAGAATGTTGTGATGTATAGTGAAGGCCGGATAGGGTTTCAAGGATTAGAAATTAGGTGAGATAGAGGGGTATAAATAACATGGAAAGCCATGGAAAGAAGAATGGCAGATGTATTTGGGAATGATTCACAGCTAGCTTTGGTCATAATGATGAGGAGGCAAAAAAAAAATGAAAGGAAAATTAAATGCTAGGATATTTTCTGTTTCTTATCTATTTTATACATTTTCTAAAATAAACATTTGCTGTAAGAAATTCAGTAAAATGAGATGAGGCTATGTTGTAAATGTTTGTGGTTGATGACAAACACAGACATCATTCTCTAGATGTAGGGTGGGCAAACACTGAAGACTTATGAGCAGCAAAGTGTTGGGATTAGCTGTGTTGTAGGATGGCACCTAGCATGAATAAGTAGGGTGGCTTGAGCCAGGACTGAGGGACAAGAGTTGAATAAACTAGGGACATGGAGACCAATTAGTAGGCTACTACAATAGTAAAGGCAAGAAATAGTGAGAGCTTGAACTGGAGAATGAAGAGGAAAGACTAGGAAGATACAGATTCTAAAACAGAAGTAATTTAAAAGTAGAAGACAATTAAGATTTTAGATAGAAGATCAGAAAGAAAAAATTTAAAAAGTTATTTTCAGGTTTTAGAAAAAATACATTATATTTAAACATGCTAAGTTTGATGTATGACGTTAGTTAGATATAGATAATAAAAAGGGAGGTTTGGAGAGGATCTATGCCATGGATCTATTCCTTATATTTCATGCAAGAAGTAGATTAATTAGATGGAATCATCCACGTAGAGAATACATCACACAGACAAGGGTGGAGGGCAAAACTGGGGGAATGCTTACATTTGTATGGCTAGAGAAGAAGGCAGATAGTAAGGAGTGACATAGAAAACAGTCACAGATTCAAAGACTTACTGTGTAAGTAAGTATGTGTCAAATGCTGCAGTTGGAGCAAGGAGGCTACAAAGGAAACGAGGTCACCAGATTCCATGATTTTGTGATTTGTAGCCTGTGACTTTCAGTCGAATTTTAGGAACAGGGATTAGGTTACAAGCAGCTGATGAATGAAGAAATGGAAGGCAGCATTCTATCCTATGGAAACTACTGTGTTCAGAGCACTGATAGTGAAAGAAAAAAAAACACACAGAACCTCACCCAGCCAATAGGATTGATGGAACCGTTTTAAGATATATGAAATGAGGATGCTTGGAGGCACAGAGAAAGGGGTAAGTAGGGAAGATCCAAGAATAATATGGAATATTTCATCATCTTTTTGTCGTTGTTTCTCAGGAGAACAAAAGTTATTTCAGGGTTAGATATTAGCCATACAATAGATAAGTTTCACTGATTATCAAAAAGTCCTTAGTCAGAGTCCACAACCACAAAGCATTCTCTCATTCATCTGAACATGAAACTGAAGAGAAAGGTGTTTAGGAACAGGATGCAGGGAACGTAGGAAAGTAACCCAGTTAGAAAATTCACTTTTCCATTTTGTGACACAATCAGAAATTTTTGCAATATATTCTCAGCCCTTTAGTAAGAAAATACAGCCAAAATTGAATTTCTGAGCACCTAACAATTAATGTCAAAATATATTAGAACACCTGTGCTGCTAAGTGTGTTTGAAGTAGCATCTTTGCATATAATTTTAAAGCCCAATGTTATGAAAATCTCAAGAATGTACATACCTATATAAATGTTAATGCAGTGTATACATCTCCTGAACTGATCCCTTCTTCACATGGTAATTTGGTTTAAAGCCTTCCAATGAACATATACACAAACAAACACAACGCTACTAATTAGGAACATTTTATTAACACCAGTGACTGTCAAAACGATTATGCCACAATGCCTTTGTACTGGCCTTTTAATTTCTAATAACTAAAATTTTTAATTACCGGGAACTAGATTTTGTATCCAACATACTATTTCTGATTATGGTCATTGGGAAAGCCTTACAAGTGGCTTTCCAGAACTTCAGTATCTACTTAGAGTTAATAAAGAGGTCCATCTAGTTTCCAGATGGCTACTTCCTCTTGTTTTTCTAATATTGAGCATTTTTCTTTTTTAAAATTGGTACTGTCCCACTGTAAGTTACAGAGACTTGGCTGTGAATCTTTATTAATCTCTTTCCATTTTTGACCTTTACCTCTCAGCTCATCTAAGAATAGGGAATACAGCTTCATGGAATATTTCCCAAAATGTGTGTAATTAAATAAGTTGGGAAATGCTGGGTTAGAAAACTCATACAGAATTTCTAATTTACTTTTTTAGTCAAGAGATATTAATTAAGCATCTGCATTGTGCTAGGCTTTTAAGTAACCTGGATACAAAAGTAAAGGAGATAAATTTCCTATTTTCATGAAACTTATATTCTAGTCAAAAAGGCAGACCGTAAGCAAACAAATATACATTTTATTTTAGGTAATAAGCCCTGAGGAAAAATATGAGTGCAAAGGGCTTGAAAGCAGCGAGCGGTGAGGACTTTTTTTCAATAAATTGATCTGGGAAAGCCTTTTTTGAGGGGGTGAGCAAAAGAAGGAGCATTTTCAACACTTCACCCTGCAACTTTTTTTATTGGTAATAAAAAAATGTGTAAACCAATATTCTACAAAACAAACTTTGAGAAGGGCCAAACTACTCTGCTCCCCTACCTTTCCAGATCTGGGCTCTAGTCATAACTATTGCATAATAAGAAAAAGTGTTATTTATAGCAACTTAAAGTTTTATTATAAGCTAAGGAACAAGTTTGACAAGATGACCTGGAATGCCAATTGAATTTTAGGAACAATATTTGTTGAGCATATACGATGCTTTAGACCTTTGTTAAAACTAAAATCAACTACAATCGAAGACAGTGAGTGATGAGAGCACCAGAAGTAAGTGCTGGCCCAGA